>NC_000011.10:10060000-10685000 GCF_000001405.40 Homo sapiens | reverse complement strand
ACAGCAGAGAGACTCTTCCAGAGCTCAGGAAGGGCCTCTTTCCTCTGGGAAGTTTGGACAAGCCTTTCTCTTTGCTGTAGAAAAATGCTCTATAAAATGGTAGTTATTATGTGATATTCACATAGTCTGTCCCAGCACACAAGAAATTGCAGATCCCACCTATATATTGGTTAAAGTTCTTTGATTGCCAGATCTCAGAAGGCTATGTTGGCTAACTTAAGAGAAAGTAGGATTTATTATAAGGTATTTGAGAAAATCAAAGGAAAAGGTAGGTAGCCAGCAATGCCTCAGGAAGGCAGGACCCAGGGCAGCTTTCAGATCCCAGCAGCAGGAACTTGCCAGCCTTTTCTCTTTATTATTATTATTATTATTATTATTATTATTATTATTATTATTATACTTTAAGTTTTAGGGTACATGTGTACAATATGCAGGTTAGTTACATATGTATACATGTGCCATGCTGGTGTGCTGCACCCATTAACTCGTCATTTAGCATTAGGTATATCTCCTAATGCTCTCCCTCCCCGCTCTCCCCACCCCACAACAGTCCCCAGAGTGTGATGTTCCCCTTCCTGTGTCCATGTGTTCTCATTGTTCAATTCCCATCTATGAGTGAGAAGATGCAGTGTTTGGTTTTTTGTCCTTGCAATAGTTTACTGAGAATGATGATTTCCAGTTTCATCCATGTCCCTACAAAGGACATGAACTCATCATTTTTTAAGGCTGCATAGTATTCCATGGTGTATATGTGCCACATTTTCTTAATCCAGTCTATCATTGTTGGACATTTGGGTTGATTCCAAGTCTTTGCTATTGTGAATAGTGCCGCAATAAACATACGTATGCATGTGTCTTTATAGCAGCATGATTTATAGTTTGCCAGCCTTTTCTCTACAGGAGAGGTCTTCAAGTTTTTTGGATGTTGCATCTTATTAGTTTAGAGAAAATTTTTTTAGCATGCACCTCCAATTTATGTATATTTCTTTATTATAAATCATATTCATGAGCTATTGTACTAATGCGTTACTTTATAAAACATAAAAATAGAAATTTTTAAAGAACAAGAAAGATGAAATAATATTTTGAAAATCATGCTTTTTTTTTTTTTTTTAAAGTGTCAACAATTTTCCTGCTTTCCCTAAATAAGTATTCTTTGGTCATGATTCTATGTGCTTCTTCAAGGGGAAAGAGAAGAAAATCGTATTACCAGAAGCTAGTGAGCTCTGGAGCCAGGGAAGAGGTTCCATCCAGAATGAGCTGTAGCTAAGGAGAGTCACAGTCACTGCCAGAGATGTGGTGCTGGAGCAAGGGAGGAAAGGCCCAGGCCTCTCTCTCCTCCCATCCCCTACTGGTCCCTTGGCCAAACTCAGCCTGCAAGCAAAGGAGCCCAAGTTATACATTCCATAGGTGTCATCCTGAAGCACACAGCAGAGAACCAGGGGGCAGGGCAGGGAGAAAGGGAAGGAGGGCAGAGGAAAACCAGCTCAGATACCTCATGTGGAAGAGGGACATCCTTACTTCCTGAATTATTATATTAAATTTTCAGTTTTATCCACTACTTTGTAAAATTTTTTTTTGAGAATTACTGTTAGCTTTATTAGTAGAAGTATTTTCATTGTACTTTTTTTTTTTTTTTGGCACAAACCTTTTAAGCCGCATACACATTTTATGATAGTAGGTTTGGTTAAAACTAGATAAATATGTTTTATTAACCTACTTACTTGGGCACACACAAACTGTGTCACCCTTCAGGAAAAACAAATGGATACATGAGGGTGCTACATCAGTTCCGTAACACTGTAGAATTCCCCATACAACAGCTCACAAACTGGATATAACTGGCCTTTCAATACATGAACCAGCACCACTGCCAATCTGTTTATTAAATATTAAGGAAGTGTACTTTGTTACTATTTTTAATTAAAAATTGAAGGTTTTTATTTTAAATTTCCTTCCTATACTCCACCAAGTCATCCTG
Organism: Homo sapiens; assembly: GCF_000001405.40. NCBI lineage: Eukaryota > Metazoa > Chordata > Mammalia > Primates > Hominidae > Homo > Homo sapiens. Next base: position 10,683,019 of record NC_000011.10, on the reverse strand, counting down.
CATTCCCTGGATGACATACTCTACTCTGAAGATCACTGCCCAGGCCACAGGCCCAGTATGACTAGGTTCCAGAAGCTCCTGGTCTCTAAGTTCTTGAAAGAAATAATCTGATAAGTCCAGCTTGGATCAGGGTCAATCAGTCATGGCCAGGGGACAGGATTGTGGGGTATAAATGTGGTCATGGGGAAGCCATCCCTCATATATAGGGGTTCTTACTAAAGAAGGGAAAATTGCTTAAAGTAAAAGTGTCTTCAAAGAATGTCATCACCCACTTATTTATAGTTGTCTTTCTGTCCTGCCTTCTAGAGATGTCTGTTAAGCCTCTCAACTCTGCAACCCCATATACAGAGAATTTCTTGGGTTACTTCCATAGATAACTAACCATGTCCATTGTTTATGGGTTTTTTTAAACCTTGTTAATACATTGGAGGGCAGCCCCATTTCCTTGCAGTTATCTCCATGTATAGCCAACATTCCTAACAGGTCTGGGGTTCACAGACCTTATCAGACTTAGAGGAAGACTATTTCTCAGGCCAGCTGGTCCCAGAAAGGAAAAAAAGATACGGTTGGTTATAGACATCAAGGATCTGTTGCATTAGACCTGAAAACATTTGGCAAGTTGTCCCTATATCACGATTCCTATAGTTTATAAAGCACAAAAGTTGCTTAGGCACATGAACAAAGAGAGCCTGACTTTTTAGAGTCCCAGAGGGGAAGATTCCATTTGCTGAATCTCCAGAGACTTGTTTCACATGACAAGAGTAATAATAATGTGCTTATTACTGTAACTTTCTGTCATTTCTGTCTGTAAATTACTGTCATTTATTGAGCACCAGCTAAATACTATGTTAAGTTCTTTACATACATTATCTCATATTTTTGCAGCATCCTGTGATACAGGTTATAATATTATCTCTATGTTACTGATGAGAAAATGGAGACTTTGTGAGGCTGAGTAGTTCACTCAGGATTACACAGCTAGAAAGTGGCAGAGCCAAGGCCATATTGCCCTTGGTGCAAAGTGCATGCAGCCCATCAACAGATAGAAACTCATACTTGGAGTTTTTCAGGCCGGGAGAGAGTAGAGCTGGGACAATAAGATTTCAAAAAGGGTTAGATCATTATGGTTTTATAGAAAGGTATTAAGGGAAGCTAGCACCATGGCAGTTTGTAGCAGGTATTTGGTAGATACATTAAATGAATGAACAAATGCATGCATGAATGAAACCTCTCAGGTTTAAGGGCAGTCAAGGTCTTCCAGCATCCGTCCCTGGTGCCACTTCCTAAGCTGAAATGAAGAGACCGTATAAGCAGTGGTCCTGAGTTGTAGGCCTGGTTCTGCCTTCAACTCATGTTGTGCTCTTGAGCAAATCAAATCTTCTTTCCAAGTCCTCATTTTCCTCATCTGTGAACCATTCACCCTACAGGGCCCAGTGATTCATCCCAATAGTTGCATGATAGAGCCCATCTCAGAGCAATAATTGACAGCTGGGCACTGTCAGTGACAAGGAGGAGGACTGCAGGTGTGTTTGAAGAGTCAGCTGTTATTGTTTATTTTCTACAATCCCATTCAAGTCCTTTGGTGACAGTTAGAATGGGCATCAGGTCCAAAGTTAATGGAAGGTTGTATTTTTAAAAAAAACATTTACTGCTAAAGGGAATGCCTATTTATTCTCTTTTTTATTAACAAGGCACTTGACTCATGCGTTAGACATTTACTGCTCAGATTGGAAATGATGGTCCAGGCAGCCGCTAGAGCCTGGCCACTCTGCCCTCACACTACAGGGCCAGCTTCTCCCAGCACTCCAGCTCTGGGGGCAGATGAGTATGCCCTACAGGAGTAGTGGGTGGTGACAAAAGGACAAGATTTCTGTTCCTTGGAAGTGGTGAAACTCATAGGCACCAGAATTTGAGGGGCCTCCAGGAGGTGTCGGGCACTCCCTAAGTAGAGGAGACCTGGTGAACTTGAAAAGACCCAGGAAGATGGATCAAGCAGCTAACTACCATCTGCATAGCACTTTCTCCTCCCACTGGAACTCACTGACCCTCCCTGAGGACAATGAAACCATGCTATCTGTGTAATCTTTCATGAATTATCTGGAGTTTTACAGTTTTATGCATTATAGGTAACATAATCCCTCTCACTGCCCCCTCTAACCCGCCCGGCCCCAAGGACCTTATTAGAATGTTTGTGAGCCCTATGTCACAAAAGGCATTGTTCTAAGAAGTTTATATTACATAATTCACAAGATTGTTATTATCCATGTTTTACAAGTGAGGAAACTGAGGCATAGAAAGATGAAACAGCTTGCCCAAGGTCACATGGCAGGGCTGGGATATGAACCCGGGCAGCCCAGCTCCAGGGCCAATGGACATAATTACTGTCCTCTCTCACCTCTGGACACCCTCTAACCTAAGAGGGTTTAGGGCATTTCTGAATGGAGATTTCCCTTCCCCTTCCCCTTCCCCTTCCCCTTCCCCTTCCTTCCTTCCTTTCTTCCTTTCTTTTTCCCTTTCTCTCTCTTTCTCCCTCCCTTCCTCTCCTTCCTTCCTTCCTTCTTTCTCTTTCCCTTTCTTTCCTTCCTTCCCTCTCTTTCTTTCTTTCCCTTTCTTTCCTTCCTTCCTTCCTTCCTTCCTTCCTTCCTTCCTTCTTTCTTTCTTTCTTTCTTTCTTTCCTTCCTTCCTTCCTTCCTTCCCCCCTCCCTCCCTCCCTCCCTCTCTCTCTCTCTCTCTTTTTCTTTCTTTCTTTCCTCAGTTTCATTCTTGTTGCCCAGACTGGAGTGTAGTGGTGTAATCTCTGCTCACTGCAACCTCCACCTCCTGGGTTCAAGCGATTCTCCTACTTCAGCCTCCCAAGTAGCTGGGATTACAGGCATGCGCCACCATGCCTGGCCAATTTTTGTATTTTTAGTAGAGACAGGTTTCACCATGTTGGCCAGGCCAGTCTCAAACCCCTGACCTCAGGTGATCTACCTGCCTGAGCCTCCCAAAGTGTTGGGATTAGAGGTGCGAGCCACTGTGCCTGGCCCAGAGTGGAGTTTTAAAGAGGACACTTTGAGATACTCCTTGGAAAAACGTTTCATGGTCAAATAAATTTGGGAAACATTATATCCTTTCACCCCTTCTTGCAGATTTATACTGCACATTTACTTTTAAAGGCTCTGAGATGTCCTGCAAGACAGAAACCTATCTCCCGCTGATATTCCCAAATAGAGTGAAACACATAAGCTTTCTTTTCAGAGCTCCTGACAACATCACCCAGATCTGGAGTTGTACAGAACTCTATACAACTTTGGGATAAGTGGTTAGTGGTATTCCTACTTGGGTGGACACAGGATGGATCACGTGGCATCTAGAGAGTCCTTGCTGCTTGCAGAACTGCTAAGGAAAGCTCTCAGTGAGCAAGGTCAGCTCACAAACCTTCTGCCTGAGAGGCAGACAGTGGGCTGGAATGGGGAAGCCATGGGCTCTGACGGCTTCAATCCCTGTTTGGCCACCCATTAGCTCTGTGACTCTGGAGGTCACAGCATCACATTGAACTTCAGTTTCCTTATCTGCAAAGTGGCATCCACCTCATAGGGCAGTTGGGGGATTGAGTGAGTAAATATGCCTAAAGCACCAGGCACCAGATCTGTGGTTGCCAGGGCCTGGGGGGAAGGGGAACAGGGAGTGACTGCTTCATTGGTACAGAGTTTCCATTTGGGATGATGAAAGTGTTCTGGAACTAGATAAGGGTGGTAGGTGCACAACATTGCGAATGTACCTAATGCCACTGAATCGTATGCTTTTAAAAAGCTCTATGCTTCTGATGGATAGAGAATGTTGTTATTGTTATCATTGCCTGTTTTGCTTATTTCTACAGTCTCCTGGTCTCATGTAGAACTAGGACACTAAGATTGGAAGCTTCCAAGGAGCAGTATAGACACAACTTCACCATGTCAGGCTGAAGGGCATTGTGCCTCTTTTCTACTCCAAAGAGGTCAGGGGACCCCTTGGTCCAAGGGATAGTTTCTTCCTGAGAAAGGGAAGGGGAAGCTCTTGGGTTGACCTTGGGTTGAACAAAAGAACAGGGAGGAAATTTAGAGAGCTGAGGTTGAGCTTGTGGGACACACTCAGATTTAGACTCATAGCAGCATCAAAAGGGAACATTAACCCAGGATTGCAGAAGGTGACAGAAGACCCAGAAAAGGTAAACATTGGTCTGTTTGGTACAGGCAGAATCTGCCCCAGGAAAAAGCTTCGATTACAAATGAGGTGCCAACTGGTAGAGTGTTTGCAGAGGTCCATGCCAGCATCAACCAGTTGCCTACCAAGAGGGCATTTCTAAACAATGGTGGGTCTGAGAATACATTTCAGATGGTGGCTATTTTACAAAGACTTTGAAAAGAGAGGCAAATTGAGAGAGGGCCGCTGTGGTGGCGTGGAAAGGGCACTGGGCTGGGGTCAGTCTCAGCTGGGCTCCTAATGGCTGTGTGACCTTGCCGCATCACTTCATCCTCTGAATCTGTCAGCCTCCACATCAAAAAGCAGACGTAATCGTTTCCTCCTTACAGTATTTCTGTGAGGAATAAATTAAATAATATGTCTGAAATAGCTTAGACAAAGGAAAGCTCTAAACAGCAAGAGGGCAGTATTAAAAACTAGGAACATCCTTTAGGGATTGCCATCAGGAGACGACAAGATGAAATCGCTCCCTTCTAAGAACCTTGGGCTCTCTCAGCGTGAAAGCAGTTAAATAGACCCAGCATGTTGTTGAGGCTTGGAGAAAGCAAGGATAAGCAGCTTCCCAGTAAATGTAAAATTTCCATATGACCCATTAATTCCAGTCCTAGGTCTATATGCAAAAGAATTGAAAACAGGTGTTCAAACAGAAGTTGTATCACAGTGTAACAGCACTATTCACAATAGCCAAAAGGAGGAAACAACACGAATGTCTATCACCTGATGAATGAATAAACAAAATGTGGGATGGATAGACAGATAGATGATAGATAGATAGATAGATAGACAGATAGAGAGATAGATAATGATGGAATATTATTCAGCCATAAAAAGGAATGAAGTATGGATACATGCTACCATGTGGATAAACCTCAAAAACATTATCTAAGTGAAAGAAGCTAGACCGAAAATGTCACATATTGTATGGTTGCATTCATATAACTATCCAGAACCGGTTAAAGCCACAGGGACAGAAAGCAGATTCGTGGTTGGCAGGGCCTGCCAGAAAGGAGGAACAGGGAGTGACTGCTTACTGGGTACAGAGTTTCCATTTGGGATGATGAAAAAGTTCTGGAACTAGGTAGGGGTGATAGGTGCACAGCATTGTGAATGTGCTTAATGCCACTGAATTGTACACTTCAAAATGGTTAAAATGATACATCATATGTCACACATATTTTATCATAATTTTTTAAAAAAGAAGTTTACTGGTGAAGAGGAAATGTGACCCAAAGTTTAGGCACCCCTCTCCTAGAGTATGGTTGAGGGGAGGGGACGGGGTAGTCAGAGTTTGTCAGCTGGAAGCCAAGGTCTTGTGTCAGCAAATTCAGGGAGGGTCTAGAGTGAGCAAATCTTGTGTAAGGATCCCAGGGGATCCTGAAAGGAGTAAGACATGCTCCCTGCTCTCAAAAAAAATGTATAAATTACTCTCAAGTCATAAACACCAAGAGGTACTACAGTATGTACAAGGGAGACATTGATTCAGGAGAAGGAGACATTGACTCAGTCTGGGGCCATCCATGAAGACTTCTCAGAAGAGAAGGTAGTTGTGGATCTGGCAGGTAGGTAAGAAAGAAGTGAGGAACTTCCCAGGAAAAGTACAGGGTTGGGAGAGTGGAGGGAGCGTTTCAGAGTGGGGAAGAGGTTAATATGGGTGGGGCACAGAGTATGCATGGACCCAGAGGGGAAGGTCATGGGAGAGACGCACAAAGGAAATTAGAGTCAGATGTAGAGCTTTGCAGGTGGATCTGAGGAAGTTGGGACATGATCTCCAGGCAGTGGGGAGTCAAGGCATCTTCTAAGCCTGTGTTTGAGAACAGTCAGTGCAGTAAAAGACTGAAGAACGAGAGACTGAGGACAGGGAGATGAGCTGTGGCATCGTCTCTGCAGAGGCCAAGGAACACCGCTCGCCCCAGAGCAATGGCCGTGGGAAGGGTGAACCTCCAAACATATTGAGCTTGGCATTTGCCAGGATTCTGGTTTGCCTAGAATAGAAACGGATTCAAATTAGATTAGCAAATTAGCAGAATGTTCTGGATCATATCATTGAGAGTTCTAGGGCAATCTCGGACATGGCTGGATCCACGGTCTCATCCCCTTGTCTCTCAGCTGTCCTTGGCATTAGATGTATTCTCAGGTGACCTCTCCTGTGTGGTGGCACTGTGGCACCTGCAGTTCCCAGCCTCTCCTTTCAGCAACGCTTGCAGCAGGAACTCCCCCAACAGTTCCAACAGAAGTCACCGAACTGAATGTATTGGCCTGGTCTGAGTCACGTGCTCATTCCTCAATTACAACCCAGAGCTGGGAGCATGGGATATTCTGTGGGGCCAGTCCAGTGTCATAGCTCCAATCCCACAGTGGGGTCAACCACCCCCATCCCAAGCACAAGTATGATGGATGTGCTGCTGTCGCCAGAAGAAGGGGGACTGGGGACCGCATGGGCGAAAATGCAGCTGCCCCCCAAAGCACTGACTGTGCTGAGTCATGTACGCATCTCATGCCATCCTCTCAACCATTCTGACGGAGAAACCGTTAGCTCCCACCGCACAGGGAGAAACCAAGGTGTAGACTAACTCATTCTCCCTCCTCACTCCTCCATCACTTTCTGTGTCCTGCGCTTCTGGAATCTCTTAGGGAGGCAAAGCGAAGCCACTAAGAGGCAGTACGAGCATCACAGCTAAGAACCTGAGAACTAAAGGACATGATCACAAAGATCAAATCACGATTCTCTAGGCAGAGAGATTCCCAAACTGCATTTAAATCAGGAACCCCATGCAGTGGTTACAGACTCTGGCCATTTAATTGTTAGATGGGAGGCCAGCCTCCATGAGGCAGGGGAGAGGCTTGTTCCTTGCCTCACTCCTGTCCATGAATAAGGCAGCTGAGAGTCGTGGTCGATCAGTGGGTAGGAGAATGCAGGGTGTGAATCTCTAGGCATGGGAGTGTAACCTGGGCAAAGGTGGCCATTCCAGAGCATTCATTGCAGACAAACTTAGTAAAGACCGCAGCACTCTTAGGAAGGCGCTGAATAAGAGGATGAAGGGGCATTTGTCAGTCAGGGAAGAGGGCGTAAATGGTGTTTCCTGCGTAGAGTACAGGATGTGCAAAAGCACTGAGGTAGGCCTAGAGTGACAAGTCTTCATGATGATGAAATTCCCTGAGATCCCCAAATAATTTTGTCAGAGAAAGACAAGCCACTGTGGAAATGACTCCCTTTGGCATCAGCAGCAGACCAGAGGCTCAGGGTTCCTCAGGTGACCTGCTTCCCCAGTCGTCATTGTTAGGAATTAAATCCCAACTCAGTGATAGAGAGCCACCCAGGCCACTTCTGCAAGGGACCATTTCTGCCCTTCCAAGCCATTTGCAGGGTTAAAGTTCTTGGACCTGGTAACAGCAAGTGGCAGGCATGAATTAGCATTTCCTGTTTGGGAGGCAGTGCACGTGACACACAGGAGAGGGGAACCGGGCAGGAGCCAACGGAACCAGGAGAGCTTAACGGTGGCCCAGATTCTACTTGGGGTCTGACAAAGGCACTCTGGGTGAATGGGGACATTTTAGAAATGCTGACATTCCCAGGGGACTGGCCCAGTCCAGGGTGGAAAGCAATTTTAGATGCTCTGGCTACTATTTTTGGAGCCTGAATCACATTAATTCACTGCTGCTCCAAATGGTGCACAGCCAGGGAGATCTTCAGGGAGCCCAGGGGCTGTTTCCCAGCCCAGCACTGGTGCAGCCTGCCCAGAATCTGCAGGGCGGTGCCCATTCCTTCCTGCTCCGGGTCACTCTGCGTTTCCTATTCGTGTGCCAGTGCACGGCGTCCAAAGCCCCCAACATCTTCTCCAAAGAGAATCCTTCATATGAGGGGATGAACCCCCATCTTAGGATGTGACTTGGGGCTATTTCAGGAATATTGTGTAGCTTGGACTCTCGCTAAATCTGGAGTTAGGAGAAGAGGGACCCGGGCAAGAGATATCCAGAAACGTCCCTTGCCTTCCCTCCTCAGAGTTGGCTGAATCTGAGTCAGGCAGGGAGCCGACACCGTGCAGGAAGCAGTCACTTTTCTGTTGAGCTTCAATTCCCTTTCATGTGCCTGTCAGCAGCAGAGAAGCCACAAGACAGGGGAAGGGGCAACATGTGATGCCTTCATTGGGCCAGGTCGCCAGGTCTGGATGGGATGGAAGGAGGGTGGAACAAAATGTGTTCTGGGAAGTTTCCAGCTGAAAGCCCAGAGGAGTGGTGCTGGTGTGGCTGTAATAGGTCACATTCCTCTCTGTTTCCAAAGCCAGTCCCTCCCGATGAGGGGGAAAGAGTACTGGGAAGCTCTGGAGTGAGGGATGAATCCTGTCCTTCAGCCTCATTTTATAGAGACTTCAGGGTGAGAACTGAAAGGTGTCACCCCCATTTGTGCCCATACTTGTAAAAACCCGTTTATTTGAATGTCTTTGCTAGCAGAACTCTAAATGCCTCAGATGAGGAATGGCGCTCCCTACAAAAATGAGTCTACCTTTGGGACATTTGTGCATGTGGAGTGTGGTGTGGGGTGTATGTTGCATCTGTGCACTTCTGGAGCATCTTGAATTACTGCATCCCAGCTCTCGCTCTCTGTGCTTGCTTGCAAATTGCCTGCTTACTGCTATGTCTCTTACCTCTGAGCTCAGTGCCCTGGTCTACCTGGTTTACTACTGCACAGAGCTTGGCACTTGGTAGGCGCTCTGTAAATATTTGTTAAATGGAAGAACAGATGAGTAATCTGCACATTCATCCCAGTGAGTCTGTCTTTCTTTTGGGGTGTAGTCTTGTCTCCATGTCTCTGTCTGTCTCTCTGAGCCCGTGTCCCTGTCCCTTCATCTCTATTTCTCTTAGTCTTCTTATTGTTGCCTCCTCCTTCATTTCTCCTCACACGAGCCCATCCTAGACACATAATCTATCTCTTTCCCTCAACCTGTTTTCTTACATTATGTATCCTCAGCAATTTCAGAGATGGAAGGCACGTTATAAATCATCGAGCTTAATTTCTAATGTTTATGTTTGAGGAAGCTATGCCCAGAGAGGTCACAAGGCACTAAGGACCAAAGCTAGCTTCCTTCTCTTTTTTTTTTAATGGAAGTTAGAAAAAATTTTAAACAGCTTTGTTAAAATATAATCCACACGCCATATGACTCACCTACTTAAAGTGTACAATTCAGTGGATTTTAGTATATTCAGAGAGTTGTGCAGCCATCATGGCTAACTAATTCCAGAATATTTTTATCATCCAAAAAGAAACCCCACACTTATTAACAGCCACGTCCCATTTCCCCATCCTCTCAGCCCTAAGCAACCATTAATTTACCTTCCATCTCTATAGCTTTCTCTATTATGGGCATTTTATATAAATAAAATAATACGTATGGTTTTTTGTGACTGGCTTCTTTCACTTACCATAATATTTTCAAGTTCATCCTTTCATTCATTTTAAGTTTCATACTTTAGCATGAAACTTAAAACTTATATCATTACTTCATTCCTTTTTTTTGAGACAAAGTTTCACTCCGTCACCCAGGCTGGAGTGCAAGTGGCATGATCTCAGCTCACTGCAACCTTCGCCTCCTGGGTTAAAGCAATTCTCATGCCTCAGCCTCCTGAGTAGCTGGAATTACAGGCGCACGGCACCAAGCCCAGCTAATTTTTGTATTTTTAGTAGAGACGGGATTTTACCATGTTGGCCAGGCTTGTCTCAAACTCCTGACCTCAAGTGATTCGCCCGTCTCAGCCTCCCAAAGTGCTGGGATTACAAGTGTGAGCCACCGCGCCTGGCTCTTCATTCCTTTTTATGACCGAATAGATTCTATTGTATGAATATACCACATTTTATTCATCCATTAATTACCTTATGGACATTTAGTTTATTTCCATGTTTTGGCTATTATAAATAGTGCTGCTATGAACATTGTGTACATGTTTTTATGTGGATATACATTTTCATTTCTCTTGGGTACATATCTAGAAGAATTGGTAGATCATGCAGTAATCCTATGTTCAACCTTTTGAGGAACTGCTAAGCTGTTTTCCAAAGCGGTTACGCCATTTTACATTTCTACCAGCAATATATAAGGGTTCTAGTTTCTTCACATCCTAGTCGACACTTGCTGTTGTCTTTTTTATTTTAACCACCCTCATGGGTGTAAAGTGGTACCTTATTGCTGTTTTAATTTGTATTTCCCTGATAGTTGATGACGTTGAACATCTGTTCATGTGCTTATTGGTCATTGGCATATATTCTTTGGAGACATGTGTATTCAAATATTTTGCCCATTTAAAAATTGTATTACTTGTCTTTTTATCATTATAAGAGTTCTTTATTCAAGTCCTTTATTAGATATGCTATTTGCAAATTTTTTTCTATTCTGTGGGTTGTCATTTTACTTCCTTGATAGCATCACTTTCAATACAGAATTTTTTGTATCGCGATGAAGTCCAATTTATTTACTTTTTCTTTTGTTGCCTGCATTTATGGTGTTGTATCTAAGAAGGCATTGTCTAAACCAAGGACACCAAGATTTACTCACATGCTTTCACCTAAGAATTCTATAGTTATAGCTCTCCCATTTAGATGTTTTGAGTTAATTTTTGTGTATGGTATAGGAAGAGGTCCAACTTTATTCTTTTACATGTGGTTATCCCGTTGTTCCAGAACCATTTGTTGAAAAGACTTCTTTCCCCATCGAATTGTCTTGGCATCCTTGTTGAAATCAATTAACTATAAATGTAAGGGCTTATGTATGAACTCTCAAGTCTGTTGCATTGATGTGTATGTCTCTTCTTGTATAGTGTATAGTATCATACTATATTACGATAGTTTTATAGTAAGTTTTGCAATTGGGATGTGTAGATAATTTTTTTCTTCTTTTTAGTTTGTTTTGATTATTGTTGCTTCCTTGTGTTTCCATATGAAATTGGAATGAGATGGCATTCCAACAATTTAGGGCTTTAATTTCTTTCAAATATATTTCATATCTCTCAGAGTAAAAGTTTTACATTTATTTTGTTAAGTATATTTCTGGTTTTTGTTGTTGTTGTTGTTGTTGTGTTTGTTGTTGTTGTTTTTAAGACAGAGTCTCACCCTGTCACCCAGGCTGGAGTGCAGTGGTGTGATCTTGGCTCACTGAAACCTCCACCTCCTGGGTTCAAGCGATTCTCATGCCTCAGCCTCCTGAGTAGCTGGGACTACAGGTGCGCGCCACCATGCCCTGCTAATTTTTGTATTTTTAGTTTAGATGAGGTTTTGCCATCATGGCCAAGCTGGTCTCAAACTCCTGGCCTCAGGTGATCCACCCACCTCAGCCTCCCAAAGTTGTGGTATTACAGGTGTGAGCTACCACACCCGGCCAGCCGTTGGGTGTATTCCTAAGTATTTATGCTTTTGATGCTATTGTGAATAGAATTGCTTTATTAATTTCATTTTTTGATTGTTCATTGCTAATGTATAGAAATATAATTGATTGTACTATATCAATCATATATCCTGCAGCCTTGCTGAGCTCATTTATTAGTCCTAATAGTTTTTTAGTGGATTCCTCAGGATTTTGCATATATAAGATCATATCACCTGCAAATAGAGATAATTTTACTTCTTCAAAGGTAGAATTCTTGGGACCTAGTCTAGAGAATTTTTATTTCATTAGAAAGGTTCTGAAAGGAGTTTTGTGGTTAGCCTGGAAAAATACTAAAGCAATTATTCTCCAAAATGTATTGATCCCTATTTCAAAGATTAAATGTTTGAAACAGACTTGAATTTAAATCTGATATGGCTGAGAGATTCTATCAATAGCTATATTAGATTGTCAGAGCTACTGTATTAAAATATCACAAGCCAGGTGGCTTAAACAATGGAAATTTATTTTCTAACAGTTCTAAGGAAGTCCCAGATCAAGGTATCAGCAGGTCTGGTTTCTTCTGCGGCCTCTCTCCTTGCTTATAGATGGCCACCTTCTCTCTGTGTCCTCATATGGTCTTTCTTCTGTATAGGCACATCCTTGGTGCCTCTACATCCAAATTTCCTCTTCTTATAAGGACACCAGTCAGATTGGATTAGGGTCTATTCTAATGGCCTCATTTAAACTTAATCACCTCTTTAAAGGCCCTGTCTCCAAATACAGTCACATTATTATGTACTGGGGGTTAGGATTTTGACATAAGAACTAGGAGGAGTATTGGGGGGCACAATTAAGCCCATAGCAATAGCCTTCTTGGTTTTCCTTTGAGAGATCTGATTTCTGGTTAGTTGCAACTAGTGAAAACAGAATTTGTTAAATAACCAATTCACCGTGACCACCAAATGACAGTGACCTATGGCCAGAATTAGAAAGCACTGCCTATTTTCACTAAGCTAAAGGATCCTTGTGCATGGTTTTGCATGACCCTAGAACTCGTTTTAGTTAAGGACTACTCTAAAGCCAAGTCAAGGAGGGTGGATGACCAGCCATTAGACTCAGACATGTACATAACACCTAGAATTTGATTTACACTGCCGGCTTTAAAGTACTTCCAGATCCTGTTGTGTAAACAGTACGGTGACATAGTTGTATGAGGAGTCCCTCTGTGAAGTGAGCTTTATAAAGTTCTAAAATGCAAAATCTCACTCAATTTTGTTCTCTGTTGGACTAAGGGTTAGTTTTGGAAGCTCAAGATGTAGCTACTCCTTGCTCTGCAATTCTTGCAAAAGCCAAAAACAAGGTGCTGCTGATCTCAATTGGTTATGTCAGTAGGAACTGAAAAGCAAGATTCCCATCCCTGTGATCCAGACTGAGCAGTCATCCCACCTCGGTTAGTGCAGCTGTCTATCTCCCTCTTTCCTCTGCTCTCTTTTTCAGCATTTATTTTTAACTCTCTTGGCCTCTGAGTGTTTTTATTGCCATCTGGCCACAAGCCCTTTTAGGAAGCAGGCAGTTATAAATCACCTGCTGGGAAATCAATAAAAGTCAGTTCAATCCACAGTTACACCGATTTGCCCCCAGATAACCAGGATCCTGCAGGCTCAGTATTTTATCCCATGGGGGTGTCTGCAAGGAGGGTGAAGGGTAAGGGGGGGAACTACTTTCTGAAAGAGAGGGTGGACTGCTGCTCCCAAAGGCTCAAGGAAGGGATGGACTTTGGCTTTCATCCATGTGCTTTTCATCTGGCCTCGGGGGAGAGCTGAGTGTTTCCACTTCATCCAGCACAGAGTTTTCCACACCATGGCATTTTCTTATCTTCTGAAGATCTACTTTAGGGCTAAAGTATCTTCCTTAAGCCTCAAGAAAAGGCAGTAGAAATGAGTCGCTGTATTTGCTGGGGAGGACAGGGAATGTGCTACTGCAGCATGGAAGAGGGAAGACACTCTGTCAAGCTGCCTGTTGCCAGGCCACTGTTTTCACTCACCATGAGTTGGTTCATCCCTCTGGCTAGAACTCCAGGGAGTCAAGTCTGGAAGTTGTTATACAGAAACTGAAAGCTAGGCCCAGAGAGGCGGGTGACTGGCCCAAGGTCACAGAGTAGTTTCATAAACAGCTCACAAAGAAATGGTCTCACTGCTTGGAAATCCTAGTTCTCTTCTCAAAAGGAGCTTTTGTCAGGAATGCAAATTCATGGGTAGTTGAAACTAAACAAAATATAGATCTCCAGAGAAAAAATACCAATCCATTAGTTTATTTATTAAAAATGGGTCCACCAAATTGCCCCCTGTAAGGACCATGGGGACCATTAGACCATCCATTTGTACACTCTTGGATAATGGGAATATACTAACCTTTGAAGGACTTCTTCCTCCCCTCTCTATCAGGGGAAATATTACAGCTGCAAAGCACAGAGTGCTGGGTTTTGGGTGGTGGGAGGCAGTGAGACTGTGGGATGCTGAAGCCAGGAGGGAGGCAGCCTCAGAGCCAGGTCTGCTGGCACTTACCCCATCTTCCCATCAGGGCTTTCAGGAGATGTGTGCATTTAAACTGGGTTAAAGAATTATTCACTTCAATTTAACATATACCAAGCCCTAATTATATACCAAATGTTAGAGATACAAAGATGAGAAAGACTTAGTTTAAAAGGATGAACAGGAGTCTGCCATGAAGATCCTTGAGTGTCTCTCAGCCAAATAGGGGAGACGAAACTATAAAAAAATAATTGCAATTATGTTAGAGCAGGGTTGGCTAACTTTTCTGAAAAAAGGCAGCTAGTACATATTTCGGCTTTATAAGTCAGAGTGTCTGCCTCAACTACTCAATTGCCCTCATAGCATGAAAACAGCCATAGACAATATACAAATGAATGGTTGTGCTGTATTTTGATAAAAATTTATTTACAAAAACCATTAGTTGGTCAGATTTGGCCCAAAGGCCATAGTTTGTTGAACTCTGTGTTAGAGGAATGCCATCATAATATAGGAATAATAATAATAAAAGTTACCATTCTGTTAGTTATTTTGTGCTAGACACTGTATATCTAATTTACATACATTTACATACTTTTCAAATTTGAATATTTTTCATAATAATTTGTGAGGACATTGAAAGTCAACAGCCAAAGTCATAGAGCTAGAAAGTGGCAAATAGAAGGTTAAAGTCTATGTTTCCAACTAAACAATTTAAAATGCTAAAAGGAAATGGGGCAGAGGGTTTAATCTGGTGAGAATCATGTGGTGGCTCCTGAAGGATGAGTAGGGTCTTTCATGGAGACAGATGGGGGGATGGCCTTCTAGGCAGAGGGAGTGACACTGAGGTTTGATAGCACGTGGAATATTCTGGAAAGTGAGCATTAGGTGAGGCTGGGGTGCAGGATACCTTGGTGTTAGTGGCTGGAGAAAAAACAGAGAGGTTTGGCAGTCTCAGAGCAGAAAGTTTTGCATGAGTGCCCAGGAAACTGGACTTCATCTGTGGACGAGGGCTTCTCCAGCTCTGGTCTTTGGATCAGATTCCCCTTTAGGGGCTTTTAGCCATACAGATTCCCAGGCCCTATTCCCAGATATTCTGAGTCAGTCTATCTGAGAAGGGTGTAGGAATCTTCATTTTATCAAGCACCTCAGGTGCTTTTAGTAAGCAGCCAGACTTGGGAGTCAGCACACAGAAAGCCATTGAAATGTTTGACTTGAGGGAGGCCTGCGACCACACCTATGTTTTAGAATTCCAGCTGTGTGGAAGATGGATTACTTCATAGGAGAACCACCCTCCACCTACCCCAGGAGTCGATTTTCTGGTTATCAGCTTTTCTCATCTGGACATGTAGAATGAATAGGGCTGCAGGATGGCTAGATTTTTATGAGTAGGGAATTGGGAGGTAACTGAGGCAGTAAGAGGATATCAGGAAAGCATTGAGTAGCGGCTCCCTCCCTCCTGTCCTGGGGCCCCTGCCCAACTTGGGCCTTCCAGTGCTGACCTGCAGGCTGAGCAGAGCAGAGCTGCTGCTCCCAACCAGTCCCAACCACAAAGCCTGCCAGCCATACCCCAGCCAGCATTCCAGCCCAGGGCCCTAGAAGGCCTTTGCTTTTCCCAAACTCTGCCAACCCTAGAGGAAGGGCCCTGTGTAGGGGATCCAGAAGATCAGAGGAAAAGAGATGAAAGGCCACGAGAACAATGTCCCAGGACTTTGGGGCTTCTGGGATCCAGGGTGACTCCAAATTAGGTGCTTTAAAAACAAAAACAAAAAAACGAAAAAAAAAACTTCTGTTCTATAAACATATGTTGTCATATTAAAAATATCTACATTCCTCTACATTCTATCATAGCATTAATGAAAAAATCATTTTATAACTAGGAAATACCAACTGTGGGCACAGGAAAGAGGGGTGTCTGAGCCGACCTAAGGAGCCTGGGGGCTACCCTGGGAAAATGTTCCCCAGGGTGCAGGAGCTCCACTCAGGCCTTGGTAATGTTGCTAGTGTGATCCAAGAAAACCCTGCCAAAACCCAGTGATTTCCCAGTGCCTATGCTCCTTGTGGAACCTGGGCCAGGAAGGGGGTCTGCTCACCTGCCTGCCCACTCACAGCCCAGAACAGCTCCAGCAAAACTGCTGAGGCATCTCCAGGCAGTCCCTGGCCTTAACCTGCCCTCAGAGCTCTCTTTACTCAGTCTTTTCTAAAAACAAGAAAATACTTCACGAGAATGACTCAGCTTAACCCGTTGGATAAACTCTATGCTATTTACCAGTTAACTTAAGCAGAGCTATTGCATGTATAACAAACTGCAGGTTAACAAAGAACATAGGTAAATCTGATTGTTAGGGATGATACCTTCTCCACGATGACAAACTGGTGAAGCCTTAGCCAGAAAAACCTCTTCTGGTCCTGTGTTAGCATTTCATTTTTGGTTGAAGTTGTTGCTGCTGCTGTCGCCTGGCTCTGTATTGACCTAGAAGCCTTCATTATGGTATACTGAGCAGAACCCTGGGCTTGGAGTCAGGCTCCCCTGAGCTCAAACCCTGTTAACATTACTTAGTAATTGTGATGTCTGAAACAAATTACTTCACCTTTCTGAGCTTCAATTTTCTCACCTGTAAGATGGGAATAATCGTACCATGCAGGGCTGTTGTAAGGACTGGATAAGATAAAGGATGTAAAGAGTCAGGTAGAGCACCTGGTACAATAAATGTCAGTTTCTCTCCTGCTAATGCCTCAGAATTACTCCCAGACCATCCCCACCTCTCCATGGTGGAAAAATGACTCCCCTGCGGAGAAATTCTCTATGGTTACTTCCAATCTCATATCATTAGGCAGTCACAGTTGCACATGCCCATTTAAGCAGTAGGACCTTGAAATACATGGGCCTCTAATCACCAAAGCTTGCTGTTGGGAGAGCCATTCCCAGGCTCTACCCTCCCGGCTTCCACCCACCCCTGCCATTGCATATCACTGTTCACCATAACCTGTTCTCAACTTGGGTCTAAAGACTCAGCTAATGCAGCTGTTTGCATACATCTGGATAACCAAGGGACTGCTCACTTTTACTTTATCACGTGTCTTCTTGTGTACACACCCACCATCCTGCAGTTCAGCTCAGAGTCTATTGGTGAAAAAAAGACCCTGGCCAAGATCCACAGCTGCTCCCACCCTGCTGCTGGCCTCAGTCGGCAAGGTGTGAGCTTCCTTCCTGTCCTGCACATGGGAGTCTCCACCCTAAACTCTGGTGCTGGGGTTCCAAGCACAGGGCTGCGAGCCTGTTCACACAGCCAATCATTGTCCCGGTCTTGGGGTCTGCTCTTCTGGGGAGGGTTGAGAGTGAGAGCCTATCCAGCTCTGAGCTGAGGGATAGGTAGGTGGAGTGGTCGCCCCCAGGAAGTAATGATGTTTGAAAATCATTTGAAGGTTGAAATTTGACTCAACAAACATATCTTGGTGTGTACCAGTCTATCGTCTAGGCAGGAACATGGAGGTTGGTCAAACCGAGTCACTCCTCTGGAGCCCTAACAGTTTAGATGTGTGTATTAGTAAAAAGAAGTGGGGACAGGCATCCTGGAGAGGTGGGAGAAGGTTCTGTGTTTGGGCTGGGGTTTCTGGCCAGATGCTGGGCCCACCAATGGTAGCAGGGAATGCAGAAAGAGGAACAGGTTCTGAGGAAAAGGGCATGGTGATATTCTAAGTTAGGGAATAACTTAGGGTAAGCTCATCAACTCTAGATCTGAGTTCCCAGCTTAAACTCTCAGGGTTAGGGTTAGGGTTAGGGTTAGGTAAGCAGCACAGTAGAGAGGTGAGAGAAGACTTGGTGCCAAGAAAGTCCCCACAGGCAGCATTATAAAGGATAGGCTGTTTGCACCAGTTGGAACTCTTTATTGCAAGTGCCAAAAAAGCTCGTACAAGCCAGCTTAAGAAAAAAGGGGTATTCATTGGTTCTCAAAACAGAAAAGGCTGGGGATATCAGGCATGGCTTGATCAGGATCTGAGAAGATAGCCTCAGGACCTAGTTTCTTTCTGGCTCTTAGCTGTGCTCTGTCTCACATTGATTCCATCCTTAGACAAGTTCTTCTTCATCATCTTAAGAGGGATTCTGCTTTCACCCTCTGGAACTCAAGGCTGCAGTTAAGGATGGCTTTCCCAGGATGCCCAGTAATGTCTTCTTGCATCTCATTGGTTCTTGTCAGCTCACATGCTCACCCTCCAGCCAATCACTGTGATCAGGGGGATGTGATGGCTGCTTCCAGCCCTGGGATGCCAGGAAGGCCCCTAACTTCCTACTGTGTGACTGCTTTCAATAGGCAACGTGAACTTGAACTCATGGGGCAGAAAGCAGGGCTCAGGCTGGCAAGTTAGCCCAGCCTTTACTATTGAGATGGAGAGACTGAGGCCTGAATGGTGAAGGAACTCATTCCTACACAGGCAGTTAGCATGGCAGTCTGCTCTTCACTCCCCACAAGGCCCTGTCCCTGAACCCCTATCTCAATCCTGCTGTAGCTTTCTGTAGCATGCTTTACACCAGACTTTGCCCAGCAGCCCAGCCCAAGGTTATTGGGCCTATTTCCATGGCTTTGGAGAACTGGGATTCCCAGAGTGGAGATGAACAGGAGGCGGGGACCTGAGCTGGGGTGCTCCATCCCAGCAGGGAAGAACACTCTCTCCTGCTGGTCTTAGATGATCACAGTCGCAGCTGCTTCCTGTCTACCCCAGGGGATGCCGTGAGAAGGACTTCCAGTTCCTCGGAGAGGGGCTGCGTCTCGGCTGCTGTTGTTCTTGTTGGCTGTGCTGGCCCTGAGGAAGAGCTGGGATCTAGAATGATCAAGAGCACTGCCCTATCAAAAAACATCTCCTAATACCCTTGTTCTGTCTTTGCTAAGATTAGAGAAGCATAGGAATAAGCTCTCTCTAAGGAAGAGCCAAACATCCCATTTTGGGCAGAGGAGACCCAGTGTTTAATCCTGACTCTGCCTTCTGACTGTGTGACCTAGAGCGAGTCACTTTGCTTGTCTAAGGCTCCATTTCCTCATCTGTAAAATGGACAAGTAATTCCTTTCTCACAGACCTGAGATGGTTCAAGAGCTAGCGTATCTACATTGTGCTGGGTGTGTAGTAGGCCATGTGAAAAGTGAGGCTTGATTCCTAGAGTCCTTGCTTTCAAAAGAAGAGATCCACCAGGTATTGAGAACTTTCTCTGTACCTGTGTTACAAAAGAAAGCTATCTGCCCTCAGGCTTTGCAAATGAGAAACAGAAACCACTGCTTGGCAGATTGGGATAGCCACACAGTGCTGTCATAGACCAGAGGAGAATATAGCTTCCAGGAGAGGTCAGGGAAGCCTTCCTGGAGGAGGTGGCCTTGGAGGACACACCCCAGAGCCCCAGTGCCCAGCACAGTACCTAACACATAGGAAGCACTCAACAAGCTTTTCTAGAATGGGTGAATGATTTAGGCAGGCACCATGGAGGCCATCTTTTCCTTCTGACTTTCCCAAACCAGTTCCTACATATATTCCTATATTCCTATATGTATTCCTACAGGTTCCTAATAGACCCTGATGACCTCTTCCTAGAAGAAAACTAGGAAGGGAAGGGGAGATGATGGAGAAGTAGGAGGAACTGAATGAGAGAGGCACACTGGGAACTGGGTGTTAATTTTCTTTTCTTTTTTTGCTTATTTATTTATTTATTGGGCTGTGGTGTTGCCAAGTCAAGGAAGCTTTATTTTTATTTGGAACAAAGTTTCTAAAGAATCCAAGGCAATAGGGTGCCTCTTCTGGTTCCTGGTGGTCTAGATGGCCCTTGACAGATCTCTGGGCCTGGACAAAACACCAGCTTGCCTTTATCCATCCTTGCTCCCATCCTAAGAAAAGGGCATCTTCAGGTTCAGAGGCCGGGAGATCCAAGGAAGAGGCCGTTGGCTCAGATTCAGCCCACATGTTGGCTTCTGAAAGAACCAAGGCCATCAAGGCCTAGTGCGATCCCATCAAGTGGGTACAGTGCCTCCTGCCTTCTACCTGAAATAAGGTACATTTCCCAGAGGCCTGCTTCATGGGAATGGGCAATCCCAGGTGCTGGATTGCCAGGACCCCTAATACCAGAGTCTGTGCCTTTGCTGGAGCAGGAATCAAGCCATGAGTCCAGGTCTGGGTTTAAAGGCAATGACCACCTTGCAAAGCCTCCCGGCTCTGCTCTGTCAGGAAGGAGGTGGTTCCAGAGTACCACAGCAGCAGACACGAGGGTGCTGCCGCATTTGAACACACATAACCAACTGTTTGAGGAAATGCTTTGGTCAGCATTCCAAGCGGAGCCAGAGGGGCTGGTGGGGCTGCTCTGTGGTCTTCTGTTAGGCTTAGGTTAAAGCTAGAAGAGCCATTGATAAGTTAATCTGAAAATTCACTTTGCAAATTACTCCTGGATGGCAGAACAGAAGCATGAAGGTGTCAGAGAAGGAGGCCCTGGCCTTTTGTGAGGTTTTAGTTGTAGAATACTATGGGAGAAATTTGCACATCTGTGTGGCAGAGAAGACATGAAACCCGGGTACATCATCGAGAGAGAGAAAAACTTGGCCATTAACCTGGGGAAGCTCAATGAGAATGAGGGCAGGCAAGGCCACCCACTTGCTTATATAGCAACCCAGATGATGGCTAAGTTTTGTATTTTTAGTAGAGATGGGGTTTCACCATGTTGGCCAGGCTGGTCTTGAACTCCTGACTTCAAGTGATCCACCCGCCTTGATCTCCCAAAGCCCTGGGATTACAGGCATGGGCAACTGCACCCAGCCTATGTAAAACCTTCTTCTCTGCTTTTTAGAAATACGGTGTCATTCATTTATTAACTCAATAAACATTTAGTGAATGCCTATTCTGTGTTTGACCCTGTACTGGAGGCAGGTCATAAAAATATGAATATTATAAGAATATTCATAAAGCTATGAATAAGGCAGAGTCTCTGCTCTTGAGATGTTCAAATTCTAGTTGGGTTGAGTTCTGGGCAAAGTACCCTGGGAGGATAGGGCAGTAGGCTGAATACTCCCCCCTCCCCAAGATGTCTACATCCTAACCCAGGAACCTATGAAGATGTTACCTTAAATGGCAAAAGGGCCTTTGCAGATATGATTAAATTGGGAATACTTAGATGGAGATTACCCTGGATTAACTGAGCGGGTTCAATGTAATCATGAGTTCTTATAAGGAGGCAGGACGGTGAAAGTCAGAGGAGAAGGAAATGTGAAGGGGGAAGCAGAGATCAGAGGGGAGAAAAGATGCCAGCGACTCTGCTGGCTTTGAGGATGGAGAAAAAAGGGTCACCAGCCAACGAATGTAGGCAGCCTCTAAAGCTGGAAATGGCAGGAAATGGATTCTCCCCTAGAGCCTCCTGAAGAAGCACAGCCCTGCTGATGCTTAGACTTTAGCCTGCTGAGATGGATTTTGAACTTCTGACCTCAAGAATTGTAAGATAATGAATTTGTGCAGTTTTAAGCCACCAAATATGTGGAAATTTGGTACAGACGCAGTAGGAAACTACTACAGGAAGGGAGTAACTTTTCCTGAGGTGAAGAGGAGGAATGGGTTTATGAAGGAGGAGATATGTGAACTGGGTCTTGGAGGACAAGTAGGAACCCATAAAGTATAGAAGGAGGACAGAAGGCAGCCCAAGTATAAGGAGGAGGATGTATGCAAAGGGTGTAAAAAAGCAGGGCATGTTTGGAGGTTGGCTTTTGGTCCACTGTGGTTGGGGCATAAGGTGTACAAAGGTTGAAAGAGGGGATCAGCCTCGAGAGAGGGGCTAGGAGCTTGACTCAGAACTGGCCCCCCCATGGTAAAAGGGAATCAATCCTCAAGGAGTTTATGAAGGGGAAGGATGATCCAATTTGTGTTTCAGACAGACTGCTCTGGTATCATTATGGAGGGTCATTGGAAGGGACCAGGCCAGAGGTAAGGAGACAAATGAGGCTGTTGCAGTGACTCAGGTCACACAGAGCCATGGGCAGGGGTGCCAGGGATGGGAGGAAGGGCATTTCTGAACTAGGATTGATGGGACTCAGAGTCATCTAATTGAATGTGGAGGGTGACAGAAATGAAGGAGTCACGGTGACTTCTAGGTTTGTAGCTTGAGTGCCATTCTCTGGGGCACAGGAGGAGTGGGCTGGGGAGGGAAAGAAACAATGAGCTCTGTCAGGGATGTGTTGAGGATAAGGGATTCATAGTCCACTTGGGAAAAGTTGTCCAAAGACAATTGGCAATGAAGTCTCCATAACTGTGCTATCTTGGGGTGATACTAAAGTCATCTGTGTTCCTTCTGCACCCTGGTAGGAGCAAGAATCAGGGAGCCTGGGGCTGAGTAGCTCAGTGGTGTGCTGGCAATGTTCCACGGCCAGCTCTCTGGGGGGAAAAGGCCCTGATATGTACATAGTGTTTGCCAATTTCCATGGTATAGATACTCCCACTATGACCAATGGCAAGCTACTAACTCACCCTCACTGATCATGGAACTGAGAAGAGATGGGCAGTAGCAAATCATTATATAGTTTCCGCTATGCAGAGACAATAGAAATAAATCTTCAGAAGAGCATAGATAATAGTAAAATGTAGTAAAATAATTAAAAAGCAGTTATTTTGAGTATTTATCTCCTTTTTGTTTAATGTGAGTTCATGTAATTTATTTTTTAATAATGTCTGTGTTTAACCACCAGTTCACAGAATTCTTGAAAATTACATTAGACTCTTATGAGCTGGAACAAGCAGGCTCCTGTGCACCACTAAAGAGATTCCTCCAAAGTACAAGTTAGAAGGGCCCAGAAATCCACCTACTTCTCAGGCTTAGTGACTCTCTAAAGTCACCCATGTGGGGAGGCAGAGCCAAGCCTAGGGCCTAGGAGACAGTTCCTGATCCTCCATGTCTTCCTGGAGACCCCTCGGTGCCCTGCCCTTTATGGGATCTCACAGACCCAGAATGCCGTGTGGTCCTTGACCCCAGGATGATGACTCATGTCACTCTTGAGTGAGTGACTCAGGGAAGAGGCTGCTGAGCAGCCTGGAACAAACAGAACTGGGCAAGATTTATATCTGCTAGGCGCTAAATGGGAGGCTCAGATACTTTGCTGCTATTCTCGGTGCCTTTGAACTGCCTCCGATTGAGCAATTGTACATATTTTGAAGAAGAAAAAATTTTTTCAAGTGGACCTATTTTTAAAAAAAGAATTCCTGAAGTGAACAAGCTGGAAAGGAAACCTGGGGAGATGTTTAGGCTTATTTCCTGTCATTGGTCTGAGCAGGTGCTGGCTCCTTCCCAGGGCACCCCCAGCCAACAAAGCCTATACGAGCTCCACAGGAGCGGAGAGCAGGGCTGGAGAAAATCGGGCCCTAAGAAGGTTTCCCACAGAGGTGCAAACCCCAGGATTGTCGGGGTTCTCAGGGCCAGCCTCCCGAAACGTGACTTTGTTTAGGGGACACAGTCTTGGGGGAAGTGACTTCCACTTCCTCATCCTCCCTTTTCTGTTGCCACCGAGGCTTTCTCCCTGCATCTCCGCCCTTCACCATTCCTGCTCCTGCACAATTCCCTTCAATCTAGATCCACTTTCAGGAGAGAATCCTGGGGCTTCCACCACACACTGGGGGGTGGCTGTACCCCCTTCAGTCACTCACTTACCCACTTGTTCAGCACAGCACAAATACCTACTTGGCCAGACACTGTGGCTGGCTCTCTTCCAGGAGGGATTCCACACTAGGCCTCATGTCTCACCTGTGGAACAAAAACCTCTGTTTTGGGGGAGTCATCATGAGTACAGGGATAGTGGAAAGAACTGGGGCTTTGAAACCAGACCAACCTGGGACTGAGCACAGCCCAGACCTGGGACTAAGCACAGCACAGATCTGGGGCAAGCACAGCACAGACCTGGGACTGAGCACAGCACAGACGTTGGGCAGCCACAGCACAGACCTTGGGCAGCCATAGCACAGACCTGGGACTGAGCACAGCACAGACATGGGGTGAGCACAGCACAGACATGGGGTAACCACAGCACAGACCTAGGACTGAGCACGGCACAGACATGGGGTGAGCACAGCACAGACATGGGGTAACCACAGCACAGACCTAGGACTGAGCACAGCACAGACACGGGGCAAGCACAGCACGGACCTGGGACTGACCACAGCACGGACCTGGGACTGACCACAGCACTGACCTGGGACTGACCACAGCACAGACCTGGGACTGACCACAGCACGGACCTGGGACTGAGCACAGCACAGACATGGGGCAAGCCCAGCACAGACCTGGGACTGTCCACAGCAAAGACCAGGACTGAGTCTCTTTTACTTGCAGGAGACAAATCTGGGAGCTCTGAGCCACTAGGATGAACACCAGAGTCTCTCTGAGCCTTGGCTTGGTTTTGTTGATGCTGTGCATGCTTAGAGAACTCAGCTGCCCTGTTTGGAGAATGGCGAGGGCACTGAGTGGACTCTATGTACCAGCACCTTGCATGTATTTCCTGATTTAATCGTTACAACAACGCTAAAAGGTGGGTGCTATTACCTCCATTTTCAAATGAGGGAACTGAGGCCAGGGGAGATTTATCCAGCAAGGGAGAGGCAGAGGAAGGATTAGAACGGAATCTGCCAAGCAACAAAGCCCCGTGAGCAGGCCAAGGTTAGGAAGCAGGATGGGGCTTTCCCAAGGCAGGCTTCCCATCCGGCTCACTTGTGGAGTCGCGGAACCCAGCTCTGCAGTTGGCCAGGCCCAGGGGACCCCCAGAGGCACCTCCCAGCACTTTCAGCAGATCTCCTGTGGGGAGCATCCTCTCTCCTGCGAGAGTGACCATGAGAGCATGAGAGCAAGAACAATGACGAGTCACTGCCGAAGGACGCCTGCTTTCACAGCACAGACACAATGGCTTACCCTTTACTATGAGCAAAACCGTCAAAATGAAAAGTCAGAAAGCTGCCACATGCAGCCGGGCTCGGGGCATGGGTGCTCTGGGGACTTTTCTGACTCTGCCCCTCACTCATAGATGTGGCCTTGGTCACATGCCTGCCCCTCTGGGCCTCGGTTCCCCATTGGTAAAAATGGGTGCAGGGGTAAGACTGGTGAGTTCTCAGTGTCCCTCCATCACCCTCTGGATTTGCAGAAGGGCTAAGAGAGCTCCACGTGCAGTCACCCCCAACAATTCCCCCCATCAGTTGTCCATCTAGAGATAGACCCGTGGTATTAATAGCAACCTAATCTCTTTCACATTCTTTGTGCTGCTAAAATGAAAGCAAAAATTCAAAGCTGGAAGAACAAAAAAACTCCCTTCTGAGAATACTGAGTCACTCCAGAAAGGTCAGTGGAGGCTAGGTTAACCCATGGTTTCCCGAAAGGGCTTCTTGGCTCTTCCCTCAATGCTCAAAGATTCACAGAGAGAATCTGAGAGCCGCTTAGCTTACGGGCTGTGCTCCTGGGATACTGTGGTTTCAGAGAGGAGTTTGGTCTCTCCTAGGCAGGTTGCAAGGCTCTGGGAGAGGCATCTTTGGCGCCATGATGAGAGGCTGCTGCTGCCTGCCGAGAACAGGCTTGGCCCTGCAAGGAAGGGGAGCATCAGACCCAGATTCGGTGAATTCCCAGCACTGCCATTCATGAGCGATGACATTGGGCAAGTCTCTGGGCCTCTGTTTCCTCATCTGTAACATGGGTCTAACTTTAATGTTAATAATAATAGTACTTACTCTCCCCATCTCACAGGGCTGCTGACAGCACTGAAAGAGATAGTCTCTGTAAATTCTGTTCCTGAACCGTGCGTCCCGATGATGGCTCTATACTTTCTGGGATACAGTAAGGCCTTTGAAGCCTACAAGGCAGGGCCGGCCTCCGCGTCCTCCACCTGCTGCTACCACCTACCAGAGGACATGCAGGCTCAACTGTAGGCCACTCTTTAGCCCTCATAAGACCCCGGCCCGACAACCGAAGTGTAGGTCCTGTTTCCTCCCCTCTGCCTCCCACCATCCTTAGCCTCACTGGGAGTACTCACTCCAGCCCTCCCCTGGGAGGCAGGGCCCCCGTGCTAGTCTTTTCTGCCACACTCAAGCAGAACTCCTGGTGAAGAAGCCAGAGTGGAAGAGAGGAAAGATGGCGGGCCTAGGAGTCAGACTAGCCTGGATTATAGCCCTTCACCAGCTACTTACTAGCTGTGTGATCTTGAGCAGGTTGCGGAACCTCTCTGAGCCCTAGATCCTTAATATATTAAATGGAAATAATAAAACCTATCTCATGGGGGTTAAAGAAAATAGCACTTGAAATACATTTAGCATAGTGTCCGATGCTCAGTAGGCGACTTAGAAGTAGCTGAAGAATGAAAGCATGAACAAAAGCATATTAGTTTGTTTTCTTTCATGAGCAGGGGCAGATAAAATATTTAAATATGGTTTAGGAACTTCTAGCCTCTTCAGTTGCACAAATTACTGGATAGTTATCCCAGCAGAGTCTCTTGGAAGATTTGCACCAGATACAAGGGTAGCTGAACCAGTCAAGTTGTTTCCGTTTCTGCACCTCAGTTTCCCGGCCTGTAAAATGGGCCAGGTTCTAGTTAGGCACTAGCTGGAGGCAGAATGAGTAGAGTCATAAAAGCTGATTAGCTCTTGGCACTGGCCTACCTAACCCTTTCCGAACCAGACTGGAGAGGCAGCAAGAAGGGCCCTGAAAATGGGTTAAAGAAGGAACAGCTTGGAGACCAAACATTACTAAATATTTTTTCCTTTTATGGGTTGGTGCTCTAGATCAGCACTTCCTGGAGATTATATTCTAAACTTTGCAGTGATGGATGTGAGGTCCGTGTGCCCACAAGCTCCAGCAGAACCCAGATGTCACCCTGGGGCAGGGACTCTCCTTTTACCTTGCTATTTTAAGCAGCGAGTTTATAATAATGGATGGGAGAGACAGCAAACAGGGCAGGAGCAGCGTGGGAATGGCCCCTGCAGGCAGGGCTGCTGGGGCTCCCCTGAGGAGCCTGGGGTTCCATCTTGTCAAGAGTGGGGCCTCAGCAAGCATCCACTCTACTTTTATGTTGTGGCAGCTGACATCTGACTTAACTCATTTGTTCTATTCTGCTTTCTGTCACAGGGACTGACTTAAGCTCTTTTTGGAAGAGAGGGAGGTGGAGGAAGAAAGTAGAGGGTTAAAAAATGAGGTATTTCTCATGAGACTTCAGACCATAATCCCAGAGTCCTGGGATGGAATCGTCAGGTCTTTCAGTTTGTTGTAGCTAAAAAGAGTCCAGGATTTCAGGGACTCCCAGGGTTAGAAAAGGCCCCTGAAGTGGTTAGGAATCCTGTGACCCTTGTCCCAGGCTTTACGAGAACGCTCCAAGGAATGGGGACTCACTACCTTAAAGAACAGCCTGTTTCATCTTCAGGTGGTTCCAACCACTAGAAGGTCGTCCCTTGCCTTCATCTGACCTTTCAGTCATTAGTTATGACATCTATTCTTTGGGAACAGTAAAACCACATGAATGCTTTCCAAACATCTGAGAAGAGATTTTTATTTCTCCCTGCACTTCCTCTTCTCCGGGCTAAAGTTCTCTAGTTCTTTAAACACAAATTTTTGTTCTCCTTGCTTCCTGCTTCCCAGGTTCAAAACATGTCCCAATTTGTCTAAATCCTTCTTAACAGGCAGAGCACAATATACTTTGTGTAGATTAAGACAAAAGAAAAGTGGAATAGTCACCTCCCATGTTTTAGAAACCATGCCCCTGTTAAGACAGCCTGGACCTGTACATACGTCACACATAATTTTAAAAGGTTTCCTATGAGATGTAGCCAACTTCCTTTAGTAGAATCAGGGTTTGTGGCTAGTCTTTTGCTACCCTCAACCCCTGTTACCAAATACTTTACCCAGCACCACTGATGCCACTGCTGCTGAAATCCAAGTAAAGATGATAGAAATTAATCACAGAGCTCACCTTTGGGTGAACCTGATGCTCAGTTTATTCATACAGTAAGAATTTGGCATGGAAGACACAGACAGCATGCCCTGGCCCCGTAGTTCTCATTCCCAAGAGCCAGGTGAAGTCTGTCCAATGTGGCTTCTCCCCATCCTGTCTTATCTTCCCCACTAGACACCCAGCTAATCTGTTCCAAGAAATTCCACTCAGCATTTGTGTTCACGGCTCAGCTCAAACATTTGTAATGTGAAATATTTGCTAAAATCATGTCCCACCATCCCAGTTCCCACAGGTAACCCTTTTCTGGGGTCCTGCAACTTCTCACTTTCAAAATATTTACCCCATTATACTGTTCTCCAGCGTCTCCTACCACTGGGCTCTATGTTCCTTGAAGGCCAAGATTATCTTTATGTCACCAGCCCCTTGCACAGGCCTGGTAGAGTAGGTGTAAAATTTTGGCAGTGAAAGAATGAATGACTCTATGGATGGTCTACTTGAGATTTCTTGAGGTGACCAGTAGGGGTCACCCTAACTGTTCCAGAGCTGTGTGGGCTAACTTGTTCATTGCAGAGAAAGACAGCAATCAAGATGGTGGTCACCTTGACCAATCCTGGGGCTAAAAGTCCCTAGTTCTTTAAACATAAATCAACAATCATTCTTTGCTGAATCTTTTGGGTACCTAGGATGAATCTGACACCTTGCCTAGCTCAAGGAGCTCAGTCCAGGAGTCTAGAGGTATGTGTGTTGGCTGGGGGGTCTGTCAGAGCTGGGCTGATGGCAGCTCAGGCCTTTTCTCCAGTGCCCTGACTCTAGGGGCTTTCCGAGCCCTTTCTGAAGGACAGGAAGAACACCAAGTATTATGGGAGGTGGCAGGGCTTTCCGGTTCTTCCTCCTACAGCCTCCAGCAGTCAGCAGTACCTTCCAGAGGACCTGGAACACAGTTGGTGCTCAGTAAATGACAGTGTCCTTCATCTCCACCCCCACCCACCATGTCCCATCAGCCAAAGGTCACCTCACTATGTTATCTGCATGGTGGTCTTAATCTACTGTGCAGTGGAGCAGCTCCTTCAGGGAATCTCTAAAAGTTGCAGAACCAGGCCAGTTGTTAGTTCTATAGATTCCTGAAGGTATTGCCCACCCCACTAATAAAAGAAGGAGGGAGTTTAAGGATGGGGAGAGGCCAGGCAGAGCCCTTGGAGCTTCGGCCAAGCTTCCTGGGCTGCAGACCCCCGTGCAGGTGGCCTCTGTGGGAACTACTGTGAACTGAGTGTGTTTCATCCTTGGAGCATCCTGCTTGGGAGGCATTCTTATCTGTTTTGACAAGAAAACTGGGACTCAGAGATGAAGCCTACTTTCCAAGGCCACATAGCCAGTGAGTGGCAAAGTGAGGACTCACACCGAGATATCTGGTTCCAAAGCCTGTGTTCTTTCTACATTGCTATCCTGCCTTTCCCTATGGAAACCTGGCATTGCTAGTCTCCTCTTCTAAGAGGAAGCAGAGGAGCTAGACCCATTGGCTCAGGTCTGTTGGCAGGATCATACTCCTAGGCATCTTGACAGACAAGAAGCACGAAAGAGTAGTGGAGCATGTTTTCAGTTACAAGGAACAAAAACCCAACACAAAGTGATTTCAACACCAAGAGGCTTAATTGTTCATGTAACCAGCTAGTCCAGAAAGTGTTCAGGCTTCAGGCACACTTTAATCAGGGCTCCAGTTCTGTTTCTCTGCAGGTCCCTTCGCTCTGCCCTCCTCTGTGTGTATCATTTAGATTCTGTCTGGCTTTCCTCATGGAAGCAAAATAGTGTCCGTAGCACCAGGTCTCATATCTTCACACTCCACCACTCAGAGCAGGAGAAAGCATCTGGTCCTAGAACACCACTTTAAGCTCATCGATGTAGGCTGGGTCCATTGTCTATCCCTGAGCCAGTCACTGTGGGAGGTGGATGAGATTATGCTGATTGCAGTCCCAATCAGCACTGGGACCCCAGTGCCCCCAGGCTGCTGCACCATGGGGAAGGGATAGCCTGGCTTCTGGGAGTCAATCTAAGGTTGCCAGGGGTGGGCACAGGGCACATGGAATTCACCCTGCCTGAGCCCCCAGGTTTTAGTAGGGCTGGTGTAGTCCCCATAAGGGCTGAACTCAAATGAGAGAGCCTGTGCTGAGGGTCAGAAGAGCATGAGGGGAGGTGTCAGGGAGGAAGTCAGGAAACAGCACCTCTTACTCCCCATCCACATGGCTGAGGAACACTGTGTAGTATAGCAGAAAAAGCCCCAGCCTCAAAATCAGGAAGATCTGGGTTCAAATTATTGGTTCTCTGTATGATTTGGGGCAAGTGACTTTCACTCTCTGGGGCGGTTCTCTCATCTGTAAAATGGGAATATTAATGCCTACATCAGAGGTCATCTTGAGGATTCAATCAGATGATGGTGATGCTCCTAGGACAGGGCCTGGCACCCAGTAGGTGCTCAGTAAGTGGTAAACAACTGCCAATGTGATCTCAATGGAGTATCTTCCATTAGCTACAGCTTTGAGGAGTTCGAAGCACATTTCTCCCTTCTGGGATAGCTGTGTTTACTGTAAAGACCAAATTAGATGCAAAATCTCTAAGGTCACCTCTGACTTTGTAAACAAAGCCAGAGAGCCGGAGGAAATGAAATTCCAAATGCCCTCTCCTAGCCTGGTTTGACCTCCGGTGTTGATGCAAACTCAAGCCGGCTCTCACTGTGGCTTGTGGCTCCGGGAAATGGAACCCAGCTTGGGACAGGGATGGGAATGGATTTGACTTGTCCTTTTGGCATCTCCCCAGCCTGTGGAGCCCAGGCCTCTTGGAGCATCTTTGGGGCTGACGCAGCGGAGGTTCCGGGCACACGTGGCCACTCCCAGCAGGAGGCTGCCATGCCCCACATTCCCGAGGACGAGGAGCCCCCCGGAGAGCCACAGGCAGCCCAGAGCCCTGCCGGCCAAGTAAGTGCCCCCTCCCTGCCCTCAGCTAGCCTGGCTGGGGGCCAAGCCAAGCACCCTGGGCTGAGGCCACAGCTTTTAGGCTGGCCAGAGGGTTTGCTGACAGCTCATGTAGGTTGCAGTGGGTACCTGGAGAAGGTGTGTGGCTTCCATACTGAGGAATCAATTACTCTGAGTTGGTTTGAATTGACCGAGGCCCCAAATATTCTGGGTATAGAACCAACCATCTAGGCTGTGTCTGACTGAGGCCTCAGAAGTCAAACCACAAACCATGCAGGCTCCCTCTGAAACCGGAGAAGGACTTATATGAGAACCATTAGCACTGAGAACCTCTTATGTCAGGTGAGTGGGCACGAGAAAAGGCCACTTAAAGTGAATCCACTTAAAATGGAGATCAAAATTGTATAGTAAATAGCAAAAAAGGTTTTCAGTGAAATTTTATTATAGAAAGGAAATGATGAAAGCAGATTAATTTAAAGAGACATCAAGATTTTTATTGTACAAATGAGGCATTCAAAACAAGCTATTTTTAGCTATACAGATTACAAAATATAGGTTATGTGCTAATTTTCAGATTGAAGAAAGAATAAAATGTTGATTTTGGTGTGGGTATATTTATTTATTATACCAGCAAAGTGATCTGTTCACATAGTAACTCGCTCTTCACATTTTACTTTACAGCACCTAATTAAGAGTCTACGTCTGTTTAATACTTAAGGGCTTCATCCATTTCCCCAAGGATCTCTTTCAGTCCCTCGATATTCAAATTATTCCCTTTTGAAGAACCTATTTGAGCATCATCCTCGTCGTATTTTCTTCACTTAATTGATAAGCTCTATCTGATCTCCTTGGTCAAAGACCTTGCATGTAAAATTCTCCATCACTGTTTTCTTTGACTTCATGAACTTTGCAGTTGATTTGCATTGAAATGGTATTGTCCTGTTATATCGGACAGTCATCCAAACTGACCTGAGCCAGGTGGGATAGACGCTTTTTAAGTGAGGGAAGAATCTATAAGTGGAGCATTATTTTTACAAAAGGGCAGATTCTTAGTGAGTATTTTCATGTTATGATGGCATTTGTTTTCTGACACATTACGACTCTGGGAACTTAGATAGTAAACACTTAGAAAAGAATGGCCCTTTGTATCTGCATATCCCAAGCTCATCGGATTAAGATGTTGCAGAACTTGGCAGCCTTAGGGGTGAGGGGGTTGTCCTTCCCTTGAATGTCTAAGTGACAGTGGGCCAACCCCCTAGCCCTTCAGCCTCAGGCAGCCCAGCCCAGGGTTTTATCAAGTCCAGGCCCCCATTCTGGGAAATAGTGGGTCCTGCTGCTGAGGGTGCCAAGTTCCAAAAGCTTGGGGATTAAGGAAAGGAGAGACAAAACACTCACAACTGCATTCAAATGCGACTGCTTCCAGACCCTCAGGCCATGACTTTCTTGGCCTCTGTCTCCTTAGCATCCCTATTTCCTCGCCCTGGACTCCTCTGAAAATGGCCATCCCTGGCCCCTTCTACTTTACTAACAATGGTAGTACCCTTGAATCAGATTCTCAGGCAAAATGTAGCTCTTAAATCCTGGGCAACTCCCCCAAACAGCTGCCCCAAGACTAAAAGCATTCCTAAAATATAAGATAATAAAAGATCAGCAAAGATGCACCCCTGCTGTCAGTGAAGACAGGCTTTTATATTAAATTCTTCCTGCTTACAATGCTTTATAATTAAAAGTTCTTTCAGAGTATATCCTCAGGAAACATAAAACAAGACAACATAGACACCTGTCACTTAGACATTCAAGGGAAGGGCATCTCCCCACCCACAAGACTGCCAAGTTCTACAACATCTTGATCCCATGGGTTTGGGATATGGAGATCCAAAGGGCCATTCTTTTTAAAGTGTTTGTTACTTAAGTTCCCAGAGTTGTAATGTGTAAGAAAACAAATGTAATCATAACATGAGAATATTCACTAAGAATCTACCCATTTGTAAAAATAATGTTCACTCATGCATTCTTCCCTCATGGGTCCTTCTGCTGGGCCCCAATAATGCAGAAGCTATCAGTACCTGCAAACATTCTCTCTATAGTCTTGATTTCCCATGGGCACAGAGAGAATCATGGCACTTGAAGGGCCTTCAGAGACCATCCGTTATTTAATAAGAGTCTGGTTCTGGCTCAGGGTCACAGGGAGACTGAACTTGTGGGGAACTGGAATTTGGAGCTCCCACTAGCCAATCAGGGATCGCTTACTCTCAACTTTGTGGCAGGCAAGCTCATGGAACCCTCCCCCCATTGTGGCAACCTCTAGAAATTCATCATGCCAACCTAATGGCACTGTACCTATATGCATTTTGAAGCTGTGATGGTTAGGAAGGCCAGCAGGAATTCAGGGGAGCCGGGAGCCGAGAAGCCCAGGTCCTATCAGGGAGGATACCTAGCACAGGATTTAAGAATGTAAACTGTGCAGTCATACCAAGCTGGGCTTCAATCCCAGCTCCTCTACATTCTGGTCAAGAGACCTTGTCTTGGCCAAGAAACTTTGAGACCAAGTCTGTTAACTTTGCTGTGCTGCTGGTTTCTTATGTGTTACCCAGTACAAGGGTTAGTTGCTGCCTCCTAGACTCTGCCTGTTCAGCCCAGCCCTCAAGTGCCTTCTATAGCCTGAGGGACCATGAAGCTGGGGCAGTTCAGACCCCCCCAACCAAAGGCCACATCAAACTCAACTTTCTTTTACCCTCTTCCCTTACTGCCACGCCCTGGACATTTCAAAGCTTTTCAGAAGGCAACCAGGCATGGTGAGTAAAGTGCTTCTCCCACTATTGCACCCACCAGACCACCCACATTGGGTTTCTCAGGTAGTCACGGCCTCGGGAGGGTCAGGCCTCAGGAGCTGGCCTGGAGCCTTCAGGGGGCTGGAACCTGAGTCCCTGGGAGCATCCGAGGCCAGGCAGCCAAGGAAGCGGGGTTGGCCAGGATGACTCGGCTGGAAGTCCCAATCCTGCCTGAATTCCCAGTCTGTGAAGCAGGCAAAGAACAGAGCATCCTTCTAAGTTTACAGCTCCCCGGGGTCCAGCCCTAGTTGTGATTCCTCAGGTCCCA
Organism: Homo sapiens; assembly: GCF_000001405.40. NCBI lineage: Eukaryota > Metazoa > Chordata > Mammalia > Primates > Hominidae > Homo > Homo sapiens. Next base: position 10,648,928 of record NC_000011.10, on the reverse strand, counting down.
GCCCCTATTTCCCATCACTGGCATGAGCACTAGCCGAGGCCTTCTCACACACAAACACAAAATCTGTAGGACTAGATCCTGTTTCTCTTTCTGCACGTACACACGCATACACACACACAGACACACACGCAGATACACAGGCATGCACAGACAGACGTACTCTTCAGGTCCTTAATCAGAAGCTGCAATCAAATACCACAAAAAGCCCCCCAACAATGCACTTTGTAAGGCTATGTCCTGAGTGGGGTTTTCTGCATTGGCCCTTGAACAGGGAGAGACTCAAAGGGAAGAGTTTGTAGCCAAGGGGTTCTAGCAGGAATAGAAGCTGTCAGAACACAAGCCTGGGACCTGAGGGGACCACAGAATGACAGACTGCCAGTGCTAGAAGAATCCCAGGTCACATCTAAGCTCCGCCCAGGCAGGCAAAGCTCTCTATAACGTGAGCCCCACTCAGTCACCCTGGGAATTTTTTGAACACCAGATTCCTCAGCCATCCAAGACCTACTGAATTGGAATCTCTTGAGGTAGGTCTTAGGAATCTGTAGGAATATATCTTTGTATTTTTGAGACAGAGTCTTGCTTTGTCACCCAGGCTGGAGTGCATTGGTGTGATCTCAGCTCACTGCAACCTCTGTCTCCCAGGTTCAAATGATTCTTGTGCCTCAGCCTCCCGAATAGCCGGGACTACAGGCCTGCACCACCACGCCTGGCTAATTTTTGTATTTTTAGTAGATATGGGGTTTCGCCGTGTTGGCCAGGCTGGTCTCAAACTCCTGGCCTCAAGTGATCTGCCCACCTCGGCCTCCCAAAGTGCTGGGATTACAGGCGTGAGCCACCGGGCCCAGGGTAGGAATCTGTAGGAATATTTCTATAATGAAAAGCTCACCGCCTCCCAAGGAAGCCTGTGCACTGGTTGGCCAGCTCTGTCCTGGTCAGGCTGGAATCTGCCTCCCCCAAGACTCTCCCTCGGTTCTGCCCTCCATACAACCTATAGTGGGGTGAAATCCTACAGATGCAGAAAGGCAGTTCTGAGTCTTCTCAGAGTCTCTTTTTCTCTAGTTTCTTCAGTCTTTGCTCCCATGACAGTGTTCAGAGCCTTCCTAACCTCCGCTCAGGACACATACCAGCCCATCTCCGCCTTACTGTAGGGCCCCAGACCTGGCCCCAGGCTCCAGATGCAATCTTACCTAGGCCTAGATGAGTTCCTGGACTGTGACCAGCAGCCACAGTAGGAAGCTGACTCACCCAGACAGTGCAGCATCCTCTGAAGTGCCTTGTAAACCTGAGGGTACAAAGAGGCTCATGTTAGCTGTAAGAGCCCAATTTTCACCGGCTCTAGCTTCCACCTGAACAACTCCCATCCTCCTCCAAAGGGTTTTAGAAGCCCCCAGGGGCAGGTCAGTGTGAACTCATAAGCAGACTTCACCTCTTCATATCACCCATTCCAGCACCCAGCTACCACCTCCCCTGTTCCCCTACCTCCGCTGCACACAAAGCCACTTAATAATAATAGCTAACCCTGTGCCAGATACTCGTCTACCATATTAACTCATTTAACATATAATTAGCCTTACGGTAGGTATTATCATTCCCATTTCATAGCTGAGGAAACTGAGGCACAAAGAAATTAACTACCTTCCTCCAAGGTCATACAGCTCATAAGTGGCAGGCCCAGGATCTGGGCCCAGGCAGCCTGACCCCAAAGCCCATGCTTAGTCCATACCCGCACTGAGCACTGTTACTGCCCCTGGGTCCTCAGTGAGAGCTCTGGGACCTGGGCCAACAGTACGTTGTCCTGTGTTCCCAAAGCCACTCACCTCAGAAGGGCCAACTTCAGAGCTCGCTGTCAGGGGAATGCCAAAGCACCACCAAACCCCTTCTGCCTGCCAGCCCCTCAGGAGCACAAGCTCGTGGGGCCAGCAACCAAAGCTGCATGTCACATGCCTGTCTATGCCCCTTCCTCATTCTCCTTCAGTCAGGTAATCAAACAGCCCAACTTTAACTTGAGTGGGCTGTCTGATTGCTTAGCTGAAGGAGAATGAGGAAGGGACATGGACACATTGAGGAAGGGGAAGGGCACATTAACTCCTAGAAACACAGGCCACCATGCTATTGCCTGGTTTAGGCCACATGCATGAGGCACTCTGGGTCTCTCCGAGCATCCACTTTGTGTTTCATTCGTTGATGCTCTAGGCAGACATGGATGCTCAGCCCTGTTACGCAGTAGCTCTTGTGACTTAAGGTCACTGCAGCACTCCACTGATGAGTGGCATCTGCACCCCTCCCCTCCCGTAACTTTTAAGTAACTGAGATGTGGTTGGAGTGTGCTCTGGAGAAGCAGTCTTGTTTGTGTGGCCCTTATAGGAAGGGATCTGCTTGTGGAGCACCTAGAACCTCTGGCTATGGAGGTGCTGGCCTTCCTCCTGTTTTGGCTCAGAAATAGGGACTGATGTAAGTGCCACCATAACAAATCTGGGGTTGGGTAGATAATTGGCTGGCTAGATGATTAAATGACTGCACTAAAGGGCAGAAGAAATGGAGGGAGGGCTAATGTTAGGAAGGGAGGAAGGAAGGGAGGATAGTAGATATGATGGATGAATGACTAGCTGAGTTACTCTCCTTGGAATAAAGCTAACACATACTGTGTTTTTCCACACTCCCAAAGTCTGTTGGCATGAGAGTAAAAACAGTGGACAAGGGTTGTAGGAGGCCTATCCTGGCTTACACCCTCAGTCAGTGGGCTGGGCTCAGAGCCAACCTGTCTGTCCTTTAAGAAGAGGAGGATGACCAAGCAGCCAGGGAGTTCCAGAAGGTACAGGAAAGGCTCATAGAAATGTAAGGTATAAGCAGCATGGCAGAGCAGGAAGAACTTGGGCTTCACATCCTTGACTGCTACCTTGGATAAGTGATTCCTCATTATTCCTTGCCCCAGTTTCCTCATCTAGAAACTAAGAGTTATAGGAATAGCCACTAACAACAGCTAACCTTTATGGAGAACTTACTATGTGCCAGGTACCATATTAGGCTTGTTTTATATGTTACATTATCTCATTTAATTCTCGCAATACTCCTGGGAAAACTATTAGTATTTCCAGTAACAGATAAAGAATTTAAGCACAGAAAAGTAATGTGCAGTGGGTGACATAGCTAAGGAAGTGGTTGAGGCTAAATTCAAACCCAGGCAGCTTGACTTTAATTACTGGAATAATATATATAAAGTGATGAGCAAAGTACTTAGCTCACAATAGGCGCTCAGTCCCTATAGCACAAAACGGTTTGCAAAAAGTTTCCACATGTGTCACTGCAAGTGCAATGACATTGCAAGTGCAAAACCACTGTGAGGTAGACAGAGCAGAGAGAGTCACCCCCATGAAAGTGCGAATTTAGAGCAGTTAGGTATCTTATCCAGATGAAGGGAAAGAAACTAACACACAGGTTCCTAGTGTTTTCTAGCATTTAACCTTCAGAACGCAGTCGTACATGGTAGTGATGACTATGCACATTTCACAGATCAGGATACTGAGGCTTGGAAAGGTTAAGCCAGTTGCTGAAAATCACATAATAGGGAAATAGCAAGGCCCGGATTCCACTGTCTCATGGTTGTAAGCTGAGGAAATGGGCTATAATTAATTGTTTTCCTATTTCTATTCCAAAAATACCCCATTATATGCAATAGAGTTTGAGCACAGAGGCAAGGGATGATTATTCACATACACATGGTAGGCACTCAATAAATATGGAATCGAGGAATTGAAGTACATTTACTCAGTCAATGTTTATTGAATTTGCTCAATAAATGTTTATTGAGCATTAACTAACTAAGGTCCTGCTCTCAGGAAGCTCACTTCCTGGTAGATTTACTACCAAATGCCAGTTCTGTCAGATCCAATTTGCTCTTGTGTTCTCCCACGGCCTTCTCCCATCAGGACCTGGAGGAGACTTGTTCTGCGCTGTCTATGGGAATATCTCGAGTTTAGCCATATACTTTACTGCTGAAGGCAGATTGCCAGCTTCTCTATCCATTTGACTCCTTTTGGCTGTTCAAGCCCTGTCCTCACTGGCCAACAGAGAGGTTCTGCCTGTACCTCCCTGGAAACTCCTTGGGAACCGTGTGCTGCCCGACTAGAGAAAAGGTGTGTGACCCAAAGGATCAATTATCTGTCAGGAATGAGATGAAGAGGAACCAGATAAAGCATGTAAAACACTTGGAACCTGGTAAGGACTGTGTAGAGTAGGGATCCCCCTGCCCCCCAGCTTCCCCAGTGAGAACCCTCATACGGTACCTCCCATGTGCCAGGCACTGCTCTAGGCACTTTACACATAGCAACCTCACGACAACTCCAAGACACAGGCATGATGGCTATCCCACTTTATAGATGAGAAAACAGGCAGGTAAGGGCACTATACTCACCAGAAACCAGGAAGTACTTGGATGCTCCCATCGAGGATTTTGAATTCATCTTCTCTGAGTTCATTTCTACTTATCTCATCACATCCTTTGCAAGAACAGCCTCAATTAAGGCCTTCAATAAAATAATTTAAAATAAATTATCAATAAAATATTAGTATCTGGTATACAAGATAATGGTAGCAACTACTGGGCACCTGGTATGTGGTCTAATCCCTCCAAGGTAGATATTATTATCTCTATTTTTTAGATGAAGAAATGGAGTCTCTGAGAGTTTATGTAATTGTCAAAGATCACCTAGCTGTGCTGTGGTCAAATAGAGATTCAAACTCAAGTTTCCCACTGATGTCATCCTGCCAGGTTTTCCTTCCTTTCCTGGCCCTAGCTAGGACACCAGAGGCCCCATGCATGGGAAACAGGTGCTTGATGCTCCATCATTATAAAAAAGAGCTCAAGAGGACAGTTCCACCAGGCTGGCCTCTAGTGGTTCTGGTCACAGGGTAAGAGCTGTGAGAATTTAGCGTGGAAGTGCCTAAAACAAGGCAGAAAGTGTTTTAGAAATGTTGACGGTTACAGACAGTCGGAAATGCATATAAAAATTGTTTTCCCTTAGTTCCTATTGTGAGCAATGAAACAGATTGCTGTTCTTTGTTTTTCTGTCTCCACACATCAGGCTATGTGTGAGCTACTTGCGGGCCACAGACTGTGCCTTTCACATGTGTATCTCCACCCATAAGCATAGGCTCCAGCATGCGGTCGGAGCTTAGGGAGGGAGGGAGGGATGGATGGATGGAAAGGTGGATGGATGCTTGATTGTGTTGTGATAGGTTGGGTAGATAATTGGCTGGCTAGATGACTAAATGACTGCATTAAAAGGCAGAAGAAATGGAGGGTGGAGTAGTGTTAGGAAGGGAGGAAGGAAGGGAGGATAGTAGATATGACGGATGAACGACTAGCTGAGTTACTCTCCTTGGAATAAAGCTAACATATATTGTGTGCTTTTCCACACTCCCAGAGTCTGTTGGCATGAGAGTAAAAACAGTGATGAACAAGGCAGTTGTTCTTTATATCTGACTTCTAGAAATAAATGGACAATGGCAGGAAAGAGGATCCACCAGAGGCAGAGCAGGCCCTTGGTGCAAGGGAGGGCCTATAGGGAAGACACCGGGGAGCCTTTGGGGAGCCAGGGAACTGGCCCTCTATGCTTGGCAGGGAGGAGCCCCATGTCCAGCAGAACTCAGCAGAGGCACTTCTGCTCTCTCCTGTGCCCCTAGGACTTGCCGCTGGGATAATCATTTTCTTTCAAGTCCCCAGAGAGTCCTTTTTTTTTTTTTTTTTTTTTTTGAGACGGAGTCTCACTCTGTCGCCCAGGCTGGAGGAGTGCAGTGGCACGATCAGGCTCACTGTAAGCTCCGCCTCCTGGGTTCACGCCATTCTCCCGCCTCAGCTTCCCGAGTAGCTGGGACTACAGGTGCCCGCCACCATGCCCGGCTAATTTTGCTTTTGTATTTTTAGTAGAGACGGGGTTTCACTGTGTTAGCCAAGATGGTCTCGATCTCCTGACCTTGTGATCCACCGAGGCCATGCCTCGGCCTCCCAAAGTGCTGGGATTACAGGCGTGAGCCACCGTGCCCGGCCCAGAGAGTCCTTTTATCCTGTTGTAAGAGCACTGGCTGCTTTTGCTGCTGGATCTCCTCTCTACCAAGGCAGTCCCTGTTTGCCCTCCAGGCTACAAGACAGGGATCTGGGGATACAGTCTCACAGCACGCACCCACCACCACCACTTTCACCGTCATTATTATTGCTTTCTCTCATTTAATACTTAAAACAAGCCTAGAGAATAGTGATTATTAGCTCTATGTAATGTTTTAGACCATGAAAGAGAAGTTTAGTAACTAGTAACTTGCCCAAGGTCACCCAGGTGGGATTCTGGTCTAGGCCTACCCGACTTCTTCACTAGCCCACATTGCCTTCCAGCAGGGTCCTCCTCTCCTGGGCTGTCTGCCAGCGCCCATCTACAGGATCTAAACCCCCCATGCCTGCCTGAGCTGGAGTGGGCTGGAGCTGGGGCTGGGGGTGTTCCTTACAGTTTCCTAGCCTGGGCCTAGCCATGTGACTCTGGGGAAAGGAAGCTAATATTCCCATCTATGACACTGGCCTATATTTATCCCTGTGCCCAGGCGGTTAGGAAAACTATTGTGCATTCCTGAGAATCTATGAGTGAAATAAACATTTAAATGTTTCTATAAGATTTATTTAAGGAGAACAAAATGTGGCCTGCTGGCTTATTAGAGGGTGAGCTTGCTGGGAGATGACCCAGCCCTCAGTGCTTGGCTGATTCCAGGGAAGGGAAATGGACCCCCAGGGAGGCTGGGCCCATGGAGGAGTGAGAAGGGCAGTGAGCCAAGGGCATCCTCTGCCCATGCTGTCCTTTTCTCCAGCTGTGTGTTCAGCCTTGTGCTGGTTTGAGGGCTTCCTGGAGGAAGAGGTACCTTCTGTGAAGGAGAGTGCAGCTTGGAAGAATAAGAGTGTCAGAGGCCAGCAGGGCACCAGGAACCAGGGGAGGTGAGACCAAAAACTGGGGATGCAGCTTTAAGAGTAGCGTGGTGTCGTGGGAAGGACACAGCCTGTGTTCAGTCACTTCCCCTATTTACAAGCGGCACAGCCCTGGACAAGTCAGTTTTTGCATTGATAAAGTGGAGATCAAAATAGAAAAGCAGAAGAGAAAAAAGAAAGATATCAATCTTCTACCCCATGCTCATGGCCTTCACTTTCATCTTCTCGTTTCCTCTTCACAATTCTATGAGTTTGGGAGGCATTATCACCCCCAATTTGTAGGTGGTGTCCTCAGGTTTACCCACTGAGTTTCTGGGAGGATTCGGTGAGAAAACACGAGGGGGGTCTGGGACAGGGCCCACCACACAGTGGGCCTGAGTAACTGCCAATTCCCTCTAGCCATGTTTGTTTCTGTGCTTCCATGTCTGTAACCCACAAAGGGCATTGATTGGTTTGAGAGGCAGAGGGTGAGAGGGAGTGGAGCCGGGTGAAGGTGGCCTTGGTGGTGGGTCCTTGATCACTTGGGCTTATGTGGTCAGATGCCCCAGGAGAGATGCTCCATTGCGCCGTGACCACAGTGGCTGGGCTCTCCCAATTTAACTCCAGATGGTTGAGGAGACCCAGAACTAAGAGCAACCATCTTTTCAAAACCAAATGCCAAAGTCATTAATTCAATCCCGAAGGGAATAATAAGGGAACATAACATCTAATGCTTAGTGAGCATTTGCTCAGTGCTAGGTGCACTTCCACAGGCTTGCCATCTAGGGCTGCCAGATTTGGAAAATGAAAATATGATTATATGCTGTACATGGTGGCTCACACCTGCAGTCCCAGCTACTCAGGTGAGAGGATCACCTGAGCCCAGAAATTTGAGACCAGCCTGGGCACATAGCAAGATTCAGTCGAGAGAGAGAGAGAGAATACAGTTATGTCCATGGAATATTTGAGACACACATACTAAAAATTATCTGTTGTACATTTGAAATTCAAATATAACTGGGGCATCCTGTGCTTTATCCAGAAATCCTATTTCTATATCAACTTGTTTAATTCTTATAACTACCCTGTGAGATAGTTCCATTATAGATTAGGTAACTGAGGCACAGAGAGGCAAGGTAACTTGCCCAAGGTTATCCAGCTAAAAAGTATACCATAAGGTAGTGTGGCTTCTGAGCCTGAGGCCCTGAAGCCCCTAAGCCAGTAGGTTGTCTGGCCAACGCTATTTGGTCTTACTGCTCTCCCAAGCTTTCTTGAAGGCCTGCCTTGTGTTTGACAGCTCAGAATGGGAGCAGGGATGCGTGTGTGCACTGCATGAAAATCTGGCAGAATTCACCCCAGAGGGCCCCTAGAATCTTCCCACACACTCTCTCCTGGATTACTGTCTCCCCAGTCCCTGATAGAGTGAAAAACAGCCCCCACAAGACCTGAATGTTCCCACCAAAACAGTTTTGCAGAAAAGGAGAAGTTGCCCAGAGCTTGCTCAACGATTCTGTCAGCTGATGAGGGAAAGAACACTATGATTTTATGAGTTGTGTATTTTGCACACATTAGAAGGCAAGTGTGAAGAACCTTCCAGGATGTTCCATCAAGGGATTAGAGGATTTCCTCCTAATCGCTTTATGCTTCCTGCTTTGTAAGCCACTTGGAATTGTGAGTGTCTGCGGTTACCTGCTTGGCACTTGCCACCCATGGCTTGTTTCTGCCTTTTTGTATGGGCACCTCTGCCATGGTCCTCCTCCCCAGTGAGATGCCTACAGTCAGGAGAGCTTTGCTTCAGGTAACCATTAGCCAGCAAGCAGAGAAAGCTCCTATCAGAAGGCAGCTCACTCCCGTGCCTTGTACCCATTTACCTGGTAGGTATCAACACCGAGGGCACTATTAGTAATAGCAGTGGAGGTTACTTCCCCTTCTCTCCCCATTCCTTCATGCTAATGAATGGGAAGCATTGCAGAGGCCCGCTCAGTTCACCTTTGTCTTCCCAGACCTTAGCATAGACCCTGGCCACAATAGGCATTCAATAAATGTTTGCCGGATGATTGGACAGAATAAGGTCCAATAATGTGGGAGTGTTCACAGACCACATCCCTTTCTTGGACGCCAAACAGAATCTGATCATTGCCAGCCCAGTGCCCCTCTCTTCTCCAAGAAGGTCTTTGCTCTGTAAGACTCTTCAGTAAATGTTTGTGAGTCAATCATACAAACAAATGAAGACAATCTGCACAAAAAATAACTGGATGGAGCTGGGGGAGTAAAGGCTGGAGCAGGAGAAAAAGAGAAAGAAGGTAGACAGAGGATCTGGGCAGGGAGGCAAGCAGGGGAAGAGTCATCAGAGAGGGGGCGTGAGAATCGTTAAGGAAAGAGAAAAGGGCAGAGGAGAGGTCAGGATGGGAGTGAAGATTTGTTCCCCTTTCATGTTCTTTGAGAGGTGAGAGTAAAGAATGAAGTTCCTTCTATGCTGGTTTTCTTTCTGTTGAACAGTTCCGTAAGGCGAGCCTTCTCAGAGTCTGCGCCACGTGGATCACGGCTTCATTAGGTTTCAGGGCAAATAGTTTAACCACAACTCCCAACCATAGACTGTTAGGAGCATGAGGTTCTCCTTGTCTGCTAGGGATATTTATGTTTGTCAAATCATCCATCATTCCCCCATTTATATAGTCTCATGTTTTTATATCTTATATTTTATTGTTGGTTACTTCAAGTTGCTTTGAGAAGTAGATAGTGTCAATAAGATTAAAAATAAACAAAGGCCAGGCATGGTGGCTCACGCCTGTAATCCCAGCACTTTGGGAGGCCAAGGCAGGCAGATTACTTTAGGCCAGGAGTTGGAGACCAGCCTGACCAATGTGGTGAAACCCCATCTCTACTAAAAATACAAAAATTAGCTGGGCATGGTGGTGCATGCCTGTAGTCCCAGCTACTCGGGAGGCTGAGGCATGAGAATTGCTTGACCGGGAGGCGGAGGTTGCAGTGAGCCAAGATCATATCACTGCACTCCAGCCTGGGAGACAGAGTGAGCCTCCATCTCAAAACAATACATAAAAATAAAATAAAATATGTATTTTACTTATTTAGCAGCCTGAATATATGAAACTGTTAGAAATGGATATATGCTATAACTCTCCTAATACCACCACAATTATTTTTTCAGAATACAACATGGAATTAGCTCATGTTTGGCCCATCCTGCCCCTTTAAATAGACACAGCTTATCCTCATCAATGCATGCCAGGAATTTGTAAAGCCCCACCACAAGGGGTGGTGGAAACCATATGATAGAATGCATGTAAAAAATGATATTTTAGACAAAATGCATTTCTTCTTGTTCATCAGAGGACTCATACAAGAAAGAAATTCTCTAAATATGACAGACATGAAAAAGGCAACTTTCAGAGCTCAAATTTTCACAGTCAGAATAAAATCCAGGGAAAGAAGCCCGCGCATGCTATAAGCACAGTCAGAGTTTCCATTGGCGTTCCCATGGTGATAGGCATGAGGCTGCCCAGATGATGTGGGTGGGAGAGATTTTAAGCACAAACCTCCTGTGCTCTGGAAAACCAGGCCAGGATGAAAACTACATGACACAGGGCAGTAACTCAGATGCATTTGGGGCCAGGGAGCACAAATCACTGAAGAAAGCCAATTTAGGATAGCTCAAACCTGGTTACTCTGCAGAAATATGGGCCTAAGATTGTTTGATCTTTCAGTTTAAGGAAAAGCAGGCTATCCAGACCTTTATGTGAATTCTTACAATTATGGAATGTTGATAACTAATTTAAAAACTTGTAAACACTACTAGCAAACAGGCACATGGGTCTCTAATTTGCACCTCTGAGCTCAGAATATGCATCAGAGGATGCTGATTGCTTAATTGACATCCAAGAGATCACACCTGCCAGAAACACTGACAAATCCCTGATTCCCAGTAATGCCTTTTGCTAATGCTACTCCTTTTTAATGATGTGAAGAGATTCCTCTGGAAAGACTTCAGCTCTTCCTACTCACCAGAAAACCCACACAGTAGAAAACTCCCTATTCCTTCTTCTTCCCTGGCTCTCCCATTTAGCTTGGCACCTGCCCCTGGCCCTGCCTGCTGCCCCCTCTATCTGGCTACCTGCCATTTGACACACTGCTTCCCCTTCTTAACCTCCCCAGCCCTTGTGAATACTGTTCCACTGCATGTCCTCGGGGCCCCAGATCATTGTTCCACTTCTCTTCTGGTCCCCTGGAAACCCCAGCCTCTGCTGCTTGCTGGCCTCCCACCAGGGGAGCCCACTGAACAAAAGATGGGAAAAACTGGCTCACCTTGAATAGAGCCATCATTCATTTTAATAATAATCATGACTCAAGGGTACTTGTAGACCATATGACACTTATCAAAGTGCATACACATTCGTCATTTCTTTTTACTTGCATAATCTTCCTGTGAGAGAGAGCAGGCCTTTGGCCATTGTGCCATTATAGGAACGGAGGGATAAAGCCACAGGAGGACAAGCTTATCACCAGCCCATCAAGGCATACTATCCAGAGAATGAGTTGTTGCTTTTCAGAAAACTCCCTGGGTGTCTCTTCTAGGGGGAGTCCTTGACAGAAGGATGGGTATCTGTGTCCTCAGAGGGACTGGAGCTCTGGGATCATGAGGACAGGTCAGCCAGTCTTGGTTTCAGCCACAAGCACGTGCTGACTTCTTGTCACTCCCTCTTGGCCAGCTCTAGGTTTCCAAATGGAGACACAGCTCCTATTTACCAGGGAGCTCCTCAGAATTCCTATAGGGGATGATAGATGTTCTAATAACTGGGCCTCTTCTGTCATCTCAACCAGTGTGAATAGAGGGATGCATGGATGATCTGCTGTCAACATTTCTGTATTTCCCTTTGGGTAGTTAAGTTATTCTCAAGCCTAACCTTCAGGGCTTCCCATCTCCAAAACCATAAAGACCAAACTCATTAGAGTAGCTTCGAGGTCCTTCAGAAGCTGGCTCAATCTCTTATTGTACTTTCACAATTCCCCCAGCCCTGACCTCTCCTATCTCACATGTCATAGTCCATGCACCTGCACCAGCTACACTGACAAATCCCTGATTCCCAGTAATGCCTTTTGCTAATGCGATTCCCTTTGGCCAAATCCTGTCCTCTAACATCTTTGTCGTGCAAGCTCCTATTCATCCTTCAAGACCTAGCTCAAATGTCCACTCCTCTATAGAGTCTTCTTTAACTCCCCTCACTAAAGAGTTTTCTTTTCCTTCCTCTGAGCTTTCACAGAATGTGGTCCATCCCTTGTTTCCTTATATTTATTATGAGTTACTTCCCTGTATCCCTTGCTTGACTGCGAGCCCTTTAGGGTCTTCTCTTCATATCTCAAGTTGCTTTTGGCACATGGTGGATAACCATAAAGTGTTTGTTGAAAGAGAAAGAAATCTAAAGTAATGTACACATTTATTTAAAACATTAATCATATGCTAGATGCTTAGCACATTTAGAATATCAATCATGGCCTGGCATCGTGGCTCACACCTTTAATCCCAGCACCTTCAGAGGCAGACGTGGGAAGATCGCTTGATTCTGGAAGTTCAAGACCAGCCTGGCCAACATAGTAAGACCCTGTCTCTAAAAAAAAAATTTTTAAGTCAGCCAGGCGTGGTGGTGCACACCTGTAGTCCCAACTACTCAGGAGGCTGAACCAGGGCAATCACTTGAGCCCAGGAGGCAGAGGCTACAACGAGCTATGATTGTGCCACTGCACTGAAGAAACTAAATAAATTAAATAAATAAAAATGTCAATCATGCATAGGTACCTTATCAATGTTATTTTTAATCTTCACACTAACCTTGTGAGTTAGACTTTATAATCATGGATCATAGAGAGGTTAAATAACTTGTCCACGACACATAGCTAGTAGTTGAAATTTGAGCCCAGGTTTGTCTGACCCTTCCAATAGGCAATGCTGCTTCCTTCTGCTTCTACACAGCCCACGTCCCTGCCCAAGCTTCCCTTCCATGTCCCGGGAGATTCTGAGTGCCTCCTCTTCCTTCAGCCACTGTAGCTTTCTGCACTGAATCGCTCCCGGATAAGAACACAGAGCCCAATGAACATCTCCTCAAGGATCTGGCTCTGGGTTTCCACATAAAAGCATCCTTTCCACAAGAGAAGCAGCATGGTGCTCCCCAGCTGGACTCTCACCCAGAGACTTCTCCAGCTCATGTGGCCTTATGCTTGGGGCCAAAGAAGGGAAGAGATGAAAATGAAAATGGGAAAAGCTGGGTTCACTAAAAATTGTGGGACGTAAGAAGTCCAGATAGCACTGTATGAGACCCATTTCACAACAAGGCATAATGTCAAAAGGAGAGCAGGCCTCCTCCCTACCTTGCAGGGAACCAACACCTGCACACTGAAGGCTCAAGAACACAGCCTGGCTCTGCCAGAGGCTCCAGCCCATTGGCAGCTCCCACCGCCAGTGGGGCTAGTGGAGGTGAAAACATTTCATATGCAGGGGCTCTAGAAGGATTTGGCCCACCAGGGAAAGTGGCAATAGAGACAGTGGGCACCCACTGCTTTGAAGCTGCGGGAGGCAGCACCAATAGTGGAGGTGGCAGCAACATGCTCTGGGACGCTAGGAGGCAGGCCTTTGGCAAAGGCAGTCAGGTGCTCACAGAGGGAGCAGTGGCAGCACATGCCAGTCAAGGGGGTGGGAAGGAGGAGAAGGAAAATGACAGGCACCCTCTTAAGTTGATGGAAGGACCTAAGAGAAAACCCCAGGAGAGTCTTCTAACAAATTACGATCACTGAAATGTCAAAGTTACCCAAAGGTAGGACTGTCGTGGAACCTCAGGGGTGTGTGGGTGCCACTACCTTTTCCCCAGGCCATCATTCTTCCCCAGCCAGGCTGGCCTCAATCTGAGGACTCTGTACCATTCTTTTCCTGCATTGCTAGTGAGAACTAACCAGGGATAGCTTGTAGTGTCCCTAATCTTAGTGCATGAATAGTGGACCGTGTTAAGCTCAGGTGAGGGCCTGCTGGGGAATAAAGGAGAAACTGCCTTTTTTGTTTTCTGAGTAATCCAAATAACCTATATGTGTGCACTATTCACAATAGACAAGGTATGGAAACAATCTAAATGTCTGTCAATGGATGAATTAAAAAATGTGAAAAATATATACACAATAAAATATTGTGTCTGTATACACACACACACACACACACACACACACACACAAGAATATTATTCATCCTTAAAAAAAGAAGGAAATCTCACCTTTTGCAACAATGTGGGTGAGCCTGCAGGACACTATGCTAAGTGAAATAAGCCAGGCACAGAAAGACAATACTGCATGATCTCACTTATATGTAGAATCTTAAAAGGTCAAACTTGCAGAAACAGAGAGTAGAATGGTGGTTGCCAGTGACTGGGGGTGGGAGAAATGGGGAGATGTTGGTCAAAGAATTCAACTTACTATTTTGGTTATGAGGTGAATACGTTCTGGGGATCTAACGTACAGCACGGTGACTGTAGTTAATAATGTATTGTATACTTGGAATTTGCTAAGTATTGTCCACCACACAAAAAGGTAACTATGTGAGTTGGTGGATATATTAGTTAGCCTGACTGTGGTAATCATTTCACATCAAAACATCACACTGTATGCCGTGAATATGTCACATTGTATCAAAACATTGTATCAAGGTAATGAAAACATCGCATTGTGTGCCTTGAATATATACAATGTTTATTTGTCAACTATACCTCAATAAAGCTGGGGGAATAAAGAGTAAACTGCATTTGTCCCCTTATCAAGATGGCTCTGAGCATCATGATGTGAGAATAAATGCTCTGGCTCCTGTCCCTGGAAGTCCCACCAGCCCAAGCCTAACTCTGTGTTTTTGTTCTAAACCGGCAGGGTCCTCCTGCCGCAGGAGTATCTTGCAGTCCAACTCCCACGATTGTCCTGACTGGGGATGCCACTTCACCAGAAGGAGAAACCGACAAAAACCTGGCCAACAGGTACAGGTGCCTGATCCTTGCATTGTGACAAACAATATTTCCTAGAACATGAGGATCAGACAGCTATATTTTTAAATAAATCTTTTCTTTTTTCTTGTATCATTTTATTGACTAAACTATAATCAAGCAGTTTTTCAAAATACAAGATAGAAATAGGAATTTTTCCATTATCTTCCTCCTAAAATGATTTTTCCTCTCCTGGATGTGGTCCTTTTGGCTCTGCGACGGCTCCAGCCCATTTGCAGCCTCCTCCCCCAGCAGGGCTAGTGGAGGTTAAAACATTTAATGCCCAGGGGCCCCAGAAGGACTTGTTCCCCCATGGAAAGGGCTAGCCTTTAAGAAAAGCATAAATCACCGCAGGAGAGTTTCCCATAATAACTGTCCAGCTATTTGCAGCCAAACATGAAAGGTGCAGGTGTTTGAATGTAGAATCCTGCCCCTGGCCAAAACGTGTGAAATATGATCTCTTGGCAGGGACATGGGCTCACAGGTAGAGGAATGTCTCCGCCTTGGTTTCACAGAGCACTAGCCCACGAACTGGGCTCGCTGAAATGAGACTGTCTAATTTTCAAAAAGTTAAAAAGATAATTCTCGGCCGGGCGCAGTGGCTCATGCCTGTAATCCTAGCACTTTGGGAGGCCAAGGCGGGTGAATCATGAGGTCAGGAGATCGAGACCATCCTGGCTAACACAGTGAAACCACGTCTCTACTACAAATACAGAAAAATTAGCCGGGTGTGGTGGCGGGCGCCTGTAGTCCCAGCTACTCGGGAGGCTGAGGCAGGAGAATGGCGTGAACCCGGGAGGCGGAGCTTGCAGTGAGCCCAGATCGCGCCACTGCACTCCAGCCTGGGCGACAGTGCGAGACTCCGTCTCAAAAAAAAAAAAAAAAAGAAAGAAAGAAAAAGAAAAGGAAAAAGATAATTCTCATATAAATATACTGAGCATATGTCAAAGATTTACTTACCTCATTAATACAAGAAGCATCTGGATAACAAAGCCGGTTCAAAGGAGGATACAAGCAATGGATATACATATATCATCAGTGGGGAGGAAAGTGCTGGAATAAAACTGCTAAGTTAGATATAAAATAGGTGAATGTTCTACAGGGCAATGAAACCATATTTTTGTCTTTTTTCCCAAACAGAAATCATCTGCGTCTTTGTCAGACAACAATGATTTACATTTTATGAGGCTTCTACAAGTTAGATGTTAGCTCAGAGTCTGGGACCTAATGAGTAGGAAATAGTAAGTCAAAGTCACATCCTCTTAGGGCAGTGGTTGGAAAACTTTAGCACGCGTCAGAATCACCTGGAGAGCTGTAAAATCATAGCTGGCTGGGCCCACCTCCAGAATTTCTGATCTGAGTTGGGGCCTGAGAATTTGCATTTCTAAGACGTTCCCAAGTTGAGAGTCAGAGAAACCCTCGAGAAGCTTGTAAGATGATGTTCTAGGATGACTTTGAAAGAATATACAGGCATCTGGCTGGGCACAGTGGCTCATACCTGTAATCCCAGCACTTTGGGAGGCCAAGGCGGGCAGATCACCTGAGGTCAGGAGTTCAAGACCAGCCTGGCTGACATGGTGAAACCCCATCTCCACTAAAAATACAAAAATTAGCTGGGTGTGGTGGCACATGCCTGTAGTCTCAGATACTTGGGAGGCTGAGGCAGGAGAATTGCTTGAACCTGGGAGGCAGAGGCTGCAGTGAGCTGAGATTGCGCCACTGCACTCCAGCCTGGGTGACAGAGTAAAACTGAGTCAAAAAAAAAAAAAAAGAAAGAAAGAAGGAAAGAAGGAAACAAAGAAAGAAAGAAAGAAAAAGAAAAAGAATATACAGGCATCTTTTCACCTATTTTCAAGTTGTGGATTGATTTTCTGAACAAGATGACTGTTCTGTCTTTCAGAGTTCACAGTCCCCACAAGAGGCTTTCTCACCGACACTTGAAGGTGTCCACTGCCTCCCTGACATCTGTGGGTAAGGACCAGGGCAATCTAAGGCATGTTGAGTAGAAAGACAGGTCTGGCAGCGTGGCTGGGCTTGACTCCTTCCTCTCTCCTGCTCTTTAAGGCGCTCCCTCCCGATAAGTCCAACAGGACAGGGTAGATCAGCCCCTCCGTGTCTGGGTCTAGGAGAAGCATATTTAATTCAGTTTTCATTGCTCAAAAGACAAGACCAGGGCATGAAGAGGAAGATGCAGAAGTCAAAGAAAGAAAGAACAGCTGAGTGAAACTCATTTCTGGGGTTTAGGGGGCAGAGTCCTCCAGCCTCTGCTAAAGAGGCCCACATCCAGGTTGGAGTAGGTGCCTGAGTGTAAGGCCGGCTGCCCTGGTCATCTGCTCATCCCCAGATGGTGGCTCACGATCTGCCCTGGGCTGTTGGAACATAGATCTCATATAGAGTTGGTCCCTGCCTTCATGCTGCTCATAGACTATGAAGAGACTGAGAAATGAACAGATAATTGGGACACTGTATGATAAGAGACTGCACAGAAGAGCTAGGCCAGCCAAGGCAAGAAGGGGACCGAGTCTCTCTGAGGAGAGGAAGTTTTAGGAAGGTATTCCAGAGGAGGTGGCATTTGAGTTGTGCCTTAGAGAGCTGGACAGATAGGCGAGGGAGGAAAGGCATTCCAGGGGGAATAGGAAACACACTGAAAGAGCAGGAACCTCCCTGGAGCATGTTGCTGGCAACTGAAACTCTGCCATGTGTACCAATTGGGACTTTTTCAAATGATAGAAACCCAACTCAAACTACCTCACACCAAAAAAAAATTTACAAAAGCCAGGGCTTGTGATTTCAGGTAGTGCTGGATCCAGGTGCTCAAAGTGGGTTATTAGCAATTGTCCCATTCCATCTCTTGAACCTTTTTTCTTGTGTGTTAGCTTTCTTCTTGGCAGACTCTTCAACACATGGTAGCCAATAGCTACCAGCAACTCCAAGCTTACGCCCCATCAGTGGAGAGTTCTTCTTCCCCATATACTCCACACCAGGATTGCCCCTCAATGGCTTCACATGGCCATCCCCGAGCCAATCCCTGTGGCCAAGGGGATTCTGTTCATTGATTGGCCAAGACTAGTCCACATTCCCACTCTTGGCACAGGGGAGGGGGGTTAGCTAATGGGGAATCAGAGAGGTTTTTACCAAGTGAAAACCAAGGATCTGCTGCCCAAAGACGAATGGAACCCGATGGAGGTGAAATGGGAGCTGTTCACTGCAGACACAGCTGAAGTGGAGGGACTTGGGAGGAGTATGTGGGGGCCAGCAAGACTGGCTGAGCCCAGTTTAGGGTTTGGATACCACACTGAGGAGCATGAGAAATCCCCATGAGATGAGGTGGAGAATGGCATGGCCAGATGTGGCTCTGATAGCCACTCTGATAGGCAGTGGGGGATGGGATGGAGGAGCTCGCCTGAGGGCAGGGACCTCTTAGGTAGAAGACATAATTGTCCAGGAAAGAGCTAACAAGTACGAGCGAGGCTGAGGCAGGAGAATCACTTGAACCCAGGAGGCAGAGGTTGCAGTGAGCCGAGATTGTGCCACTGCACTCCAGCCTGGGCCACAGAGTGAGACTCTGTCTCAAAAAAAGAAAAAAAAAAAAAAGAGCTAATGAGCAAGAATGGAGATGAGGAACAGGCTCCAGAGATGTTTATAGGTAAATGCAGGGAGGACTTGATCAACTGATTGGATGTTGGGGGAGGGAGGAAGAGGGAGAAGTGGGGAGTGACTCCTGTGATCCTGAGCAGCCAGGTGAGAGGTGGTGCCGTTCACCCACCTCATCCAGAGGGGCAGTTTTGGAGAAAAATGGGGTGAACAATGTGACTGGAGGGAAGGTGGCCACGGGGTTGTGGCCGTGGCCAATGATCTTTGGTCTCCTTCTTTTATTCACAAACCTTAAGCGCATTAGCTTGTGAAAGAAACAGGCCAGAAGCAAGAATGCACTGGGGGCGCAGATGGTGCCGGAGGTAAGGCTCCTGGGTGGCCTTCCCTTCCTGACAGAGTTTAGGAAAATTCTGGGAACCTGAGATGGCTCCAGGACCATTTGTGACGGAGGACCACAGGCCATAAGCCATAGGGGCCAGGCCTGCAGAGGAAGCCACTGTCTGTCCCCATGCAACCCTCTTGATGGCACTGGGCTGAGGTTTGGCTGGCTGGGTCAGCTGTGGGCAGAGTCCCTGGGATGAGGCATGGTATGGCATGACCTCAGCCTGGGGCCACGGATGCAGTGGCTCTCACCCCAGCTCATCCTCCTTCTGCAGACCCCGCGGGGCACATCATTGACCTGGTGAATGACCAGCTGCCAGACATCAGCATCTCAGAGGAGGACAAGAAGAAAAACCTGGCGCTGCTGGAAGAAGCCAAGTTGGTGAGTGAGCGATTCCTGACCCGCCGTGGGAGGAAGTCCAGGAGCAGCCCCGGAGACTCCCCATCAGGTAGGGTGGCAGGATGTACAGGTGGCTGCCCTGAGCCCCTCTAGGGTCGGGAGGGAAGGGCCTGGCACCAGCTGCAGTGGGCGCCTCACCTCCGAGGAGGTCGCCTTGGACTCACCTGCTCTCCTCAGCAGAGGTCAGGATTCTGTCCTGGGCTCCCTTCCCTTGATCTCTGTGGGTGCTGGGAAGGATCCTAGGCCCTCTGGGGAAGAGGAGATGGTCTTTGGGGAATTTCTGGGTTAGAGGGAAGGTTTTCCTGGGCCCAGAAATCCTCCTGCTTCCTCTATGCTAGAGTCACTTTTCTTCCTGAGCAAAAAGTTGGGCAAGTGTGTAAGTGTACTTAGGAGGACAAGGGGAGCTTTTGAAGTCAGGGCCACCCTGGGAAGTCGAGAAGGAGCAGCCTCTGGAGCTGTACCTGCCAACCAACGCCAGGCCTCAGTTTCTGGACAGTGCCTTGAGGTCAGGCCAGGCAGGCTGAGAAGTGTGACTCTATCCTCGAACCCCCAAATGGCCTGAGGGCACCCATCTCTTGAGCAGCAGCAGGGAGGGGTTGGGCTGTAACAGGAGCATCATATTGCAGTCCAGCATCAGCCCCTGAGCCCAGCAAGGCAGACCCAGTTCCCAGGGCCTGGGAATACCTAAAAGGATGCCTTTGCCAGGTTGAAGTCCTAAACCTTCATGAATGCCAGCCAATTTGTGTCTGTCTTCACAGCTGTTTCCCCGAACCTCAGCCCCAGCGCTTCTCCTACATCCTCTCGGAGCAACTCACTTACAGTCCCCACCCCGCCAGGTGAGGCCCAGCTGCCCGGGGACTTCCTGCCCTGCCTCTCGCTCTGGGTGGCAGCTCAGCCTGGACAGATCAGCATGCCTCCCAGCCTGCAGGCTTCCCCTTCAAGAACTCTGATGGCCCCTTCACACCCAGAGCAAGACCCCTCTCCAGGGGGGGCATTTGCTGGGCCACCCAGAGGAGGCAGATAGACTTTCTGTTAGCATCTTGGGCTTGTGTCGGGAGGCAGGTGTACCCCAGGGTCAGGAAGGCTGGGTGGGAAAGGGGACTAGGACAGCCTCTCTGGCTCAGGGAGGCTCAGAGAAGCCCTCAAGAGCTTATACAGAAAGGCCTCTTTGGGGTCTGACTTCTTCCCTTTCATTAGGCTGTACCCAGAGTCACACCCTCCAGCCAACAAGGAAAGGGGGAGGGTGCCAGGAAGGGCAACCGGCCCTCATCAGTGCGGCAGGGCACGCTCAGGTCGGGGCCAGGCAGCCTGGGCCCAAATCTCAGTGCTGACATTTCCTGGCCATGAGACTTTGATTTCCCTGTGCCTCAGTTTCCTCCTGTGGTCTCTGTGAACATTCTGTGAGGGCCCACCTGAGAACCTGGCACACGGGAGGTAGTCAGCAAATCTTCCAGGCCTGAGATTGCAAAGGGAGGATAGCCCGGGGAGGGAGATGTGGCTGAAAGCACAGCTGAGGGCCTGGGCTGCTGGGCCTCACTCACTAGTGTCTGGACCCTTCCAGGTTTGGATGTGTGCAGTGGCCCGCCATCCCCTCTGCCTGGAGCACCACCACAGGTGACAGGACCCCCCACCTGCTGTGCTGTTTCTATGCCAATGGGTCTCTCCCCTTACCCCGAACACCAGGAGGCCCTTCGTGACCCACTGGAGATGAGGGTGCTGGGTGGAGGGCATGAACACCACTGCTAGGGGGCCTCCTTGGGGATATTTCAAGAGGAAACACGGTCTCTTCCCATTGCTGACTGACTCCTGTTCACCTTCTCCAGCAGAAGGGGGATGAGGCCGACGTCTCTTCACCTCACCCTGGCGAGCCTGTGAGTTTGAGCTTTGCTCCCTTTGGATGATTTGAGTGTGGGGGGCACAGTCTCCTAGAAGCCTAGGCTGGCTCCTGGGCAGCCTTCAAGTGTGTGTGCATGCACACGTATGAGTGGAGGGTCAGGGCTGGGGAAACAGCAGATTCCCCTGCCTTATAGTGACTAGAAGTCTAAGGTGGAGGGGTGGGGAGGCAGGATTCAGGGGGGTGAACTCCGTGGAGGCAATACTCACAGCGCTGACCCCCAGTCAGGCTGCTGGTTGGAGACAAGGGGGACCTCCAGGCCAGGTGAGACTGTGGCTCCTGTCAGCTCCAGTGAAAAGGGCAGGAAAGCGCCAGCCCCTGCCTGGGATTCTGTCTGGGGAAGCCGGGAAAACCTCATCTTTGTTGATGAGCAACAGAAGCGCCCCACCCTGCTCACATCGAGGGGCCCACGTGCTCAGTGTTTCAAGGGCAGCAGTAGAATTTAGTGTCACCTGGAACTGGGTCTGGGATACAGTCCTCTGGAAGAGTCTCAGCACACACGAGGCAGCCACACAGACCCCCAGACCCACGTGCTGCTCACGGCCCAGGTTTCCCTTGGGGAATGAACAAAGTAAACTAACACTGCAGAATCTTAGAGCTTCTGAGCAGGAAGACATCACCTTTGCAAGAATCACCCCATCCAATGATCCCTAACCTCTTTGGATCATGGAACTCTGAGAAATTGTTGAAAGCTGTGGATGTTTTTCCTAGAAAAACACCCCTCCACACACAGACATACACATACATAATTTCAGAGGGTTCACAAACCTGGGTCCCTAAGAGTTAAGGGCCTTGCTAAGCAGCACCAAGGCTAGATCTGGGGCAACTGAGTTAGGGCCAAAGCTGCCTTCTATTCAGTTTTCCTCAGCTCCTATCCCTTGGGAAATTCTTGGCTGGTTTTGGATTGCAGGTTCCATTTTCCTGTCTGTTTGACAAACCTCGGGCAGAAGCCCTCTCCTTCCACATCGTCCACTCATACCCCATACACACTTATACAAATGGGCCCCTTGGCAAGGTGTGTGGGGGCAGAGACTCCACAGCAGAAGTGGCCTCACCTGTTTCCCCTCAACCTGCCCCCGAGGGTTCCAGCTCTACCTTGTCTTTTTCAGAACGTCCCCAAAGGGCTAGCTGACAGGAAGCAGAATGACCAGAGGAAAGTGTCTCAGGGCAGGCTGGCTCCTCGTCCTCCTCCAGTTGAGAAGTCCAAAGAGATTGCAATAGAACAAAAGGAAAACTTCGATCCCCTCCAGTACCCCGAGACCACACCCAAAGGCCTAGCTCCTGTTACAAACAGCAGTGGGAAAATGGCCCTGAACAGCCCTCAGCCTGGCCCCGTGGAGAGCGAGCTGGGGAAGCAGCTCTTGAAAACGGGCTGGGAGGGCAGCCCTCTGCCGAGAAGTCCAACCCAGGATGCGGCAGGAGTGGGTCCCCCAGCCTCCCAGGGGAGAGGCCCAGCTGGAGAGCCGATGGGGCCCGAGGCTGGCTCCAAAGCTGAGCTTCCACCCACTGTGTCCCGGCCCCCGCTGCTGCGAGGGCTCTCCTGGGACAGTGGCCCTGAAGAACCTGGCCCCCGGCTGCAGAAAGTGCTTGCCAAGCTGCCACTGGCAGAGGAAGAAAAGCGTTTTGCAGGCAAGGCCGGCGGCAAGCTGGCCAAGGCCCCTGGTCTCAAAGACTTTCAGATACAAGTGCAGCCCGTGCGGATGCAGAAACTGACCAAGCTCCGAGAGGTGGGTTCCTGGGGGCCAGTTGGGCAGAGTGTGTACTCCAGGTACTCCCTGGGCTGAAGACCTCAGGGCTGAGTCTGGGCCCCTGGCCAGGGCAGCTCTGGCCTGGACTTGGGCCTTGTGAGGGCGTAAATTTTCCCACTCTGAGAAGTCAGGCCTATTTATGTGGCATCTCTTTCCTAAATACCAGTTTTAGGTGCTTTTTTATGCCAGTTACCAGGCAGAGCTCAGTCTAAAATCTAGTTGCCACACAAAGCCACATCTCAGGGGAAGGCAGACGTGTGGAGGGACATGTGGGCCCCTCAGTCCTGGGCTGCTTTCCTCCTCCAACCGGAGTCAGTGGCTCATAAACAGGAATCCCTTGATGGAGTGCCCAGTCATGCCTAGGATTAGCTAGCAAGGGTGAAATAGTGATTTCCTTTGTGATGCCCCCAAGCCTTCCTTCCTGATGCCTGTTAACAAAAGCTTTAAGTCCATCTGCAAGTGTGAAGGCTGCTCCGCCCATGGTGAGTTTCTTCCAGTGCCCATGGTGTCCCCTCAGCTTCTGTTGGCCATCAAACCAGGCACAGCGGTCTCCTGTGGGGTTGCCACCCTATGCAGGGTATGATTGGGGGCATCCAGAGATAGAGACCAGATAACAGGACAAAGCAATTCTGACCAGTCCTGTCTCCTCCAGAAGGCCCACTTGGAATATAAACCAAGGCACCTGGATTCCACAGAGTGAGGCCCAGCACCCTCAGAGCAGGAGGCTTCTCCTGGCTCCTCTACAGAGGGAAATGTGGGGCAGGGAAGAAAAGAAGGTGCCCGATAGCACTCAAGCACAATTGAGGGGATTTGTGTGCTGGCAGGGACACATTCCAATGCTGGCCACTATCCTATTCAGATACCTTCATGATGCTCTGAACTGGAGGCACAGGGGAGCTGGGGCGTGGCTGCTGATGTTAACATTTTACACACAAAACTCCTCCTAGTCAGAAAGACCCAACTAACTAGCGGATCAAACAGCACAGGGCCCAGAGGAGTTGCCACAGTCCCGGATCTCTAGCGGAAGTTGGAGCCAAGGGGCCGATAGCCAGGGATTTGCCTTCATGGGCCTCTGGTTATCAGAGCCTCCTCACTCCCTACACTCCTGCAGATTTCGCCCACCCAGAGAAGTTACAGGGAACCTGGAGGCCCCATGTCACTAACCACTACCCTGGCACCTGAGTGCCCAGCCCCTACCCGACTCCAGTGTGCTGAAGCTGATGGGCTGTGGGCCTCTGGCTTGCTAACCAAATGGGTAAAGGGTCCTTGACCATGACTTCCACTTGGATCATGAGCACCCTCTGCTGGCCCCTTCCTTTCCTCCCTTCTCGGGGGACAAACCATTCCCAAGTGCCCTCTGCCACACAGCAGACTGAAGATCCATAAGTCACAGGGGCAAGGAGCTCTGCCAGGTGCCTCCACTCAGGTCCTTGGTCTGGTGCTAATTGGCTTAGAGCAGGTGTGAGCCCACTTGGGCCACATCCCATCTCTCCCCGGGCTCTGCCAGCTGAGGCCCTAAGCCAGCAATTCTCAGGCCTCACTTTTCTGGAGAGTTTAAAAACTCAAGAGGTGCCATAAAAGGCCATTGATGACCTGAGTGTGTGGGGCAATCGCAGCTCCTGGAAGTGAGCAGTCACTGCCCGGAATGACAGGGCAGGAAGATCCAGCCAGCCATGAGATCGCCAAAGCTGTTTCCAGGAGCAGCGCCATACACACCCAGGGGACCCTCCTGTCCCAGAGCCCTTAGTTCTGCCCCTGTGTGTCCTTTGCAAACCTCAGCCACAGTGAGGCCAAGCAGTTCATTTACCCTGAAGCCCACAGACTTGTTTAAAAAGACCATGCCAAGGGTAGTCCCTGACCCATGGAAAGTGGTGCTGACAGTGGCGTTTCAGGCACCTTCACGGACTGGGAGAGGAACTATTTCCTGGTGCTTCTCAGGCCTCACCATGCCATGCCTGCCCACCCACCTCTCAGGCTGCCCCGCTTTCCCACCTAAGATAGTGGTCGCAGAACCATAGACAGAGCCAAGAGAACAGCCCAGCCCAGTGTCATCATCTGAAATTGTTATCTCTTTCTTTTACCACAAAGGAGCACATCCTGATGAGAAATCAGAACTTAGTGGGGCTCAAGCTTCCAGACCTTAGTGAAGCAGCTGAGCAGGAAAAAGGTAGGTGGGGTTGGGGCAGATGCTGTCTCAGCGAGTGCTGATTTGTCTGTGCCAGATCAAGGAAGGTGAATGTGTAAACACAAGACTTCCTGTGTCTTCCTCAGGAAACATTTGCTGGTGAATGAATGAATCCGATTGTGTCTTCTGCCCGCTCAGCACCTCCAAACCTGCCTCCTTCCAACCAGCCCCCAGGCCTCGCTGTCAGCCCTCCCTAAGCCATGCTGGCATCTAGTGGGCCTGGAAGGGTGCCTCAGGCCTGAACTTTTGACACTTCCTTTTCCTCGTACACCCAGGAAGCTGCCCAAACTGAAGAGTTCCTCTTTTCAAGGCATCACGGCCATCTCTTGCTTACTAATCTGCTGTCACCACAAAGTCCATACCCCAGCCCTGCCCTGCTGGGTAGCTGCAGGCCCCTTCCTCCAAGCCTCTGGTTCCCTGTCCACCTTCTGCCAGAACCATGGCGGGGAAAATGGTTCTGAAAATGAGGCTTCAGCCCCCGCACTGCCTCCCTCTCTGCACTCACCTCTGCCGATGTTCTCAGTAGGGTTCTGACCCCTCTAGATCTAGCTGGGCAAGTCCAGCCCTGCTCCCAGTGCCCCCAACACCCTTCCTCGGCCCCATTCTCCTGCATGAGTATGTCGAGCCCCACCACGAGTTGGAACTGTAAGCCCTGCTACCACTCAGGTGACCTGGGCAAGCTATTCAACCTCCCTGGGCATGTAAAACCAGGCTAAGAACAGTACCTGCCTTCTTAGGTGATTATGGAGATTAAAGCAGCTAATATCTATAAAGTACCTAAAACAATACCTGGTACATGACAGGTGTTATCTAGGTGTCAGCTATTATCCCTAGAGAAGAAGCCCCCAAGGGCAGGAGTGTGTGTGTGTGTGTGTGTGTGTGTCCACTGCTTACAACAATGCCTGGCACTACTAGGGCCTGCATAGGTATTTGTTGAATGAACGAATGAAATTGTATGAGATGTGGCAGGGGGCTAGGTGAACCTGTAATCCCAGCACTTTGGGAGGGAGGTGGCTTGCTTGAGCTGAGGACTTTGAGACCAGTCTGGGCAGCATGACGAAGCCCCATCTCTACAAAAAATACAAAAATTACCTGGGCATGGTGACACACACCTGTAGTCCCAGCTACCCGGGAGGCTGAGGTGGGAGGATCGCTTGAGCCTGGGAGGTCAAGGCTGCAGTGAACTGTGATCGTGCCACTGTACTCTAGGGTCTCGCTCTGGGGTACAGAGTGAGATCCTGTCTCAAAAGAAACATTTTTAAAAAGATGTGGCAGGAGCATTGAGATAGGTACATGAAAATAATTTGTAACTGTAACCATAGTGCCATGAGGTGGGCAAAGAGGCATGGGTGAGTGGAGAGAGATGAGTGTTTCCAACAGGCCAGGCTCCTGGCTCTTCCCTCTTCCCAGAGCCTCTTCTCTGTGGCCACTCACCCTCTAGCCTCTGTGCCTCTGTCCCCGCGGCATCTCCCTCCTGCTGGGCTATCTCCCTCCTCTCTGAGTCATATGGTACCTGTTCCTTAAAGCAGTGGGTTAGTCCCACCAGCTCTGCAATCTTCTACTTTCTTGACTTTCTTTTGTATTTTACTCTATATAGTACTCCCTTTTTCAGAGGGGGTGGGGGACTATTTTTTATTGTAAATATATATAACATTCAACTTGCCATTTTAGCCATTTTTAAGTATACAGTTCAGTGGCAGTAAGTACATTCATATTATGAAGCCATCACCACTATCCATTTCTAGAACGTTTTCATCATTGCAAACTGAAATGCCATACTCATTAAAACAATAACTCTTTATTCCCTCCCTCCCCAGCCCCTGGTGATCACCTTCTACTTTCTGTCTCTATGTATTTGACTCTTCTAGATCCCTCCTAGAAATGGAATCATACAGTATCTGTCCTTTTGTGTCGAGCTCATTTCAATTAGTAAAACATCTTCAAGGTTCATCCGTGTCACCTAGTCCTTTTAATTCAATCTTAATTAATAAACTTCCCATAGCATTTTCCACAGTATAAACCATTTTGTTACCTCTGATTTTATGTAATCTTCCCAGTCAGCTAAGAGGGGCAGGGATTCTTGCTCTTATAGTTGAGGAAACTGAGGCCCGAGGATCTCCTGACTCCAAATCTCATGGTTTGGCCATCTCATGAACAGTTTTAAAACTTTTTTTAAGCTGCACAACATTTCAGACAAGCTGATCTGTAGGAGGCCAGCGTGTTGGGGAGATGCAAATGGGGCTGCTCTGGTTGAAGGGGATAGAAGGGCTTGGATCCTTCATCTTCTGAGACTGTGGGCCCAAGGTACCTCCAGGGACCCAGGCTTCACAGAGCACCATTTGAAAATCCTTGCCCCGCTTCAAGCTGCTGGGGGCCAGTCTCAGCATAAGAGCCCTATGGATTCTTGGGTGAATGTGTCCAGGATGTCACTAACAATGGTGGAAGCCCCTGGTCTGAACTGTAGTAACTTACACCTACCTATTTATTCAGCATTAATAAGAAGGTTCCCAGAAGTAAAATTTCAAACAGTGTTTTTTCCCAAGGGCAAAATATTTTAAATAACCATCTTTAAAGAGATCTTTTGAAAATGCAGCATATACTTCTCTAATTATAATTTTAAATTTACTAAAGCATATTTAAAACACTGGAAAAAACACTTTAAAATTTCACCCACAACCCCATCAATTCTGAAAAACTAACAATTTTTCTTCTTTGCAATATTTGCCCATATTTATAATGTTTTCAGTTGATTTGATGAATAGATACAGCTTCTTTTTTTTACTTGTTATTTTATACTCAGCAATTTCTCCTCAGTTATGATTTAATGGGTGCATAGTTCCTCTTGTATTGACCTATCTATTGTTCTTTGAACTAGGATTAACAATGCTAGTATAAACAATTATGGACCGTTAGTTGTTCTTTTTTCTTCCTTTAAATCATTCCCTTGAGATAAGTGTTCAGACTTGAGAATCACAAGGTTAAAGAGTAGAAACATTTGCATTTCCCAAATTACTTACAATGAATAACGCTACTGACAAAGACTGAATGGACATCTTTCTCTTACGCATTACCCGTGCTGGTGTTTGCTTCTGCTCCTTATTATTCAGAATATAGTAAGAATAATCAATAATTGTCATTGTTTTAAGTTTATTATTATTAGTGTGAAATTTCATTATTATTTCAATTAATTTGCTAGGAAGCTCAAACTTAAAATGTTAAAATAGTCACTTTGTTTTCTTACTGGGTGACTTAACTTCTTACATCTTTGCCCGTGTACCCATTTAGGTCTGGGGTTTTTCGTTGATTTGTTTGGTTTTTGTTGGTAATATATGTAAACTTGATACATTATAGATATTAGCCCTTAATTGGCTTTCTTTCTTTTGGGGGGGGCTGTATTTTAATATATTTTCATTCAATCTTTTTTTTGCTTTTTAATACGTTTTGTGTTATTTTAGAGGAATTGTAAAGATTTTACATAATCATGTTTGCCTATCTTTCCCTTTGAGAAGTCTTCTATTATTTCAATCATTATAAAAATACTACTTCTCCCCAGTTGTAATAATATTTCCACTTTTTTTCTCTATTAAAAACACTGTTATAATGAATACTATCTTACATAGATCTTTATAGAAATCTGTTTTTTCCATGGGCTACTATTCTAGACTTGCAATTGATTGGTTAAAAGTATTTACTTTTAAATGTATATGTGCACACTGCCAGATTAGCTTACAAAATTATACCAATTTAGACATCCACTACCTACAGCAAAACTTTATTATCCAATATTAATAGGGCATAAGATGGATCTTAGAAGTAAAATTATCAGGCAAATGAATGTGACTCCTATAAGCACCAAATTTTAAAAATAAAATTAACCATGGTCAGTGTCCAACAATATACACTCCCTCTCATTTTCTCTCAGTTCTAGGGTCTGGATGCTTAAGAGCTCAGACTTCATCACTTACCAGCTGCATAGCCTTGGTCAAGGTTCTAATTCTCTCCACGCTTCAGTTTGTTCATCTTTTAAAGGAGGTTAATAACAGTACCTACTTCACTAAGCTGCTGTAATGTTTGCATGTGATACTGGTCTTTATTCCAGCAGGAACCTGGCATACATTTTCATTTCTGTCATTTAGGTTGTAGAACTCTATCTTGCCAACCAAATGGGATATTCTTGTACACTGTGCTCCACAGTGCTAGAGATGTGGTGGGCAACCCTCCGTGTTTAATGAATACTTGCAGACTTGTGACTTTCTTTTCTTATATTCTGAAAGCCCCATCAAAGAGCCCCGTCCCCTCCCATACCCAGGATAAAAGGCTTTGGGAGCATTTTATGAGAGCTGGCTCAGATTGTATTTATAGGCACTAAATACAGCCCTGCATATGAACTCATGGGGAAAAATCCAGTCTCTTATGATGGTTGTTGGCTGTTCCTTTGAGAAATGGGAAAAGATACTTATCAGAACATTCTGGAGTCTGAAGAATTTTGGCTCTCCTTCAGTTTGTGAGGACTGGGAGGCTCATTTCTGTGCTGCATCTAGTCTTTCCAACAACCCAATCAGTTCCCTTCTCAGGAACTATATTGTATGCTGTTTTGATCTTTGATCAGTTGCAGGTTATTTCAAGCCAAATATGTGAGACTGACTGTGGGCCAGTTCTTAGGCTGTGTGCTGGGGATGCATTAAGTGAAAAGGGTTCAGGCCCCACCATCAGGGAGAAGGCCTTGTCCCAGCTACCATTATCAGTCCCCTTGGCTAACTCAACAGCCTGCAACCTGGTCCCCTCTCCCTGCACTCCCAACCCCCAACCCAGCTCACACCATGGCCAACACAGCAGCCGCAGGGATCTCTAGAAGGCAAATCTGTTTCAGCATCTTCAGAGGCTTCATTCTGCTCTTAGGAAGAGCACTTGAATCCTCAGTAGAACCTACAAGGCCCTGAATAGTTAACCCCACCCACTTCCCCAGCATATTCTAGGGCCACACTCACTCTCACT
Source organism: Homo sapiens (assembly GCF_000001405.40). Taxonomy (NCBI): domain Eukaryota; kingdom Metazoa; phylum Chordata; class Mammalia; order Primates; family Hominidae; genus Homo; species Homo sapiens. Next base: position 10,618,764 of record NC_000011.10, on the reverse strand, counting down.
CACAATATTTTGGCCTGCCTTCGGCAGCTCATTCTTTCCTCTTCTTACGCATGGCACATTCTGTCTTCTGCATGGAATGTTCTTCCTCTCTCCCTCTTTGCCTAATGAACTCCCAACTCAATCTTTAGATATCTGCTCATGTCACTTTTCTTGGGAAGGGTTTGCTGGTACCTTCGGATCCCTTCTCCTTTGTAAAATCTCTCAGTGTGAAATTGTTTGGATGTTTCTCTGATTAATCTCTGTTCCCCTGAATAATGAGCTCCAGAGGATGTGGCATGTCAGTTTTGCTTAGCATTGTATCCTTAGCTCCCAGCTCATTGCCAGGGACATAGTAAACACTCAATAAACATTAAACAAATGTATGAACGAATAAGCTCACTGTCTAGGAGAGGAAACATAAGAATAGACAAAGTCACTACGATAAATTGTGATAAAACTTTAACAGGCCATAAAGTACCTGGGAACAAAGAGGAAGAAGCAGCTAGCTCAGTGGGGTTGAGTCAGGGAAGGTTTTCAGGAGGAGCCACCTTGAGCTGGGGAAGAGAAAGTCATCCCAAGCAGGGGGACAGCAGAAGCAAAAGCATGTAGGCATCTTCTAGTGCTTGGCATACTTCAGGAACAGAAGGAATGTCATGTGAACTAAGTGTGAGCTACACGTCCCAGAGAGATGGGCAACAAGGTGGGAACAGTGGGCTGAGACCAAGGAAATTGAAGGCTTTGAAGGCCAATTAATGAGTTTGAATTTCATTTAGGACACTTTGGAAAGAGAAGCCTGCAGGTAAGGAAGCATCAGGATCAAATCTATATTTTAGAATAATTCTTCTGGACAGATTGTGAGAGCTGGCCTGAAACAGCAGAGGCTAGAGACAGGGAGACACCAGGTAAAAGGATAGGGAAATAGCCTGGTGAGAGGTAATGAGGTGGTAGTAAATGTGGACAGGATAGTTTGACAGCTATTGGAGATCAGCTTGTCAGGACTTGATGAGGAGATGGAGTTGAGAGGCAGACCAGGAATACCACCAGGCACCTGTCTGCATGGTTGTGAGGGTGATGAATTGTGAGACAGGAGGAGGAGTTTGCTTGAGAAGGAAGACAGTGAATTTGAGTTTGGACATGTCAAATGCCCACGGAAAGCAGCTTGAATGCAACAGACAAACCTGGTTTTGCATTCTGGCTGTACTGCTGATAAGCTGGACCCTAGTAAATCACTTTAACTCAGCTGAGCTTCAGTTTCTCCAGAAAATGCATTTCATAATACATTCTTTGTACTTTCAGAAACCAATTTCTCTTCTTTGGAGGAAGCAATTACCAAAATTCAGCAGGTCCTACAGTTTCACTTCACTTCAAGTTCAATTAAACTCTAATACTTTTAATTTCAAAAAAGTATATCTAGTATAATCTCCCTCTTTTTCCCTTGCTCCTTCTGTATTTGTGGGGAAGGAGGTGTTTAAGCTATTTTTTATTTGCAGTACTATTGTAAGAAATGACAAAGTGTATCTACTGCATAGTTGATGTTCAGTAAATGGTGGCTCTTGAAATGATTTTTATTCTCCTTAACCAGGTGGCAACGTCTAGAAGGTAGTTGGCTATCTGGACCTGGATTTTGAGGGACACGTAGGCTGAGGCAGAGAAGTACATCGAATGGACAGTCCTTCCAAAACCCCCAGTCTAGACTCAGAGCCTCAGGTCTTGGGCAGGAAAGAGGCCTCCCTGAGAAGAAAGAGGTAAAAAAAAGTTTATCCCCAACTAGCAGCTTTGACTTTTAGGAACCATCCTGGGACTCAGAGCATCTTTCAGAGCTCCAAAAGTAATTTTTCCAAGTCCCTGACATGGTCAGAAACAAATATTTTCATTGGAATGAGCTAGTCCTGGGAGATATATTTGAAAATAAATTTATTACTTTTTGTTGAAAGTGGCTTATGTTCATATCTAAAAATTCAACCAATAGTGAAAAATACAAGGAAGAAAGTAAAAATAGCTTACACTAAACACCTCCTTCCCCACTAATACAGAAGGAGGAAGGGAAAAAGAGGGAGATTATACTAGATATACTTGTTTGAAATTAAAACTATTAGAATTTAATTGAACTTGAAGTGAAACTATAAGACTTGCTGAATTTTGGTAACTGCTTCCTCCAAAGAAGAGAAATTGGTTTCTAAAAGTATAAAAAATGTATTATGAAATGCATAAAGGGTTTGGAGTTACTGAGGTAGTTTTTTGTTTTTTGTTTTTTGTTTTTTGTTTTTGCTTTGGTATGAGTTTTAATTCAATTTTTATAAATAATCATGTCCATAGTACAAAATTCAAAAAGTACAAAATGAGACATAGGAAAAAGTAAGTCTCATTACATCTCTGTCCCCCAGTAGCAGAGGCAACCACTGTCACTATGTTTTAGTGTAACTTCTAGATATATTCCAAGCATTTCTAAATATAGACATATATGTAAAAGTGGATTTTTCTTTTTTTTTTTTTTTGAGATGGAGTCTCACTGTCACCCAGGCTGGAGTGCAGTGGTGCCATCTCAGCTCACTGCAAGCTCCACCTCCCGGATTCACGCCGCTCTCCTTCCTCGGCCGGGACTACAGGCGCTCGCCACCACGCCGGGCTAATTTTTTGTATTTTTAGTAGAGCTAGGGTTTCACCACGTTAGCCAGGATGGTCTCGATGTCCTGACCTCGTGATCCGCCCGCCTCGGCCTCCCAAAGGGCTGAGATTACAGGCGAGAGCCACCGCGCCCAGCCAAAAGTGGATTTTTTAAACATAAATCGTAGTATATTATACAAGGTGTTCCAAACCTTGCTTTTTTCACTTAGTAATATACTTTTTTTTATTATTATACTTTAAGTTCTAAGGTACATGTGCACAACGTGCAAGTTTGTTACATATGTATACATGTGCCATGTTGGTGTGCTGCACCCATTAACTCGTCATTTACATTAGGTATATCTGCTAATGCTATCCCTCCCCCATCCCCCGGACCCCACCACAGGCCCCGGTGTGTGATGTTCCCCTTCCTGTGTCCAAGTGTTCTCATTGTTCAATTCCCGCCTATGAGTGAGAACATGCGGTGTTTGGTTTTTTGTCCCTGCGATAGTTTGCTGAGAATGATGGTTTCCAGCTTCATCCATGTCCCTACAAAGGACATGAACTCATCCTTTTTTATGGGTGCATAGTATTCCATGGTGTATATGTGCCACATTTTCTTAATCCAGTCTATCATTGATGGACATTTGGGTTGGTTCCAAGTCTTTGCTATTGTGAATAGTGCTGCAATAAACATACGTGTGCATGTGTCTTTATAACAGCATGATTTATAATCCTTTGGGTATATATCCAGTAATGGGATGGCTGGGTCAAATGGTATTTCTACTTCTAGATCCTTGAGGAATCGCCACACTGTCTTCCACAATGGTTGAACCAGTTCATAGTCCCACCAACAGTGTAAAAGTGTTCCTATTTCTCCATATCCTCTCCAGCACCTGTTGTTTCCTGACTTTTTAATGATCGCCATTCTAACTGGGGTGAGATGGTATCTCATTGTGGTTTTGATTTGCATTTCTCTGATGGCCAGTGATAATGAGCATTTTTCCATGTGTCTGTTGGCTGCATAAATGTCTTCTTTTGAGAAGTGTCTGTTCATATCCTTTGCCCACTTTTTGATGGGGTTGTTTTTTTCCTGTAAATTTGTTTGAGTTCTTTGTAGATTCTGGATATTAGCCCTTTGTCAGATGAGTAGATTGCAAAAATTTTCTCCTGTTCTGTAGGTTGCCTGTTCACTCTGATGGTAGTTTCTTTTGCTGTGCAGAAGCTCTTTAATTAGATCCCATTTGTCAATTTTGGCTTTTGTTGCCATTGCTTTTGGTGTTTTAGACATGAAGTCCTTGCCCATGCCTATGTCCTGAATGGTATTGCCTAGGTTTTCTTCTAGGGTTTTTAGGTTTTAGGTCTAACATTGAAGTCCTTAATTGATCTTGAATTAATTTTTGTATAAGGTGTAAGGAAGGAATCCAGTTTCAGCTTTCTACATATGGCTAGCCAGTTTTCCCAGCACCATTTATTAAATAGGACTCCTTTCCCCATTTCTTGTTTTTGTCAGGTTTGTCAAAGATCAGATGGTTGTAGATGTGTGGTATTATTTCTGAGGGCTTTGTTCTGTTCCATTGGTCTATATCTCTGTTTTGGTACCAGTACCATGCTGTTTTGGTTACTGTAGCCTTGTAGTATAGTTTGAAGTCAGACAGCATGATGCCTCCAGCTTTGTTCTTTTGGCTTAGGATTGTCTTGGCAATGCAGGCTCTTTTTCGGTTCCACATGAACTTTAAAGTATTTTTTCCAATTCTGTGAAGAAAGTCATTGGTAGCTTGATGGGGATGGCATGAAATCTATAAATTATGAGGTAGTTTTTTTGCATTATAGGTTTTAAATTTAATCTAAACTTTGGACCTGGCATTTGTTTTAATCAGGTATGGTATGACACAGAGACCCACAAATGATTCTCATGAAGGAATAGGTTTATACTCACAGATCCCTAATAGCAGGATGTGTGGCACATCATACAGAGCCCCTTGGGGAAGGGCTAGGGTGGGTCAGAAGGCAGAAGTGGTGAGGGGAGAGATGGCCCCAAGCCTTTACTGGGGTTTTCTTGGAAAGGAAAGGTAGAGGCAGGGTAGGTATCCTCAGTATGTTTAGGGTTGGCTAGTTTGAATAATTTTGGCAGGACCTAGGCTATAGGGTGGCCCGTAGTTGTCAGGTACTGGCCCTGGGGTGATTTAGGGGGAGTATTGGCTTGGTGCGTGAGAATTTGATAAAGGTGATGTTTACAGGTGTGGGTTCTGGATTGGCTGGTTTGTATTTCAAAGACACACTTGAAGGAGAGTTGTTTCTAGGAATTAGCTAGCCTTGAGAGGGGCTGTCACTCCAGGATTAAGGCACCAAGTGACAGAACATCAAGAATACGGAAGATAAGAACATGTAGTCACTACAATGGTACCTACTGACTTCCTGCAGGAAAAGATGAGAATGGCCGAATATCTTCCCACCTTCACATTTCTTCCTACATTTCCATTTCTACCTCTACACATCTTGAATTCTTCTTTGTACATCATTAAGGTTATAACATTTACATTCCATATTCTGTAACCATGGTTTCCACAGTTATTTAGCCTTAGACTTAAATGTAAAAAGATTTCATGTTCACCACTGGTCCCTTTCCCAAATTTATTCGATTTATGTCTTGTTTAGCTGGATTTTGTTTTCCAACAATTTTCCTGAAAGAGTTCAGAGGTGCTGTGTTCCCTGAGTTCTATCACATTTGAAAATTTTGTCTTTTCTTGAAGGACAGCTTGTGTGGTTACAAAATTCTTGGTTGACTGTTTTCCTTGGAACTGCGTAGATGTTGCTCCCCTGTATTTAAAGTTATGGAGAAAGCTGGGACCAGCTGATTTCCAGCACCTCTTAATCTTCACTTTCCCATGTAGATGTCTGGGTTTTTTTTTTTTTTTTTGTATGAAGCATTTAAATATATTTTTTAACATGATGCGGTCTGTCAACCTGAAGGGTTCAACTTTCCCCTCAAGTGAGGAACATTTTTCTTCTGTTATATCTTTGAATATGTCCTTTGTTCCATTTGTTTTGTTCACTGCTTCGGAGACAACATAATGCATAGATGGGTCATCAGAGTCTCAACTCCAGGTCCATTATTTTATCTCCATATACTTCAATCTTTCTTTCCTTCTTTGCATTCGTTATGATTACTCAATCTCTACCACCCTCCTCTAATTCAGCTTGAAGCTATATCTGCTTTATTCCTTCATTTTTCCAATAAATTGGTTGGTTGTATATTTCCCAATTTCTTGATTAGTCCTTTTATTTTGGTCTTTAATTTGTTTCCTTAAATAGCAATCATCTTCCATCTTTGCATGATCTTCTCATCCCAACTCTAATTTCTTAATTTTTTTTCAGGTTATTTTTTCTAGAGTCAAAGTATTTATGGTATATATTTTGCACAGAAGCATACTTTTGCATTTTTTGATGTGTTTCTTGCAACTATGTTTCCATCCTGACATCTGTCTCTTGCACATTTCCCTTTTCCTTCCTTTCTACCTTCCTTCCTCTTTTGTCTATAGTATTTTTGTATAGTTGCCATGCCATCTGTTTTCCTTTTATTTTTTTCTGATTTGTATATTTCTACCTTGATTCCCTTTCCCTAGATATATTGTATTGTAGGTTAGTTTTTGTTGACTCCTTCCTACCTTAGCTGGGATCTCTTAGCCTTCCCTTTAGTGCTTTAGTTGAGGATTGTATATTTTGTGTTTGTTTTGTTACTGCTTAGGTGGTGGGGAAAAGGGGAAGTTAAGATAGAGCTGTTTGTAGAATTGGTTTCTTCTCTTTTTCCGTAACTCTGTTCATAGTCCAAAACGTGAGTTTGTTATACCAAATCGGGGGCATATCTTATTCCTTTGGAGGTGGTTAGTAGTGGGTTTCAGATTGTTTCACCAATTTAGGTTGGAATTGTAGAGACAAGCTGTCCGTAGGTTTATTTTCCAGACTTGACCCAATGCTTCCCAACGGCTACTCCTCTGCTAAGAAAGGAAGGAAAAAACGGCAAATCCAAGGAGTTTAGCCACTGTTTTTCAGGAGTCGGGGGAGAACATGGTGGTTGGGGCTTTCCATGTGTCTCCTGCCATTCACTCCTTCAGAGGGACGTGTTTTATTTACTTTACCGTTAGTCTTCCTTCCTTGTAAATCCCTTCATATCATTCAAGAAAATCCACTCTGTGTTCTGTGCGATCATTCTGCCTTTCCTCTCTTCTTCTCATCAGTAAGAAAAGCAAAATGGCAGGCAGCCCAGGCAGTTTTTTCTCTCTTCGAAATGCTGGTAAGATGGAATGGAGAACCTTCTATTCTAGGGAAACTTTCTGAATCTCCTCTGACAACTGCCTACTTGCCCCCTCCATCCCTTTCCCTCTCTATTCTGTGGTATTGAACTCTTTGTAAGAATTTTTTCTCTCCCATCTTCCTTTCAGTACTGATTCTTTGGAGAAGAAGAAAGGGTTATCATGGGTGGAAGCTCTACATTTATTCCTAGTAATTTTTATTCTTTCTCTAGTCACTATTTTTAAAGACTATTGCCTTTTCTTGTATCTTAGAGTTTCTTGTGTATTTTTTATTTGTTCTGAAATTTTTTGTTGTTAATTTGGTTGAATTCAGGAGGAAGGTGGTTGGTTCCTAGAATCCACCAATTCTGGCATTACTCTTCAAGCACCATTTTGGGAAACTTTTCTAGGCAAAAACCCTGATATGCATTTCACTTGATTATTAGACCTCATATGTTTCGATCATCCTATAGATATCTCAGGAGCTTGCTACTCAGTTGACTCTCTGTTGAGTGTGGTAGGGATACATACATAAAGGTAGAATGATGCCAGGGGTGACACAAGGTTTACCACAGAAACCTTGTCAGAGAGCTATAAATACCAGGACAGAACCAGAGAGGTAACAGGTAGCTAAGAGAACTTCTAGTTGAATCTCATATCCAAAGAAGAATTGCTGACTGACCCATCTCTGACAGATGATCCTCCAGCTTACTTGGCTACCTTGAGTACCAAGGAATCCATGCCTACCATTCTCTTACTGGCAAGCTCAAAGTATTTAAACATATTTTACCTTGAGCCAAACTAGATAGCCTCTTGTCTCTTCATGGTCTCCTTTGGTGAGACTTCTTTCTATTCACATGATTCCCAGTCTTAACTCTTCAGGTGGCTACAACTATGCCTATAGTCCTGGTCTCTAGCCTAGCCTAGGATCCTGGAAAATGATTGAGCAGATTGGAAAGCTACCAGGTTAAAATCCAGGAGAAAGAGTAAAACATGGATAAATATGAAGTTCTACATGCAAATGGAAAGTAACCATTATACAGGATGAGGATAACTGATTTGGGTCAACTAAAGAGGTTGAGAGTTTTGCTTAATGCTAAGTGTACTGTAAGCCCGTAGTCAGGCACACAAAATCTATGCTGCATGAATAACAAACATCAATGCCAGGGACATTTACCAAAGTCTTCCTGTGCTAAGATCTTGTTAGAGAACATCTGGGCCTCTGTAACAGCAACAAACCAGAATGTGTGCAGGAATGGGATGGTATCTAGAGACCATGGGCCACAGTGGAGCACAGTGAGCTTGTTGGAAAAATGGAGCTAGAGTCTGGAGAAGAGAAGCTTTAGAGAGGCACAGGAGCTGTTTTCAAACAGGAGAAAGATTTATGGAAAAGAGAATACTTGGTTTGTTCATTCTGTCTTCAAAGCACAGACCCAAGATAGTTTTAGAAGTTTAAAAAACAAAAAGCTGTTCATTGTCTCTGTTGACTAGGAGGCATTTATGTTTCTGAGATCTGTAAAAGATCTAGCAACCTTAGGTTTACTCTGGAAAATCTCTTATCTATGGGGTATGGAATCAGATGTTAATTTCTAAGTAGGATACATAATATAGAACATTTTAATTTATCCGAGGAGGAATAATTGAACAACAGGTCTCCTGAGAAGCCTGCCAAGGAGCAGGTTTTTTTCCCAAACATTATAGCCAAAGAGCCAACCAGCTTCCAATTGCCAGCTTAATACTGTGGGAAGCAAAGGGAAGAACATAACATTTGAAGCAGGTAGACCTTGAGGTCTGGCCATGTCATTTGCTAGTTCTGTAATCTTGAGCAAGTGACTTAACCTTGCTGAGCCTTGGCTTATCTACATGTGAAATGGGATGACTAAGTTCTAGCTCATTGTGAGAATAATGTAAGATAACAATTAAAAAGCCCTTAACATAGAACTAGATACTTATAAATGTCAAAGCTCCTGAAGCTAGCTGCCAACAGTACTACTGTGATTTCAAAGAGACATTTTATAAGTAAGCACTTTTTTTTCAGGGCTTCCTTCTGAACTCTCCCCAGCTATTGAGGAAGAAGAGTCAAAGAGTGGCTTAGATGTCATGCCTAATATTTCTGATGTGCTGCTGCGCAAACTGCGGGTCCACAGGAGTCTCCCTGGAAGGTAAAATCAGGATGTGGGTTACAGAAGGCCCTGTACCGAGTGGCCCCTGTGTTGGATTCTAGGTGGGACACAGAGGAACACCAGTCTTAATTCTTGAACCCAGAAGGGCCAAAGTCCAATTGTCTAGATAGGGATAATGCATTCGAAACAAAAAGAATAATGAAAGGCCAGGCTGGGTGTTTTCAACTCAAAGGCCAGGTGGGGTTCTTAGGTGAGCACAGTTCATGAAGGCATAAGGGTCACCAGAAGCTCATGGCAGCAGAGAATGGGCTTTGAGCCAGGAGACATGGGTTTCAATCCCAGATACACCATTTACCCATGACTAGTTAAGTTTTCAAATATTTTTTTGTAGAGATAGGGTCTTGCTATGTTGCCCAAGATAATCTTGAACTCCTGGCCTCAAGTGATCCTTCTACCTCGGCCTCCCAAAGCACAAATAACATTTAAGTAACCAAATGAATGATTTGAAAGAGTAAAGTTGGTAGAAAGACCATAAAATAGGGCACATCTAGAGAATGACATGAGAGTGGGGCATTGGGTAGGAGGTCAAGGAAAGGCCTCTGTGATAAAGTAATAATTTGAGATGTGCAAATAACAAATGACAAAAAGCCACTCATGCAAGGGTTTTGGTAAGATTTACAGAGGAAAAAAATTGTAATTTTAACAAACGGTGCTGGGACAACTGGATAGCCACATACAAAAGAGTGAAGTTGGACCCCTACCTCACACAAAACACACAAATTAACTCATAATGGATCATAGACCTAAATGTCAGAGAGAACACTATAAGACTCTTCAAAGAAAAAATATAAGTAAATCTTCATGTCTTTGGGTTTTTTAGATATGGCACCAAAAACACAAGAGACAAGATTTTAAAAATAAATAGTACTTCCTCAAAATAAAAACTTCTGTGCTGCAAACAGTGTCAAGAAAGTGAAAGGCAACCCACAGAATGAAATATTTGCAAATCACTTATCTGAAAAGGAACTTGTTTCTAGAGCATATAAAGAAGGCTTACACTCAATAAAAAGATAAATAACCAATTTTTCAAAATGGGGAAAGGATTTAAATAGACATTTCTTCAGAGAAGATATACAAATAGTCACTTAAAAAAGATGCTGTGTCCTTTTAGAGGCTCACAGCTCTGCCCCCGGGTACCTATGCCCATTTGTAAGGCACAGTTATCTGCATCAGACACCAGACATACCATGTGGCTTCTCTGCCTAAATCATACTTCTCTGAGTCCTCAGAGTTTCCCCCCAGACCCCCACTTTTTTTTTAAGGTGGGTATGTTCTAACTGGGTGTGGTGGCTCATACACCTGTAATCCTAGCACTTTGTAGGCTCAAGGCAAGAGGATCACTTGAGGCCAAGAGTTTAAGACCAGCCTGGACAACAGAGTGAAACTCTGTTTCTACAAAAAATAAAAATAAAAAATTAGCCAGGTATAGTGGCATGCACCCATAGTCCCAGCTACTCTGGTGGCTGAGGCAGGAGGATTGCTTGAACCCAGGAGTTCAAGGCTGTAGTAAGCCACCTCTGCAGTGATCCTGCCACTGCACTCCAGCCTGGGCAGCAGAGCGAGACCCTGTCCCCAAAAATAAATAAATAAAATAAAAATAAGGTGGGTGTGTTCTACAGCAAAAAAGCAGAATGTGAGTCATTGAAATAGAAAAATGTTTGGTTTATAATTTATGAAAATATGTGCATTTCACATAATATCCCAACAAACCCAGGAGTCAGAAACAAACTTGGCAAGTTTTGCCAAATCATTTAAATCATATGTGTATGCTGTAGATGACAGTTAAGGCAAGGGCCTGATGGGTGGGGTTGTGACAAGGACTGTAAGTGTCAAACATCCCTGCAGCTGTTTGTCCCGTGTTCTGGACTCCGCTGACTTCATGGCCATGGGGTCTTCTCATCCTGACAGGAAGGCACTCATATCATTCCCTAGGGGTGAGAACCAGCCCCCTGCAGAGATGGCTGACCCCTACCTTTGCTCTTGGGGTCCCTTCACACCCGTTCAAGAGAGGAAGCTGTGTTTCCTGAGAAGCTTATTGATGGCATGCTCTGTTGCCAAGTTCTGTGACGCTGGTAGGACCCCTCCCAGGCCTCCCCGCCCCAGCACAGGAAAGGGCCTGTGCATTATTTACATTGTGTGGACTTCAGATGGGGCCAGCTTTAGTTACCAGCAAGAGCAGCAGCCACAGCAGCATCGAGTGGACATGCAGATGCAGGGACTGCCTATAGCTGGAGAGCCCTGGCTGTGGGAACGCCACAGACGAGGAGCTGCTCAAAAGGATGCCTCTGTGTCGGCTGGGGCTTTCTTGCCACTCTGTGATTCTAGCCATCAGAAGTTCTTGCTGTGGAGAAGAACCCTGGTCACTCTCTCCTACCATTTATTCTCTGGCCCGCATGCACCTTTGTCACAGCCCTCAGAGACAGAGGAGGGTGAGGCTTTGCAGACCTGGGTGGATATCCCCAGAACAATTATAATGGCAACTTAGATGTGTATGAGTTATAAAGTCCTTATCACATGCATTTTCTTATTTCTCACAGCAAGGCTATGAGTTCAAGGTCACATTTCCCGAGAGCCCACTGAGTGTGGATGCCATATATTTATGCATACAAACACATACACATACATACATGAGTACATATAGTGCTTATAATACCTCTGCAAGGTAGGTGATATGATTCCCATTTTGCAGATGAGCACGCTGGGGCTTAGAGAGATTAAATAACTTGTCCAAAGTCACAGAGATAGTCATGGTGCCGTAAGAGTCAGTATCTCACAGGTGACAGAGCACAGGCAAGGGGACATTGCATCTTTTCCTTCTCACCAACACAGCTTACTCCACCCCTGGAAACACATGGTCTGCTGGTCATTCAGAGTCACCTTTGGGTCTATTGACTAGGTTGCACACAGTTCAATTGTGTGTTTTCTTTTTCACAGTGCCCCTCCACTCACTGAAAAGGAAGTTGAGGTAAGTGACTCAAGTGTGTTATGAAATTTAGTGCCCGTGCTTGACTGGGCTTATTCAAAACATTTCTTCCTCCAGACTCTAGCTCTGACATTTTTAGACAAAAATGAGAAAGAGTGACTGTGGGGTAATGTGAACATTCATGACCAGCCCTCTTGAACCATGAGATCCCCATTCCCACGTCCGTTCATGGAAGATTTTGACAAATTTGGGCAAAAGGGAGAAGGTAGTTGGAAATTTTACATTCCTGTAAGGATTGTTTATATTCTTTAAATGTACGACTTAGATACACAAAACCAGCTGGGAGGCTGCAGAATTGAATCAAATTTATTTCAAAATTACTGAAAAATGGTCAGATTTCAAGTTCTAAGCTTTAGTTTAGTGGGAAAGGGGGCTGGCCTCCTCAGGGTTTCAGCTACAAGAATGCCAGCTCAGCGGAGCCGGGAAGCTGTGCTGTCAGCAATCCAGCCTTCCGGTTTCCTCACTGGGGCCTCCTTGTCCCAGCGGGGTTGTGAGTGAGCTGAGGGGAATCTGCATTTCATTCTGTAGCGGACAAAGAGAACTTATCAGAGGTGAGACAATGAGAACTGCTGATGTGGACCAGATAAGCAGAGGAAGACAGACAGTATGAAGTATCTACCACAGGTAGTATCTATAACTTGCACACAGGCATTGCACTTGCAGTCTATAACACACGCATAGCCATCCTTTCAGCTGATCCTAACCAGCAGCTCTGAAAAGCAGGTGGAGCAGGAATCAGCACAAAGGAGAAAACTGAGTGAGTAAATAACCACACCAAGTTTCTAGATACTGTAGTTGGCAAAACCAAGACCTAGATCCAAGTGTTCTCACTGAATTCAGAACTCATTGTGTCACACTGCTGTTAAGGGGATAATCAAGGTATAGAAAATTAAGCATTGAGCATTATTCATAGACTTGACCAAGGCCGGGTAAGGCAGAAAATTTCTATCACTGGGCTATGAGCTCTAAGCCTACCCACTGACATTTGTGAAGATGGGCCATGGGCGGTTTGTTTAATGTCCAAATGCTGACCGCAGATGTATATGGACACAGCTCTCGGCATGGTGGAAATAAAACAGGCTTTCAAATCAGACAGTCTGAGGTTAAATCCTGGCTCCGTTACTCCGTGTCACCTTGAACAAGTTAATGACCGTTCTGGTCTTGGCCTCTTTACCCATAAACAGGTATAACAGTTCCCACCCCAGAGGGTTATTGTGAGATTACATGAATTTGTAGAATGAAAAGCAGTGCTGGCATATAGTAGATGCTCAATAAGGAGTAGTTTTCAATATTGCCTTCATCATCATCATTGGGTCAATTCTGTACCTTCAATTCTTCTGGAGATGACTGCCTTCCATGGGCCATGTTACATGAACTTCAGAAGCCCCTGTGGTTACTAACCCTGCAGGGTATAAATCTGCTACCACTCAGGGCAGATGATGGCTGTAAAATTGAAGACCATTGCTTCCTTCCTGAGTGAGGTCCATCTGTCTATTTCTTCTCCCTAGTAGTTTCCTACTGTTCTGGGAATTCCATGTATGACCAATATTATCTTTTCAAAGTCTGTTCATGCAGGCTGCAATTTTAGCATGAAACATTTATTTATTCCAGAAAGCTTAACCGAACAGAATCATACCTGGCCTTATTTAATCTCCTGGCAGCTACTTAAAGCTTCTATCAATACAGGATTTGGAATACTCGGGCTAGATGCTGATTGAAGTTTGCTTTACGTCAACAATGCTTAAATCTCACATGGAGTTTCTTTCAATACAGTATTTTCCTGCAAAATCTCCAAAACCCCTCATGCAATAAATCCCAGCATAAATCCAGATGCTTACACAATTAGCTGTACTGGCCTGAGTTTATCTAAACCCAGATACAGGATGTTATTTTCTTAAAATTCAGGAAAAAGCAAAGTGTTATTCTCTTCTTATTTTTTGGTAGAATACATTTGGACCTCCGGTTCTGGGAAGGGCCTAGCGTGGACCTTGGTCCCTGCTTTACCATCTTTTTTGTGGTTTCCTGTGAAGTGAGCGTTTCCCTTGCACATGGCTGCTTTGGTGCTTTGGCGGCTGTTCCAGGGGCCGTTGCAAAACGCTCGTGCAAGGAGCACAGCTGCAGCCTTGTCCTCTGCAGTAACTCCTCCCAGCACCTCTCTCACACCCTTGTTCCCAACAGAACGTGTTTGTGCAACTGTCCTTGGCCTTTAGAAATGACAGCTACACTCTGGAATCTAGAATTAACCAGGCTGAAAGGGAACGCAACCTGACAGAGGAGAACACTGAGAAAGAACTGGAAAACTTCAAAGCTTCCATTACGGTAATTGTGGAGCCTGATGTGAGGAATCCCTGGAGCAGAGACTGTCCCCAAGGGCCATACAGGGTGTCATGCTTCTCTCAGGTACCAAGTATAGTCTCCTGAAGTGAAAAATTGAGCCAAGACTCTGACAGTGTTCCTCAGAGAGTTGGGGGGAACTGAGGCAGAGATCCCAAAGGCCTGGTTCCCTCAGGGCTGTGGACAGGTCCTCCAAAGCCTTGGGAGCTTCTCAGAAGGGGGCAGGGTGGCCTGGGTGTGACTCCTACTTTCAGGCGCCAGGGATAGCGTGTTCACATTGGGCTTCTCCAAGCACCAGAAGAAACTGTGGCCCAGGCCCTGCAGAGGCCACTTCTCTCAGCCTGGATGGGGCCCAGAGCTGCTTTCATGAGAGCTGAGTCTAGGCTTGGTGTGTGTCTTAGTCAGTTTGAATTGCTGTAACAAAGGGCCTTAGACTGGGTGGCTTAAATGGCAAACATTTATTTCTCATAGTTCTGGAGGCTGGAAGGCCAAGATCAGGGCACCAGCATGGTCGGGTTCTGGTGAGGGCCATCTCTGGCTTGCAGACTACCACCTTTCCATTATATCTTACATGGTGGAAAGAGAACAGAACTCTCTGGGGTCCCTTTTATAAGAGCACTAATTCCATTCGTGGGGCTCCACTCTCCTCACCTAATCACCTCGCCCAGGCCCCACTTCACTATCACATTGAGGAGTTAGGATATGTCCCCCCAAAAGTCAGCAGATGACTTTGTGGGGGGCACAGACATTTAGCCCAGTGGTCCGCATCCCCTGGGCCAGGCCGCAAACCGGTACCAAACCATGGCCTGTTAGGAACCAGGCTGCACAGTAGGAGGTGAGCTGCCTGAGAGCATGACCTCCTGAGCTCCGCCGCCTGTCAGATCAGCAGCAGCATTCGATTCCCATAGGGTCACGAACCCTATTGTAAACTGTGCATGCGAAGGATCTAGGTTGTACCCTCCTTATAAGAATCTAATGATCAGAGGTGGAAGAGTTTCATCCCCAAACCATCGCCCCCACCAGGTTTGTGGAAAAATTGTCTTCCAAACCAGTCCCTGAGGCCGAAAAGGTTGGGGACTGCTGATTTAGTCCATAACATTATTTGAGGACCCCAGGTGATGCTCCTACTCCTGTTCAGTCCTCAGCTTCACTCTGGCACCACTGTGAGCACCGGGAAACCTACCAGAAGTTGCTGGAGGACATCGCTGTCCTGCACCGCCTGGCTGCCCGCCTCTCCAGCCGAGCTGAGGTGGTAGGCGCCGTCCGCCAGGTGAGTCTCTCCAGCCCCCGGTCTTGCCAACTCTGTTCCACCTACGTAAAGTAGAGCAATCACCCAAGCAGCGGCAACTACAGATACCACTTAGAGGTGGCTTCCTCTGGGCCAGGCATCCTATGCACATCATTGCAGTATTATTCAGAGTATTTTTGGCAGATCACTGAACCCTCAAGGTGCTTTGTGGAAAAAGGTTTCTGTGGACGCACAAGTTTGGGGACTACTGCATACTATCTTTCTTTCTTGGAAATTTCTAACACATTGGCCTAATCAAGGCTTTGGTAACTCCTGTGGTGGAGAAGGCTGGTTCACTTTACCTACATAGTTCCCAAACGTATTTAACTGAAGAATTCCCCCCACAGCTCTCCATTTTATTTTTCTCAAAAAATACCTGTTCAACTCCCATGGAGCTAGTATTTGACAAAACATACTTTAGGAAAACCTGCTTTGTCTCATTAAATCCACCCAGCAACCCTATAAATATCCTGTCTCCCAGATGAAGATGCAGAGTCTCAGAAAGTAAAAGCGTTAGTGGCGGAGCGGGGCACAGGCCCAGGTCTGGCTCTCTCTTGGCCACTTTGAAGTCCTGAAGCATACAGAGCCCCGCCCCGGCCCCCCATGTTGTAGCAGGAGCACATTGCCCGAGTTCTAATCCTGGCTCCAACCTTCATTCGCTGTGTGACCTTGGGCCCCTTACTGAGGTTTCTCTGCTTCAGTCTTTTCAAGTATAAAATGAGGATGGTCACAGTATCTGCCATAGAGGGTTGCTGCCGTACTTGTAAAGCATTTGGATGTTGTTATTATGTTGCTATGACATGAATCTATGTCCTGCTGCTCTGGTTACATGAGAGGAGGTTCCTGGGGTGGTGCAGCCCTGAGCAGTTCCTATTAAATAAAAGAAAGACCTGTCGCTGGGCCATCCCACCCTGTGTCCTTCAGGACAAGGACATCTGACTCAGCAGTGGTGCCCAGGAAGTCACTCCAGCTGGGAGCAGCAACACGGGAGGACTCTAGGGAAGTAGCTGGTCTCAGCCACGCATGACTGTGGGACCTGTTCCTGCGAAGCCACTGGGTGTGTCCCTCTGTGGCCAGGCAGGGCCTGAGCTAGATCCTCTGAGGGATCTAACTGGGGTATGAGCAGAGAGAAATTGTTCTCATTGTGTGCAGGCTTCCCAAACTTGTGCCTCAGCCCACCTGTCACTCACGCCATCTGCTCCCTTCTCCAAATGGCTCCCTCGTCTTGGCTGCTATGTCTCAGTCTTTGCCTTCCTCTCTGGCTCCACTGGGCCAGGTCAGGCTTCATCCTGTTTTTACCTGCTGCCCTCACTGCCACCAGTCTCACTCCCTTGAGTCCCATCTCTACCTATGACCTGATTATATTACTCTCTTACTTTAAGGGAGATATTCAATGGCTTCCCTTTTCCTTCAGAATAAGTTCAAATTCCTTTGTCTAGCATTCGAGGTCCTTCACAACCCAGACTTACAAATAGACCCAACTGCTTGCTGATCCCTACATAGGTAGGAGGACCTGCAGTGTCTGGGCTTTCTGGACAGCCCTGGTTTATTATGTCGATTGTCCCAGCATAATTTGTCGTCGTGCCTTTCTTCACTCTCCAGAGGACTCTTATTCAGAGGATAAAACCTCATCTACATATAAGCCCTGTGCTTCCCTGCCTCTAGACTCCTCTTGGAGTTCCCTGGCCTGAACGCTGTGTCCCTCCTGCCCTTGTCTATGGGCCCAGATGCTGCTCACATCCTACATCCACTGCATTCCCTCTCCATGAAGCCTCCCCTGACCCGTTCTCTGCAAGCAGAAACAACTCTCCTCTGCCTGTCATCTCCTGCAGTGTGGTGGCTGTGCTTTTCTCATTCTCCCTAAGCGCAGGTGCTGAGTCCACCTCTCAGCTCACATGGCAGACAGCAAACTCTTCAGAGGGCAGAGTCTTGTCCCTGTATCCTTTTGATTCTCCTAGCCCAGACCCTAGGTCAGAGCAAATAAGTGCCAACGGAGCCTTTCCTCCAATGGCCTCATGCACTCATGCGCTCCTTCCCCGCAGGAAAAGCGCATGTCGAAAGCAACGGAAGTGATGATGCAGTATGTGGAGAATCTAAAGAGGACGTATGAGAAGGACCATGCGGAGCTCATGGAGTTTAAAAAGCTTGCAAATCAGAATTCAAGCCGCAGCTGTGGCCCCTCTGGTAAGGACCTAGGCTCCTGCCCCATCTTGGCCCTACAAGGTGGACTTCCAAGAGCTCTTGGCTAGGATTAGAGCTGTCAGAACAGCCCCAGGACTTATTTCCAGTTGAGCAGCACTCCTGTCTAGTGCTGCCCACAGGGGCCTCCCAGCAGCTGCTTCAGTGGGCCTGGCAGGGCAGTCTGGAACCAGGAAACATGAGCCTTTCCAAAGTGACTTCCTAACTCCCAAAGCAATAAATCACAGTGGCTGACCATGGATACAAAGCCCATGGGCTACAAGAGCTCTTGGACTTACAGGGTCTGAGAGTGACCCTAGACCCTGTCAGTCCGTGTGCTTTGGGATCCCCTTTTAGGCAGCACATGCTAAGGAATTTGGGCTTTATTCTGGAAAGCATTAGGGATCCAGCCAATGATTTTAATCAAGAAAATGACTTGATCATATATGTAGTTTAAGAAGATTCCCTTTAACTGTGGTGTGGCAGTTACATTACTGGGACAAAGCAGGGATAGAAAACCCCATGAAGATGTTCTTGCAACAGTCCAGGTGAGGGGTGAAACCTGGGCAGTTAGGGTGGAGTGAGAGTCTGGCTGAAGGAGATGTTACGGAGAAAAACAGCAGACTCATGGGTAAGACAGAAGTTTCAAAGAAATACTCTTGTTTAGAAGTTCTATACGAATTGCTATAGGAGCACGGGGGAGGGCCCACCTGATTCTGCTTGAAGGGAGACAAAGAAGCCTTCAAAGAGGGATGGTATCTTGTTGGTGTTTTAAAGTAAAAATAGGAGTTCTCCAGTCAATAGAGGAAGACACATCCCAAGTGGAGAAACCAGCATGGACAAAGGTGTGGAGGTTGGGGGTGAAAACAAGATGAAACAAACAGTTTGTCATAGTGGCAGTGTCAGGGTGTGGAAGTGAGACTTGGTTGACCAGGGCCACACGCCAGGCCATGCTAGCAATTTGAGCCTCTAGGCAACGGGGAGTCATTGGTAAGTTTATACCACATGAGGTAATCAGCCTTTATTTTTAGATTATTCTGACTTCAGTGGACAATATATTGGAGGTGTGCAAAAGCTGAGGTAAAGAGAGACACAGTAGGAGGCTCTTTCTCAGTCCAGCAGGAAGAGGTTGGTGCCTTGGACCAGATCTCTCCATGGGCACTGTCAGGGTTTGAACTCTGGCTGATGAGGGTGGCTAGCAGGAGAAAACAGACCTTTTAGCAACAGGAATCCCTGTGGAATGCAAACATCCGTGTTACCAAGAGCTGCAGAAGGGAAAGTACAGAAAGTATAACAGATGGAGAAACCTTTATAAACAGGAGGTTTCACAAGTTTCCTGGAGAATATCAGTGACATGTCCCAGAGTCCAAAGGCAGCATGCACACATGCTCCAGACTGTCAGCTTTGGATCTGTCAGCAAGGCTCCTGACCCACATGCACCTAGGCCTCTAACCATTTTCCGTCAGTGTTGGAAGCTGAGGAAGTTGCCGCCAAAGGAATCCTAATGCGTGGACTCCTGCATTTATTGCTGCACAAGGCCTCCTGCAAACCACCTTACCTAAGATTTATAGGATGAGCAGTTACCCATGAGTCTCATTCGTTCATTCTACAGACATTTATTGAGTACCTTTGGTTTGCCCTATATAATACTGGAATATAGAGGTAAAGGGCACACAGTCACAGACCCAAAGGAGCTCCCAACCTTTGGGAAGTCAAGGCAGTGTAGCCAGTGCTATGACAGAAGAAAGCAGACTTCCGAGGAGAATACACCACAGAGTCCCACATTCACTCTAGGAGGATGAGAAAACGCTTACCGTAGGAAAGGTCAACGATAGCTGTACGTGTTTTTCTGATATTTGTTTCCACTCCAGTTGTTCTTCCAAGCTATACCTCAGCTTGGGCTAGGCAGAGTGGCCGTAACCACTCAGCAGGTGTTTCCATAAGATACTCTATGACTGTTCCCTAATAGTGTTTGTGTCTTAAGCCTTTATACAACCTCTGCAATCTTTGTCTATGCCTGGGGTTTTGAAGACTGCAGTAAATAAAATATCCCTGATTTCAAGGAAGGTGATATACATTTTTTAAAAATAACATGTTTCTTTCTGAATATGAAATTTACCAATTATCTGCATTTTAGATTATTTCCTTAGTGTAGATTTCTAGAAGTATGAATACTAGCTCAGGGGAAATAAATTTTTTAAGGCTCTTAAAGCAAATTATTTTCAAATAACCCATTTATGTTTTCACTGAATGGGTTACAATACTCAATTCACCGTGCCATTGACACAATTCTTGTTCTTTCTTTTTGTAAATATCCATGACTTTGATAGGCCACAATTGTGTCTTGTCTTATTGTTTTAATTGTATTTCTTGGCCTTTCCAAATGTTTATGGAACATTTGTATTTCTGCTTTTAAAAATTCTGTATTTATGACCTTTGCCACTTGTAAGCTTGGTAGTTTACTAATTTATATGAACTCTTCACATGTAAAGAATATTTTCTGGTTCTGCTATTTTGGCTGACTGGAAAACTTGAAAATCTTTTGACCACAAGCACTTAGAAATTGCTGCTGGACAAAATAAAGCAAACCTTTGTCTAAATAGCTGAATCCACAAGAAAATAAATTGAAATACCCAGATACAAGAAAAGAAAAGAGAACTGAAACCAAGCTGACCCTGCAGCTTCCTTAGGGACAAGTGTCAGCCTTGGTTATCTGGGAGCTGAGCTTTTGCACTTGCCTGTGGTCTGAGACAAGGCCTGGAACACCTATGGTAGAGAGTTGACACAGATTCCCACAGAAAGTTAAGGGCGTCCAAGGACTATATCCTCAGATGGAATTTGGATAAGGAAAAATAATAATCACCAACCAGCAGAGAAACAAGGAAATTTGTTTCACCCTGGACTGTAGTAGGAAAAAACACTTTCTCCTTCCTCATAGGGAAAGTACGTGCTCACAAAGTGACAGCAGTGATGATGCAATATGCAGAGGATTTGAAAAGAACAGCAAGATGGTGCTTCTAAGATATGTTAGAAATAAGCAGAAAAGTACTCTGGAGAGACAGACCCTGCATCTGGACACACAGGATTCCTCTAATAAAGCCTCACTGAAGATGACTTCACAACTTAAAATTATAAAATACACAAGAAAACAATTCATCATGAACAAAAGTCATCAGTTACACAAAACAATAGGATTATATCCTAAGAACCTCGGAAAATAAAATGATCTGACAATTTTTTTAAGATAAGCTTAAAATTGTTACAGGTAGCTGGGTACAGTGGCTCACGTCTGTAATCCTAACACTTTGGGAGGCCAAGGTGAAAGGATCGCTTGAGGCCAGGAGGTTGAGACCAGCCTGGGCAACAAAGTGAGACCAGCCTGGGCAACAAAGTGAGACCCTATCTCCACAAAAAATAAAAATAAAAAGCAATTAGTCAGATGTGGTGGTGGGCACCTGTAGTTCTAGCTTATCAGGAGGCTAAGGTGGGAGGATCGCTTGAGCCCAGGAAGTCAAGGCTTCAGTGAGCTGTGATCATGCCACTGCACTTCATTCTGGATGACAGAGTGAGACCGTCTCTAACTTAAACAAAAATTATTGGAGACATAAAATAATGGATCAAAAACAGAGTAAAAGAATACAGTTATCAAAGAAGAATAAAATAGAACTCCTCAAAATGAGGAATAAAGTCACAGAAATCAAAAACTCAAGAGTTTAGATGTGGTAGTTACTATATTTGAGGCTATTCTTCATTATTCCAGATCTCCTTCTTCTGGGCACATTTACCCATCCCCTTGAAGTCACAAGGCAAGGCCATGGGATTTGCTTTGGTGAATGAAATATGAGTAGAAGGACATGTCACATCTGAACCTAGGCCTCTAAGAACTAGAATGCAGTTTGCCCTGTTTCTTCCTCCTAACATGATAACCATCATTGCTCCAGAATAGTAGAAGGCCAGTATTAGGCTGAGTCCAGAGTGAGGAAACAGAGAACCAAGCTTGCTGCAGACTTGGAAGTAAATGAGCATGTAGCATAAGCAAATCACATCTTCCTTGTTATCAGCCACTAATACTTTGGAGTTGCTTATTATTACTATGCTATTAAACTAGTATAACCTAGCTTATCCTGATTGATTATAACATTTAAATCAAATTGGGCACAGTTGAAGAAAAATTAGTTAACTTGAAGATAGGTTTGAGGAAGTTACCCAATGTATAGTTCAGAGAAATAAATTGATTAAAATTATGAAAGAAGCATTGAGATATGGGATATAGAATGCAGAATGAGAAAGTCCCAAATACATTTATTAGGCCATCCTTAAGGGGAAAACCAAGGAGAGAAAATATGCCAAGAAAGAATGGCTAAGGATTTTCTAGAACTAAGGAAAGTCATCAATCATTGGATTCAGAAAATACGTGAATTCCAAGCAGGAAAAATAAAAACACACCAAAGAGAAACTGCAGAACAGTAAAGACAAAGGGAAGATCTTAAAAGTCATCAAAGAGAAGATTACTTACAAAGGAATGACAATTCTCAATGGCAATAATAGAAGAAGCCAATGGAATAATTTCTTAAAAGAACTAAGAGAAAATAACTGTCAATCTAGAGATAACACAGATGGCTAAGATACCATGCAAGATTGAGGGCTTGGTAAAGACTATTTGGAGACAATTGAGAAAGTTTACCTCTCATAGACCCTCGCTGAAAGAACAACTAGAGGATGTACCTAAGGAAGATTGAAATTGAACTCAAACACATGCTCACAAATGTTCATTGCAGCACTTTTCACAATAGCAAAGACATGGAATCAACCTAAATGCTCATCAATGACATATTGGATAAAGAAAAATGTGGTACATATACACCATGGAATACTATGCAGCCATAAAAAAGAATGAGATCACCTCTTTTGCAGGAACATGCGTGGGGCTGGAGGTCCTTATCCTTAGCAAACTAACACAGGAAGAGAAAACCAAATACTGCATGTTCTCACTAAGAAGTGGGAGCTAGACATTGAGTACATATGGCCATAAACAAGGGAACAACAGGTACCAAGGCCTACTTGAGGGTGGAAAGTAGGAGGAGGGAGAGGAGCAGAAAAAATCAATGCTGTCTACTAGGCTTAATACCTGGGTGACGAAATAATCTGTACAACAAATCTTCATGACAAGTTTATGTAATGCACCTGCACATGTACCCTGAACCTAAAATAAAAGTTAAAAAAAATTGAGCTCAAAAGAAACAAGTAGGATACAAGAAAGAATAGTCAACAAAGACATTTGTAAACGTGGGTAAATCTAAATAAGCACTCTCTGTAGAAATCAACAAACATAATGAATAATTTAAGAATACAAACACAAGGTGAAATAAAAATCCTGGAAAGCAATATAATTAAGAGGGAGGGTTATTATTTTAAGATTTATTCAAGAAAAGAATAGAGAGCTTGTTTAATTTTAAATTTAAAGTCAGTATGTTCAAAAGTTAAGAGGACATGCTAAAGGTTAAAAATAGAATGTATAATTTCCAAACAAAAGTGTCAGGTGGGAGGAGGGGTAGAAAAAGTCAATGAATAAAACAAAATAAATAGAAAATATAAAATTACATGGTAGAAATAAATACAAATATATTAATCACAAGAACTATAACTAGTATAAATCTATTGGTTAATAGAGAATCTCAGATTAGATTATGAAAAAAACAGGCCAGGTGTGGTGGTTCATGCCTGTAATTCTAGCACCTTGGGCGGCCGAGGCGGGTAGATACTTTAAGCTCAGGAGTTGGAGACCAGCCTGGCCAACATGGCGAAACCCTGTTTCTACTAAAAATAAAAAAATTAACCAGGTGTGGTGGCACACATCTGTAATCCCAGCTACTTGGGAGGCTGAGGCACGAGAATCACATGAACCCAGGAGCCGGAGGTTGCAGTGAACCAAGATCGTGCCACTGCACTCCAGCCTACGTGACAGAGTGAGACTGTCTCAAAAGAAAAAAAAATTTTTTTTTGAAAAAACACATACGGCTATGTGCTTTTCAAGAGACTCACCAAAAATATATGGATATGAAAGAGAGAGATATGCAGGCTAAATGATATTGGTTAAACTGAATCAAATTGAATTGAACTAGCAAATACCTTTCTCTGCACATACTCAGGTGTTTCCTGGTGGTAGGATTATCCAGGTATGAAGCTAAACATATTACGTGAGTTATATCACTTAATGTATGTAGTAAGGAGAAGAAAATCCTGGGGTGGTAGCTTCCTTTGCTCTGAGTCATTTGGTAGGTAACATATTGAAACTACTTCTGTTAGCAAGTTTTCATTATTTACTGGCACCACACCTTCCTTGCTCATAGTTTCTCTGACTGTACATCCTTGAACGAGCATGAAATAACCCAATAAGTCTTCGTGTTGCTGAGTAGTTTTCATACACTATCTAGGGTGTTATGCAGAGCGTGTTTAGTGGGGTCAGATAAAGATCAGAGGTCCAAGACTGGGGCTTCCTATAGTGAGAAGGGGAGTTAGGATAAAGGTTTTGTCCAAAAAAAGCCCCCACTCTGCAGCCCCATCTCAAAGGATGAAGTGCCAAACTCAGTGTCCCCAACACCCAGACCCTTGGGCTATCCCTTGAGGGCCAGTTCTGGCCCATGGATACGATAGCCTAGTTTCTGTTTCCTGCTGGTGCCTAGCCTGAAACTTACCTGTGTTCTCTTCTCTGCTCCCTCCTGCTGCAGAAGATGGGGTCCCTCGCACGGCACGGTCCATGTCCCTCACGCTGGGAAAGGTATGCATGTTCAAGGAATACCAGGGCTCCTGGAAGGAGTATGACAGAAGTTTCCATGGTCACCCAAACAATCATTCATTCTGGGATCCATGGATGCCAGAGAATCTCTGAACAGAGTTTCTATTCGGCTTTCCACACTCTCAAGTTTAGCCTCTGACATCTTACCTTTCTTGCTCATGGTTTCCTTAACTATGTATACATCCCTTAAATGAACATGAAGTGATCATAAGCCTTCATATTGCTACAGGCAGCTTGAATACAGTCTCCAGGGTGTTACCCAGAGACTGTGGGGTCATTTCCATTCTGTATCTCCAAGATCTCATAAGCTAAAATAGAACAGATTGAGCGTTCACTCACCAACAACAGAAAATTTGGGTCAACTTTGGCCACTCTCTCCACACCAATTCTATCATTGCTACTGCAAAACCAAAATATCCAGTGAATGCCATTACAGCATTAGAAATGAGGAGGCTTTTTCCCAGCCCTTCTGAACTATGGCTATTGCTACCTCCAAGACAGTGAGCCTGGTCACTTCTCTTCCTGCAGAATATGCCTCGCCGGAGGGTCAGCGTTGCTGTGGTTCCTAAGTTTAATGCCCTGAATCTGCCTGGCCAAACTCCCAGCTCATCATCCATTCCCTCCTTACCAGCCTTGGTAAGTATGACGATGTCTGCCTCCCAGCACAGAATAGTAGAATAACCTTTCCTTCGTACTCAGTCCTAGGGCAGGGAGGGTGACCAAATGGGGGCAGGGTCAACAAGGAGAGGAAATTTCCAGAATAGAATCTGAGTGATAGGCTCAAAAACTCAATATACACCAGGCTGCATGTATTCTACTACTCTGGGAAGTCCCACTGCCCTCAGCATGGTGTTGGCAGCTCAGCGTTCTTTGCAAATGATAACTCTTTTTGTGCTTACACCACAATCTGCCAAGGTGGTTACAATTTTTTTCTACTCTGCAGTGGGCTTAAGTAGCTGAAGTTTGTAATGTGTGATAGGTGGTAGAACAGCTTTGAACCCTAGGTTCTCTGATTCCACAGCCTGAGTTCTTCAACCCATTGTTCTCCTGCCTCAGTTCATTGTAGCATTGTTCATAATAATGAAAAGTGGGAAACAACTCCATGTTCACTAATAAGAGATTGGTTAAGCAAATGGATATTCCTATAAGGGGTTTCTGTAGAATTATCCATAATTTATTATGAATCAAAAGCAAGTAAAATAGAATATACAAAACCTAGTGTATAAACAGTATAATTCTGTTTTGTACTTTTTAAAAGAGTGTGTTTCTGTGTGTAGACATAGAAATTTCTGGTAGAAGATATGTGAAACAGCTAATAATGGTTATCTCTAGGCAATGGTAAAATAGTTCATTTTTATTTTCTTCCTGATGCCTTTTTATATTTCTATAATAAGAATGTATTGGTAATAATCAGGAAAAATACATTTCCATTTCTTTTAGACAAAGACGTTTGGATATAACAAAATATTTTCTGTATCCCAGGCCTTTGTGCATCTGGCTAATTCTCTCTAATTCTTTCTTCAGTGGTTTCTCTATCCCCTGCCTATGACTAGCACTACCCTATAAGGAAACAATCTGATTGTGTAAGCAACTGGAAATTCAAGCTCTATGTAATACCAATGAGTGGTATTCACTGCTTCCTGCCTCAAGCATTTCAGTCGTCTATGAAATCAACCTAAATTCCCAAATTACCCACTAAAATAAAACAACCTGAAAAAAATGTTTAAGAATGTTGGAGAGGACTGGTTAGTGTATTTTAACAGATCTATTTCCCATACTTTGCCTAAAAGCATAAATTTATTTTCCAAATATATATTCCTTTAGACTAGGGGTTGGCAATCAGGGCCATAGATTAAAAACCACACAGGGTACTTTTAAACCATTATTCCCCCAGGCCCCACACCAAGATTCTGGAGTGGATCGATACTTTTTTAAAACCTCCCCCAGGTGATTCTAATGTGCAGCCAACATTGAGAACCATTACTTAAACCAAATCCATTGCAACAACACAACCTGGAAATCCTGGGGAACGTATTGTAAAGAAATTTCTGATGGTTTGAGCTTTCAGTAGTGATTTGCATCTCCTGAGAATTGTACCTGGAGCTATGTCTCTAGGGACAGTGATGGGCTTGTGTGAATCTATTGTAAGGAGCCTGAGACCTGCATTTGTAGGAGGCCCACTGGTGTTCAGTCACAGTTGCTAAACGGGACAGAGAAAAACTGATGGCTCCTCTCCAGAATGGAGCCTCAAGATGTAAACTTTCCTCTTCACTTAAGGAAACTTAGCAGAGGTGAAGGAAAAGGAGGAAGCTGCATGTGCCCTAGAGGAAAGGAGGACAGGGAAGGCCTGAGGGAAAGGGCCAAGTCCTGGGCTCAGATGAAGATTGGAAAGTGGGGGCATGGAGGAAAGAGGAGAAGCAGCAGCCCCGCTCCCAGCATCATCAGAAATCCAGCAGCTCTGGCTTCTTCCTTCCATAGCGCATCCTCAATTCTCTGTCTTCTGTTTTTCACTCAGTCGGAATCACCCAATGGGAAAGGCAGCCTACCTGTCACTTCAGCACTGCCTGCACTTTTGGAAAAGTAAGTTTGTCGATTTTCCTCTTGGCTTCAGGGATCTCTCAGGAAATTTTCCCCATTTTACTTTCCTTCCTCCCATTTTTATCCCCAAAATGCAGTGGAAAGCAAATTAAGTTTTAAGGGAAATGAATGGGAGTCTGAAACCCACAAAGATTTCAGAACCTGTTTGCAAAATTCTTGAACCAGGAAGATGCCCTGAGTGAGGCCAAGTGTACCCAATCTTAGAGAGCCCAGAGAAGGCTGGAGCCTTCTCTGCCAATTGGGATTCCTTGGGCTACAGACAAAATAAAGCCCCAACTCAATGGGACTTAATTAAGTCCAGAGGTAGAGCTGCTCCTGGTATGGCACAGCAGGGCTCTAGCTCAGCGAGTCTACAACTTCCTTGCCTCTGGCCACATTGTATGTTAACTTCATCATCAGGATTGTGGCAAATGGCTGGTAGTTCCTGGGATCCCCTCCAGACAGGACAATACCTAGAGGAAGAAAGGGACTGTTTCTTGCCATGTTCCTTTCTTAGGAATAAACCCAGAAGCCTTTCACCAGTCTTCTCTATTATCTCATTGACAAATCTGGAAGGAAGTCCCTTTCTAAAAGAATCACTTTGGGAAAGGGATTGTCATTATGGGATTAAACTATTCCCTGGGGTTGGTGAGAGGGTCAGCTTCCCATAAAGCAAAATGACTCCATGAAGAAGAGTAAATTCCTGAACAGAATCATGTTGCTGTTAGGAAGTAGGAAGGAAAATGCATATTGGATTAGCAGCCAGCAGTTTCTGTGATTTTCTAGGCATCTATGCAATTTGCAGATCTTTTCATCCTCAGCCAGAGTAAGGCAGGCTGTTTCTATGCACTCAGAGGATTTTATAGCTTACTTTTCAAATTCTTTCATTTGCTTGCTGAAAAACATCTGGATCACACCTGCTGCCTCTCAGAATTTTCCCCTTGTGTCTTTTCTCACTTGGTAAAACATATACCTTATTCTTCCTTCTTCCTTGCCTCAAGACAGCTTTAGTCCTTTGTTTTTCTTTGCTGTTAGAAAAGTTTTGCTATCTGGCAGGGAACCTGTATGTTGGGACCCTTTTCAGTACAGACAAGCTCCCATCTCCAGACTCAGCCTGCCTCCTACATCTGTCATTCTGTATAGCCACCAGCTTATCACCCAGTGATTTGTTAGTCTTGAAGTTTGCCCAGCATTTCGTCTCTTTGCCACCTCACCCCCATAAGCTCACAGGTCCTTCGTGTTATAGAGGGTCTCTTGGGGTCTCTCTCTCTGTCTTTTCTTGATCACTACAGGGAAATTGTCAAGAGGCAACACAACCACCACCACATGGAAGTAACCGAGTTTACAGAAACTTACCAAGTCCCTAGAGTCATAGTACCTCATCCAGGGTCTCTGAATCTCTCCAGAAATGGTCACCTCATGCTCTGACTGAGAAACCCACTAAAATTCTCCCTGCCAACCTTCCCTTTGGGTGCACAGATCCCTACTTCAGAGAACCCTCAACTCTAGCCCCTTTCCCAACTCTAGGCCTGCAGAGCCACTCAAGGCAGAAGATCTCTTCAACAGACTCTTAATCATGACAGAGAGGGCCTGAACTCTGTAGAACTTATGCCAGGCCAGTTGAGCACTTCTGTCCAAGGCAGTGGGGATCATGAAAACATGAATTATCCTTGGTAAGGGAAACTGAGGTACAAAATTGGAGACAATAAGCAGCAGCCCCAAATTAGGAGTGTCAATGGGTGACGATCAATAGTGGCATCACCTTTCCAGTGCTTTATAGAACCTGGAGAGATATGGACAGAGTGGGGATTAAGGCAAGTCAAGCACACTGGGGCTGACTCGCCAGTTGGGAATATACCCATGTAAGAATGGTTGCAAAGAGGTGAGGGCATCTTTAGAGGAAGAGGGGTTCAGGATGAACAACAGCTTCCCCTTCTGGATTTCTCAAAGATGTTAAGTGATTTCCATTTAAAACTGGAAACATGGCCAGGCACGGTGGCTCACACCTGTGATCCCAGCAGTTTGGGAGGCTGAGGCGGGTGGTTCATGAGGTCAGGAGTTCAAGACCGCCTGGCCAAGATGGTGAAACCCTGTCTCTACTAAAAATACAAATAAATAAATAAATAAATATAAAGTGGAAAATTTACTTGATTCCCAACAGACTAACAATGAGACAATATATGAGTAAAAGTGAATTCGTATCTTCTGTCCTATACACAAATACAGTCAATTCTAACTGCCCTATCCATATCGTGAAAGAGAAATAATGTGTTATAGTTTAATATACATTGCTTTGGAGACTGTTGTATTCAGCTTTGTGTTAAAATGATTTCACCTTTCCTAAGCATACAGTGACAAAGCAGGAAGGGCACTGGCTAAGCAAAGGATAAGATCAAATACCCTGTGGCTAGTTCACAGGAAGATACTTGAGAGCTGGTTACACTGCTTCATGAGATTTCAGAGAATGCTGAGCCTTGTTCTTGGAGGTCATTTCGTAATGAACTGCTCTTCACTCACCAAGGGCCTAGAAACCTGTAGACTTAAACATATGGGTGGAGAGTGATATTTAAAGTTAGTCCTGAAGATGAAGAGAAAACAAAGCTCAAGAGCAGTTCCACAAGTAGAAATGGCTATGTAATTGTAGTCTTTTGTTCTTTCATTCCTTCAGCAATTAATCACCAAGGGCCAGGCACATAGAATGTACTCAAGGAGCTTGCAGTCTAGCGGGAAAGACAGATGGGAAGCAGCCTATTATAATACAACATGATGGGTGGGATCGTAAGGAAGTGTAGGTTGCTAAGGGAATGATGCACAGAAAATGAGCACCTAACCTGATTTTGGTGTAAGGTTGGGGGAACTGGGGAAGTGGGGGGAAGAGAGAGCTTAGAAAATGATTCCCCTTGGCTGGGCAGTGGCTCACGCCTGTAACCCCAGCACTTTGGGAGGCCAAGGCAAGTGGATGACTTGAGCTCAAGAGTTGAAGACCAGCCTGGGCAATATAACGAAAGCCCCATCTCTACAAAAAATATAAAAATTAGCCAGGCGTGGTGGCGTCCACCTGTAGTCCCAGCTACTCAGGAGGCTGAGGTGGGAGGATGGCTTGACCCCAGCCGGGAGAAGTTTCAGTGAGCTGAGATTGCACCACTGCACTGCAGCCTGGAGCCTGAGCGACAGAACCAGACCCTGTCTCAAAAAACAAAAAAAAAAAAGTTTCCCTCTAGGAACTTACTTTTAAAGTAAAAATCTAAAGGGTACATAATCAACTAGGTGAACAGGAGGTTAACAACATTCCAGGCTTTGTCCATGTGACAAAGTATGGAGTATTCAAGGAATGATGATAATGATAACGATGACAATGGTAATTACTGTTGACTATTTACAGCACTGATGACAATGGTAATTACTGTTAACTATTTACTGCACTGATGACAATGGTAATTACTGTTAACTACTGCACTGATGACAATGGTAATTACTGTTAACTATTTGCTGCACCTCGCTGTATGCCAAGTGCTTTGCTAATTGCTTTGTATTAATAATCTCAGTTAATCCTCACAGTAATTCCATGAGGTAGGTGTACTATTAATATCTCTGTTTTATAGATGAGGAAACTGAAGCTCAGAGAAATCGTCACTTGCCTGAGGTTACACAGCTGGTAGATAGCAGAGCACATGCCCTTACCCTTTTAATAGACCGCCCAACTGGAAGAACAAAACGAAGTTCAGTGTGACCATAGAGAAGAGGATGAATTTAAGAGCTATTTTTGAAAGAGCATGGTGACCGGTTGGGCATGGAGTGGAGAACAGAGTCGGGGTGAGAGACAGGGTGTGTGTGGAACCGTTCACAGAGCGATCAGCAAAACCAGGATGTAGATGATGCACAGGGTTAGTGTCAAAAAGGGGTTATTATGTTAATGTATCACAGAGCAATTTTAACTCTGAATCTCTAAAAATAACCATGTTTCTATACTCTTGAAGCACCCAGGGTAAATTCCTTAAAGATTTCACAGGACACTAAATTTGTACAGTAAGCAACTCCCCTTTGCTGATGGTATCTTGGAGTGAATTCCTCCCTCCCGCCACCCACCCCAATAAACTTGTGGCGGACCCCAGGTATCTAGAACTGAGTAACACGGAGTAAGGAAGCTTGGGTTCCCTGGGCTGGGCTTGTCAGAGGGAACCATGGCAGTGGGGGTGACTTGGAAATATTGCTGAGCCCAAGAAGATATGCCGATCACAAAGGATAGTAGCCACTTTCAAATATTGTTTACCATGTGGGAAAAGTTGAATCTAATATACCTGCCTGTCCAAAAATATATTTTGACTAAATAGTTCTTCACATTACTGAGAGCTGAGCACAATGACAAACATTTTTGACCTGGTGCACGTGTGAGAATAATGAGCCTCATTTTCATGAATCATCCCAGAAAGAAAGCACATAGGATTTCAGGCAGGGGACAGATGCCAAGATCCATGAGCCTTCGGGCCAGAAATCCCTAGGGTGGGCACAGGCTGTGCTCAGCTCCAGTTTATAGCCATGATTACAGATTCGTTTAGTCCAACCCAAACACTGGGTTCTCAGGAAATAACCATTTACAGAGAGGACTTGTGCCTTTTACAACATTCCTAGTAGGGACTGGATAAGTCATAGTGAAACCGATGCAACTTGACAGGCACTTAAAGGCACCTACTGTATGCCAGGCACTATTCTGACCCAAACACAGTCCTTCTTCCTGTGATGACAGTCATATGCAGGTATCTAAAACATACATCAATGCCTCCCTGTGAGTCATGCTGTCACAGAGGTGCGGTGGCAGCATAAAGGGAGAGAGAGGGCCAGGTGCGGTGGCTCATGCCTGTAACCCCAGCACTTTGGGAGGCCGAGGCAGGTGGATCACTTGAGGCCAGGAGTTCGAGACCAGCCTGGCCAACATGGTGAAACCCCATTTCTACTAAAAATGCAAATATTAGCCAGGCGTGATGGTGCACGCCTGTAATCTCAGCTACTTGGGAGGCTGAGGCAGGAGAATCGCTTGAACCTGGGAGGTGGAGGTTGCAGTGTGCCCAGATCATGCCACTGCACTCCAGCCTGAGTGACAGAGCGGGACCCTGTCTCAAGGAAAAAAAAAAAAAAAGGAGAGATCAACTTTAACCAGAGGGTGTGGGGGAGGGGAGAACACCAGCAAAGGTTTCACAGAGGAGAAGGCATTTGAGCTTAGTCTTAAAGATGCTTAGAGAGAAACTTCCAGATAGTTAGAGAAGATATTTAGGAAACTACAAGCTCAGTTTAGAGGTCAGGAGAGAACAGCAAACATTTTACATGTTGTGTTTCCCCCACTTGCCACCCTACCCACAACCCCTCCACTCCCCCCTACCCACCCTCCACACACACACACAGTAAACAAAGGCCCTCCCAGCCACTTACACTGTAGACAAGCAGCCTTGAAAAGAGGGGCAGCATGGAAGCCATGGTCCAGCCTGAGGGCAGGAAGGGCTTCACTCAGCAGAGTGAAAGGAAGAGACTTCTGTTGAAAGAAAGGCAGGGGGATTCATGGAGGGCTTCTATTGAAAGAAAGGTGGGGGTTCATGGAGGGCTTCTATTGAAAGAAAGGTGGGGGTTCATGGAAGGCTTCTATTGAAAGAAAAGCGGGGGTTCATGGAGGGCTGGAAAGTCCATCTTGACACACAGGTAGAAGACCAAGGTGAGAGTCCCAGCACCAATAACGTGAATTTAGGCAAGTCACTTAATCAACCTGAGCTTGGGTTTCTTATCTGTGAAATGGGATAATACCCCACCTAGGTGGCAGATAGTGCAGTCAGAAGAATGGGCACATATCAGACTGCACAGGGTAAAATTTGAGCTCTACCACACACTGGTTGTATGATCTTGGGCTGGTCCCGAGATCATACACATTCTCTCACTTGATCTTTCCAATGATAAGAAGAGCTAAAAGTTAACTTACTTATCAGGCTCTGTTCTAACATCTCATTTAAGGCTCACAAATGACCCAAGAAGGTATTACTGTTCTCTGTTTGACAGATATGAAATCACTTGAAATGCGATTCTCATGCCTCAGCCTACTTTTTGAGCCTTGGTTTCCTCATCTGTCAAACAGAGAACACTAATACCTTCTTGGGTCATTTGTGAGCCTTAAATGAGATGTTAGACCACAGCCTGATACATATAAGTTAATGTTTAGCTCTTCTTATCATTGGAAAGATCAAGTGAGAGAATGTATATGAGAGCCCTATAGGGGAGCTGAAATGAACAGAAGATCTGCATGTAAAAGAGTCGATGAAATGGGCTTCCTGGCCCTGCTAGGGAAAAGTTTTCCTCTCTAGAGATCAGTGACCCAAGGACAATGAGAGCTTTGTTTACAGTCACTTATCTGCAAAATTCTAAGGTGCATAATGTGTGATGACACACAATAGACATGCACCTGAGAAAGTTCCTAAAGCCATTTTATGAAAATGTAATGTTAATTTACCATACCTTAAATTAGTTCACATTTAGGGTTCCTCTGACTCTGAAGTGTCTCAGTAATATATAACAAGCTCTCCCTTGATGATATAAATAATTGCCTGGATTTTTTATGAGTCATATTTGGAGGTAGCTCAGATTGCTCCCAAAATGTACCAATACATTTACTATATAACAATAATAATAGCAGATATAATTTGTTGAGTGCCATATTCCAGAAAGTTTATTGACATTTCTTCATTAATTCTTACACCTCCACCATCAGGTATGTATTACTATCCCCATTGTACAGTTGAGGAATCTGAAGTTCAGGAAGATTAAATAATTTGCATGTTTTGGAGCTGGTATTTGAATCCAAGTTTGCCTCAGGCGAGTTCTTTTCCTTTATACTACACTGTCCTCCTTCACGCATGCTTAACATTAAGGAACCTCTAAGGCTGACAGTTGTATATAAATCAAAAGTCTGATACCAATATCTCATTTCATATATATATATATATATATATATATATATATATATATTTCATGAAAGAATTACTTTCCCTGCCCTTGGCTGTAGCTATGTTTTTCTCCTCTTGCTCCAGTCGTTTGGATAAATAGGAAACTGCACATTAGGCCAAGGTCACATGGAAGGGAGTGGATAATGTAATTTGCAAAAGGAGAAATGTTATGAACAGCTGGTATTTTTAGAGCGTTATCTTTCTTGTTCACAATGGGTTGTGGTTTCCAGCCTGACTAAATGTAAATTTTAAAAGGTCTGAGGAAAACTAAGAGATGGGAAACTGATGCCAAGAATGAGGAGAAGATACAAGGCTCACTCATAAACCCTGTCTGAGAGTTCAGGGAGGGTGGCAGCTGTGATCTTTCAGAGTCCTGGCTGGAAAGCTCTGCTCACAGTGTTGCCTTGTTGGAGGACTCCTCCATGACGACATTGCTCCCATTGGGAATCAGGACATGAAGGTGGGCTGCAGGATTTCTAGGGAAAGCATAGCCATCTGGATACTTCCTTTAAACTTGTGATCCCATACCTGCAATGATCTCCCAGCACCTCCCAGCCATCTTACCAAGATGTTCTAGTATGTCTGTTTTCCTTCTTTCTCATATAACTCTTTTACACCCCTCCTCTCTCCACAGACCTTCCTAGACCCCTCTACCTCTCACTCTCAGCAGATGACCTTGCCTTCCACTTTATAGAGAATACCTAAGCTACATTCCCATAGGAGCCCTCTCACTTTCCTTCACCAGATCTCCAGCCCAACAACTTCATCATCATCTTACCTTTGTTACAAACAAGGAGAGATTCTCTAGTTTTCCAAGGTCTGTCCCTATTTCCTTTTGCAAAGACTGAGTTCCTTCGGGCATCCCTTTCTCTCATCCTCTACTGGATCATTTCTACCTACATTCAAATGTGCATCCTCCCTTGACCTACTTCAGCTGCACACTCCCTCCAACACACCCCTCTACTCTCCTTCCTACTCGAATTGCTGTGTCTGTGGCTTCCCCTTTCCAACCTCCCCTTCTTTACTTTAAACCTGTGCTTGGCTCCCAACATTACACAGAGGCTCCTGTTGACCTCTGTATTATCAAATCTAATAGTCACCTTGTCTGCACGCTTCAAACTCAGAAGTGTGTGGCACTGTTTACTCTTCCGCCTTGATGAGCTCTTGTCTCCTGGCTCCCAAGACTCCACCTGCTCCTAGGTTTCCTCTTACCTCTCTGGCTGCTACTTCTCAGCCTTCTCTGAAGATGCCTTCTTTTCCACCTGAGACAAGTGTGGAGTTCCTCATGACTTGGTCCTGGGTCCTCCTCTTGTCTTTCTTCATATTATCTCCCTAAGCAATCTTGTCTATCCCCGTGGCTTTAAATAACATTTATGTTCTGATGACACCAAATGAATATCTCCAGCTAAAACTTCCCTGACTCACTTTGGTGAATTCAACTGTCTACTTGACATCTCCCTTTGGATACCTCACAGGCATTGCAAATGTCTCTTGTCCAAAAGTTAACTCCTGCCACACTGCCTCTTTTTAAGTTCTCAAACAACTCAGCACCTTTTGTGTCTCAGAGTCTTTACATAACCCGCATTCTCTTCCTGGAATGATCTCTCCTCTGCTTTTTTACTGAGTTTTGCTTTGTCATCCAGGCTGGAGTGCAGTGGTGCGATCTCAGCTCACTGCAACCTCTGCCTCCAGGCTCAAGCGATTCTCTTGCCTCAGCCTCCTGAGTACCTGGGATTACAGGTGTGTGCCACCACACCTGGCTAATTTTTGTATTTTTAGTAGAGATGGGGTTTCACCATGTTGGCCAGGCTGGTCTCGAACTCCTGATCTCAGGTGATCCGCCCGCCTTGGCCTCCCAAAGTGCTGGGATTACAAGCATGAGCCACCACACCCAACCCTCTCCTCTGCTATTAATACATCTGACTTCTCATCCTTCAGGCCTGTGCTTCAACTTCAGCACCTCAGAGAGGCCTTTTCTAACTATTCACTCTAAACACATTCTCTCCTTGTTATTTTCTGTCACTGTACAGAATTTCTTTCATAAAAGTTATTATTTGTAATTAATCACATATTTTTTCTTTCCTTTTTTGGGGCTTTTCCTTCTGCTAAGTTCCATGTTGGTAAAAACCATTTCTTTATTTTCTAATGTGCCCCCAGCACATTACAATGTGCCTGTGGCTTAGTCATGCTGAGTGGATATTTGAAAAGATGAGTGGGGGTCTTCAGGTGAAAGATAGACAACAGGAATGGAATGACCTTAAACGTGCTGGTCTGCCCCCATTTTCCTCATCTCAGCGCTGTAGATCACCCATTACAGCATCTCCTGGAATAAGAATAAACGCCAGTTTGGGAGCATGAGGAGAAGGGGAGCTGGTGAGGTATTTAATGGGCTGGGGAAAATTCATGGACTAGGACCTTTATAAAATCTTGTCTCAGGGTAGAAGGATTGGGAAAAAATCTGAAAGTTACTGAAAAAGCCTGAGTTTCCTCACTCCTAATCAGGAATCGGGCCAAAAACATGGTTTTGTTTTTAGGCCTCCACCTTTTTCTGAAATGATGCCCTGTACTTCCCTCTTCTCACTAGTGGAAAGACAAATGGGGACCCAGATTGTGAAGCCTCTGCTCCTGCGCTGACCCTGAGCTGCCTGGAGGAGCTTAGTCAGGAGACCAAGGCCAGGATGGAGGAAGAAGCCTACAGCAAGGGGTGAGTCAGACCTCAGCCACCCCAAGGGCACCTGGCAGTTCTCAGAAGATGCCTTCCCATGGGTCTTTCTTGTTTCTTAGAGGCTTTAGGGAAGTAACCAGTGGCCGCAGGACCTCCTTGCCACAGGAAGGAACTACATAGGAAAGAGCAAGACTGTTCCACAGGAAGGACAGGAGGAAGCAGGGTCAGAGGGTGTGGTTAGACAATAACAAGACTGCCCTCTTTTTAGGCAGAGAGCCACCAGAATGCCACCGCTCAGAATAGTCTGGAAATCAGGGGTCCTGGATGGGTTCCTCTTGGTGGTGCCTGAGGCTTCCTGACACGTGCTCAAAGCAGTCATGTTGCTGCCAGCAGTGCCCAGGAGCAGCTGCAGCTCTGCTCCCTAGAACTGCTTTGGTCACTCCTTCCTCCTATAAATGGAGTCTCTTCAACTTCGAACTGCCTCCTCCTCCATTTGAGCTTCAATAGCACCCATGGCCAGTTGTCAGCACTGGAGAGACCAAGTCCTGAGCAGGTACCAAGCCTCAAGGTAGAGAATCACCTCCAACCATGTATGGTGCCCTATGCGTCTCCTGTCTCCATAGCTCATGAGGAAGACATAGCTTCCCACTGGCACAGAACCCATGGGCTTCAGTGGTGGGTTTGCCCAGCCAAACTGCTAGTGTTAGACACTCAGCATAGGACAAGTGAACAGAGTATGTTTGGGGTAATATTGACCCTGGGGGAGAAAAACCACAAGGGTTTCTCTTTGAAAGCGTGCCTTTCTCACCCACCACTGTGCTCTATC
Source organism: Homo sapiens (assembly GCF_000001405.40). Taxonomy (NCBI): domain Eukaryota; kingdom Metazoa; phylum Chordata; class Mammalia; order Primates; family Hominidae; genus Homo; species Homo sapiens. The sequence continues at coordinate 10,581,079 of NC_000011.10, read as the reverse complement.
CTTGGAATTTATGGGCATGAACTCCTTCATTGGTTTCGTAAACATTTACTGAGTACCTCTCTAGATCAAGCCATGTGCCTGGCACTTGCAAAAATCATTCCAACGCCCTGTGAAATGAGTGTCACCCTCTCTCTTTTACAGATGAGAGGCTGAAGCTCCACGGTCACATGGAGAACAAATACAATCTTAGCCCTACGGAATGTTTTGTGGGTTAAGAACCCAGTCAGGAGACCCTGCACCACATTTTTTCCCTGTCAGTTTTGTCACACTTTCACATAAACAGGAAGGATGACTGAGGAGTGAGGGGAAATGGTACTGGCGTGAGCTGCCTTAGGATTCAGTGGAGCTTCCCAGCTTTTTCCTGTTTTGTGGAACCATAGGAAGCACATAATTATTGGAGGTGCTGCTCAAGTCCCCTCCCCTAGGAACTCAGGAAAGGATGCACTGCATCTGCCCTTTCCAGACTCAACTGTTCCTTTTTGCCCCCCAGATTCCAAGAAGGTCTAAAGAAGACCAAAGAACTTCAAGACCTGAAGGAGGAGGAGGAAGAACAGAAGAGTGAGAGTCCTGAGGAACCTGAAGAGGTAGAAGAAACTGAGGAAGAGGAAAAGGGCCCAAGAAGCAGGTGGGAAGCCTGTGTTTGGAGTCCTTGCCGTTGCTGAAATGGGGGTTACAATTCATCTAATTTAAATGCACAAAATCCCTGGAAATGCCAGTCCAGGGCAGCAGTGAATCTGGGGCCCCAGTGAGTAGCCCAAGAAACCAAGAGGGCACACATGTTGGGAAGGAGGTAGAGGAAATCCCAAAGAGCCAAGATAGCTAGCAATGAGAAGTTTGCAAGAGCTTGAGAGGTCAGGGGCAGTCATGGGAAGGGAGGATGGCAATCAAGAGCTCCAGGAGCTAAGGAAGGGCGAAGGGCCCTGAATGGAGTCCCTCCCAGCCCAGCCATGGTTAGCTCATTTCCCAGATGAAATTATGGGTAGCCATCCCCATGAAGAGGCCCAAGACAAAGAGAGTTGACTCGAAGCCCTGGAGTGAGTTTCTTACAAGAACAGGGACAGGGAGGACACACGGAATAGAGGGCAAACTCAGCTCAGTGGCAAAGGTGAGTCTCCAGCAGGTGCCTACCATGCTGACCAATCAAGCTTGGTCTTCACTTTAGGTTGGAAATACTTGGGGTTTTCTTTTAAAATACTTCCTATTTCAAAGGTACTTTCCCCTAAGTTGGGGAAGGAGAATATAACATGTAGATAAAGAGAATATAGACCTGTATCTTGTCCCACTTGTGGTTCCTGCCTGGCCTTTAGGATGCAGAATCGTAGAAATGACCTAATTTAGTTCCAGGGCACTCCATGCAATGAAGTATTATAGGAATGAGGTCTCAGCCCCACCTGGCCTGAATTATCCCCTAGAAGTTCACGCTTAGGGATAGGATAAACTAGCACCCATAGATGAGGTGTTACTCTACCCCACAGATATAATAACCATGCCAACATTCTGGATTTTCAGGACAGCCCAATTTCATATATTCAGCTATGTTGTCTCTATTAGTATAGTTAAACCACAAGTCTTGAATTTTGATTTTTTAAAATGTAGTAATAGCCACCTTGGAAAACCTTCACCAAAATCTATTTTTAGACCCCTGGGATATCTTGGGGTCCAGGGCAGCTCCAGACAAAATATCTAATCAGCTGCTGAAATATTATCTAATCTGGGTATGTATCTGTGCCTCATTGCTGGAAAACTCTGGAAACCACATGCATGCAACAAATAGGTAATGAAGTGAAGATTAGAAGCAAAATGGATAGGCACACAGGAGCTATCAATAGAGCCCAGTTGGTGGAGAATTCAACTAAAGTCAGAGGTCTCAGCCCATGCTGGTCGACCCCATTGTTCAGGGGAAGAGCCGTTAGGAGAACTGGAGAAATGCTTCTCCACTGAAAACAAATCACACACTGTCTCCCCAGTGAAAGAACCTCCAAGTTTAACAATTAAAGTGCAATCCCTACTCCAAGCAACCAGATCCTGTTCTCCTTAGGCCTCATCTCCCTCCTGAGGGTTCTCTGCTGATATTTCTCAGTCCACCACATTGCCTTCCTCCCCTTTAATGCAGTCAAGCAAAGCCCTAGACAAAAAGCCTTTCCTCTGGCACCCGTGAATACAGCAGAGACAGACTGGAACTTCTAACACTTCCAAACACTGAGAAAGAACAAAAGAGAAATAAACAGAGAGAGAGTACATGGAATATAAACAGTCTGGTTTGCAAAGCAAGGGGCTCAATGTCTTATCTAGCTAATTCAATCTCAGGCAATTGTCAGCTCCCTCCCATTTCATGAAACCCCAGGGGAAGTAAGGCTTAGCTTGGTTCCTTTCTGTCCAGCTCCTGGTCATCAGTGAGTGGCAATGGTGCCTGTAACATTTATCATGCACCTGCTCTCAAACATGATTTCTTCCCTGAAATGTTGGTGCCTCACTAACAAGCAAGGTTTGAGGTTATTAAGAGTTCCATGTCCTACTTATTGCATTTTTAAAACACTGGGTTCAGCCCAGCTGCTGATCGCTTAAGAGATTCAACATCACACATTAAAGTATTTTTGTCTGAGTCACGTATCTGTTATATATAACAATTATGTTACAAATATTGCTCTCTTGAGGATCAGTTTAAATAAACTTTGGGTAAACCCCAATATTTTAACCATATTAAAACAGAAAGCACAGTCTTCTGACATTGAACAAGTGAGACTCATAAGGGACAAGATAAAACTTTTGTCTTTTCTCCTAACGGCTGTTCAAACCAGTTCTATGGGGTTAAGAGGACATTTAGGTTCCTTTACTTTTCCAATAACTCTCAGGAAACAGAAGTTTACTTATTATAACCAAAAATTGACTTCTAAAGAAATTCTATTTCTAATCTATTTCTAAACTCTTTTATAGGCCAGGCATGGGTGACCAGCTAAGGTCACACAGACAGATCTTGGTCTCTTCCTCCAGAGCCACACTTAAGAGTGGGGTTAGAGTAGGGAGAAGCCACTCTGGCACCTTGTTTTGGAGGATGGAAATACAGCCCCAAAGGCTCCATTTTAGCATCCAACTCTGTCTAAATAGAATCTAGAGAATCTACAAAGGGCTGAGAGAAAATAACCTTCTACTTCTAAACCCTGCCTTCCCAACAGTTGTGAAAATAGTCAATGATTTTCAAATCAGCGAATGTGTTCACTTTCGTGCTTTCCTTAATTGTGACTGAAATGATCTGATGGGGTTCCCGCATGGAACGGAAACCTGTCAATGTTCTCTGTGGCCCTAGCATCCAAGGCAGGCATTCTGAGCATCTGGTCCCTTTCTAAGGAGGGCATTTATTGAGTCTGTCAATCCTTTGTTAGTCATGCATTTTCTGCTACCTCAAAATTTGAGCTCTCCGCTTCTCAGCCAATGGCTTGGTCATTGCTGTGTGTGTATGAGCCTCAGGATCTTCAGAAAGCACTTCTATCACTTTCCCCACCTCCTTGGTTCAGGAATCCTCAGTATTCTCATTTTTCATATTATTTTTTAAATTGGGTTAGAGGTTAAAAACATCAGGAAATCCTGGCTTAATGAAGGGGCTCAGGGCTTCTTCAGAGAGCTCTAGAATGAACTTGTCAAAGCAGGCCATCTGCCCGGTGTCTTTTTACCACACCACAGAGAGAGAGAGAGGACAAAATGAAAGACAGTTGGGAAGGAATCAAGAGGGAAAAGGGGCAAAAATGGAGAGGAAGAGAGAGATGAAAGGGATAGAGAAAGAAGTGTGGAGAGAGTGAAGGAAGAAGAGGAGGAAGAGGGAGAAATTAGAGAATAAATATTAATGAGGTTGAGATAACATCATGAACAAACCACCCAGACATTGCTAGAGGCTTCTAATCTTCTGCCTGCTCTTGGATGGTTTGAAGTGAACTCTTGAGGTTGATCTAGTCCCTTGTCATTTATCACTGGATATCAAGCTGCTTAGAGTTTAGCACAGTCCTTCTACTCTGGACACAGTTAGATGTGGAACTGAGAACAATGAATTACGCATCTGAGGCAAGGCACAGGTTAGAGCTTGGAACTGATCATTAATGCAGCTAGGTGCTAAAAAGATGCATGGCCAACCAATCCTGTACCCCCGGGCTTGGGAGAGTGCAGATATCAGTAATCACCCCGTGAATAGATGAGGGCATGTATGGATGGATGATCAAACAATTAAGTAGAATGATCTAGATAAGTAGCTCTCAACTTCAAGGCTGTGGACTGGTGGAATCAAAATCACCTGGGAAAATTTAGCCAATGATTCCTGGACCATAACTTTGGATATTCTCATTTAGTATGCTTGGGGTATTTTGAACAATTGCTGCCAACCCAATCTAGGCACAGCTAAGTTTGAGAACTATTGCTCAAGACAGCATGGAAGCTATCCGCAGAGAGAACTGTGGGTCTGTGTATCATATGTGTGCCCAGTATACTAAAGCCTCTGCATATTTTTTTTCATTGACAGCAAACTTGAAGAATTGGTCCATTTCTTACAAGTCATGTATCCCAAACTGTGTCAGCACTGGCAAGTGATCTGGATGATGGCTGCAGTGATGCTGGTCTTGACTGTTGTGCTGGGGCTCTACAATTCCTATAACTCTTGTGCAGAGCAGGCTGATGGGCCCCTTGGAAGATCCACTTGCTCGGCAGCCCAGAGGGACTCCTGGTGGAGCTCAGGACTCCAGCATGAGCAGCCTACAGAGCAGTAGGAAACCTCACACCTAGCCAGTGCCCTGCTCTGAGACACTCAGACTACCACCCTTTCCCCAAGTATAACGTCAGGCCCAAGTGTGGACACACTGCCGCCCATCCCATCAGGTCATGAGGAAGGGTTCTTTTAACACTCGGCACTTCTGTGGGAGCTATTCATACACAGTGACTTGATGTTCTTGGAGGATCAACAAAACTGCCCTGGGAAAGCATCCAGTGGATGAAGAAGTCACCTTCACCAAGGAACTCTATTGGAAGGGAAGGTCTCCTGCCCCTAGCTCAGGTGGCTGGGGAGAACTAAAACACCTTCACTGGTGGTTGGGGGTAAGGAGCGGGGCACGGGGGAGGAGGAGGTAGGGGGCAGTAAAAAACTTACTCTCTTTTTTCCTCTCTGTAATTGGTTATCAGGAAGAATTTGCTTAATGACTAACACCCTAAGCATCAGACCTGGAATTTGGAGTTGCAAAGTGACTATCTTCCCATTTCCCATCTCATTTTCAATAACTTCAGCCTCCCATTCTTTCCTTTGGAATGAGAGTTTCTTTTTACAGAAGTAGGAAAGGCTTCTCAGAAAAAAAAAAAAAAGTATAGGCTGAATTTAGCTCAGTGCTTGAAATGGGAAGATATGAATTATTATATACGCATCTGTCCACACATACACACATACTGTTGTGTACACACACACAACATGCCTGTGCACAGAGCCAACAACCCTTCAAAAGTGTGCTCTGGGTGTGTACCTCTGGATAAATAAGATGCATGCCAAGCCAACCCACAGATTTTCACCAGTGTGGGGCAGTCACCAGGCACCTGTTCAATGAGCTGTCCACATGGATTGAAGATGTTTTAAAAACACAGAAAACTCATGGCTTCAATGGCAGACTTACTAGTCTCCATTTCAAATGCCAACTCTGAGCTGCTGTACAGCACAATCTATTCCCTATTCTCTCTTTGAAAACAGTTAACCCACCTCACAGGTGAATGAGGAGAGAAGATGTGCTTTCTGCTTCAGTCTCTTACTCTGTGTGTGACCACATGCAAGAGTAAACTTGCACCTCAGTGCTTCAGTTCAAATGGGGTTTCCAACCCCAGTATAATTAGGGGTGTTTCAGAGCATCCCCAGTTATTTAGCACAACACTGAAGGAGCACATCCCCTCTCCATTTTGACTTCTCTCCCCACTTTTACAGCCACTGCCTTCATCAGTTTTGTAGAGGTTTGATTTCCATGTGGGTTTTGTTGTCATTGTTTTGCATTTTTGTTTTGTTATTGATATTGTTTGCTTTCATTGCTAAAACTCATATACGACTTACTATGAGCCAAGCACTGTTCTCAGTATTACATAGGTATGAATTCATTTAAGTCCTGAAGAAAAAGAAAAAAAAATACGAAGTGGATATTACCCTTCCCATTTTCAAATAAGGAAACTGAAGCACAAAAAGAACAAGTAACTTGACAAGGACACCCCGGTAGTAAATCATGGGGCTGGAGCTCAACCCCAGGGTAGGCTGGCTCCAGAGCTGTGCTCTCCTTGACTCTTCTGATGGTCTCCTAGCTGGAAGCCTCACATTTCAGTCTCATTCCCCCAAGTGGCCCATCAGCTACTCCATCTCTGGCTCCCCAACTAAACAGTTTCTCTCATAGTGCTGGACCTCCACTCACTAGTTTTTTTTCCAGCTGTTCTTCTCTTTTCTTCAGGTCACTCTTCTCGACCGAGTGCAAAAATTATCCCCTCCATACCAGCTTTGATGACCTTCCTTCCATACTCCTCACCAGACACAACATAATAGGTCACACACTCCTCTGTGCTTTCTGGCACGTTTTAAACATTATTATTATTGACCTTTACCTATAGTATACCATGGCCTATTTATGTATCCATCTCCCCTAGCATTTTTCCTCAAAGACAAGAACCATGTCTTACCCATCTCTTGGGTAAGTGCCTAGCATGGTGGCTGACGCTTGGGAGGGTGTCATTAAATGTTGCTCAAAAGAACAAGCAAACATTTAAGGTGGTGGAGAGCAGCCTGGGGACAGCTGACATGCTGCATGCTTCTCAGTACCAGCACCATCACAATGCAAAAAGCAACATCTTTCTTAACCTCAGCTTATTCTGTTTTTCAGTCTACTCTGTGAGAGAGCAGGAATGAGACCAGACTAGCAACACCATTGCCAAGCTCAAGGACTGGGCTCAATGCAGTCACTCCTTCAGAGAGACCCCCCACCCCAAGCATGCCCCACTTTAAAATAGCATGTTTATTGAAGGGGGCATCCTTTACAGTAGCTAGAAAATGACTGAGGCCCAAGCCAGGGTTGATCAAGGATGTGCCATTAAGGTAAAGAGTTACAGAGCAGGGCAGAGGGACTCTGGGGGCAGAAGTGGATGATTTGCCCGGCCTCTTCCAGGGGGTCTGGATACAACTGAAGGAGCTTTAGCTACATGAGGCCCTCAGAGCCAAAGACAGGATGCAAATAGAGTTCTAGAGAGTGGCCGTGGAAGCAGAACTCCAGGTGGGGAATGTTCAATCTCTGCCTCCCTTAAAGCAGGGCCAGGCTCAGCTGGCCCCATTGTTCACTTGGTCACAAGTTTCCTACCTTTGTTTCTGGATGAGTCAAAGGCCAGGAAGGCAGTTATGGAGAGCTCCTGCACCTCCAGCTGCCCCACAGAAAAGCCTGCAAGAGTACTTCCAGGCACAGGCCCTCTCCCACCCTATTCCATTTGTAAGCAAGGGAGGTCGAGGAAAAGGACATCTCCAAAAGGGAGCATAAGAATAGCCATATATACAGGGGCTGAAAAAGTGCTCATGAGTCCATCTTTTCTGGAAAGCAAAGACCAGCCTGAAGCAGTGGGAGCTGCTGCCCAAGCGGTAGTGAACTGGAGAGAAACAGGCCCTGGATTTTCAGTGAGGATGTGGATCTGAAGAGTCCCCCAAATGCCTCTGAAGTCTGACATCTCTGCTTAGCCCTAGGAGTCTGGTTCCCTGCCTTCAGTTGCAGAGTGATGTGTTTGTGTCATTGTTGATGTCACCTCCTAAAAAGACCTTCACTTTCTGGCTGCCACAAAGCCATATGTGTTGCTCCCCATATACAGCCTGACAGAGTAAATGGAGAGGAAGTGCTGGATTTGTGTATCACTGGCTATCAGTTCCTCATGTTGTTAAGCCTCACACAGGTGTGCTAGCATTGAACTGTAGAGTGTCACATACCTGAGTTTGAAAATAAAAGCACATTTCCAAACCTCTGGCAGCAGCCAAATGCCTCCTCATTTTATGGAGTTGAATTACAGTCTTACCCCAACCCAGAATTAGATGCCTTTGGATATATTAGTGCATTCCAGAACCAAGTCAGAGGTCCCCAACCCTTGGTCGTTATACTATGGGCTACCTCACAGGGGCTGGATCAGTTCCTCCTCTTCCCTTCCCCATTCCTGATCCTGGTTTCCTGTATCTTCCTGGTCTATGATTTTTTTAATTAACACAGTTTGCTGTGATTGAGTCTGCTGAGTTTTTAACCAACCTGATTTCCACAGCTGAACTATTTTTGTCTTTCTTACAGCTAGCTGCAGGGGAATGTGGACTTTCCAAATCTAGTTCCCTAAAAATAAACTCTCCTGCCCAATACTTCACACCTTTTTTTACTCCCTTCTCTGCCTACCAAAGCCAGAGGATTCAGATGAGAACACTGAGACCCGAGAAAATGGCAGAACCACTAGACGGAAGCTGGGTCTTTGAATGAGCACTCCCAGTATTGAACTGTGACATGAATAAGAAATAAGATTTTAGTATATTAAGCCACAGAGATTCCAGGATGTTTATAGCAGTTAGCCTACCCTAATGCATACATTTGAACCAGAAATTGTGTACTTTAATAGCAAAATTCCAAAATATGAGGTTCTAGCTTACCAGTTACATGGCAAGAAACAAAACTGCTAGAAAGATGGTAAGATAGTAAAGTCTTACCTGTGATAACTTGGAAAGCATCTCATGGTTAGCCTATTTATAAGTGGTGGAAAGAATCAGCGTTGGGGTATGGAAACTTCTCTTGGCTGCCTTTGGCAAGGTATGGCAGGAGAAATAATTGGCTATGTGGGAGCAAAAATGAAAAAGAATATAGAGTATTCAGAAATGTGAAAGATTGAAGGGTGAGAAAACCTGACCACTTCTAAATCCCAGACAGACTAAAAAGAGCTTTGAGTGGGAGCCAATAAAATTTCTCAGTTGAACAGATCGACTCAGCCTTATGGCAAAGGCTAGATTAAGGATGTGGCCCTTTGTGAGTTCAAATGAACTTAGTGTATTCACCACTAAATTTGAGGGGTATGGTGCTGAGAAACAGGAAATACTTCTTGAGAATTATGACTGGGAAAGGATTTGGGGTATGATTATTGGCACATGGAAGCAGAAATCTAACTTTGTGAGGGAATTTACAAAGAAACACAAGCCAGGACTAAAAACCCCTTTCATTGTTCAGGTGAGGAAACAGCTTTGAGGAGGAAAGAAAATATATCAGAGAGATACCTGCACCCTCATGTTTATTGCAGCAGTATTCACAATCGCCAAGATATGGTATTAAAATGTGTCCAGCAACAGATGAGTGGATAAAGAAAACATGGTGTACATACACAACGGAATAGTATTCAGCCGTAAAAAATGAAATCCTGGCATTCACAGCAACATAGATGGAAATGGAGGTCATTATGTGAAGTAAAATAAGCCATGAACAGAAAGTTAACACCACATGTTCTAATTCATGGAAGCTAACAAAAGATCTCATGGAAGTAAAAAACAGAATAGAGGATACTAGTGGCTGGAAAGGGAAGAGAGGAGGAAAAGACAGATTTGTTAAAGGACATAAAATTAGGAGGAACAAGTTATAGTGTTTTATGGCACTATAGGATGACTATAGATAACAATAACATATTTTCAAATAGCTGGAAGAGAAGATATTGAACACCCCCAACACAAAGGATAAATGTTTCAGATGATGGATATGCTAATTAGCCTGATCTGATCACTACATCTTGTTTGTATGGAAACATCAAAATGTACATGTGTATAATTATGTATTGATTAAAAATAAAATTTTTTTAAAATTAAGAAAACTTTTGGGATCTTAGCTTATGCCGGCAGGAAGCAGACTGCAAAAGCTGTGCTATTCCCAAGGAAGGCATACTCCCTAATATCCACTTCAAATGTGGACAAGCAAGATTATATGCAAATGAATCTCCCAGAGGGATGCAAAGGGCCGCAGAAAACAGTGGATGTGGAAGTTTCTCTCAGAAAGCAGATCAGAATCAAATCAAGGTTAAGTGACTGTGGAAGGCAGAATTTCTAGAATAGCCCTCCAAAGATGTCCCACCCTAATCCCTGGAGCCTTTGAATAGGAGCTCCAGGGGTATGGAGCTTTGTTGTGTTACATTAGATGGTACAGTTGACCTTAAGATAGGGAGGTTATCCAGGTGGGCCCATGAGCCCTTAAAAGCAGACAGCTCGCCGGGCGCGGTGGCTCACGCCTGTAATCCCAGCATTTGGGAGGCTGAGGCGGGCGGATCATGAGGTCAGGAGATCGAGACCATCCTGGCTAACACAGTGAAACCCTGCCTCTACCAAAAATACAAAAAATTAGCTGGGTGTGGTGGCGGGCGCCTGTAGTCCCAGATACTCGGGAGGCTGAGGCAAGGAATGGCATGAACCCAGGAGGCAGAGCTTGCAGTGAGCTGAGATCACGCCACTGCACTCCAGCCTGGGCAACAGAGTGAGACTCTGTCTCAAAAAAAAAAAAAAAAAAAAAAAAAGTAGAGAGCTCTGCTTGAGCCCAGGAGGTAGATGCTGCAGTGAGTCACGATGGCGCCACTGCGCTCCAGCCAACAGAGCAAGACCGTGTCTCTTAAAAGAGCAGAGAACTTTCTCTGGCTAACTGTAGAAGTGAAAGAGAGACTAGAAGTATGAGAAGGACTCAGTGTGTCATTGCTGCTTTGAAAATGGAAGGGCTCTAGGAGAAGAGAATGGTCCCTGGCTGACACCCTGCAAGGAAACAGGGACCTCATTCCCACAACCTCAAAGAAATGAATTCTGCCAACAACCCAAATGTGCTTCGAAGTGGATTCTTCCCCAGAGCCTCTGGGTAAGAGCCCAGCCCAGCCAGCACCTTAATGTCAGTTTCGTGAGACCCAGGGCAGAGGACCCAACTGAGCCCACTCAGACCTCTGACATATAGAAGCTGTTAAATGATAAATGAGTACTGTTTAAGCCGCTAAGTCTATGGTAATTTGTTGGACAGCAATAGAAAGCTGGCACAGCGACCTTTCTAAGGCCTCTTCATTGGTATTCCAGAAATTCTATGGCTGGTGATCACTGTGACTCTCATTCTCCTCCTTGACACAAAGCCTTGCCTTCCCTGATTCATTCTTCCCCTTCCTGTCTTCCTTCGTTCTTTTTGCAATAAGTGAACAAATGCTAGAAAGCTAGCTCTCTTTCGGGCATGGTGTTAGGCTTTAAGAATAATCATGAAGAGGCCAGGACTCTGCCTGTCTGCCTCCCTGGTGCTGTGATGATAGAGTCATGCATGTTTCTGAGAAACTGGGGCTTGTGCTCACCCAGATCATGAGGTCGGTATTGGAGATGTGTAAGGGCTGTTACCCTGGTCTTTTAGAAGTTCCCTGCATTTGTTTAGAGCAGATTCTCTTTTTGTTATTGATATTTTTCACACAAATATCTAACTTTATGACCAGTACCACTTATATAAAAAAGAATTCGTTATCCATATACTTTTCCTATAAAAGACATTCATTTTGGAAAAATCTCATAAACCTTTGCCCAAGACATTGCTTACAAGCCAGAACTCCATAATTACCATGAAGCAAAAACCACTGAAAATCCGGCTGGAAAAACATAGAATACACTCTGCTGGTACACAGCACAGATAAACCTCATGTTCATCGAACAACAAAGGTGGAGTCTGACTTGAATTCTGGCCTACCAGAATATGAAAGGAGTTATTAAGAGAAAGTTATTTCATAAAAGACCCCTGTGGTGATTACTATTGTAAAGTTAAAAATCCTTGGGGAAAGTGTAAAATGTTTAATTTTGTAAATTGCCCTCCTACTTGTGTTATGTAAATGTGAATGTTTATATGTGCCTGGTTTCTTTGAAAAAGGAATCACCTGTAGTGGTGTAGAGATTTCAAATGTGTAAAAGGAGACTCAAAGGAAGGCAGAAGGTTCTAGACTCAGTATTTAAGTGGACATTTACTTTCATGAGCTTCAGCATCATACCCTGCAGATCACAAGGCCGAACAGCTGGGTGGAAAAATCACTGATTGCGGGAGGAAAAGAGGCACAACCTATGCTCAGTCTCCTTTAGGGACAGAGATGTTTCTAGGAGTACATAAACGATGGACTCCACAGGCAGTAACAGTGAATGGTGTGAGAACTGAGCTGCTGGGGGAGGAGGAACAGCAGGGAATATGGGAATTGGGAGAACCTTTAGCAGTTCACACTGTGCTATCTGCCTTCCTCATTTGTGTGTTTTCTGAGTCAGCATTAGCTAAATTTTCCAGAAGGCCATCCACAAAGTACAGCCTGGGCGTTCAAGGGACGTCATTCATTTCCCCCAGTGACCTTGACAAGTCAGAAGCTTGAAAGCAGGGAAATCCGGATGTCTCGGTTATGAAGTGGAGCAGTGAGTGTGAGCCTCAACATAGTTCCAGAACTCTCCATCCGGACTAGTTATTGAGCATCTGCCTCTCATATCACCAGTGGCCATCTGAGGTGTTTCCCTGGCTCTGAAGGGGTAGGCACGATGGCCAGGTGCTTCAGCCTGGTGTTGCTTCTCACTTCCATCTGGACCACGAGGCTCCTGGTCCAAGGCTCTTTGCGTGCAGAAGGTAGGTTTCTCACCAGATTTCCAAACTGAAGCAAGGCTTCAGTCCTAAGCCTCCTAAGCTGTTGACTATGGATTTCTGGGAATGAGGGTGACCCTCAGTGTCAACAGCAGGTCTAATTGGTGGTACTGCTCTGCCAAAAATGTACCACCATATTGTCAACTTCACCAAAATGATTGACATTTACGTTTGTATCATCTGGACTTTTACTTTTGGTTATGGAATATTTTTAATGAGGACATTTTGAAATAAAACACTGAAGAGAAACCATTTGATTTTTACTCTTTTTTGTATGGGTGGTATTTAAATTTTTTGTAGCAATGGGATCTCGCTTTGTTGCCCAGCCTGGTCTTGAACTCCTGGCTTCAAGTGATCGTCCTGCCTCAGCCTACCAAAGTACTGGGATTGCAGGCATGAGCCACTGCATCCAGAAGTAATAATTTTTTTTTAAGTATTTCATTGAAGACGCAAACCATGATTGTAAAAAATTTAAAGCAATCACTAAGCTTGGGAATAATGGGTAACTTTCACTAAAATTGGCCTGTTTTTATGTTTTTTGGGAGTGTTAGCATAATTATTTTAATTTTGATTTTATCATACCATGAATGAGGTGCAATGTTTTAAAAAAATATTCAGTAAATAGCAAATTAGCTGAAAAAAATCTGTAAAAATATAAGTTTGAAAATTAAGCCATCGGCTGTCTACTAAAGGAATGACTTAAAGTGATCGCTGGGCTTTTGAGATGCCTAAATGGAAACCTCATTTTGCACTGTAGGCAAAAAAATTGTAACCACAAATCACTCATTGCAGCTCTGGGCAAATGAAAATCTGAGCACTTTAATAGGAAAATGTGTGTTCCTATGCTGGAAGATGACCTGAGATATAAAATATGCTAGAAACAGACATTCAGAGTTGATTTATATGTTGTTGCATTACATTTTATAAGAAAGGTCAGAGTTATATGATTAGTTTTTTAAAATACTGTTACTTTCAAATAAGTTTGGTCCTCTTTGAAATCCTCTGGGGAGACTATTTTTCCCCACAATGCTGCCATTATTCAAACTATTGGACACTGTTTTTTGAAAATGACTCCATCACACTCTGGACTATCCTCAGCAAGGGAAAAAGATTTTCTAGGGAAATTACATTTTTGGAAACAACCAAAAGTCAGCATAACCATGACTGCAGAATAAAGTAGTTGATGAAGGTAAGTGAATAGGGGTGGGAACTATATTTGAGGGCCAAGTATATAGTGATCCAGAGCTAGGTGTGTATATACAATTTCATTTAATCCTCTCAAAAAGACAGTTTATAGGTGAAGTGACTTGCCCAATGTCATGCAGGCAGTACATAATAAATATTGGGTTTGAATTCAGCCCTATCTGATTCCTAAGCATATGCTATTATCTGATTCCACATCCTTATATCTAACTCCTAAGCATACACTATTTCTACTATGTTTGCTGTTTCCTGAGAAATCTTAAGGAAGGAGTTACTGGAGTACTCCCTTAAATTCCAGCTCCCTCTTTTGATCCCTAAATGAAATAGGAAAGCATAAAATGACTAATGTTGTTGACTTCCTACTGGGCCCCGCCTCTGCTAGGTACAAGTTATCTAATTTAATTCTGATAAAAATCATGTGAAGAAGATATATCCATCCCCATTTTCAGATGAGAATGCTGACTTGCCTGATGTCGCAACAGCCAGTTAACAATAGAAAAAATATTCAAAGCTAAGTCTATCCACCTAGAATAAGTCTATCACTCCTCTAAATAATAGTATTTAGAGTACAAATGACATATGATGAGAGGGTAGTAAGACCAATTGATAATGTGACAAATAAACCTCTGCAATCCATTCCCAAAGAAGTAGCTATAAGAGACCTGAGCAATAGCAAGCTCATGAGCTAAAAGAGCCAAATTTCAGAGCAAACGGTGTGTTCAGGGAGTTCAGCCTAGGGGTGTGTGTGTGTCTGTGTGTGTTCATTTCCTTATAGCACTGTGAAAGGTAAAACAGTGTCATTGTTAAGAACTGGGGGCCGGGTTGGGCACGGTGGTTCATGACTGTAATCTCAGCACTTTAGGAGGCCGAGGTGGGTGGATCACCTGAGGTCAGGAGTTTGAGACCAGCCTGGCCAACATGGTGAAACCCCATCTCTACAAAAAATACAAAAATTAGCTGGGCATGGTGTCTCGCGTCTGTAGTCCCAGCTAGTCAGGAGGCTGAAGCACAAGAGTTGCTTGGACCCGGGAGGCAGAGGTTGCAGTGAGCATGGATCACGCCACTGCACTGCAGCCTGGGTGACAGAACGAGACTCTGTCTCAAAAAAGAAAAAAAAAAGGGCCAGGCACAGTGGCTCACGCCTGTAATCCCAGCACTTTGGGAAGCCAAGGTGGGTGGATCACCTGAGGTCGGCAGTTCAAGACCAACCTGACCAACATGGAGAAACCCTGTCTCTACTAAAAGTACAAAATTAGCCAGGTTTGGTGGCACATGCCTGTAATCCCAGCTACTTGGGAGAATGAGGCAGGAGAATCGCTTGAACCCAGGAGGTGGAGGTTACAGTGAGCCGAGATCACGCTATTGCACTCCAGCCTGGGCAACAAGAGTGAAACTCCGTCTCAAAAAAAAAAAAAGAACTGGGGTTCTTGCTTGGCCATACTGGTGCACACCTGTAGTTCCAGCTACTCAGGGAGGCTGAGGTGGGAGGATTGCTTGAGCCCAGGAATTTACGACCAGCCTGGGCAACATAGCAAGATCCATCTCTTGGGAAAGAAGAAGGAAAAAAGAGGAACTGGGGTTTTAGAATCAGGCATAATTGAGTGTGTGCTCCTAATCTGCCACCACAGCAAGGTTCATATGGAGGACTTAGAAATGCTCCTTCCATGTTTTCAAAAAGAAACTTCCATTAGATATCAACCTAGGAAGTGGTCAAAGCATTTGACTGAGCATCCAATACACAGAGCTGCGTACAAGCAATTACTTGAGAGATTTAAATGCCCTTTTATGGATGTTTGTGGATGAAGCCCAGTAGGAATAATGTATTTGAATACAATACAACTTGGCAATTTTATACAGGTCTGTACATCCCAGAACCCAGAGAAAAGGGTTCAAAAGAATTCCCAAATCCATTAGATTTTGAGTAGAAATATTATTCATATCTTACCTATTCAACAGCCTCAGCTTCTGTGGGGTAATCAATCATTAGCAGACCAAAACCAAAATGCTTTAACGATAATGATAATGTTATGTGGATTTATTAAGCACCTACCATGTGGCAGGCACTATGCTAAACATTTGTATTAGAATTTACTCACTTAACTTTCACTACCCTATTCAGTAGACACTGTTACTCCCTTGAATTTATAAACAAGGAGGCTCAAAGAGCTGAAGATTAAAGAGATGAAGTATCTAGGCTAAGGTCACAGAGCTAGCAAATGACATATGCTAGATCTAAGCCCAAGTCTGACTCTAAAATTCTGCTTTCTTCATTTAGTTTTTCTGCCATTCAAAGTTTACTGCCAGCTCCTCCAGGAACTTCTGAGTAAGCCTGTCCCCCAGTGGCCAAAAGACCTGGAACTGAGAGCACTCACATTCTTTTATAACAAGTGTGACATTTTCAGCCCATCTCACAAATAGTAGTGTCCCCAAACCACATTGGTTTGGGGTATTGCTAACTATTCTATGAACTAGAGCCCTGAATTCTATCTTTCTCAAAGTCTCAGATGCTTCATTTTACAGACTCCAGAAAGGTTTGCAGTAACTGCATCCCTTAGACTGCACCCCAACAACAGGTAGCCAAAGCCCCTATATGGTGAGCAAGGCATCTTAATGCAGTGGGATGGGATAGATTTTGATTGGGCGACATTTACAGCTTGGACAAGAACAAGCATCCATCTAGCCCAGCAGATGGTCCTTGTGGAAAATGCCTGGTCTGTGTCCTGTTATTCTAAACCCCAGTCCCAGCCAGATAGACCTCCCTGCGCATCAGGACGATATACTCTGCTGGGAAGGAGAGTCTAAGGGCTGGAAACAAGGACAGCAGCAAACTGAGGACCTATGTGATTCCTTTGCAGAGCTTTCCATCCAGGTGTCATGCAGAATTATGGGGATCACCCTTGTGAGCAAAAAGGCGAACCAGCAGCTGAATTTCACAGAAGCTAAGGAGGCCTGTAGGCTGCTGGGACTAAGTTTGGCCGGCAAGGACCAAGTTGAAACAGCCTTGAAAGCTAGCTTTGAAACTTGCAGGTGAGAAAAAGCTGGTTTCACTGTCACTGCTGGAGTTCTTTTTTAGCTCTGTGTTCTTGTTCAGCAATAGAGATGAAGCCTTCTAATCATTTTTCTGTTCAACTAGTGTGTATTCTTTTACAGCTATGGCTGGGTTGGAGATGGATTCGTGGTCATCTCTAGGATTAGCCCAAACCCCAAGTGTGGGAAAAATGGGGTGGGTGTCCTGATTTGGAAGGTTCCAGTGAGCCGACAGTTTGCAGCCTATTGTTACAACTCATCTGGTGAGTCTGATCTGCAACCTTTCCACGTGGCATTCTCTGGGTATCTCTCACTCTGAGACCTGTCTGGGAAGAGTAACCCTGAGCAGCAGCAGAAGCAATCACAGCCACGGCCATCTAATTCTCCCGACACTGTCTCTCTGGCCAGGCTAGGGGTGGCAATATGCCCCTCAAAGGAAAAAGTTAGGAGAGATATAACTGAATGGCAACACACGAGAAGACATTCAGGAGGCTCAATTACCACTGCCACCATCCCTGCATCCTATAAGATAAGCAGGCAGAAGGGAAGGAACAAAGGTACAGATGTATGTAATGCATCCATTATGGACAAAGTGATGCACAGTCGTCCCTCAGTGTCAGTGGGAGATTGGTTCCGGCACCCCATCATATACAAAAATCTACAGATGCCCAAGTCCCTGATATAAAATGGGGTCATATTTGCATATAACCTACACACATCCTCCTGTACACTTTAAATCATCTCTAAACTACTTATAATACCTAATACAATGTAGATGCTATGTAAACAGTCATTGTACTGTATTATTTGCTTTTTTATTGTTGTATTGTTATTTTTCTTTTTTTCCCAAATATTTTCAATCCAAGGTTGGTTGCTTCCACCTATATGGAATCTACAGATCCCTATGAGATATGCTTTATCATCCCCACTTTGCAAATAAAGAAACCGAGTTCAGGCCGGGCACAGTGGCTCATGCCTGTAATCCCAGCACTTTGGGAGGCCGAGGCGGGCAGATCACAAGGTCAGGAGATTGAGACCATCCTAACACGGTGAAACCCCGTCTCTACTAAAAATACAAAAAATTAGCCAGGCGTGGTGGCAGGCACCTGTAGTCCCAGCTACTCGGGAGGCTGAGGCAGGAGAATGGCATGAACCCAGGAGGCGGAGCTTGCAGTGAGCCAAGATCATGCCATTGCACTCCAGCCTGGGCGACAGAGTGAGACTCCGTCTCAAAAAAAAAAAAAAAAAAAAAAAAAGAAACCGAGTTCAAAGGATGTAAACACATTTGTCTAACGTCTCATTACTGTAAAGGTTCAGACTCAGGTCTAACTCTGAAACCGCACTCTTTCCACTGTTCCACATTCCTTTATAATTTTAAGAACCAGACCCAGTCTCCACTTTATGAAGGAAAAGATTGACACCTGGAGGGCAGCACTGATTTGTTCGTGGTCATGAAGTCACCCACTAACCTTGCTTGAAGACCTTGGCTGCCTTAGCCCAAGTGCTTCACCTAAGTACTTCTCCTAAAGTTTTTCTTTTACTAAATACTCACTTGCTCTCAGTTTGTCATAAGGACCCCTGTCTGATTATTACTTTTCACACATACTCATCTATCTGACCTTCTGAAGGTTAGGTGGCTGAGAGGTCATACACAGGATAGATTTCAAGATCATTCTCGAAGATCCGAGAGATAAATGTGCACCAGCCAATATTAGCAAAAACTGTCCCAGAAAGGCAATATAGGATCCAAGTAGTTCCCTGATCCAGAGGGCTTTGGCACAGAAAAGGCCCATGGAGAAACTTTGACCAGTTCCCTCACTTCATGGATGAAACAACTACAGTTCAGAACACGGGCTTAGCTTGTTCAAGGTCCTACGGTCAGTTAGTGGCAGAATCAAGACTGAAACATAGGGCTTCTCCTAACAGTGTATTTCCCATCTTCCTTCCCTTCTCTGCCTCTTTGGTCTATCATCACTGGCTGGGGAATTGGTGAGCTACATATGCCTGCATACCTCATAGCCAGCCCATGCCTGTCAAATGGCTTTGCTTTTTAACTGCCTTCCTGCCAGCTGGCAATGTGATGATACCCAGCCCTCTGACTAAACAGAGAAGAGCCAGAGGAAGAGGACTTGGATTTGTCTATTTCCTCATGGTTTCATTTAACTTGTACTCCCATCCCATGTATTTCTTTTCTTTTTTTCCAGAGATAATTTTATTTTATTATTTTATTTTTATTATACTTTAAGTTCTGGGATACACGTGCAAAATGTGCAGGTTTGTTACATAGGTATACATGTGCCATGGTGGTTTGCTGCACCCATCAACCCGTCACCTACGTTAGGTATTTCTTCTAATGCTATCCCTCTGCTAGCCCACCCCCCAACCCCAGCTGATGCTACCCACTGCCACAAATAATTAGGGACTTAAAATAGATGCAAATTTATATTATAATATATTGCATGGCTCTGCCATTTACTAGCTCTGTGACTTTGGGCGAGTTATTCAATTTCTCTAAACTTCAGTTTCCTCCTGTGTAAACAAGGGTTTAGTAATATTGTTCAATGAGATACCTATTTAAACACTTACTGCCATGGTCAACTCAGATTAAGATGCTTTAACAAGTGTTTCCTCTCTAGCACATGCAACAGATTGGAAAGCAAACCCTTATCCCTCTCCTGGTCCCTTTTTGTTCACTTCTTTTTTTAATGAGCCCAGAAATATCAGGTCTTAGCATATCTTTGTCCTGAAGTGACACCACATGTGTATATTTGGTCTTCCAATCTATACTTTCCTTCCTTTCCCTTTTCCTTCCTTCCCTATTCATCAAATAGTTATTGAGCATGTGCTATGTACCACACACAGTGCTCATACCATGCTGACCAAGACAGACGGGGTTTCTGCTGCCAGAGAGCTTGCAGTCCAGTGGGGAACAGTGTAATGAGAACTGTGACAAGGAAGTACAAGAACATATGCCAATCAAGTCAACAAGTCTGCCTGAGAAAGACAGGGTCAATCTGAGACCTGAGGGATGAGTCAGAGTAAGCTAAATAAAGAGAGGCAAAGAGTCATAAAGGTGAATAAAGCATCGTGGTGCAAGGCTTGGATGTAAGATAAAGTGTATCAAGGAATTTCAAGTAATTTCAGTATGGCAGGGGCAATGAGAGAAAAAGAGCAGATGAGGCTGGCATGTTAGCAGGGGCCAAATCACAGAAGGCCTTGTAGGCCATACAACAAAGATAGCCACTGAAGGCTTCTAAGGAAGAAAGTGATATGGTTAGATTTGCTTTTTAAAGACCATTCCAGCTGCGGTATAAGGGGTTTGGAGGTAGTAAGACTAGAGGCAAGAAGAACAGTTAGGAGGCTGTTGCAATACTTTTATTCCATGTTTCCCTATCCCAACAGATACTTGGACTAACTCGTGCATTCCAGAAATTATCACCACCAAAGATCCCATATTCAACACTCAAACTGCAACACAAACAACAGAATTTATTGTCAGTGACAGTACCTACTCGGTGGCATCCCCTTACTCTACAATACCTGCCCCTACTACTACTCCTCCTGCTCCAGCTTCCACTTCTATTCCACGGAGAAAAAAATTGATTTGTGTCACAGAAGTTTTTATGGAAACTAGCACCATGTCTACAGAAACTGAACCATTTGTTGAAAATAAAGCAGCATTCAAGAATGAAGCTGCTGGGTTTGGAGGTAAATGGTTTCTGTGTCTATGTTACGTGTGTATGTATGTTCATGTATAACAGATAATTCATAGAATCCTGCCTGTCTTTAGATGAGGCGCTCAGGACCTGTCAAATACTAATAAAAGCTTAACACAAACTCAACTTTCATGAAGTCATAGAATCTGAGAGCTGTAAAGAACCTTAGTGATTAAGCTAAAAAGTGTAAGTATAAAAGAATTTCACTGTTGAAAACTCAAGACTTTTAAAAATAAATCACTATCTGTTCCTATGCATAAGTTCTTTTTAAAATATATACCCTAAAGGCCTATGACTTTATTCTAGTCATCTCTTTCTCAGGCAGGCTTGTTGACTAGAGTAGGTCTCAAGGCCATGGAGGAGAAATGAACTCTGTCATATTGCAACTGATAGAATTGAGAGTGTGAGAAGCAAGGCCAATGATTCTACAAGCATGAAGCAAAGAAGCTGGTGTGGGCCCAATATCATAAAGGGCTACAGAGAAGGTTTTTCTCCTGTACTGTCTACTGTCTCAATCACCTGGATCATGCAATGAGCATTACACACAATGTTTAAGTGAAGGACCAACAGGCCTTGTCTCTGTTCCTTGCAGGTGTCCCCACGGCTCTGCTAGTGCTTGCTCTCCTCTTCTTTGGTGCTGCAGCTGGTCTTGGATTTTGCTATGTCAAAAGGTAGGGTTGTTGGTGCACTGCTAGTCTTGTAATCTTTGTCATGTTTCTATCCTGTGCTTTTTCAGGGTCACTGTTGGCATTTTGCTGATCAAAATGGAGATAGCAGTCCTCTGATATAAATTTCTCCCTCATCTCATCTCTTTCCCTTCAGCCCAATCTTTTCTATTTCAGGACATGCATGTCGTCCAGCCATCAGTCAATGACTGTCCTTTGAAAATCAAGAAATTAAAAAAAATTGACATCTGGGGAAAATTTATATGCTTTATTTGATTTTTGGTTCTTTGTTTTTGTTGGAAGAGTTATGTGGTCAGCCTAAAGTCTGGCCTGCAAACATATTGTCCAATTTAAATGAATCCATTAAGGTGGTGATGTCTTAATGTATTAGAGCATGCATGTGCTGGCATCACTCTGAAATAAAGGTATCCAGTGTACTGTGCCAATATGTACCATGGCCAAAAAGTGTTATCTATCGTTATGTGTGAGAGTCTCTCACTTTAATTTCATGTTTCTGCCTAAAGGTATGTGAAGGCCTTCCCTTTTACAAACAAGAATCAGCAGAAGGAAATGATCGAAACCAAAGTAGTAAAGGAGGAGAAGGCCAATGATAGCAACCCTAATGAGGAATCAAAGAAAACTGATAAAAACCCAGAAGAGTCCAAGAGTCCAAGCAAAACTACCGTGCGATGCCTGGAAGCTGAAGTTTAGATGAGACAGAAATGAGGAGACACACCTGAGGCTGGTTTCTTTCATGCTCCTTACCCTGCCCCAGCTGGGGAAATCAAAAGGGCCAAAGAACCAAAGAAGAAAGTCCACCCTTGGTTCCTAACTGGAATCAGCTCAGGACTGCCATTGGACTATGGAGTGCACCAAAGAGAATGCCCTTCTCCTTATTGTAACCCTGTCTGGATCCTATCCTCCTACCTCCAAAGCTTCCCACGGCCTTTCTAGCCTGGCTATGTCCTAATAATATCCCACTGGGAGAAAGGAGTTTTGCAAAGTGCAAGGACCTAAAACATCTCATCAGTATCCAGTGGTAAAAAGGCCTCCTGGCTGTCTGAGGCTAGGTGGGTTGAAAGCCAAGGAGTCACTGAGACCAAGGCTTTCTCTACTGATTCCGCAGCTCAGACCCTTTCTTCAGCTCTGAAAGAGAAACACGTATCCCACCTGACATGTCCTTCTGAGCCCGGTAAGAGCAAAAGAATGGCAGAAAAGTTTAGCCCCTGAAAGCCATGGAGATTCTCATAACTTGAGACCTAATCTCTGTAAAGCTAAAATAAAGAAATAGAACAAGGCTGAGGATACGACAGTACACTGTCAGCAGGGACTGTAAACACAGACAGGGTCAAAGTGTTTTCTCTGAACACATTGAGTTGGAATCACTGTTTAGAACACACACACTTACTTTTTCTGGTCTCTACCACTGCTGATATTTTCTCTAGGAAATATACTTTTACAAGTAACAAAAATAAAAACTCTTATAAATTTCTATTTTTATCTGAGTTACAGAAATGATTACTAAGGAAGATTACTCAGTAATTTGTTTAAAAAGTAATAAAATTCAACAAACATTTGCTGAATAGCTACTATATGTCAAGTGCTGTGCAAGGTATTACACTCTGTAATTGAATATTATTCCTCAAAAAATTGCACATAGTAGAACGCTATCTGGGAAGCTATTTTTTTCAGTTTTGATATTTCTAGCTTATCTACTTCCAAACTAATTTTTATTTTTGCTGAGACTAATCTTATTCATTTTCTCTAATATGGCAACCATTATAACCTTAATTTATTATTAACATACCTAAGAAGTACATTGTTACCTCTATATACCAAAGCACATTTTAAAAGTGCCATTAACAAATGTATCACTAGCCCTCCTTTTTCCAACAAGAAGGGACTGAGAGATGCAGAAATATTTGTGACAAAAAATTAAAGCATTTAGAAAACTTCTTTGCTTTCTTATTTACGTAGATGCATTATACCTTTCATGTAAAATTAAAGTGAGGACCAGATCATATCATATTGTTTGCAAAAATAAAAGGGACAATGTTGGTTGTTAAAATACAAGCATATGTCAACCAAACAGCATATATCATATGGGGCTATTCATGCTCCAAACATTTTATTTTGAGTTGGCCAAGTACATACACATTAAACAGTCCTTTACTAGAGATGCTGGCCCTCCATTTCCATCCATTTCAGAATTCACCAGGGAGCCAGAGATCCAGGATGGCTCATTCGTCTCACTTTTGACCGCCCTGCTTCTCTAGTTTTCTCTTTCCCTCCCGCTTAGACTGCTAATTGTCTTCTTCCCCTCACCAGTGACCCCACAGCTCCGTGGTTCCTTCGGCCCAGATGCCACAACCTGCTGGCATAATCTTTTCCGGTTGGCCCACGGAGTATAATCTTAAAATTTGATTTCATTTCCAGGCATTAAAAATCAAGAGATTTCACATGGTTACATTTCTGGGTTCCCTCTAAAAATGGAAAGATCTGGAAGTAAAGAACCCATGTTCCCTCATAGCAATCATTATCTGATACTGAGTAGCAGCTGTCCCCTTTCAATGGGGTCTGCTCTTTTTGTTTCACCACAGTCCTCATGACTCTCTGTTGCACACTCATGCCAAAGTAAAGGTGCCCTTTCCTATGAACTTTGTAACACTGTGGCCTTTTCTTCACACCCAGCCCACGTCCCTCATATATATCACCTGCCTGCCCCAGTAGGTCTATGAGTTTGAAACTGGTTTGTCAGTCCTTAAGCTTTATCAGCTTCATCCATTTCTCAGGGAGTAAAGAAGAAAAGAGGGAAAGCGCCTAAGTAGTGATCTTCCCTCTGTGTGTTAGCTGAAAAAAAAAAAACAGATCTCCCACACCACATCTCCCATCTTGTGGGCATCTACTACATATTAGAATGCTACCACCTTCTCCTGTTAAACAGGTTTGTGCCGTATCCAGGAGGAGGAAGTGGGGAGGAGAAAACCCTGCCCAGCCACATAAAATCACTCAATAGCCCAAATATCATGTGCAAACATACTGATAAGAATGTAACTTCCATGATTATGGAAGGAAGGAAGGAAGGAAGGAAGGAAGGAAGGAAGGAAGGAAGGAAGGAAGGGTGGGCTGGCTGATTTATGGAGCATCTACTAAGTGACAGTCATTTTACATGTTGCCTCATTTAATCTCTACACTTTCCCTGAGAGGTGAGGATAATTACTGCCATTTTTATTAATTAGAAAACTGGATGTTTAGAGAAGTTAAATCACTTTCTGAGGTCACAGGTCTAGTTAAATGGTAAAGGTCAGAGTGACTGCAAAGCCCATGCTCCTTTCCCTACTCCACAGTGCTTCTCTTGCAAATGACAATATAGAAATGTAAACTATTCCAATATGCAAGCTTGAGATTGGACACTTAACACAAACAACAGGGGTGAAGTAAGGAAAACAACTTAGGACTCCTGTGTCAACTTCACAGAATCTATCTTAAATCCGTTGGCAATGACAAGGAGAAAAAGAGAACCACTAAAGAACTTTGAGAACTGCCTCCTCATTGATGTAGACACCAGCCTCAACAAAGACCTACCTGAGCCAGTTCATAGGGTCAGAAAATATAAGGCTCAGAAGGATCCAGAATAATTTCCTCTAAACCCTTCATTCACAGAGTAAATAAAATGAAGCTACCAATGTCACAGGTAGCTAAAGTTAGGGCTTGGTCTAGAAATCTCCTCCTTATTTAAATTTTCTTTATTCTCCACTGAACAAAGAGAAATTGGAAGAATGCAAGAGATCTCCCCACTTCAGACCTACAGTCCACCTCGCCACAGCCAGTCTTCAAAAGAGGCAGGTGGAGAGCCACGTGATGGCATTTTCAGCTGGTGCAAAGGATCTTCCCTGCCCTTTCAGAATGCCCCTTCTTCATGCCTGCCTCCCTGGCTCACACAGAATAAATCCACTCCTTTGAGCAAAGACACTCTATCCTGAGAAGGAGTCATCTGCAAAATTGTATGCTTTTATAAAGGCCAGGCCACCATCAAACATTAACATGCCAATATAGGTCCAATCAAGCAAAGCTGATTTCCAAGAATAGGAAGCTGGACTAACGCAGATGACTTGAGGCTCCACACAGGGCTTGCACACAACTGGAGTCTACAGATATCATTTGGCTTGAAAAGAATTGAATCATATTGATTTCTAGACAAGGATCCTAAATTGTATTGCCTCTAGACCTTCAGCTAGTACCTAAAGCAAAATCAATTGCTCTAGGGAAAAACAAGTTTGTAAGGACAATAATAACATGCAAGTAAATACGTTTTTACTAAGGAATGGGAGGGTCTCTCACACCAAAAAGAAAATGTTTTACTATTATGAATGGTGCCACAATAAACATACGTGTGCATGTGTCTTTATAGCAGCATGATTTATAATCTTTTGGGTATATACCCAGTAATGGGATGGCTGGGTCAAATGGTATTTCTAGTTGTAGATAGCAAAGAGTTGGAACCAACCCAAATGTCCGTCAATATAGACTGGATTAAGAAAATGTGGCACACAGGTACCATGGAATACTATGCAGCCATAAAAAAGGATGAGTTCATGTCCTTTGTAGGGACATGGATGAAGCTGGAAACCATCATTCTGAGCAAACTATCACAAGGACAGAAAACCAAACACCACATGTTCTCAGTCATAGGTGGGAATTGAACAATGAGAACACTTGGACACAGGGTAGGGAACATCACACACCGGGCCTGTCGTGGGGTGGGGGGAGGGGGGAGGGATAGCATTAGGACATATACCTAATGTAAATGACAAGTTAATGGGTGCAGCACACCAACATGGCACATGTATACATATGTAACAAACCTGCACATTGTGCACATGTACCCTAGAACTTAAAGTATAATAATAAAAAAAGACAAAAAATAAATATCATGCTTGAAAAAAAAAAAATTAAGCCTCTGTTTCAGAAAAACTCCCGAGCCTTGTTTTACCTCTGCTCTCACACCACCACAACAGTCATCAACTCAATAACAAAAGAACTCAATGACAAAAGGTAAGGGGGTTTTCCCCACACAACAAGCCGCAGACACCAGCTGGGTGTCCTCTAATTAAATTCTGACACTATCTACCTGGAGGTAGCGTCAGATCCCACAGGGTGAGGGCTCAGTCCCCAAAACTGCCTCCCACTCCACAGACACCAGTCACAAGACTGGGCCTCCAGAACTCCCGACAACCCGCTTTAAGTAGGGGTTCTCATGACCCCCTCTTTGGGTTCAATTAATTTGCTGGAGCTGCTCACAGAACTCAGAGTAACACATTTACAGGTTTGTTATAAATGTTGTTACGAAGGATACAGATGAAGAGATGCATAGGGCCAGGTAGGGAGGAAGGGGTGCAGAGATTCCATACCCGCGCCATCTTCCAGGAACCTCCATGTGTTCAGCCATCCGGAAGCTCTCCAAACCCTGTCCTTTTTGTTTTTTACATAGGCATGATTGACAACTGTGTAGAAATGTGATTGGACAAAAAGGGTATGACCTCATACTAATAGACTGAGTTGGGAAGCCCAGCAAGGCCTGCCTGTTCAGGTTCTCCTTGGCCTCTCTGTGCAGCTTTTCATCCTCCAGATTATGGGGCAGGACTCTGTCTGCAATGAGGGTCTTTTGACCCACAATCAGATTAGAGTCCTGCCTTGGAGCAGGTAAAAGGAGGACAGGAGAAGGTCAGAGAAAGAGATTCTGTTGGCCGGGCACGGTAGCTCATGCCTATAATCCTAGCACTTTGGGAGGCCGAGGCAGGCAGATTGCCTGAGCTCAGGAGTTCGAGACAAGCCTGGGCAACACGGTGAAACCCCGTCTCTACTAAAATACAAAAAAATTAGCCAGGCACGGTGGTGTGCACCTATAGTCCCAACTACTCGGGAGGCTGAGGCAGGAGAATTGCTTGAACCCAGGAGGCGGAGGTTGCAGTGAGCCAAGATCGTGCCACTGCACTCTAGCCTAGGTAACAGAGTGAGACTCCGTCTCCAAAAAAAAAAAAAAAAAGAGAGATTCTGTTTCCTGAGACCTGCTCCTGAGCCCTAAAGCACCTCAACATTGTAACAAAAGACTGTAACAAGGACTCTGGGAGTTATGAGCCAGGAACTGTGGATGAAAACCAATATATTAATATTTATATAATCGTAATATCATAGCCTCTAAACAGGAGGGAAAGCACTTCTTTGTTAGTTGGATTTTCTAGTTAAAATAAGTAAAATTTAGTGGGTTACTCCTGTAATAGTCTATATATAAGGTCAAGTTTGATCTAAGAGCATTTTTCGTAATACTAAAATCAAATAGGAATTCTCTCCTCTCTCTATGTTCCTCAGGAAATGCCCACATTTCCAAACGGTGCTGATGTGATTTAAGATTTCCTCCTTTAGCATCTAGAAGACTATTTGCTTTTTTAAAAAAAAAAACTTATTTCAGAATAAATTTACCAAAAAAATGTGAAAATAGTGCAAAGATTTCCCATACATCCACACCAGTTTCCCGTTATTAATATCTGATATTAGTATGGTGCATTTGTAACTTAATGAAACAATGCTGATATGCTATTATTAACTGAAGTCCATACTTTATTCTGATTTCCTTAGTTTTTACCTAATGTCCTTTTACTGTTCTAATAGCCTACCCAGCACACCACGTTACATTTAGTCATCACGTGTCCTCTTGGCTATGACAGCTTCTCTGACTTCTCTTGTTCTTGATAATTTTGTCAGTTCTGAGGAGTACTATTTGGGTATTATATAGGATAGCTCTCAGCTGGGATTTCTCTGATGTTTTCTTATGACTACACCGGAGCTGTATGTTTTGGGAAGGAAGACCACAGAAATACAGTGCCATTTTCATCATGTTATATCAACATGATCTATCACTGCTGATGTTCACCTTAAGCACCTGGCTGAGGTAGTGTTTGTCAGGTTTCTCCACTGTAAAGTTATTCTTCTCTATACCATATTCTTTGAAAAGATGTCACTATGCACAACCCACACCTAATTAGAAAGGAGTTATGCTCTGCTTCCTCAAAAGTGGAATATCTACATAAATTATTTGGGCTTTTCCTGTACAGGAGATTCATCTATTCCCCCTCATTAATTTATTTTTTAAATAATTTATTCATATCAGTATGGACTCAAGAATATTTTCTACTTTAGGTAATAATACAATACTATTTTATTTATGTTGTTGCTCAATTTTTTCGAAGACTGACTATTGGGACTATTGGGAGCTCTTTCCATTTGCTCCTGTATCCCTTTGACATATTCCCTTCTTCGTGTTTTTATTGGGCACTTCCCTACTTTCTGGCACTATAAGATGCTCCAGTGTCCTCTTATTTTGTATCTTTTTTTGTATCTTATTTTGCCCTGGTTCTAGAATCAACCATTTCTTCAATGAGCTCTTGCCCCCTCCTTTTCTTTAGAGAGAGAGAATATCATTTCTTTACCTTCCTGTCACATGACTTCCCCTGCACTCTTTGACCAGTCAATGACCTCCATACTCTGGCCCACTCCGAAACCCTTAAAAACCTTAGCCTCAAATTTTCTGAGGAGACAGATTTGAAGTTTCCTTCTGTCTCCTTGTTCAGCAGCCCTATCTATGATTAAACCTCTTTCTCTGCTGCAACCCCTGCGTCTTGGCATATTGACTTCCCATGCACATTGAGCAACAGACCTATTACAGTTGCATCTCCTGCTTCCCCACTTTTCTTATTATAGAGGAGACGGAAGCTTCCCTAGTGGACCCATTCAGAGATAATTGCTCTGGGAGGCATTCCTGGGGCTGAGACCAGAAATTATTTCTCCAGCCCTTCCAATAATTTTATAAGTACCTAATTTCCTGTCTTAAACTTTTTTTTGTTGTTTAAAATAGTTGGCAAGTTTTCTGTAAGGGAACAGTGAAATAAATGACACTGAGTGCATTTTACAATTTGACCTTGAATCCTCTTCTCAAATCTTATTCATTCCTGCAAGGATACTTCATGCTATGGCTACACAAATTCATTTACCATTCTAGAATTTAATCTGTACGATGCCCTCTCATTTTGCAACTGCCATTCCTTCTATTTTAATCACCTTCCTTTTCTTCCTAATTGTATGAGTTATCAATTGTTGAAAAGCAAATTATCTAAAAACTTCATGACTTTTACAGCATTTATTATCTAACATTGTTGTGGATCAGGAAACCAGGCATGGGTAACTGGGTCCCCTGCTTCGGGGTCTCTCACAAAGCTGCAATTCAACTGTCTTCCAGGGCTTAGTCATCTCAGGATTTGACTGGAATAGAATTAACTTTCAAGCTCACTCGCATGGTTGTTGACAGGATTAATTCCTTGTTTGCAGTTGGCCAAAGGCTACCCTCAGTTCTTTCCTAGCAAACCTCCCCTTTGGGACAGCTCACAAAATAGCGGTTTGCTTCATCAGAGCAATAAGCAAGAAGAGCCAGAGAGGAAGCGTGCTGGCAAGATGAAAGTTATAATCTTTTAGATCTAATCTTCGAAGTGACATCCGATTATTTTTGCCATATTTTATTCATTGGAAGCAAGTCACTATGTCCAGCCCATGCTTAAGTGGAAGGGATTATACAAGGGCATGAATACCAAGATGAGGAGATCATTGGGAGCCATTTTAGAAGGCTGCCTCCTATCACATTAATGAATTTTTCTCATTCTTTCTTTTTAAAATTTGTTTACACATCTGTGTTATATGCCACATTGTATTATGTTAATTGTGTACATATTTTATTTTTCCTTGCATTCTTAGCACTTGGGTAGTATATGTAAATCTAGCACATTTACTGAGTAGGCTGTGAGTAAATGTTGAATGAATACATGTATATACATTCATCATGTATACATTTATTCACTGAGATTTCATGAGCTGCAAGTTATACCTTTATCCAGTTATCTGCATTAAGTGCTAAGGTCACTCAGTACAGGGCTAACTGTTTCTGTCCACTTAAATTTTGTTCTTCTTGAATACTTTATTTTGGTGTAGAATGCAACTATGAACAAGCCAGAAGAATGCATAAAGGCTACTATACTTGAACTTTACTCTCTGAGTTGGCCATTGACTCACTTCTGTAAGTCAAACTGATATTTATCTTAATAGAGAAACTAAACTGCAGTGTGTTTTGGACTGTGGGTAATTAAAAACAAATTGAGTTCCCTCAGTAACAACAAAGCTAATAAGTATTGGCAAAAATTTGATTCCTTGGTCTCTATATTTCTATTTTAGTCTTTGAAGCCTAGGACGCTTTCTTAGCATTTAGTGCAGAATTTTAGATTGCCATCATTTTCTGAAAATTAGAATCCTTTTTGATAACTTCCAGACTCATTTTACCACTCCACTGTTATTTTGTTTGAATTTTGCCTTCAGTGAAGTTGAAAATATTTTTGTGATAGAAAAAAAGACAAAATCAATTAAGAATACCAAAAGACTGGCCAGGCACGCTGGCTCACACCTGTAATCCCAGCACTTTGGGAAGCCAAGGCAGGCGGATCATGAGGTCGGGAGATCAAGATCATCCTGGCTAACACGGTGAAACCCCGTCTCTACTAAAAATACAAAAAATTAGCCGGGCGTGGTGGCGGGCGCCTGTAGTCCCAGCTACTCAGGAGGCTGAGGCAGGAGAATGGCGTGAACCCAGGAGGTGGAGCTTGCAGTGAGCCGAGATCGCACCACTGCACTCCAGCCTGGGCGACAGAGCAAGACTCCATCTCAAAAAAAAAAAAAAAAGAATACCAAAAGACCTAATTCAGTACTCCACTGTGCATATTCTTTTACCTATGAAGATCAACATTTCAGCAAAGTCAACATCATAAATGATAACAGTAATAACAAAGACTTCAATGTTATAAAACATTGATGTTATATAACATCGATACGATGTTATAGTATCATAACCAAATATCTTAAAATCATATTATGTTTTCTCCATTAGTAAAGATTAGTAAAATAATGTATCAAAGATATACCGTCAAGTTAAAGAACATAACAGAAATTTCTATGTAGTAAAAATATGGGGAGAGGATGTTTAAATATGAAGATCCAGCATGGAAAATATGTCTGGGTGGTCAATCCAGAAAGGAGGGTGGGATGAGGCACATACCATTAGTAGGCATCAGAAATGATGTCATCTCACCCTTGGTATTGACTGGTATCTGGGCAGAGGCAAGAGGCAAATTTGATCCTGATTTGGACAGAAGCAAGGCTTTGCCTGCAAGAGATCTTGCCCCAAGCCTGAAACCCCGAGGCAGGTAGATCAAAGCACTAATATACTCAAACAAAATGACATAATAATCATTCAGTAGTCAGTGGGAAAGCTGAGGAATCTGCATCTGCATGAAGGAAAAAAGTCATGTGGTGACAATCAGAGCTGGGGAACAGTTC
The DNA here is from genome assembly GCF_000001405.40 of Homo sapiens. NCBI lineage: Eukaryota > Metazoa > Chordata > Mammalia > Primates > Hominidae > Homo > Homo sapiens. Next base: position 10,549,390 of record NC_000011.10, on the reverse strand, counting down.
GGACTGTAACATAAGCAAGAGAATATTCCCATCCTTGCTCCCACTTCTTCATGTCCCCTTTCCAATTCCCCACTCATAGGAAGAGGAGTCGCTAAACCTACTGACAAAGACCAAGACTTTCAATGGTAGGCACACACATTTTATTGATTGATGAGGTTATCCTTAAACTTCAAGGTAGCTGAGCTACCTTAAAGCTCAGCACCCATTCATGGCACTCACTTCTCTGCTTCCTGTCTCAGCCTCTGGCAGGACTTGCGCCCTAGACGCAGGTTAGCCACTTTCTACCATTACTTCTATTCCACATATGGAGTTAGATAGCTGGACTCAGCCCCTGTTGCATCTTTCTCTTCGTGGATCCTACTTAGGCCTCCAGGCTTAAGCCATATGCTTAAAAGAGTTTTCTCAGAGAACTCTGCACTGAGGGTTATTACCTGATATAAATGAAGTATGGATGGGGGCAAAGATAATTATTTTTGTTGTAATATCCAAACTTCTTTTATTCTCCTTTCCCAGAATGATGGCTTGGGATGCACCAATGTAACTTTTCTCTGAATCGATTAAAGCAGAATCCTGCTCCCCGCAGAACAACAAACTTCTAGGTTTATCTGGAAGCAGGTGACTCAAATATGCTCACAAGCAAGTGTGATCACCTTCCACATAGCATTAAGTGTTTTCCCACTGGTCTACTCCACTAATTCCACTAATTCTACTCCAGTGAATACTATCATATCTCCCGCTAGGCACACTGACCACTTCCCCTTGTTTTGTCCATCTTCCTCCATAACTATTTCCTCTAGGTATCACCACATCTAGCTGGTACTGCTGCCCCTACTAGGCACTGCTTCTATATCTTCTGGGCACTGCCACACCCACAAGGAACTGCTGACTCTGCCAGACTCTACTGCTGATTCCCTGGTAATATCCTAGGTGGCATCTACCAAGTAACAGTGCTACTTCTCTACATGATGTCTTGTCCACTGGAGACTGCTGCCTTTTCCTCCAGCAACCACAGAATTCTCTAGGCTCTGCCATCTCTGCCAAGAACTATTGCGGTTGCTATTGACTGACACCAGCACAGATACGCTGGAATTCTGAAGCCACTTTAGTATGGAAATCAAGGCACCCTTGCTGTGGTACATTCATTCCTATGAGAGATATTATGTGTAAATATGGAAATACCGGATTAGAACACCAATGAAAGATAACAATTGGCAATGTAGATTTGGAAACCATCTCAACACTGGTGAAAATTAAAGCTGTGAGTGCATGAGCACCACCGCCCCCCGGCCCCAAACATTTAAAAAATAAGAGCAGAAGGCTGAGAACAAAGTTTGAGTAGAAGCAGCCAGAAAGAAGAAATCAATGAGATAGAAAAGCCTCAAAGTCCTAGAAAATGATGAAGCTTTCGTCTTAATTTTAGGTGACTAGGTGTTCCTCTTATTCTACACTGACAGAATTAAAAGCAGTAGTGTATTGTTAGGAAAAGCACTGGACTAGTGGCCAGGAAATCTGGATTCTAACCCAGTTTAATTAACTTGCTCTGTACCCCTTAGATGAATCACTTTCCATCTTTGGGTCTCAGCTTCCTCACCTCTAAAAGAAGAATATTGGACCAGGCGATTGTTAGGCAGTCTTTTTTCAACTTTATGATTTTATGAATTACATACGGAAAGTTAAAAATGTTTACAATCCATAGCCACTCAGGGTCTTCCTCATATATTCCCACAGTCCTAACACAGATGCTTAGTGACCTTACAAAAAAGCAGGAGACATTGGACATACTTTCCTAGAAAAAAATATACCAGGCTGGGCTCAGTGGATCACACCTGTAATCCCAGCACTTTGGGAGGCCGAGGCGGGCAGATCACGAGGTCAGGAGATCGAGATCATCCTGGCCAACATAGTGAAACCCCATCTCTACTAAAAATACAAAAATTAGCTGGGCATGGTGGCGCACACCTGTATTCCCAGATACTCGAGAGGCTGAGGCACGAGAATCTCTTGAACCTGGGAGGCGGAGGTTGCAGTGAGCCGAGATTGTGCCACTGCACTCTAGCCTGGCAACAGAGCAAGACTCCACCTCATAAATAAATAAATAAATAAATAAATAAATGGAAGAAAAAATATACCATTCCAAAAGTCTCCAATTTTCCTGATCTTGACTACAGGACCATGTTTACTAGAATTTATCAAAGCCTCTGTGTTTTCTTTAACTGGAAAATACTTATTTAAAAAACTATGAAAATCTGAACATACATTACAAATTACAAGACTCATGGCAAAATGATCCTTCTTCTTATAAAAAACTTAGAGGTTTCTTCTTCCATAACTTTTACTATTTATATATGTGGTTTCCTACAAATATTTTTCTTATACTTTTTTATATGTAAGAAAAATAAAGTTTTCCTTATTCTGCTGCAAAGTAGCTTCAAAATTCCTATTCCACAGAGGATTTCTAATCTCTTCTATTTTGTTTTTTAAGATAATCTTTATTACTGTCTTGTTCTGTTTTACATTCTAATTAATTCATTATGCTCATGCAAAGGTAAGAAGAAGAAAGCTGTTGTGATGAGAAGGTATCTAGAGATGTCATTAATAATATTAATTTAATACTGATTTTAAATATTTTAGTCTTTTAGTCTTTTCCTTGTCAATCCTCACTATACTCCCCATGAGATATAAGAAGGAGTAATGGCTCTATTTTACAAAGTTGAAGGCAATTTGTGCAGAGCACTTTTCATGACTGTTTAGGCCACAATACAAAACCCTTTAAAATTCAACTAGCTATGTCTTTTTTAAACAAGTTTATTGAGGTATAATTGGCATACAATAAACTGTGCATGATTAAAATGTACGAGTTGAGAAGTTTCAACATATGCATCTGTGAAACCATCATTTAAAATCAAGAAGATGAACATATCCATCACTCCAAAAAGTTTCCTCCCACTCCTTTGTGGTACTACCCTCCCACCCATCTCCACAACACTGCTCCCGCATTCCCAGGCAACCACTGATCTGCATTTTGTCACTATACATTAGTTTGGATTGCCTAGAATTGTATATGAATGGCGTCACACCACAGGTACTCTTTTATTGCGGGGGAGGATCTGGCTTCTTTCACTCAAAATAGTTATTTTGAGACTCATCCATGTTGTTGAGGTATACCAATCAACCATTCCTTCTTATTGCTTAGTAATATTCCATTTTGTGGATATGCCACAATTTATTTTCCATTCACCTACTCATGGACATTTGGTTGTTTCCAGTTTGGGCCTATTACAGTTAAAGCTATGTATATTCATGTATAAGCCTCTGTGTAGGCATATGCCTTCATTGCTCTTGGGTAAATACCTAGGAGTAAAATGGTTAGATCATGTGGTAGGTGTATATTTAGCTTTTTAAGAAATAGCCAAACTCTTTTCCAAATTGTTGTATTATTTTACATTTCCAACATGCAGTATACAAGAATTTCTGTTGTTCCACATCCTTGTCAACATGTGATATGATCTGTCTTTCAAATTTTAGCCATTCTAGTAGCTACAGTGCACAGTGAAACCTTATTATTTTCCTGATTTGCATTTCCCTAATGATTAATGGTATTAATTCATGCACTTATTTTGTCATTTATAAATCTTTGGTGAAATGTCTGTTCAAATATTTTGCCCATTTTAAAAAGTTGGGTTGTCTTCTTATTGGGTTGTAAGAGTTATTTATGTATTCTAGTTAGAAGTCTTTTGCCAAATATATGTTTCGCAAATACTTTCTCCAAGTTTGTGGCTTACCTTTTTATTTTCTTAACAGAGTCTTTTAAAAAGCAGAAGTATTTAATTTTGATGAAGTACAATTCATCCTTTTTTTTTTTTTTCATTTATAGTTTGTGCTTTTTGTGCCATCTTTAAGAAGTCTTTGAGAAATCCAAGGTCACTAAGATATCTTCTAGAAGTTTTGTGATTTTAGCTCTTACATTTAGATGTATGATCCATTTTTAGTTAATTTTTACATATAGTATTGATGGCAGTGGCAGCCCGTCTGGAGCAGCTGCTGCAAAGATGCAAGCTGCAGTGAGGGAGGCCTGGCCAGGGCTGCACACTCCACAGAACCATGAAAACAGGAACAGGCTGGAGCCCCACCTGCTTCTGAGTTGGTGGGGTGGGAGCCCCACCCTCCTGGGCACAGCTGCAGCTGCCCAACCACAGCTGTGGACCTGGGCATCCTTGTGCTCTCAGGGGCCCAGGAAGCCCCTTGCCCCCACAGGCTTGAAAGTGCCTGCTCCTGCTGTCTGGCCTCTCCCTGCTTCTGGGGCAGAGCAAAGTTGTGGCCAAGCCCAGACGCTGTCACAATCTGGCAGGTGTGTGCATGCTTGGGGCAACACTGACATGCCAGCCCCCTGCCACCTCAGCCCCCTCTGGACTTTGGACACTGATGAGCATGGGAGGGGAAGCTGAGGGGGCGCTGAGGGCAGCTCAGTGTGGGCCTGCAGGCTCCCGCTGGCACAAACAGCCTTGGTGCCATGGACAGTGGCATGAGGCAGACTGGCTCCTGGGCAAAAAGGGGTGGGTCCTCAGTGAAACCCTACCTTTAGGCAACTGAGAGTCTGAAGCCTGGGGGCTGGGCTGCCAGGTCCTCAGACTGGAGTGAGAACTTATGGCACTTTTTCTACTGCCCATGGACCAATCAGCATGCACTTCCTCCCTCTTGAGCCCATAAATATCCTAGGCTCAGCCAGACTCAAGAAACATGGGGACAACCTGCCTGCGTGTAGGAGCTACCCACTCCAGATCTCCTCTCTGCTGAGGGCTCAGCAGACATCCTGACGACCTGCCTGCAGAAAGGAGCCACCCACTGTGGGTCTCCTCTCAGCTGAGAGCTGGGCAGACAACCGGACAACCTGCCTGCAGAAAGGAGCTACCCACTTAGAGTCTCCTGAGAGCTATACTGTCACTCAATAAAGCACCTCTTCACCCTACTCACCCTCCAATTGTCTGCATACCTCATTATTCCTGGATGTGGGACAACAACTTGGGACCTGCCAAATGGCAGGACTGAAAGAACTGTAACACAAACAGGGCTGAAACACCCCCTCACTCCCCATGTTGCAAGCGATGAGAAGGACAGAAGAGAGAAGGAGAGAAGAGCTTTGACACTTCGAGAAGCCCAGACCTAAGAGCTCCCTGAGCCAGGACTGTAACACCCTCTTGGGGGCTCTGCATTTCCTGGCATCTCAAAGCTTCCAGGTGCCACCACATTCCCTAGTGCCAGCAGTGGAAGCCGCTTGTGGTACTCCTGGTCCAGCCACAGCTTTGCAGGAGCCAGCGCCCATGCCAGCACCTGGAGCCACCCGCCCCGCCACAGCTGGCGTGCCTAGCTGTGCACAGCGGCCAGACCTCGCGCTCACTTGCTCACGCACCCCTCACCACTTTGCGCCTGGCTCGTCCTTGGCAGGCATGGGATCTGGGCCAGTGGCATGAGCCGAGTGCAGCCTGCAAGGCCAAATGGGCAGAATGAGCCCAGTGGGCCTGAGCAAAACTCGGGCAAAGGAGCCACCGGCCACAGAGGTTTCTGGCTGGCAGAGCAACACTCCAAGGATCCTGTGACAGTATGAGGAAAGGAGCAAGATATTAAGAGTTTTTTGGCATATGCTATTCAATTTTTTCAGGTTTATTTGTTGAAAAGATTATCTTTTCCCCCACTGAATTGCCTTGGCATATTTGTCGAAAATCAATTGATGACATATGTATAGATACATCTCTGGGTTCTATATACTGTTCCATTACTCTATCTATTTTCATACCTATACTATACTGTGTTGAGTAGCTCTTATTATAATGTCTTGAGATCAGGTAGTGTAAGTCCCAAAACTTTGTTTTTTTTGATGAAAGTCTTGACTATCCTAGGTCCTTTGCATCTCCATATAAATTTTAGAATTAGTTTGGTCATTTCCATCAAAAAGAAATCTGCTAGAATTTTTATTGGAATTTCCTTAAATCTGTAGGTCAATTTAGGCAGAAGTGATATCTTAAAAATGCTCAGTCTTCTGATTCATGAACATAATGTATCTCTATTTATTTAGGTCTTCTTTAATTTCTCTTAACAATGTTTTTTATTTTATTTTAGATTCAGGGGGTACACGTGTAGTTTTGTTACATGGGTATATCGAACAATGCTGAGGTTTAGGCTTCTAATGATCCAGGTCACCCAAGTGGTGAACATAGTACCCAATAGTAGTTTTTTCTACCCTTTTGGAATCCCCAGTGTTTATTGTTCCCAACTTTGTGTCTGTGTACTCAACGTTTAGCTCCTACTTATAAGTGAGAACATGCGGTATTTGGTTTCCTGTTTCTGCATTATTTTGCTTAGGACAATGGCCTCCAGCTGTATTCATGTTGCTGCAAAAGATATGATCTAGTCCTTTTTGTGGTTGTATAGTATTCCATGGCGTATATGTACCACACTTTCTTTATCCAATCCACTATTGATAAGCACCTGGGTTGATTCCATGTCTTTGCTATTCCATAATATTTTATAGTTTTCAGTATACATGTCTTTCTCATCTTTGGTCAAATTTGTCCCAAATTTGCTGCTTTTTTTTTTTTTTTTTTTTTTGCTGATAAGAGATATTTAAAAATTTTCCATTTCTAATTGTTCATTGCTAGTATATAGAAATACAACTGATTTTTGTATATTTGATTTTGTATCTTGCAACTTTTGTAAACTCACTTATGAGTTCTAGCAGCTTTTTTGTAGTATTCCACAATTTTCTTATGCAAATAAATGCAGTGCTACAACTTCCTTTCCAACTTGGATGCCTTTTATATATTTGTCTTTTTTTATTTCATTGACCAGAACTTCCAATACAATGTTTAATTGAAGGCAATTTTTACAGAGTAATATTTCTAACTCCCAGGCCCGGATTAGGCTGAACTATGGAATCTTGTTGAATTTGATATCTTTTGGAATTTATTAAATCATTATTTATACTTCATTTTTAAGCTTTTTCCTTTTCCAGTGTTCAAATATTCATCAAATGTTCAAATATTGAACAAGTACCATGCTGGCTGTCAGGGAAATAATGGTGCACAAACAGGCATGGACCTAGCGCTAATGAAGTCTTACCGTACTACCGAGGCAGTTTAAAACAGGAATTAAAAACACAGGTTCAGGGTTCTGTCTGCTTGGGTTTGAATCTGGCTCTGCTCCTTAATGGTTGTTTGACCTTGGAAAAGTTAATCGACTTTTCTAAGCCTGTGTCTTAGTGAAGGTATTAATAATACCTACTCACAGGATTGCTGTGAAGATTAAACGAATTAATACCTTTAAAGTCCTTAAAATACGGTTTGACATATAGTAAATGGTCAAAGAGTATTATTATTAGAGGGAAGAATTAGCTCTTCACAAGGTGAATCTACAAGTGACTGGTGAAGGAGGGGTGTACAAACAAGAAACATAAAAACCAGTTTAACTGCTAAGCATAGAGGCAGCAGTGTCAGCTGTACCTGGGTTAAAATCCTTGCTCTGCTGTTTATTGTCTAGGCAACTTTGACCAGACGACTTAAACAAGAGCAATGCCCGTAAAGTGCCTAGTGCAGTATTTGGCACACAACAGATGCTTAAAAGACAGCAATTACTGATTCAGACGTCCCGCAGAGCAGTAATATCACTAACATGTGCTCATCATCATATCTATCATTTATCAAAGCTCAGGATTTTGAACCTTGTAATTACTTTTCATACATTCTCTTATGCTTAACAACTCGGCTAGGTGAACACAATCCATTGCCTCATAAAGAAACAAGATGACCTTTGTGTATCTATCATCAGTGGGGAGGCTGGAGGTCTGGGAAGTGGTACCTTGGAGCCCAACTGTTGACCAAACCAGGGCTCTCAGTGCGGCCTTGGTCGCCAGCGGGGCGCTCCACTTTCCGCTCCGGAGATGGCACCAGGAGAGATGGGAGTCTGCCAGGCTGTTTCCATGGCCACCTCATGAAGCCCCTGCTCCGGGAGCGTGACAGGCGAGACTCTCCTTCGCCGCCACCTCTCGTCTCAGATGACCATCTGGGCTCGAAAGCCCTCAGGAGCTGCGGAGCGCGGGTCGGTAGGGGCGCTGCAGAGGAAGGTTGGGCGCCGTCTCCCGGCAACGCGCGGGGGGCGGGGCTTTGCGTCACAGAGGTGCGACCGGGTCCCGGCCTGAGTCGCGGCCACCCGCAGGTCTGAGCTGTGGGCTGAGGCAGCGCAGCCGCTGCCGCAGGGTGCGCGATGCCTTGAACCTGGGGTGAGCTCCGCGGCGCTGTCCTTTCGTGTTTCCCTTGCTAGCTGCTCCAGGACTCTGGGTCTGGGAAGAGAAACCCCAGAGGGCCCTCCGCTGCCGAGCCAGGCTTCCGCGGGGAGACAGGCCTAGCCCCGCCGCCCTCCCCGGGCCTCGGATTGGGGCGTGGGGACGGCTGGGGAGGCCATTCTATTGACGCCCGTCTTCTGCCCGGCGGGTTCCAGTTGCCCGGGGTGGCGGTGGCTTGTCCCGCCTCGGGGTGGTTCTGAGGGACCCGGAGAGAGTTTTTCCTTCTCTATCCCAAAACGGTTGTTTGAATATTGCCGCCGGCTCAGTCATTCGGCCGCCGGACTTAGCTGTTGGTTAAATGTCCAGGTGCGCTTGAGGAGGGGCTGAGGCGGCGTAGCCAGAGCGAGCGCTAGGGTGGCCCGCGGGCTCGGTCTCCGCCGGGCTGGACACCCAAATAAGAAACCTTTTGCCTGGGACGATAGCTCAGAAATAGCCACGTCGATCTACTTAGCCAGCCCCACACTTATGAATTGGCTTAGGCTGCTACCCTTCCCAAAGGTCTTTCCTTGTCAAACTAGCTGCTACCTTGAGACCCGGCTAAGAAAAGAACGTTTTCTTGCTAATAATAAGAAGGTAGTGATTACACAGCAGGAGCAGAAGGCTTCTGTGTTAGCTTTTGAAATTATTCCTTCAGTTATTTGTCTCGGCGTTACAAAATGTGGATTTACGATTGTTATTGAAATCGATCCCTATGCCCCTTATTAAAGGTAGTGTACCTTTTATATTCTGACACTGTCCTATTTAGCGGTGCCAGCTAATTCAGTTCTTGCCTCTGGCATATATATAAAGCTGCTGGAACACTTTCAATTGTTTATAATTCTTACATCTTCAGCACGAATTTATTCGTTTTCACTCCCTTCTGCCCATTCTTCTTGCTATAAAATGACCTCTACCCATTCAGAATTTTGTCTGGGGGCATGAGCTGCCACCGGCCGACGATCCTAAATTAGTCACCTCCATGTCGAAGTCACCCGTCTGAGAAGTGATGCTTTCTGAATTCAGAGCTCAAAAATAGTATGGATTTTTATCCTTTTCTTTCACATTGCCTGACTTCAGTTTCTAGAACTTTTTCTCAAGAATATGACTATATGTTTCAAAAATTAATATTTGTCATTTGGTGTAAATGAACTTTATATTCGATGTGTGTAGCCTGATCCTTCTTGGTTCCCATCTAAATACAAACACGCTTTCCTTCCCAAAAAGGCAAGGGAGGTCCAGAGAGAATTCTTACAAGTCTAATATGCTTTTTCCAATATGAAATGCATTTAGTAAACACACTGTTACTGTGAGAAATCCATATTCTTAATCTCCTAGTACGGCACTCTATCCTTTTGTAGTTTCTCTCTCCTTCTCTCTCTAATATATATGTATGTATCTTTTTCTGATCAAGATCTTTGATTCTGGAACAGGCATTCTGGACTCTATAGTGACTCTGGCCTAATTATTTCACTATGTATCTATATTAACTTGTCTTGAAAAAAAAAAGTTGATATCTGTTTACAGATCTACAGTTTGAGTAAACAATGAGTAATAAAGTAAATAATATCCTTAGGGACCCAGTCAGTAGTACTTGGTATTTATTACTGATGTTAAAGTTGACTTGACAGTGAAAATCATTGATGTTTATTTCAATTAAATCCTTTTAGGTGAGGTTGATACAAAATTTGATGGAGAACTGGTTTCAGAGAGGTTTTTAAAATACTACAGTGCAGTACTTGTCATTTAGTCATTTTGGTGCATTTTCAGCCTTTTCCATTTTGCTTTAGTTATTTTATGAATGAATTATGGTTTAAATTTTTAGGAGTTTTTGAGCAGTTTTTTCGTTTTTGCTTTGCCAGTTACCCATGATGTAATTTTAATATTTTTATAAGGAATATTTGAACTTCCACAATTCATTTGTTAGAAAAATAAGTGATTCACTATGTACCACCCACTAGAGAATGTGGCATTTTTGGAATCCTTGATCTTGTGCATTTCAAAATAACAGTTCTTTATTTAGAAAATCCTTCAAATGCTTTTTGAAAGCATATTTTTATCTTGCAAAAAATGACTGTGTTATAGGTGGCACAATAATATGAGAGCTGCTAGTTCTTTGAGAAATCTTGACCAGAAATTCATCTTTTGTTGAATTCTGTGCCAGTGGTTTGCAAATTATGTTTCTATGCAATACCACTGTTGCATGGCCTAGGGGGGAGTATCTTGTTAAAATCAAATAGTAAATGTTTCCCAGTTTACATAAGCATTAATTTAATGACAGATTTTCACAGTTTTACATTTTCTTTCATACATATTTTTAACTTCTGCTTCTCTCCAACCTAGTACTAATAGATGACTGACCAAATTAACAAAAGTCAAAAGAATACTAAGTGAATAATAATAAAACAAAAACTGCCAATGGTATTTACTGCATTTATTCAGTAAACATCTATTGAGTGCTTGTGTATCTGCCAGAAGACAGACCATAGCTGCTGTCCTCAAGAAGCTCACTAGAGGGAAATGGCCAAGTGACTTAACGAATGTCATAGTATGATAGAAATATGTGCAGTCACCAAAGAGGGACACTGAAAAGCTGTGGTGGTTGACTAGAGGATGGCCTCAACAGATTGTTTTCGTGAACATGCACTCTGTGTTGTGGTTTTATATTGTATGCAGATCACAGAGTCATATCTTATTTTCACACCCATATAGTGATAGATGTTAATATTTATCAATATTTTATGGTTTTCAAAATAAACTAAATGTCAAGCCCTCTTTCTGGAACCAGGTTGAAAACCACTTCTGCAGGCTCTCTCAGGTAGTCTCTAGATACTGTTGCATTTTAATGCAAGGAGTTAGTGATGAAGTTTCCCAGATACCAAGTACAGTTACAAGATAACAAGTTAATATGCTGCCTCAAATTATAAACTTTACTCAAAGTTAGGGCAGCAGATGAAAACAATGCTGAAACAAAGGGGATCATTTTCTATTAATAACTCAATAAATAAGCAACTAACTCTTCTTTTGAAATATGGTTTTGGTGGGTAATGTAGGGTAGCAAAATACGCCACTTTGGCATAAGGATTATTTTGAGTTAAAAGCACATTGAAAAGCAGCAGATGTAAGAAGTGCCCACTGACCCTCCTAATTCTTCCTGAAGGCTGGAGATAAAACAGCCATGTGAAAGATGTCCTCTCTATGCCAGGAGGAAGACATTATCATTACTAGAAGTGGGCAATCAAAGCTGAGAGAAATGTGTTCAAAGAAGCCTTCTTAAAGTAACCCTTATCTTCCTAGTCACTTTTCTGTGATTAACTGGCCCAGCCCAAACCCTTGTGTCTTGTCATGTTTTCACAGTTTACTTCTCCTTTGTCCAATCTACTATGTAAGCTTTTGGCCTTAATTACTTTTTTTAGTCCTTATTTTTCTTGAGGGCTCCTGTGTATGTATAAAAATTACTAAATAAAATTTGTGTGTTTTTCTCCTGTTAATCTGTCTTAGGTTAGTTTAATTCTTGGGCCCAGCTGGAGACCTCAGAGAGCAGAGGGAGAGAAATTCTATCTCCCCTATACCACGTTGGTTAAATTATCATAGGTATTTATATTAAATATTGAGACTATATATTTCAAAAGTTCAGTTTTTTTCTTTGTTAAGTAATGTAGATATTATTCAAAGTTTTCAGCCTGGTTGACTAGAATCTTAATTACATTTTCATTAAATTGGTACAGGAATGTTAGAGGAAGGTTCAGTTTCATTTTGGGAATAAAATGTTAGGTTAAAGGTCACCTACTCCACTTCCCACCCAGGTAAAAATCCCTGTAACACTTATTAGATGTACTTCTAATCTTTACCTAAACACTTCCATACTTCCAATGAGAGGGAGCTCACATGTAGCAGCCATTTCCACTTCTGGATGGTGCGACATGCTTATCATCAACTGAAATCTGCCTTTCTAATTTATACTTACTATACTTAGTGGCCATCCCATTCTCTGTAAATGAATCTTGTTTTTCCACATGACAGCTCCTCAGATATTTAAACAAACTTATATTGCTTCATTGTTACCAAACTATGACTATCTAGAATAAACCTCTTTTTTTTTCTATGCCCATGAATATGTTCTAATTTATTAGTATCCTTTAAAGCCAACTGCTTAGAGCTGAATACAGACTTTTCAGTGTGGCCTAACCATTGCAAAGCATAATGGACTAGTAGGCTGCTTGCTCAAGATACCTGCTTCTAGCAAGAGTTTAGGATTATTTTAGCATACTTGTTGCCCCCGTTATACTGTTGACTTATTTTGATTAAAAACCCCAGACTTGGCCGGGTGCGGCAGCTCATGCCTGTAATCCTCGGCCTGGGAGGCCGAGGCGGGAGGATTGCTTGAGCCCAGGAGTTTGTTACCAGACTGGGCAACAAACTCTGTTTGTTTAAAGAGACTCCATCTCTTTAAAAAACACAAAAACAAAAACCCAGACCTTCTGTATTTTAACTGCTTTTGAGCACATCTTACATATGTGTTTTTGTGCAGTTGGCTCTTCAGGATATAACTTTTAGTCATATTAAATAGCATGTAAGTGTCTGTTTTAGTCTTGATCCTATTATTCACTAGATAATATTCATTTATTCCAGTTTTGGTCATCCGCAGATTGGGCAGGCATACAGTCTTCAGGTCATCAACAAAAATGTTAAACAGCCCAACTCTTGGTGCCAGTTTCCCTCTCCCTTTGCCTCTCTGCTTTAGTCCTTGTGGCCTTTTTAAAAATTACCTCAAAGTCACCGTGCTGCTTCCTGTCTCAGGCACTTTTCATAACCTCTGCCTGGAGTGTCCTCCTTTTGCCATTTCCCTACTTTTTTTTTAATCCCTAACTCTGACCATTCTGACCTCAAGTAAAATGTTGTTTGCCCAGGGACTTCTTCCCTGATACAAAACTAGGTCAAGTCCCCCTTTTATAGGCTTTCACAGCACCTGTACTTGTTCACCTAGCACTTCTCATTTTGTAATTATACATTTATTTGTGTGGTTACTGTCTCTTCTCCACTGTATTGGATGCTCCACAGTGGCAAGAACCATGTTTCTTTTGTTCACTGTTTTATCTCCAGAACATAAGCACCAGGCACGTGCTACTTGTTGAATTTAATTTTAAAAAAGTCCTGTAACACAGTGGCTCCCTAATACCAGTCTGCAACCCTTGGCTTCTGATGATGTTTTCATAAGTTTGGATTCGATCAAGAAAAATAAGGACAATGTGTAGTATACCTGGTAAATATGTGGTATACCTCATTGTGAAGTTACTGCCCTTCTTGGGAAAGACTTTTTTTCTAATATTATATCCTACTTTTCAGGTTATAAGTTCTTTTTGAGATTTTTGTTAAGTTTTGGGGAATTTTTGTTTATTTTTGGAAACTGTCCTTGCTTAGAATTAAAAGAAGTATCCAACACCATGGTGCTTTGAGATTTTACTAGTCTTTGAAATTCAGCAATCACTGTTGTTGACTGCCCTAGAGACCTCTTCTAAGCTAAGATCTTTAATTGTTTCTTCTTGGATACAGTTGCTGTAAATCCACTTGGCTATATTTACATATAATTTGACTTCAGGGATTTTTTTTTTTTTTTTTGGCCTGGATCTTCCTCAACAACTTCCTTTCATTTATCTCTATAATGTGATATTTATTATTACCAAGTAGGCTCAGATTCAAAACTGTTGTTTTTTGTTTTTTTTTTAAATTACAATTGTCCTTTTCCTATTTTAGGTAACTAAAGGAATTAACTTCAAATACAGTACATTAAATTTTAATACCTAAAGGAAATTTTACATATTTTGGGGTTACTAACTTCATAAAGTTATATATATTTTAAATTTATAGCTTTATTTTTTGATTAATGATAAAGCAATCTTCCTACCAAAACTTTTTCTATAAGAGTATTACTGTTTCACCTGCTTTATGTGATATGGTTGTTAATTTGGATGAAATAAAATGATAGTCTTTGATGGATAAATAAAATAGAATTTCTTGGGGGGGCATCTGATTTTGGGGGCATTTAAAAACTTGATAATTAGATATATATTTTGGGGGTACCTAAAAGAGTTAATGAACAAAAGAGCTATCTTTTTCCAGGCAGAAAATGTGAGGTGGTTAAAATATCTAACATTTTAATTTTCTTAGGTTTTTCAAGCCACAAGTCTTTTTATATATTTTTAAAAATTAAAACTAAGGTACACATCTATAAATAAAGTAATTCAACAAAAAATTATTTAGCTGATGTAAATATATTGTGAGCCAGTATGTCATAGTGGATAAGAATGTAAGTACTAGAATCTGAAAAACAAATTCAGAGTTCACTTTCACCACTTACAGCTGTGTAACTTTAGATAAATCACCTAGCTCAGTTTCCCTGTCTATGGGAAATAGGTAGGGGTGTAATATTGTCTACCTCTTAGGATTGTTGTAAGAAGTAATTGACATAATATACGGAAAACAGTTTGGAGCCTGACATGTGGTAAGCAGTCAGGAAATGTTCTTAGGAAAATTATAGAAGGTAGACAAACTTCCTCTTAAATACAATTACTTGAATGCGTGTGTGTGTGTGTGTGTGTGTGTGTACACATGCACATGTGCTTTAGTGGTTTTTGACTTGGTAAAATTATAAGAATTAGAGGTTCATCACCCTCCCAATAATATATAAGTGAATCCTGTTTTCTCATTTAGCTATGTGAATCTGAAAACAGAGTCATTTAAATTCTACCTTAGACTCATGTAGGTCTACTCAACTCTCACTTAAAGGTATCCCTAGTTTTTCTTTATGTTTTTGAAGAATGAGTATATTGCCGTTTTTGTATAATATGTAAAAGTAACTTTTCTGTATATTTGACAGAAACTATGTGAAGCAACACTCTGGATTTTGAAAGACATCTTTTCATCATGGGACAGCAAATTTCGGATCAGACACAGTTGGTTATTAACAAGTTACCAGAAAAAGTAGCAAAACATGTTACGTTGGTTCGAGAGAGTGGCTCCTTAACTTATGAAGAATTTCTTGGGAGAGTAGCTGAGCTTAATGATGTGTAAGGCTTGCTCTTTTTGTTTTTCGTTTTTCCCCTTGTTGTATGTATGCCCCATATGTCATGGCTGTGTAAGATATAACCAGAGGTGTTGATTGGTAAGACTTAATGTTTTCAGTTAGCATTAACAAATACTTATTGAGTATCTATTATAAGTTGACTTTCTATGTAGCTTTTTAAAAGTATGTAATGGGGACAGAAGATATGGAAAGAACTTAAAATGGAACTTGGAACACAGCACAGGCATATTGAAGCAATTCTAGGATACAGTAGTACATCCCAGCATCTCAATTTTATACCAATAGACTCTTGTTTGAAAGCACTAAAGGGGTGCATAACAAAATGGAATATGAGAATTAGCCACTCTAGAGAAAGACTCCTAGGATAGTCAAAGGTAACACTGAGAAGGTTTCTGTACATGAAGCAATTCATTCATGTGTGTGTGTATATAGACACACACATGCATATATATATATACTTTTTTTTACTGTGTCATCATTTTGCTAGAGGAATACATATGTAGTAATAGCTTATTTTCATCACTGAGAAATAATATATTTCATTTATTCATATTTTCTAATTAATTAACACCTTTAAATTTCTACTTAACTCTTTGACTAAATTTCTAAAATGAAATATAAATTTCTCTGCCTTCTTAAAGAGTACACCTAATACAACTTAGTCTTCTATTTGTTAATTTATTTATCAATTTTGGTATTGATCTATGTAGAAGCTATGAAAATATATAGGGCTCTTTGTTCCTGAATGCCCCCAGACCACTGTGCTTTTAAAATATGACTTTTTTGCTATTTATTTTCTCCCTTGGTGACAATTGGGCAGATGTCATATCTTTCTTTTAAATCTGCCTCTAGCAACATCCACATCTACCTTTATTTATGTATATCTTCTAACCCCTGGGAGTATAATTAGAACCTGTGGAGTCACCTCTTAAATGAGATCTTAAAGGTTCTCTGTTTAGTCTCTTCAACTTAGCTAACATTCACTAAGCACATAGTATGTGCAAGGCCCTCTGCTAAGGATTGGACCTTTTAACTGAGGGCCAAGTTGATTACGCAGGTATTAATGGCATGTCCACCTCTCTGAATCTCAGTTTTCCTGTTATCCCATATTACCTCTCCTTAAACCCTAAAAAGGCTGAATGAAATCGACTAGCAGTTCAGGACCACTTAGTATATAAACTTACAGTACTGTAGTCACTATTAATAGTTTAAGGTAAGATATATGAACCCACTCCGTAGGCATTACAACCATGGTGTTAGGTGATAAGAGACATGCTTAGCAATCTGTAACATATTAGATAAGCTTGATATACTGTCTTTATGTGAAGACATACTGTCTTTATTGGGAAGAATAAAGACTGTCTTAAAAGTTATCTTAGAAGATGGTTTCTTTTAAGAAGATTGGATTTCATTCATTAAAACAAAACAATATAAAACAAAAAGCTGTATATAGTTGTGGGGTGTGTGTGTGTGTGTGTGTGTGTGTGTGTGTGTGTGTGTGTAGAAAATGAACTAAACTATTCCCAGTGCTTGTCTCTCGGTTGGGAGATGGTGGGAAAAGGGGGCAGAGAGGGAGATTTTACATTTTACTGTGTGTATTTATGTATTTTTATGATAAAAATATAGTCATTGGTTTTAAAAACTCTAGCATTTTACTTATTTTTAAAAATTATCCAAAGGGTAGTGTGCAAAGCATTAATTCTGGGATTATATTCTTAAAGAATTTTAAAAATAGGATTCTGAATTTAGTAACATAAGAGTGGAATGCTTTGTTATGTTTATATTTTCAACTCTTATGAGCAGTAATCAATGACATTTACCATTCCTTTAGAGTCTTGGAATTTATATTCATAAACCCTGTCTATTGTATGAAGTTTTGCCCTTTAGCATAAAGATACAGGTATTAGATAAAATGTACCCTATAAAACCATCCACAAACTAAGCTTACTGTGTGATACAGAGGTCTTCCTTTTATTTATTTAGCACAGGATATTTCTGACTGGATTTGATTCTTAAAACCAATTTCCATGGGTCAGAATTGGCATTTCAGACGTGCAGTGATCTCCGAGAACTGTAGAATTAAACCTATACAGGACGAAGCTTGGCAGCTAGAAAACAGAGCTGGAAACTGGCACGGCTGAATTATTTTCACCGAAGACTTTGTTTCCTAAGGCTAGTTGCTTAACTTTCGATGGCCTCATTTTATTTAGCTGTTAGTTGAGTGTGATATCCCCACTGGTGCTCAGAGAGAGTTGTTAGTAATGATAAAAGGGAACTGCAATACTTAAGCATGTCTTCGAACTGATTTAAATTAATGTTGATAGCATGATATTGAATTATCTTCTAGAAGTGATACATTTTTATGTTTAAATCCTTTAGCTCTCTAAATTAAAATTACTCTGCTAGGGGAGGACAGTAGAGCTATATATAAAGTGTCTCAAATCATTTGTTTTACTTGATGTAGCCCCAAATTATCTGAACAAAAATTTTCAAGAGGTTTGTTAGTATCATTGTTTGAACAAGGACTGAACCAAGAGCAAGATGTTTTTCATGCTTTATATACGTCTGAGGCAACAGTCAAAAAATTTTGATAAATGACACTAGCTAACCTTTTTTTTTTTTTTGAGACTGAGTCTCACTCTGTCGCCCAGGCTGGAGTGCAATGGCGTGATCTTGGCTCACTACAACCTTCACCTCCCGTGTTCAAGCAATGCTCCTGCCTCAGCCTCCTGAGTAGCTGGGATTACAGGTGTACGCCACCACGCCCGGCTAATTTTTGTATTTTTAGTAGAGACGGGGTTTCACCATGTTGGTCAGGCTGGACTCGAACTCCTGACCTCGTGATCTGCCTGCCTTGGCCTCCCAAAGTGCTGGGATTACAGGTGTGAGCCACTGCCCTGGCCAACCTTTTTTTTAAGTCCCTGATTTCTAAGACTTGTTTTTCCTAAATGTCTTTGTTAGAAATTTAAAGACCATTGAGATATAGGTGTGACAAAGAGAGATTTATAAATATCATGCCACCAAGCTGTTGACTTTAAAAACCTTAGAAATTAAGTTGCATGTTTATGTTCAAAATATTCTCTATCCCTGTTTTAAGAATCCAGTTATTATAATCATTATTATTTGTCTTTTTGTGTTTCTTCATATTTCCTTCTCTGAAATTGTTTCTTGAATCTAGTTTCATGGCTGTATTATTTTATTAATATATGATTTTTCATAAAATTAACATGTTCTTGTCTCTTTTCAGAACGGCTAAAGTGGCTTCTGGCCAGGAAAAACATCTTCTCTTTGAGGTACAACCTGGGTCTGATTCCTCTGCTTTTTGGAAAGTGGTTGTACGGGTGGTCTGTACCAAGGTGAGACTGATGGAGACTTCTACCTCTGAGCTTAAGCTATTTTGGTGGCTAGAACTATATTTAATACTGTAAGATAATATAATGCATATACATTTTAATAACTCGGTGGTTTTGTAAAACATAGTTTTGTTACTGTTATTGCCTTCTAACTAGCTGTTTGAATCTTACAGTTGTCTAATTGCTATACAGCAGGGGTTTTTATAATCAAATTCTTTTTTGCCTCAATATCTCTAACCATTACATCATACTAATCTTCTATCTCTGTTTTTGGGTTTTTAGCTGGCTGTGGAATGCTAAGGTGACATCCTATTTAGCTCTAAGATGATACCTTAAAAATTAATGTTATCTTGAGATCATTTCTTTTAAGAATACATTCATTCATTAAAAAGAAAAAAGATCCATTGAAAGAGTTTTTTTGTTTTTTAGTAATTTTTAGTTATGGGATAGATTTTTTGCCAGCTGTCATTGAGTATTAGAAAGCCTCAACCACCACTGAGTAGATTCAGATAGAAAGTTCTTAACTTTTTGAGGCTACAAACCTTTTGATTAAATGAAGGCATGAATTTTATTAGGCCACCTCCTATCCCCACCCCGGCTCTAAAACAAAGAACAAAATCATCCATATGCATATAAACCATAAATTGGGCATTCATGAGCGCTCTGAAGTTCATTCCCGACTGACCCATAAAGATTCCCTGGGTTAGGAGATTTTTCCTTTGAGTCACGGACCCTGGAGGTTACCCAAATAATATGCCTTATTTCCTCAGTAGATTGTCAGTTTTACCCATACTGTGTTTTGCTTCC
Organism: Homo sapiens; assembly: GCF_000001405.40. Taxonomy (NCBI): domain Eukaryota; kingdom Metazoa; phylum Chordata; class Mammalia; order Primates; family Hominidae; genus Homo; species Homo sapiens. Next base: position 10,529,838 of record NC_000011.10, on the reverse strand, counting down.
AGTTTATTCAGATAAACATTTGAGCACAAGTGTGAGAGGCATTAGGAATATATGATAAATAAGACAGATTTCATGCTCTCAAGCAGACTGATCTCTCTCTTCTGATCCAGATTATCACAGATTTTGTATTAATCTCTATACTTCTAGACTCTTCTCCAAATTCTAATTTATGCTGCTGTGAGATTAACCTTTCTAAAGCACAACTCGCATCAGATTACTGCCTTGCTTAAAATTCCTCAGTAATTCCTTCTTGCCTACCAAATAGTCCCAACTCCTACAATATGACTCCAAACTATCTTTTCTGCATTAGTCACAATGACCTTCTTTTGCTCTGCATTCTTATCAGGCTTAACTAACTTAAGACTGTATCATTGTTACTTTTCTTTTCCAGTTCAGTGCTTCTGCTTATTGTGTTTTCTCAACTAGGATGTCCATTCCTTCCATTAGGAAGTCACGGAAAATTCCTGTTAAACCAGTTTAAACAAAAACAATACTTATTTTCTCACTTATCAAGAAATCCTAACTCTATAGACTAACTGCAGGATTGGTTAAATTAAAGACCCAGCAGATGTCACTTCTGAACTCACTGGTCAGTATTGGGTCATATCCCCTTCATACACCTACACTGACAGAGGGAATATGATTAGCATGATTGGTTTAGATTAGACTAACCAGGATTGACTCCTGCATCATTTCAGGGAATGGTGGACACAAAAACAAAATAAGGTTCTGCTGGCAATGAAAAGAAGGAATGGTATTTGGATAATCAGCCAGTAGTTTCTGCCACACCTTTTATTTCTGCATCTCTAAACCTGATGTCTCTTTAAAGGTCCACCTCAAATACCATCTCATCCATTAAGTCTTCCTGAATAGGAGTTCTCTTGTCTCTTCCAGATTCCAACAGCACATTATTTATACTTTATAATACTGCATTACGAAAAAAGTTGTTTAGGTTCTTAGCTCCCCTTTAGAGAGTAAGCTCCTGAGGGCAGGAACTATGTCTAGATTCATTATTGTATCTCTTACAGGCTGTAATACGGTGCTTTACACATAGTAGGAACTCAGTATATATTAAGTGAACAAAAAAAATCTGTTGAAATAATACTCTCTTTTTAAATGACTGGGATAGGTTGAAGCTTTCCTTGTTTATTGACACAGTATATTATCTAAATTACACTTAATGTTCATTTTTATTTCATAAAGTACTCAGCTCACATTGAAGAGGCCAATATAAATTGTAGAAAGCTAAGGGAATACGAATATATCAGGCTTTTCATCCCTTCGTTTTTTGTTGCTCTTTGACAAATACAGACTTAAGGTTTAATTTTATTAGTAGTCAAATTCCTTTTTGCCTCAATATGTCTAACATCTGTATGTGATTAAACATCTTCCTTAAAATAAGATTCTAAGTAGAGAAACAAAAGTACTAAAGGCACAGGCAATTAGATATTTTTTCATGTGATTTTTCTTGATTTTAGAGCTACTCTAAAGAAATTTTTTTATTTGCATTCCTTAGGTTCTTTCTGAAAGAATCTGAGAGGTCAGTGTTTATGTTAGAAAGAGGTCAAGTCCACCATGAAAAACTGATAGGAGATTGAGAGTTTCACATTTCTTAATGTTAAACAACTTTAAAAAAATTGTACTTTAACCCTCTGTATTTACATTAAGTCTTTTTCTTGACTCTCTGCCATCTGCTATGATTATCCTTAAATAATATTTAATCCACTATAAAAAATGATCTAAATTATGTTTAAATGGAATATTTTATGGAAATAATATTAGAAAAATAAGAGATTAATTAAAAACTAGGTACTAAGGTGGCTGTTAAGAACTACATGAATTATATTATTTCATCCTTCTTTTTTCTTAGACCAACTTCTTAGAGTCATTCTTGGCTTTTCTTTGTCTCTCACACCTGACAATCTGTAAGTGAGTCCTGTCACATCAAAATGTATTCAGAATCTGGCTAGCTCTCACCATCTACGCTACTACCACCCTATTCCTAGTGACCATCCTCTATCACCAGGATTATTCCAGTAGCCTCCTAACTGATCTCCCTGCTTCTCTTGCCCTGCTTCTGTCTATTCTCAGCACAACAAGCAGTCTATTCCAAGCACAACAACCAGCCTATTCCACATCACAATTTGAAATGTAAATTAGATCATATTACTCCTTGGCTCAAAACCCCCCCCCGTGACTTCTCATGCACTTGGAATCAAAGCTACAGTTATTACTGAAATCAGCAAAGTCCTATATATTCTATTCCCACCTCACCGTCTATCTACCACTCCTTCCTCTGTCCGTCTGTCACTCTGTTCCAAACACTCTGGGCTTCTTGTGAGACTCTCTGTGCTCCTTGCCAGGTACACCTCTATTAAACAGCCTTTGTATTTCCTGTTGTCTCAGCCTGGAATGATCTTCCCCCTAGACATCTATATGACTCATTTCTGCACCTTTCAGTTCTTAAATGTCAACTTCTCTGTAAGGCCTTCCCTGTAACCCCTCAGCGTTCCTTCTCCCCTGTTTCATCTTCTCCATTACACTTATTTTCATCTAACCTAATCTGTATCTGTATTTTATTTGCCTGTCTCTCCTACCTATCATGTAACTTGCTTGAGGGCAGGGATTTTGTTTTATACACACTGTGGCTAGTGCCTAGAGCAGTGCACATAGTACCAATAACATCCACATAATGGTACTCAATAAATACTTGTTTCAGGAATCCTATGATGAGAATAGTTACAGTGTGATACACTTTGCTATTTCTGTACTGACCTTATATGGATTATTCCATAATTTCTTCTGTACTATGCAGTTCCAAAGGACTACCCGTTTCCTCAGCTCTGAAGATCTATTTTGTAAGCCTGTTAAATTCCTGTTACTTTTTAATTCTGTTTATTCTCTACCTCATGTACAGTCTTTTAGTACAAAGAACCTTGTATATTTGCATCTCCAGATAGATTTTACCTTCCCAAAATTTAATCAACTTTCTGATTATTAGAGATGGTTCTAAAATTTCTTAGTATGGTATATGACTCATTCTTTTTTTTTTTTTTTGAGACGTAGTCTTGCTCTGTCGCCCAGGCTGGAGTGCAGTGGCGCCATCTCGGCTCACTGCAACCTCCGCCTCCTGGTTCAAGTGATTCTCCTGCCTCAGCTTCCCAAGTAGCTGGGACTATAGGCGTGTGCCACCATGCTCAGCTAATTTTTTGTACTTTTAGTAGAGATGGGGTTTCACCGTGTTAGCCAGGATGGTCTCAATCTCCTGACCTCATGATCTGCCCACCTCGGCCTCCCAAAGTGCTGGGATTACAAGCATGAGCCACCGTGCCTGGCCGCATGACTCATTCTTGAGTCTCAGTATTTTTTTCCCTGCCTTTTCAAATAGTAAGCAATTAATAAACGTGTTACAACTATTATTTTCATTTACAATATTCAAATGTATAATAATATTTTAAAATATGTAATCTACCTCATTTTCTGATACCCCTAGTTCCATCAATACATTCCAGAACCTAAAGTCACAATTTTATGGCCCTGTGTCTTTGTCTCTCTCCCTATATTCTTCATTTCTTTCTAAATATTTTCTGATTTTGCTTGTTCTTACTCTGATATGCACTTAATAGATTTCATGGCTTACTTCTTCCCCAGTCTTCCATCCTATGTCTTGTGCTGAAAGGAAGTCTTTCATGTCTCTAATCTTTCTCTGATTTCAAGTTCTTCATCCAAGAACATTATACCTTCACCTTACTGGCCTCGGTCATTTCATTATGCCTCACTCCATGGCTCCCCAAAGCTTGTGAAAGCAATCTCCTCTGCTTGCCCCAAGTATCTTCTACATTAGATTGTAAACTGGATGGGGGAGAGGTACAACCTGTAAAGGTACAACCTTTGGGCCACTGGTTTCACCTCATATTAAACGAGTTTTTTGATAAAGCTCAAAATGGCCTTCTGGGAAAAGTCCAACCACCTTTTGTTAGGATTTATTTTAAAGTAATTTTCTTGCTTTAGTTTAGAAGTTTTGGTACAAAATAGAACTTAAAGATATTTAAGAAAGTACTTGTTTGAGTTGTAGAATCTCATGCGGTTGTTGGAGTCAAATGAATCCTGTGGTTAAGAAATTCTTTAAGAAATTAAAGTGAAAGAATTGTTAATACTGATCTCTAAAATTTATTTCTTAACTCTGAGAAAGTCACCTTACCCATCAACAGCATAATGCCTAATTAATCTTACAGGGTGATTTTGTGTGTTAAATGAGGTAAATTTGTATAAGAAGTTTGAACCCCACAAGTGTAGGGGACATGGTATTACTCATTTATTCAGACTCTTGCTTTCTTATGTAATTTGCAAATCCTGAAAACTCCTATTTCCTAGGATGTTTGACTAAATATTTGTTCCCCCTTTTTGGGAAAAATTGGTCAGAGAAATGATCAACTTTTCTTTTTCATGTTCTTTGTATTTTTAGATTAACAAAAGCAGTGGCATTGTGGAGGCATCACGGATCATGAATTTATACCAGTTTATTCAACTTTATAAAGATATCACAAGTCAAGCAGCAGGAGTATTGGCACAGAGCTCCACCTCTGAAGAACCTGATGAAAACTCATCCTCTGTAACATCTTGTCAGGCTAGTCTTTGGATGGGAAGGTATATAATGCATAAGTATTGTATTTCACTTATTTTCTAATATGAAAACAACTGAAATCTATTAATATTTTTGCTGTTGCTCATTGTAGCATCTTAAATCTTTTTTTTTTCTCAGTTGGTATTGTATCTGAGATCAGTTTTGGGGTTATTCTGTGCTTCGGATGTTGTTACAGTGCTAAATTAAAGTGGCTTGGCAGGGCCACTTTAATATTAATGTTTCTGTCACACTGGTCTCCAGGAATCCGCTCTATATGCATGCATTTATTGACAAAGGAGATAGTTAACACCTTCCTTATAATAGGTATTTAGGTTCTTAGACAGTCAAAGCTTTTTAGGGAATTAGGTCAAAGAATTTGGCAAAATCATCCCACTTTTTTTAAAAAATGTCTAATTGAAGCATTAAAATTTTATATATTGGCTTCAGGACTTGGCAGTCCATTCAGGAAGGAACCGAATGCATATACTTAGTTACCAGAAGGAAATGAAGTCAGCCAGAGTTTTCTCTGATGATGTTTGTTTACCCAGGCCTAATACATTATTGTTCTATCTAAACTTTCTTTTCCTTCTCTGTTATGCTTTTGGCACATGAAAGTTCCCACTTCTTGACATTTGACAATCATGATCATAATTTAAATTTGTAAATATCTCATTGGAAAAAGATTTACATGGGTCCAAACATGTTGACATCCTGTCTTACTGTCATACTGGGTAGATAGCAGAAATCTATATTCACCGTGTCCTTTACCTTAAAGTTAAGAATGTACTTAACAGTGATTTTTTTTTTTTTAATTGAGGCGGAGTCTTGCTCTGTCGCCCAGGCGCGATCTCGGCTCACTGCAAGCTCTGCCTCCCGGGTTCACGCCATTCTCCTGCCTCAGCCTCCCAAGTAGCTGGGACTACAGGCGCCCGCCACCACGCCCGGCTAATTTTTTGTATTTTTAGTAGAGACGGGGTTTCACCGTGTTAGCCAGGACGGTCTCCATTTCCCAACCTCATGATCCTGCCCTCCTCGGCCTCCCAGAGTGCTGGGATTACAGGCATGAGCCACCATGCCCGGCCAGTGGTTTCTTTTTTTTTACTGCTCTATTTACAGTTGCATTTTCTGGTTCATTCTTAACCAACTGGTTTTCAAGCACTATGTTACAGTTAAACTGTATTTTCCATTTATTATTTCCCAATTATCTTTAATAGAATTACTTGGTTTTCTAGGTTTGGTCTATACAAGTGTTACTGATAGGCCAAGTGACTTTTAGAACATGGTAGGCAGTGTTTAGGCTTGTCTTTCCTGTATTCTGTAATCTTTCAAAGATGGATCTGATTTTTCTGCTTTTCTTCTCTCCAGAATAGTGGTTGTTGTTTTGTTTAATTGTTTTAAAAGCTGAGGATGGTGTTTGCCAATGTATTTAAGCTGTATGGTAGCACATGAAAAGAAAGTATTGTTTTTTTCTTGTTACAGTCTTCTTAATGAAGAAGGTAAAGGTGTTATCCCTTTTCATGTGCCCTCAAAACTGGAAATTCAGTTCCTGATTAGCTTGTTAGGGGTGCTTCTTGTTTTTGTGTGTTTTTTCAGTTTATAATAATACCCTTATACACTAGTTCACAGAAAGAGACTTTCTAAATTGAAGGAGGTCTTAAGGGATATTTATGTAGTTGAACTTTACATCTGATGCATAATTCCATTGATGTTTTACATTTATTGATTACTTACAGGGTATAGAATTGTGATGAGTGTTGTACATGTATAAACTCATTAAATTCTCACAACCCCATATGGGAGTACAATTATCGGCCCATTTCAGCCAAAGAATCTGAGATTTAGCTAAGTAAGTGTCATGATTAGAAATTGTTCTAGCCAAGACTCACATTCAGGCCTGTCTGGCAGTACAGCTGTGCTCTAACCTATTACTTTATGGTGCATAAAGATCTTGCACACAGAGCTTCTGAAAATTTATTACTCAGTGGTTTTGAGGAGGAGCCTGAGAGTCTGTCAAGCTCCCAGGTGGGGCCAATGCTGCTGATCCTCAGATAACACTTTGAATAGCAAGACTCTGCTTACCCACATTTTGCCAAGTCCGACTTGCAAGTACAAGTAACACCTGCAGTTATGTGAGACTCACTGCCTGAAAAAAGCAAGCCTTTTCATACTCAGATGGCTCTAATCACTATGAAGTTTTTCCTATTGCTTCATTTTCCTCAGAGTAGCCAAAATCTTTCTTGAGGCAGCACGGCACAGACTCTAGCAGCAAGTTGCCTGTGTTCAAATCCTGGCTCCACTCCTGTGTGATTTTTTTGACAAATCAAACTGTTTCCTCAGTTTCCTCATCTTCTAACAGAGGTTGATAACTGTAGTATATGCTTTATAGGATTTTTGAGAGAATTAAAAGACATAAGATGCTCAGAACAGTGCTTGACACATAATAATTTGTCTATAAGAGTTAACTGTCATTATTATTGTTACTATATTCTATTTATTGTTTTCAATGGCTGTGCCCTCTGGAATTCCTCCAAACAAATCTGTTCTCTTTTCCAGCCTTTCAAATATTTGAAAACAGTCATCAAATTCTCACTGAACCTTCTGTTCTCAAGGATAAACACCCCCAGTTCCTTTGGCCTTTGTTTATGTGGGTCTCGTCTACATACTGGAGGCTTTCCCAGATGGTCTTTTCTCTGTCAGTATGTGTGCCTTTCAGAGTATGAGGCATAGAACCAAATATTCCAATCTACAGGTGATCTAACAGGAACAAACAGCACAAGACTCTCCTTCCTTCTGGTCACTGTGCTGCTAAGAAGGTAGCAAAAAGTTAAGAGAACTTTGTACTGGTTCCACTGGCTATTTCTGTATCTCCCATTCTTTTATCTCTCTCCACAATGCTCTTCTTTGTAGTCCTCTGCTTCTCACTTTTAAAGTCCAGCCTTCAGAATATTCTTTCACTCTGTACAGATTCAGTTATATTCTCTGCTACTGAGAAACTCAGATACATTAGACCCATATCCATCTAGGTTTTTATTCAGTTTTCCCATTCCAATTCAGTGACTTCCCTCTTTTCCCTGTTACTAACGTATAACACTTAATCTATTACCACATAAAAGATTTGTCTTTTATAATGCTTCTTAGACCTAATTATCTCTCAGATGAATTGCTGAAATAAGATCCTAACCAGTTTTCCTCTTTCTAGACTGTCCCTCATACTGCACTCCCAATTTATCTTCCTGAAGTACCATATCAGTTGGAGTTCACTTCCCCTTGATTATACACTGATTGTAGTTTGCTTGTCAGGACACGTTCAAACTTAATATTTTGACATTTAAGGATGAGATTATCTCCACTTTATCTAATCAATCTTTTTCCTCAGTTTTCCATACCCAAGTATCATGCCAGCTTCCTGGTTACATATACACAGACATAAACACACATGATTTTGCTTTTTACCTCTACAACTTTGTTTATGCACCTAGAATGTCTTCTATTAAAATCCTATTGTTTTTCTATCTCATCATTTCAACAAGTTTGAGATATATTCATCTCTTCCTTCTTTACTTAGCACTTACTATATTTAATATACATTTGACATTTATTTTTACATTCAAATCAAAATTTTAAGTACTATCTAAATATCTTACATACAGTGCTATAAGCACAACAGGGAATGGAAAACATATTAGTGATAGCTCCTATCCTTAAGAAGTTTATAGTCTAGTGGCTGTACTTTGGAACAGTCAGTTTTTATATTATTACAAAAGTAATACATGTCTGATGAAGAAAACCTTAAAAATTACAAAAAAGCACAAAGGTTAAAAGAAATTAAAATCACTTCAAGAAGCATTTATTGAGAATCTAAGACAAACACCCTATATTCAAAGAGCTTACAGTTTATGGAAAGGCCAGCCAATCAATATGCAATATTTAAGTCTTTTCATTGAGGCAAGTGTTGATTTTGAGAGCAGAGAGATGATGATGTTTTGAGCTGAGTTACCAAGGTTGGAGCTTACTAAACTCACAAGGGCAGTTTCAGGAAAGGAAAATACCATCTGCAAAGGTATATGGCTCATTCAGGGGCTCTCTGAATTGTGGCTGGAGCAAAAGGTTTGAAATCTTTTTTCTTCCCAAGAAGATGAAAGAGCTCCTGGAGGACAGAAACTGCTTTTTATTCCCTTTGTATCTCTCACAGCACCTGATACTTAAGACTAAACTATTCTTTCACTCATATGCCCATTATCAATGTCAGCATTGTAAGGCCCTGATGGCAGGATCCATATTTTAGGGAGCTTTGTGTTACACATAGTGAATAAATTATATGGTCATGTATCACCTAACAATGTTTTGGTTAATCACAGACTGCATATGTGATGGTGGTCTCAAGATTATAATGGAGCTAAAAAATTCCTATTGCCTGTGGACGTCGTAGCCATCCTAATATTGTGATGCAATGCATTACTCAAATGTTCTTGGTGATGCTGGTGTAAACAAACCTACTGTGCTGCTCATAGTATAAAAGTATAGCACTTACAATTATGTACAGTAATACTTGATAATTATGTTACTGGTTTATGCATTTATTATACTATACTATACTTTTTAATCATTTTAGAGTATACTCCTTCTACTTATTAAAAAAAGTTAGCTGTAAAACAGCCTCAGGCAGGCCCTTCAGCAGGTATTCCAGAAGGCATTGTTATCAAAGGAGATGACAGCTCCGTGCATGTTACTGCCCCTGAAGACCTTCCAGTGGGACAAGAGGTGGAGGCGGAAGACAGTGATGGTGGTGATCCTGACGCTGTTTAGGCCTAGGCTAATGTGTGTGTTATGTCTTAGTTTTTAAGAAAAAAGTTTAGAAAGTAAAAAAGTAAATAAATCTTAAAAATAGAAAAAAGCTTATAAAATATTTCTGTACAGCTGTATAATGTGTGTTTTAAGGTAAGTGTTGTTACAAAAAGAGTCAAAAAGTTAAAAGTAAAAAGTTTATAAAGTTAAAAATCTATAGTAAAGATTAATTTATCATTGAAGAAATATATTTTTTATAAATTTCGTATAGCCTAAATGTACAGTGTTCATAAAGTCTGTACACTACTGTACAAGTGCTATACAGTAATGTCCTAGGCCAAGCTTGTTCAACTCACGGCCCACGGGCTGCATGCAGCCCAGGATTGCTTTAATGTGGCCCAACACAAATTCATAAACCTTCTTAAAACATGAGATTTTTTTGCAATTTTTTTAGCTCATCAGATATTGTTAGTGTTAGTGTTAGTATATATGTGGCCCAAGAAAGACAGTTCTTCCAGTGTGGCCCAGGGAAGCCAAAAGATTGTACACTCCTGTCCTAGGCCTTCATATCCACTCACCACTACTCACTCACTGACTCACCTAGAGCAACTTCCAGGCCCGCATGCTCCATTTATGGTAAGTGCCCTATACAGGTGTACCATTTTTAATCTTGTATACCGTATTTACACAGTACCTTCTCTGTGTTCAGATACATTTAGATACACAGATACCTACCATTGTGTTACAGTAGCCTACAGTGTTCCATACAGTAACATGCTATATATGTTTGTAGCCTAGAAGCAATAGACTATGCCATATAGCCTAGGTATGTAGTAGTAGGCTAAACCATCTAGGTTTGTATAAGTACACTATGATATTTACACAGCAATGAAATCACCTAACAATGAGTTTCTCAGACCGTATCTCTGTCTTTAATGCAATAACTATATCGGTTAAATTTGTTTATTTAAGTCCAATATGATTAAAATGGGCTAAATTGTTTCCAGAAAGATTTGACTATTTCCACTTTTGCCTATGTTTTCTTTATCACAAAATGTATCTTTTATCTAGTCTTTCTTTATGAAATGTAGCCCTCTTAATACTTTTTCCCTAATATATTTGCTATCCCTAAAAGATAATATTAATTTTAGTCTGATTTTGCACATGAGTCATATTGTGCTTTATACTGTGGGCATATAGATGTTTAATAATGCTTTTTAAAGCAACAAAAAGTATAAAGCATAATGACAGAGAATATAATTGTTTCAGCTCAGTTTTCACATTGCAGGGTGAAGCAGCTGACCGATGAGGAGGAGTGTTGTATCTGTATGGATGGGCGGGCTGACCTCATCCTGCCTTGTGCTCACAGCTTTTGTCAGAAGTGTATTGATAAATGGTAAGTTACCTACTGCATTCATGGGCTGGGCCAAGGTCAGTGGGATAGTGTACATGAATAAACTTTGAAAAGTGCAAAAATACTGTAGTTAAGTATGAGAGAGATTTTATTCTTTAGTACTTTGAATTTTATGGCATGCCTTCTACTGGTTAAAACTATTTTTGTTTTTACACCTAACATTTATTAAATATGGGGGTGTACCTTAGTTTTGACACTTTTCTTTTGCTGTATGAAAATTTGTGCCTGACTTAAGTCTAAAATCAAACATTTCCCTTTTTCCTCCTTTTTTTCTCCTCATTTCTACATTTATTCTGTGTATGTGTTTAGAAGGAATAAATTCTTGAATACTGGACCTCAGGGAACTTTAGAGATCAGCTAGTCAAGTTCATTATTTTACAAAATAAGACTTGAGCGTTTAGGATAATTTATAAAATACATACAATAAACTACATGTATTTAATGTACAGTTTAATATGTTTTGGCATATATACACACCCATAAAAGTTATGAATTTTTATAAATGGAATCATATAATATGTGCTTTTTTTGTCTGGCTTCTTTCATTCAGTCTAATTACCTTGGTATTTATTCATGTTGTAGCATGTATCAATAGTTCATGCCTTTTTATTGCTGAGTAATGTCTGTTATGTGGATACCATAGCTTGTTTATTCACCTATTGAGGGAAATTAGATTATTTTCCATATTTATCTATTACAAAATAAAGGTACTAGATACATTCATGGACAAGTCATTTTATGGATGTATTTTGGTTTTTTTCTTGGGTGAATACCTAGACATGGAATGGCTAGATCATATGGTATGTGTGTGTTTAACTTTTTAAAAAGCTGCCAGCTATTTTCCAAAGCAGTCTTGTGCCATTTTACACCCCCACTAGCAGCATATGAGATTGCATTGAATAAATATATCAATTTAGGGAGAGTGAATTTCTTACTAGTGCATCTTCCTATCCACATACGCTGTATATTTCTCCACTTATTTAGGTCTTCTTTAATTTCTGTCACCAATTTTTTTAGTTTTCAGTGTTGCATATCTTTGACATCTATCCCCAAGTATTTCATAGTTTTATGCTATTTTAAATGGTATTTAAAATTTCAATTTATGATTGATACTAGTATATGGAAATACAATAGATATTTGTATATCAACCTTGTATCCTGCGCCCTTATTAAACTCATGTATCAGTTCTGGTAGTATTTTTGTAGATTCCATAGGCTCTTCTTGAATGTCCGAATATCATTTTTCAAAGACTTTTTTTCTGATTCAGAATTCTAGACTTGAGAGTATTTTTTCTTTCAGTATGTTAATAATGTTGCTTCACACTCATCTTGTTTGCATTGTTTCTAATGAGAACTCTGTCATCCTTTTTTCCTCTGTAGGTAATGTGCCATTTTTTCCCTCTGTTTTTAAGGTTGTTTTCTTTTCACTGGTTTTGAGCACTTTGATTATGATGTGCCTTAGAGTAGTTTTTTCATGTTTCTTGTGCTTGGGGTTTATTGAGCTTCTTGGATTTGTTGATTTACGGTGTCATCAAATTTGGAAATTTTTCAGCCATTATTTTTTCAGATTTTTTTCTATCTTCTCTCCCCTCTCCTGTGATTCCAATTACCATGTATTAGCCCACTTGAAGTTGTCTCACAGCTCACTGGTGCTATTTTTTTCTTTCTTTTTTGAGTCTTTCTCTGGGTTTCATCCTGGATAGTTACTATTGCTATCTCTTTTCATATTCACCATTTTTCTTCAATGTCTAACTTGCCATTAATTCTATCCAGTGTATTTTTTTAACCTCAGATAATTTTCATTTCTAGAAGTTTGATTTGGGTTTTTATTATCTTTCATGTCTCTTCTTACTATCTTTGAGCTTTCCTCTAGTTTTTTAACTATATAGAATATAGCTATAATAACTTTCCATTTTATCTGCTAATTCTAATATCTGTGTTAGTTCTGGGTGGTTATGATTGATTTTTCTCTTTATTATAGATTATATTTTTCTGCTGCTTTTTTGTATGTCTGGTAGTTCTCAACTGGATGCCAGACTTTGTGGCAGACTTTGTGAATTTTACCTTTTTGGGTATTGGATATTTTTGTATTCCTATGAATATTCTTGAGCTTTTTTTCTGGACTATAGTTAAGTGACTTGGAAACAGTTTGATTCTTTTGGATCTTGCTTTTGTGATTTGTTAGGCAGGACCAGAGCAGTATTTAGTTTAGAACTAATTATGTCCCACTAATAGCAAGACCCTTTAGAGAACTCTACTGATACCCCAAGAGTTATGAGGTTTTCCAGTCTGGCTGGTGAAACAGGCAGTATCCCAGGCCCAGTGAGCTTTAGGGGACTATCCCCTCAAAGCCCTTTGATTGATTGTTCAGCCTCGGTAGTGTCTTCACATGCACACACTGATCAGCACTCTGCTGAGTATTCTGGCGGGGACACTTCCGTAGACCTCTGGAATTTTCCCTCTGTGCAGCTTTCCATTACCCTGCCCTGTAAACCCTAGCTGTTTGGCCCCCCAAGATTCTCAGCTCTGTGTGTTCAGCTCAGGGAGTTTGCCATGTTCCATCAAGCTTCCCGCTTCTTGATCAGGGGCTAGAAACTCTCGAGGCTGTAAGCTGAGGCAAGTATAGGTCTCACCTTCTTTGACTCCCATGTCCCAGGGATCACTGTCCTTTGTTGTCTGATGGCCAGTGCTTTATTTGAAAGATTGTATGAAACCATTGTTTTAGTAATTTTAGGTGGGAAGATAAATCTAGCCTCTGTTGGTTGGAAACAGAAGTTGACTATTTTTAAATTGTGATGTTTTGTGCACAGAAGAGCATACATATAATTATCTTGTAAAATACCTCTGAAGAACTAGAAATCAACCTAAATAATATATGCCAGCTGTAGCTTTCACATTTAGTTTTTGGAACAGAGTTCTAAATTTTTGCATAAAAGCCAAAGAGCAGTTGATACAAATAATTACTTTGGTCCCAGATTTCACTGAGAGATGAAAAGAAAAACATTTTTCTCTGCATAATATGTCTCTGGCTCAAATACGGTATTTTTTAAATTACCAAAATAATGTTTGACCAGAAAAAAATCCTTTTCGAAAACATAATCTTATTTAAGTGATCATATATGAGTTCTTCCCCTGCCAGAAAAATTACTGTGCATGTAAAGTTTATCTTTTAACTTTGTATGCTCCATTTTTATATAAGTCTTCCTGTTGCTTATGAGCCATAGGAATTTTTTCAGACCTTTAAGCAAGCAACAGGTAGATATATTGTTGAAAGTCATGTAGATATTTCTTAGAAAAATAATTAATAATATCCTTTCTTCTTGTCATATTCCCCTGCCACTGCCAAGAAGTTATTCCTAGAGTAATGGCTTCCATTTAAATAATCACGAATAAGCATTTATACTTGACACTTTGACCAAATCTTCCATTGATGCGAGGGAATTTCCTCTTGGGACTCAGAAGGAATTTTTATTATAAAGGAATACTTTACCTGTTTAGGTATGGGGATGCGAATTGCTGCATTGTTGGTAGCAACAAAAGATGGGAAAAAAAACTAAATGTCCTTCTGCAGGAGACTAGTTAAACAAATTATGGCATAGCGATACAGTGTATGTTAAAAAGAATAAACAGCTCTAACAGGTGCTGATACATACTAGTCTGTAAGATATATTGACAAGTGGAGAAATGTGTGTGTGCACGTGCGTGCATGTGTGTACACATAAGCTTAATCCAGCTTAGTCTATCTCTGGAGGAATATATAAGAAACTGGTAACTGTGGTTGCCCCTGGGAAAGAGAATTGAAGATTGAGATAGGAGGGAGGGATTTATTTTTCACTATATATTTCTATGCTATTTCCTTTTTAAAAGCCATGTGCATGTATTACTTTAAATAAAATCCTGTTTTTAAAAAAGAAGAAAGCAAACTGTTTTGTTTTGACTTCTCTAATAGGAGTGATCGACACAGGAATTGCCCTATTTGTCGCCTACAGATGACTGGAGCAAATGAATCTTGGGTGGTATCAGATGCACCCACTGAAGATGATATGGCTAACTATATTCTTAACATGGCTGATGAGGCAGGCCAGCCCCACAGGCCATGACCTTGAAGTGAAAGTCTTCTGTTGCTATTGTGGGCTCAAATATTTGGTCATGGGGGAAGAATGTAGGGTTGTGGCACTGGCACAGACACAGGAAAATCCATTTTCCCCACTCTTTTATTTTTGCTATTCTGATCATTTGTCCCCCTTTTAAAAATAAACTTCCCATGTCTTCCATTTGTGGTACTAAAATTTGCTACTGTTTTAGACCATATTTTCCTATTATTTATCTGTTCAAATTTGTATTATTACAACTAATAGCTCTTGAATTCTTTGCTAAAGGTAACAGCAACACTTCCAGAGGCTTCTAAAACACTACTGTTTTGCAGGGCAGGAGTATTCTGGAATCTTTTTACTTAGATATAAAATAAACCTCGAATATTAAAAAGTTGTAGCCATCTGAGAGAGGAAAGTTTAAGTGACTGAAAATGTAGAATACTTCAACGTGCATGTTACTACTTAAAACTAGTCTTTCTGCTGGAATCTAAGGAGTATATATATATATGCCCCCTTGTGGTTAATTATTGCTCCTTTAATAATTTTTACTTGAAATGATCCACAATTATTTCATAACTTTAGCAGTGTGTTTTGGAACTACTGTACTTAAAGGTTTGTTTGTTTGTTTTTGCCATACTGTATAATTTGGGTGAGGTCTACAAAATTGGGTGTGACTTTCCTTTGCAAATGGATTTCTCCTGGGGAATTTTCTTGGCTGTTCTGGAAATGCTTTCCCACAGCTGGGTAACTGTTCTAAATGGCTTTGATAATGCTCACACATCTTGGAGTTTCAGAAGGAAATTATTCTGCATCACAAATACTAAATTTTATATTTCTAAATTACTATAGGTCATTTAATATTGGTTTATGGTGCTTTTATTTCCTTAACTTGAAAACATCTTTCTGAGATTTCAGAGTCCTCAAATTTCTTAGATTAAGAGACAAGAGGCCAGTGCAGTGGTTCACACCTGTAATCCCAGCACTTTGGGAGGCCGAGGTGGGTGGATCATTTGAGGTTAGGAGTTTGAGACCAGCCTGGCCAACATGGCGAAATCCTCTCTCTACTAAAATACAAAAATTAGCTGGGCATGGTGGCAGGTGCCTGTAATCTCAGCTACTCGGGAGGCTGAGGCAGAATTGCTTGAACCCAGGAGGTGGAGGTTGCAGTGAGCCGAGATCACACCACTGCACTCCAGCCTGGGAGACAGAACGAGACTCCTAATCAAAAAAAAAACACAAGAAAATAGAGTGAGGCTTTTTTACCGTATATACATAAAATACTTATGAAAATTAGAAGATAATTTGGCATTCCTACTGTTTCACTGTACTTCCATTGAAATACTCTTTCCATTAAAATATTCTGAAACAATATAGTAATAATGGAATTGTGATCTTCAGTTGCACCTCAACCATTTTTTTTGCTTATGAACTAAAATTTCTAACATTAACATTTCGGCATGTAATAAAACAAGGGCCTATCTCCTTTAAAATTTAACATTCCATGTAACTTTTCTGACTTATCATTCATAAGTTGCAAATATTACTATTTTCCTAAACCAGGGTACACAATTTAAGTTGCCACTTATTGATGACAGAATTTCTGGATAGTAGGATTTTAATAGGCGAGCAAATAAAATTCAAATCAATTTCAAGGAAAAACATCTGGCCAGGGGTAGCTTGATTTCGCCCCCAAAAATACTGAAGACTAATCCATTGACATTCATAATGGGACAGCTAAGTACCAAATAGCTAACTACTCCCTATGGAGGTTTATGCAAGCAGAGTACCAGGGGTTCCATCATATCAACCTGGCAATGCACTTGGTGGTTGTGTGACCTTGAGAAAGTCTCTTACTCTTGTTTATGTGTTCTTACTTTAGAAACTGAGACTTTATTTGTGGTTTTCACACTATTTCAGCAGCAAAAACTTTTTCAAGGAAAATCTTACAGAACCTTTAAACACGTGTGCATACACACATACCCTATACCCCACTATATAAAAGTCATATTATTATAAATTTCCTTATTATATAAACTTTATATACTATAAATGTGATTAAGTCAATGAATAAAAACATTAATGCATTGGTGATATCCAGCATGTTTGAATTTGGTGAGTAACACACATATAGTGGGAGTCGTTTTTTTTAAAAAAATTTTTTAATTAAATTCAAGTCAAATTTGCAGAACCCTGTATCTCCTCCATAGATTCTTAGTATTCCATGGAACATATTTTGAAAACCTTGGGATAGATGATCCACTGAAATCTTTTCCAGCTCTAAGATTTTAAATTGTCCTTTTAGATTAGACTTGCTGAGTTTAATTCAGATTACCTAATTTTAAAATGTTTCTGAAAAGTGAACAGAGTTACCTTACAGAGTTTTGGATCTTTCCAGGGATAGCCAATGATTTTATCCCCCAGAATCCTTCACCTTTCAAGGAGTTATTTAACAATGAGCCCAGTGACTCAATAGGGCCCAAACCTTTTTATTTTACAATATGAGCTCCAAGACACTTACTGATCTACTGTGAATATAAAATGTTATTAGCCTTATCAAATAAATAAATGAGCACAGCTCTTTGTTCGCTCTATTGAACTGGGTGATAATTATTTAGATGTGAATGTTAGGTCAGTTCTACTGTAATAACTAATCGTAAAAGTTGTAAATTTGTTTAATGGATGAAATGTACACTTTTTGTATTCTGTACAGCTTTGTCTTTTTTAAATATGAAGTACTTAAATGTACTTACTATGATAGGAAATATAATGTGTGCCTTCTAGGATTTGTGAAGTGGTTTCATGAACTCTAAGGAATTTGTTTTCCCTATCCTAACTCAGTAACAGAGGGTTTACTCCGATTATGTATAGAACCTTAGTTTGAGAAAATGAATTTTACTATGTACTGAATTTAGAGGTTGAGAATAATAGGATCTGTGTTATTCTTAGTACCCACTGATAAATTGTGCAATAAATAATCTTTCGCAAGTGATTTTAGCTAATTGAAGAGATTATTTTCCTATGTAATTTCACATTCTAATATACTAAATGTTTATATTCCTTAGAGAACTATTTTATATTGTGCGCTGGGGGCTTGTGATGTTTGTGTGCTGTTTTAAAATTCATTTCAAATTGGACTCGATTTCCTTATATCTAATATATATCTGGGAGAAAAGGCTGCTTGAAAATATCTTTTGATTCAGTGATTTTTAACATTGGGAAGTTGAGTTTATTAAAAGGTAGTCTGAAGAATTTGCATTTTTAACTGCTATTGTCTGAAGTCAAGCTTAGTCTATCCGGGAATAAGAAAACTACTTGCAGATGAGGGAAGTTAACAGGTCACTCACATTCATGCTGGGCCACACAATGACGATACAATACAAACCTAAGCAGCTGACAACAGACTCATTTGTTCGTATGTCTATTCACCCTGCTGTAGCAGTCCTCAACCTTTTTGGCACCAGGGACTGCATTCATGGAAGACCATTTTTCCACAGACCAGGGTTGGGGTGGGAATAGTTTCGGGATGAAATTTTTCCACCTCAGATCATCAGGCATTAGTTAGATTCTCATAAGGTGCATGCAACCTAGATCCCTCGTATGCGCAGTTCACAGTAGAGTTCATGCTCCTTGAGAATCTAATACCGCTGCTGATCTGACAGGAGGTGGAGCTCAGGCAATAATACTCACTCGCCCGCGGCTCAACTCCTGCTGTGCGGCCTGGTTCCTAACAGGCAGCAGACCAGTACTGTCCACAGCCCAGGGGTTGTGGACCCCTACCCCAACAGACAGCAAAAATAAAATGCTCAACCCTATTGTAGTTTGTTTACCTTGTAAAATCATTTCCAAAATATAAGAATGTAATTAGAGAAACATCGTAGAATCTTAGTGCTGAAAAGTGCAAGGACATAAGAATGAGTGGCAGTTGGTAGTTAAATTGACTGTATCATCATACTGTGGAGAAATGCACATTTTACTGTCAAAATACATAAAAGCCTTTGCAGAGATAGGTTTTGACACGCTTGCAGCTGTTTATAGTCTTACTCTCTGTCATCTTCTATCTTACTAATTGCAAAAATTTCCAAGGAACTGTTTATCTGGTTAGTATTCCCCTAGTTACACTTGTTCTTTATAATGATCATAGTTCAGGCAGAGTATTTGGGTATATCACCTTCAGTCATGTCTCAAACGCAGGAAATGAAGAATATTGTTTCACCAACACTCAGAAGTAAAGAGAAAGCAAGAGAAAAGTGCTTTCGGCTCTTGTTTAATCCAAGAGGCCGTGAAAAATCACAACCCAGGAGCTGTGATTTGTTTTCACGAGGCAAAGAGCAATGATGTCGATCGGTTTCAGCGGTACAATTTGAAGTAACACATAAAGTGAACTTGAGCCCTTAAGGATAAAGAAGGGATAACTGCCTCAAAAACTGTTGCTTTAGAAACCTAAGCCAGTATACAATTAATTGCCTCTTATTCCAGTTGCAAACACAAAGGAAAGTAGGGATTTGTCCCCCAAAAGGCCAATTAAGTATAGCAATGTAATAAAAGCACAAAGTGCTATAGAAAAGATGTCAGAAAAGCTTGCAGGACACCGCTGCTAGCCCCATACCCCGAGCCAACCAAACCCCAAAGACACCCCATACAGTTTATGTAGCTTACTTCCCCAAAGCAATACACTGAAAATGTTTCGACGGGCTCATATCACCCCATAAACAAATAGGTTTGGTCCTAGCCTTTCTATTAGCTCTTAGTAGGATTACACATGCAAGCATCCCCGCCCCAGTGAGTCACCCTCTAAATCACCACGATCAAAAGGAACAGGTATCAAGCACGCAGCAACGCAGCTCAAAACGCTTAGCCTAGCCACACCTCCACGGGAGACAGCAGTGATAAACCTTTAGCAATAAACCAAAGTTTAACTAAGCCATACTAACCCCAGGGTTGGTCAATTTCGTGCCAGCCACCGCGGTCACACGATTAACCCAAGTCAATAGAAACCGGCATAAAGAGTGTTTTAGATCAATTCCCCTCAATAAAGCTAAAATTCATGTGAGTTGTAAAAAACTCCAGTTGATACAAAATAAACTACGAAAGTGGCTTTAATGCATCTGAACACAGAATAACTAAGACCCAAACTGGGATTAGATACCCCACTATGCTTAGCCCTAAACTTCAACAGTTAAATTAACAAAACTGCTCGCCAGAACACTACGAGCCACAGCTTAAAACTCAAAGGACCTGGCGGTGCTTCATATCCCTCTAGAGGAGCCTGTTCTGTAATCGATAAACCCCGATCAACCTCACCACCTCTTGCTCAGCCTATATACCGCCACCTTCAGCAAACCCTGACGAAGGCCGCAAAGTAAGCGCAAGTACCCACGTAAAGACGTTAGGTCAAGGTGTAGCCCATGAGGTGGCAAGAAATGGGCTACATTTTCTACTTCAGAAAACTACGATAACCCTGATGAAATTTAAGGGTCGAAGGTGGATTTAGCAGTAAACTAAGAGTAGAGTGCTTAGTTGAACAGGGCCCTGAAGCGCGTACACACCGCCCGTCACCCTCCTCAAGTATACTTCAAAGGACACTTAACTAAAACCCCTACGCATTTATATAGAGGAGATAAGTCGTAACATGGTAAGTGTACTGGAAAGTGCACTTGGACGAACCAGAGTGTAGCTTAACACAAAGCACCCAACTTACACTTAGGAGATTTCAACTCAACTTGACCGCTCTGAGCCAAACCTAGCCCCAAACCCATTCCACCTTACTACCGAACAGCTTTAACCAAATCATTTACCCAAATAAAGTATAGGCGATAGAAATTGTAAATCGGCGCAATAGATATAGTACCGCAAGGGAAAGATGAAAAATTGCAACCAAGCATAATACAGCAAGGACTAATCCCTGTACCTTCTGCATAATGAATTAACTAGAAATAACTTTGCAAAGAGAACCAAAGCTAAGACCCCCGAAACCAGACGAGCTACCTAAGAACAGCTAAAAGAGCACACCCGTCTATGTAGCAAAATAGTGGGAAGATTCGTAGGTAGAGGCGACAAACCTACCGAGTCTGGTGATAGCTGGTTGTCCAAGACAGAATCTTAGTTCAACTTTAAATTTACCCACAGAACCCTCCAAATCCCCCTGTAAATTTAACTGTTAGTCCAAAGAGGAACAGCTCTTTGGACACTAGGAAAAAACCTTGTAAAGAGAGTAAAAAATTTAATACCCACAGTAGGCCTAAAAGCAGCCACCAATTAAGAAAGCGTTCAAGCTCGACACCTGTCATCTAAAAAATCCCAAACACATAACTGAACTCCTTGCACCCAATTGGACCAATCTATTACCCTATAGAAGAGCTAATGTTAGTATAAGTAACATGAAAACATTCTCCTCCGCATAAGCCTACATCAGACCAAAATATTAAACTGACAATTAACAGCCCAATATCTATAACCAACCAACAAGCCATTATTACCCCCACTGTTAACCCAACACAGGCATGCCCACAAGGAAAGGTTAAAAAAAGTAAAAGGAACTCGGCAAATCTTACCCCGCCTGTTTACCAAAAACATCACCTCTAGCATTCTCAGTATTAGAGGCACCGCCTGCCCAGTGACATGCGTTTAACGGCCGCGGTACCCTAACTGTGCAAAGGTAGCATAATCACTTGTTCCTTAAATAGGGACTTGTATGAATGGCTCCACGAGGGTTCAGCTGTCTCTTACTTTCAACCAGTGAAATTGACCTGCCCGTGAAGAGGCGGGCATAGTATAACAAGACGAGAAGACCCTATGGAGCTTTAATTCATTAACGCAAACAACACTTAACAAGTCCACAGGCCCTAAACTATCAAACCTGCGTGAAAAATTTCGGTTGGGGCGACCTCGGAGCACAATCCGACCTCCGAGCAACACATGCCGAGACTTCACCAGTCAAAGCGAATTACCACGTTTAATTGATCCAATAACTTGACCAACGGAACAAGTTACCCTAGGGATAACAGCGCAATCCTATTCTAGAGTCCATATCAACAAGGTGTTAGCTGGACAGACTAAAATAATACCCCGGGAAAAGGAAAGGAACATGTATAGCTTTGCTCATGAACTATAACAGGGTAGAAGTTAGAGAAAATAACAAAGGAAGATTTATCTTCTGGGTCTGGTGAGCTTCAGTTTGAAAATTTTGAGTTTTCCTAGTGAATGTCATTCATGTCGGAGTCTTAGTAAAAGATAAATTAGCTATTATTATTGATAGCTTTTCATGGTGCCCAATCTTAAGAGTAAAAATCTTTAACATTTGCTTTAAATATGATTATCTTTAAATAGTTTTAAACTATTGAGCCACAGTCCTAGCTGACTTTATTTAACAATTTAAAAAAAGATACTTGATACAGATAAAATGACAATGAGAAACTACACAATACTTCCTATGTTAGGGCAAATGTATATAAACGGGGGCTTTTCAAAACTAATCCCTAAGATAACAATGGATTTTCATTCAATTTCATAATTAGCTGTAAGATAGCATATATATCTGCCTAGTAAAAAGACTGCATTTATACTTCCATATGCTGAATTGACCAGTGGAGGGGACAGGCATTATAAAGTCACAAGATGAGACAATCTAAAGTCAAATAAGTTCACAGGCAGAAACTGGATTCTTCTTCTAACTATAATGATTCAAAAAGACCTCCTGTAGTCTGAATTTGACCACAGAAATAGATAGGAAGGTCCTTGAGCAGCCTCTTAAGTACTAAGAGCACATGTCCTTAAAAAGTTGCCAAAAGAAATTCACTTAGTTATTCAATATGCATTTATTGAGCACCTACTACATACCAGGCACTAGTAACACAGATAAAGAGTACACTGATAAAGCTTAATTCAGATTAATCTTTAAAAATGCTTTCTACTTGGCCCCTGGGACCATTGTATCTTCTGAAGTCATCATAGTAGATAAGGGAGAAATTTTGCCTTAAAAAAATGCATCCGGTTACAGTGATTAAAAACACACACACACACACACACAACTAACATTTGTGGGGTCTAATGGAATAGTGGGGAAAAGACAGGATTTGGAATAAGGAAATCCAGTTTAGGCCTATTACTTATTAGCTGTGTGCCCTTAAGTTAAATTTCACTTATCTGGCCTAACTCTTAATTGGTAAAGTGATAATTGGCCTACAGTTGTAGCATATTAGAGCCAAAAGGAACAGAGATCATCTAGTCCTGTGCTTTTTGAAGTTCTTCGTTCAAATGAAAATATTATGTAGCAGCCCCAGTGTAAAACTGATGAACGCAGTCACTTTGACAGCCCCTGAGCATCACTCACTCCCTTCCCTCCCCTACCCTAAAGTATTCATGAGGAGATTCACAGAACACCCTGAAAGCCACTCATCTAGTCCAAACCCTCACTTTCTAGGTGAAGAAACCAAGACTCAGAATAGGAGTGGCTGTTTTCATGAGTACATTTGGCTTCCAACTAGAAAGAGGGAAGGAGGGCTAAATAAAACGGTTTAAGAAATTCACTAAAAACACAATTTGTCAAGAAGGAAGTCTTCCATCTTAACTCCTTCAAAGTAGCCCCTTTATGAAATGGAGCTTTGAAATTGATTGTGTTTAAGGCAGCCAGCCATCCAGAGGCTGAAATGAACAACTACCAATTAGCCTACCTGGGCCAATGGAGAAAAGTATGGCAGAAAACCACATGTTACTTGGCATCTGACCAGGGAAAATCCTGGCCCCAACAGTTCAGGCACTGGCAGTTTCAAGAGAAATACTTGGAAAATTAGGAACAAGTATAGACAAGTGCTCAGCTCCCAGATCCCCAAGGAGAAGTCACCATCTTGTTACTCAGAAATACTAACAAGTGAGCATGTTAACTCTTAAAGTGAGCAGTGCAACCAAAATCACCAGTTTAAAATTTCTTCAGAGGCATCCTCTTCACAGAGGAAAGTCCTAGTTCGGAATCTTGACCACTATTAGCCACAGCAGACTTGAAATTGAACCAAAAAGTTAAAATGCATGTCAAATGCTGGACCTAGTTGGTCAAGGCGGTGATCTCTTCTGATTTCATAGCATCAGACAGGAAGCTGAGCTCATTGCATAAGGTCTCATATCGGAATGCCATCCGGATCTGAGCCACATTTGTCTTTCGAATATCATTTCCTTCAGGTCCTTCTTTATAATAATTTTGTCCCAGAAACTTTTGCTTTTCCTGTGGACCAAGAGAAATACAAATGAAACTATATACTTTTGATTCACTTTCTATAGCCATGTGGGCAGCTTTGACATCAGTCACAGCAAGTCAGACTAGTCCCCCTGAAGCAGATCTTTGGTCAGGACATCTTATCCCCACAGAACTCTTAAAATTCCTGCTGGCCTCTGTGTCCTCAAGGATGTCACCCTGACAACCTCAGTCATCCTCAGACAGCCCTTCATTCCTGGCTGTGCTTTCCTTGATCAGAGAGGAAAGATAAGGTCTGCAGCAGCTGCTGGGGATGGGAAAGGCAAAGGGGAAGGAGGTAAGACTCTAATTAAGAAGCCCCTGAGAGCTGACAAGGACAATGTTCCTGGGGAGGGCCAATCCAAGGCACCACACTGCGCATGAAAAGAATCTTAAGCCTTTAACTCTGCTGCATCATCATCCGACGAGCACAGCCCCTAATGCAACCTCTTCCCAACCAGTGACATCACCCAGGGAGGTGTCGGGGGACCTAACGTACATCAGAACATGGGTCTCAGTGCCAGCTCCTCATCAGGCTTTTTAAAAAATGACAGATGTCTGAGTCCCATAGTCTAGATTTTTATTCAGTCTAGATACTGTTCATCTATTCAAGAAATATTGAGCGCCTGCTATGTGCCAGGGACTATCTAGGGCCCGGGGATATAATTCTGAACAAACCTCTGCCCTCACAGAGCTTACATGCTAGAGGGAAAGACAGAAAAACACATAACTAAACATCAGCAGGAATAAATGGTATGGAGAAAAACTGATTAAGGGGATAGAGAATAATAGCAAGTGTGTGGCTATTTTAGAATGGGCGATCAGGGAAGGCCTCTCCAAGGAGGCGTAGAGGTCTGAGAAGGGTGAGGAAGCAGCCATGAAAACACAGGAGGCTGCCGCGTCTTCTCTCCCTGTGCCTGAGTGTCTCAGAGGCCCTGCCTGCTATGTTCATCACAGATCCCCAGTGCCTGGAAGGCTCCTGGCACACAGCAGGCAGCCTTCCCAGGAGGGACACAGGCAGCACCGTCACACTCCATACCTGATGCGAGAGGCCGCTCTGCAGCACGCTGTTCCTGGCGATCTCACACAGGTCGCAGGTGCTCAGCTTCCACACTTGAGCTGCAATGGCATATTCTTCCATAAGTGCTTCCTAGATCCTCCCCCAAAGCATGTGGATTAGAAGGGGGGATATCCATGTCAATCGTTCACACATGTCCAAAGCTAACAACATCAGACACTGCGGGTTTAACTTTTCCTCACTAAATGGCACCTGGATCATCAAACATCACACCTTCAAAGCCTAAGATCTTTTCTTCTGTAAAATCATGGGTTATCAAAGAGAGATCTAAAATCACGCCTCTACATTTATTCATTGACCAGCACTGAGACCTCATGTTGAAACCCTGTGCCAGTCATCAGGGATGGCAGTCTCTGCTCTCCTGTGACAAGCCCTCTAGTCATGCCACATTTAGCACTTGCCCTCTAGCTTTTCTTTTTAACACACTATTTTCTTAAGTTTGCAATAGATAGATAGATGATAGATAGATAAATAGATAGATAGATAGATAGATAGATAGATAGATGAGTAAAGTACTAAAAGCAGAGATGGAACATCAAAAAAAAAATGAGAAGTGATCATAGGATAAGTGGTAAAATGGTGTAATCCCAGAATGATCTGGGTTTGAGCTGTGGTTTTGCTTCCCTTCTGGGATGTGAAGTGTCTATTCATCACAAGCCGTCTGTGACCTCTTCCCCACCCCACTGCCGCTGTAGCCTAGAGCAATAGTTCTCGAAGTACAGGTCAAGGACCCCTGAGGGTCCTAAGACCTTTTGAAAGGTCTTGTCTTTTCCAATTATGTATTTTCATGAGGCAAGATTTCTATTTTTACATATTTTGATTAAAAACAAATTGAATGCAGAAGTGGCTAGAAGAGTCCTGCTGACTTCCATTAAGACATTAAAGAGGCTTAAAAATGCAAAACAAAGGCAGGGGAAACTGTTACTTTTCAGAAAAAAAATCATTATTATGTAACATTTCATTGGTTTATTGATGTGGTTTTTAAATGAGATAATAAATATTTTAAAATTTCTTATTCATTTCTAACATGGTAAATATCAGTAGATATAACCCACATAAACAACAGGTCTTTGAAAGCTTCAATTCTTAAGAGTATAAAGGGGTCCAGAGACCAAGAGGTTGGAGAACCTCTGTCCTAAAAGACTCTGGTGCTTCTGTTTTTGTTAAGCAATGGCTGGTCTTGTCGACACCATCAAAACATGCTGGGTATACTTGCGGCTAGTCCCCATGCATGACACCACTGTTAGCTTCCTCTTTTATTTTCCCAGAGACCCAAAGTGTAGAAATTATAATAGCATTGATTTAAAAAGTAGCAACCATTTTGAATATATGCAGACACTATGTTAGAACCTTTGATTCATTATCTTCATGAATCCTTACAGGGTAGGGACAGAGAAAATTTTATCTCCATTTTACAGATGAAGAAGAACTTGATCCAGAAATCTAATAACTTTACCAAGGTCACAGAGCTCATAAATGTCAAAGAAAGAGAAAATAGAGGAAGGCAAAGATACTAAATTGTGCCTTTGAGGGTTCAAGAACCCCAAAGAAAGGGCTCCTGGATGGCACAATTTTCCCCCAACAGTGGCTTCCTTCCTGCCTTCACTGGGCCACCAACCCCACCCCAAAAGCAGAACTAAGCCATGGGCTCAGGTTCCTGAAATGGGAGGACAGGCTAGGACTGGTGCCTACTGAAGCACTACTGTCCTCACCCCAAAGTCCTTACCTTCGTGTAGTGGAACTGCATGGGGTCATCGGTGGAAAGAGAAACATGCAGTCCCTTGTGTAGGAATTCCCTCAGAGGGTTCTTGGAATATTCGAGGAACAAACTGTTGTTGCTAAGAGGAGACATGGCAATGGGGATCTGAGCAAGGTAGTAGAGATACTGCAATACCGGACTCTGCAAAAGAACCACCGAACTCATGTGACAAGTGCCAGAGAGGGGAGAAGGGAAAAGGGAAGGGAGAAAGGAAGGGAAGAAGCATTCACCAGTGGAAACCAGGGGTCTGAACCATGTCTGCCCAAGTCCTCAACCCGAGTTCCTCGAAGCCAGGACACTCAGACCCACTCTCCCCTTCCCCACTGTTCATCTCATTCCTACATTGCATGCCAGCCCTCCCTGGTGCCTCTACCCACTGTTGGAAGTGCTCATTCTTGCTCCAAACTGGAGGCAAGGCTCAGGGCAGGAAGGGCAGCCCACTCCAGCCTACACCTTCAGCTCCTTTCTCCTAGGCACGGACCCAGTCTAGAAGATGCCCCCCTCTAGCTGTTTTATTGCTTTGACTGCAAACAGCCAGGTTGAGACTATAAACACTCCAGCTCCTGGGAGATGATCCCTGAAGGGATGGGAGGGGTGGACCTGCCCAGGATAGAGTGGTTTTCTACTGTAGCACCCACCCCACCCAAAAATGTGACCCATGGTTACACCTCACCGGGATCAGGGAAAGGGAGCATTTTGATCAAACATCGTGCCAATGGAAAGTGATCCAAAATACGGAGAAGACTGTATGCACAGAGCTCAAGGGTACACCAGTGAAAAGGTGGATGGACTCTGTGCCCAACTAGTGTGGACTGGTTGAGTCAATTACAGACAAAGTGGCAGACCCTTCATCCAACAACAGCCTTTGGAAAAAGGAGCATAGATATTACGTTGCAGCATCAAAAAATGCTTGTCATACAACAGTAAGGGACGAGGCAGGAACCAAATTCTGTGTTCATTATGATAATAAACACATTAAAAATATGCTGTGGATAAAAGATGGAAATTAGATATACTAAAAAGCTAATAATGGCTATTTCTATTAATGTAATAGCATAAGGGCTGGCTTTTTTCCATTTCTCCAGTTTTTGGAAAATCAAAATTGTGATGAGTTTGATTATATTACTTTCATAATTAAAAATAAAACCAAGATAAGGACAGACATCCCAGCCCAGAAGAGGGCCCAGCCTTCTGGCCTCACTGGTTGAGCCTCCCAGGAGCCCAGGGCAGGGCAGTCACTCAGGACGGGCTCCCGAGAGTGACCTGGTTACCTTCTTGAGGAGCAGCCCGTGGGAAATGTTGTCAGCAGTGAGGAAGGCAGACACCAGGTGGGTGATGGAGCCGGCTTCCCCACAGTGCGGCCGGAACAGGAACGTGCTCAGGCCGCGCTCCCTGTAAGAGAAGGGGTTTCCGAATCAGGAAGGCCCCCCCCAGTTGGCTCTGCCTGGGGCCTGCAGCCACAGCTCAGGGCCAGCTCCGGGGGGAATGACCACCCATGGTCAGCTGTGCTGACCCAGTGCACCCTGGAAACTACCCCTCCTAAAATGCAGAGGTCCAGGCCCTGGGGCCCCTTAGAACCAAGAAGCATCACCTCTACGGGCAGAGAGTGGGCCTCGCAGTAGAAAGAGACCCTGCTGTGCCCTCCAGCCACTCTCCTGAATTCCTCTCCTGGCCTTGTGTCCCGCATTCGTAGAACTCCAGAGCAGGGAAGGCCATGAGAAACCACAGAGTCTGACCTCTGTGTTATGGAAATGGGCAAACCAAGGCCCGGAGAGTGAAGTCTATGTTCCATGCCACTGAACAGGTCAGTAGCAAAGCCAGAACCAGAGCCCCCATCTCCAAAAGCTCAGCCCAGGACTGCCTCCACCCTGCCAGGCCATTTCTTTCAATCAGGACCCCATTCGAAACCTCCACACCCACCAACTAGCACCAGTTTAGGCTGAGCTAGAGAGACCCCAGGGCCCAGCAGGGGAAAGTGGGATGCAAGACTTGTAGGGAAGGGAATGGCTCAGTGTCCTGCTGCCCTGGGCAGCTAACTCCTGGCCACGTGTGCCTCGTCTGTGTGCGTATTGGTAGGAGCCTCTGCCTGTAAGGGCATGCATGGATTTAGTCTGTTTTGTTCCCCGTTATTTGTCCAGTGCCCAGGGCAATGCCTATCGCATGCCAGATGCAGTGATTTGCTGAACGAAAATATGCACGTGTGGACATTGTTGGTGTGGCAGTAAGTGACCGTGCATGTGTGATAGCATGTCCTATGCTTCCATTATCTCAGGGATGTACAGGTACACGTGGAGTGTGCCCTGGTGTGTGTACATATAAATGTGTGGACACGTGTGGACTGTGGCTGCATTGCATACTGTACATGACATATGTCTGTACTGGCATGTGTGTTATGGTGGGCATGTTTGCATGTGTGTGATCATGTGGAGACATGCCTCATATAGCAGGCTGGAAAGTGCTGTGTGTTTTGAGGTGTGTGGGCACATGGACATGCATGTTGGTTCAGGTGCACACGGACACAAGGATCACATGCATGTGTGTGTGCATGTGTGTGCATGCGTGCATGTACTAACACATGAACCCAAGCATGTGCGAGGGCAGGCCTCACGCACCTGCGGAGGTTGTTGAGCACCATGATGTTGGCATACATGTAGTACAGGTAGTAGCTGTAGGGTGGGTTCTGCTCACTGGTCCAGACGTCCGGGTTTGGGCTCTTGTCGGAAAACATGTGGTCGCTGTGCTTGGACTCATCATCCACGCTGTCAAACCCCGTCACCTGGGCAGGAGAGGTCCTGAGCACCAGGCCAAGGCAGGACCAGGACTCAGCCTCGGTTCAGCCTCCCAGAGCTCATAGCTGCCAGAGGCCTGTGGGTCTGGGCCCCTCAGGTTCACACCTCAGCTGGGGACCCCTTGGCCTGCCTGAGGCCATATTCCTCCCAGGGATGAAAAGTGGGTACAACACCAAGGTCTGCCCCTTCGGAGCTTCCATAGGTACTCTGGAGGTGAGACAGGAGAGTGCCAAGCCCCTGTGTGGTGGTGGTGACAGTGGAGGAAACTGCCAAGCCAGGTGAAGGGCAAAGCAGCCATGGCCACCACCTGCCCCTCTGCTATGCCGAGGCCAGCCTGCAGGGAGGAGTGGCCATTGCCATCAGCAGCAGCGACAAGCGATGAGGGAAAAGGGTCCTAGTACACATCACTCATCAAGCCCTGCTCAAAGCACTTTACTCACGTCAGTTAATTCATATTCAGAGCAACCCAGGAGGGAGGGGTTGGCTGCCAGCCCCATTTTACAATTGAGCAAACCAGGGCCAAAGCAATTAAGAAAGTTGCTCAAGAAACCAGGTTTGGCCAGACATGATGGCTCATGCCTGTAATCCTAGCACTTTGGGAGGAGGAGACGGGCAGATCACGAGGTCAGGAGTTCGAGGCCAGCCTGCCCAACATGGTGAAACTCCGTCTCTAGTAAAAAAAAATACAAAAATTAGCTGGGCATGGTGGCGTGCACCTGTAATCTCAGCTACTCAGGAGGCTAAGGCAGAAGAATCACTTGAACCCCGGAGGTGGAGGTTGCAGTGAGCCGAGATCGCACCAGCCTGGGTGACAGAGCAAGACTCCATCTAAAAAAAACAAAAAACAAACAAACAAAAAAAACAGGTTCTGGGCTCTGGGTCTGCACTCTTTGGGGCGGTAGGTAGAGAATACTCTAGGGCATGTCCAGGTGTGGCCAGGAGAAACCCGCCAGCTGCCTCACAGACAGATAAGAGGGTCCTTGCTGGGCTAAGCCATGGCTCCTGGGAGGCAGCTCTGCTCTCCAATCCCCACTGGGAGCTGCCCTCTGAGATGGGCCTGAGTAGCCTCAGGAAACCCCCACCCTTCCACTGCAGTTCTACCTTGGCTGGGACCCCTGGGGGGCTGCTCCTGAGTCACTGGAGCCTTCTGGCTGATCCCAGGGGTCATCCCCAACCAAGAACACATGCATGGAGGGTACGGGCTCTCAGCGCACAGGGGAGGCTTGCTACCAGGCCACGGCAGTGCTTTGCAAAGGGGCCTCTGAATAGCAGATGGGAGAAAGAGACTGTCCCCCTTAATCCACAACTGGCCCAAACTGGAGGGCTCCCAGCCCACGCCCCAGACCCCAGCCAGGTCTGCTGGCCTCTCCTGTTCCTATGGGGGCAGCAAAGGCCCAGAGGAGCAAGGCAGCTTGGCCAGAATCTTCCGTGTCACAGAGCCCTGTGTGTCAAAGGAAATGACAGGGTCCCTGCTATGACCCTAAGCACTCCCTAGACGGGTTTGGGGGGCCAGGGAGGACCTTGAGCTCTGCTCTGTGCTCACTAGCTCCATACTTCACCCGAACTTTCTGGGGCCTGGCATGCGGATAATTTCAGCCCCTCTTCAGAGCTCTATCCAGCTGAAGCAGGGCCTCACCACTGCATCTCCCACAGCCTCGGGTGCAAAATGCGTTGTCTCCTCCTCCTGCTCTTCCTCCTCCTCCCCATACCTGCTCTTCCTCCATTGCTGGCAGCAACCTTCGGACAGCACATCATCCATGCTCCTGCAAAGCCAGGCACCTGGGAGGCATCCTAGACTCCCCCCAGTGCCTCCTTCAGTCTCTGTCCAGGTCCTGCCAGGTGTACGCCCACCGCTTCTCACCAAGCCCCACACTTTGTGCAGAGTCCCTGCGCTGCCACACCTCAGAGACGCAAGCTGGTAGCTGCTGTGCACCTTACTATTCTCACTTGGGAGGCAACATAGAATAGGGGTTCAGGGTACATCGCTGGAGTCAGCCTGCCTGGAAACGCATTCCAGCTCTGCCACTTTTAGCTTTATGATCTGTTTTAATTTCCTTGTGTGTCAATTGAAGCTAGCAGCTTCACAGGGCTTTGGTGAGGATTAAATGAGATAATCCAGGGAGAGCACTCAACACCGTGTCCAACACGCACCAAGCACATAATAATTCCGCTTACTGTTAACAACAAAATGGTGATAGTAACGGGGTAATTGTGAGGCTTAGGTGAGATCACGTTGTGGCGTCTGACCAGGCCAGGCAGAAGCACGCACGAGTGTGAGCTATTTCCGCTGGGTCAAGCTCCCCTCCTGTCTCCAGGCAGGCCCCTGACTCTCACCCCTGCCCCCACCTCCAGCTACCTTCTCTTCTGGGCCAACTCCACACAACAGCCAGAATATGTTTGTCTAAAACATAAATTTGATGATGTCCCTCAGCTTGTCCAGTCACTTTCTGGGCACACAGACTCAATTCTTTCCCCGTGCCCCAGCCCTCGGGCTCCCCGCTGTGCCTCTCCCTGTAGAAAGTCATCCATCACCAGGCACTGGCCTGTATCACCATCTGATACCCCCTCGATCCCAGGCATCCGGAGGGTGGGACCGGCTCCCGCCCCCTCCGCCTCCCTCCCTGGTTAAGCCTCTCCCAGACTGCTCCTCTCCTTCTCCTACAACTGGATCCGGAAGGGAAATACACTTTAGGGGCTTGTACTTAATCACACATGGTGTGAGGGCCTCTGTTGCGAGGTAAAGCAGGTGAATTGAAGTGTTTGCATTTCCGAAAAAAAAACCTGAGGCTGCTGCTTGGTGCTGCCGGGGGCTAGATCCAGCCTTTCCAGCCCCACCTGGCAGGAACCGAGTTCCCAGTCTTTGCCCACTGTTGCCTTCCCTGCTGGGGGAAAGGCCTACCCCAAGACCACCACCCCCATCCCCCCACACCCACTGACTCCCAGAGCTGCCCCTGAGGAGAAGGGGACTTTTTAGAAATCTAGCTTCTTGGGGCTGGTGACCCCACGCCTGGAACACAGGTGGCAGGACCTAAGATACCATCGTGAAGGGCAGGAGCAAGCCTGACCCAGCTCACAGCGAATCCATTCCTGCCTCTGCCGCTATGAGCCCTGCCTAGGGCACCACCCACACTTACATATTTAAGGAAGAGGTGAAGCTCTCGATGATCTTGGGGGTTGATAGTGGCCTTGAAAAGGGGCAGGAAGATGTTCTCCAGCATCTTCCCAAAGTTTGGCAGCAGCTTCTTTGACCTAAATATGTCACTGGGGGACAGCAAAGACTCGCTTGTCAGGTGGATCCAACAGCCTGCTGCCCTGTCAGAGACCAGCCCCAGTCACTTCCTCAGGCACCCTGTGTCCCCATCAAACACCCAGAATCAAGTCAGATGGGACCAGAAAACAGATCCCTCCTCTGTCCTCCTCTCCCAGCAATGTCTGCAATATTCTGCCTTGGTTTGCAAGCTCCACACCTACCCATGCCCATCAGAGCACTTTCTCAAGCCAGAAGCCACTAGGAATGGGATGGTGGCATTCTGGCTGACCAAGAGACTGAGATATGAATCCTCAAATTCCCAGTGACCCAAACATTCTGTTACTCAGCTCTGTTTCCCTAAACCACATACCCCAGCCCATCCTGGAGCCATGGGCTCCACCCTGGCCAGCCGCCTGGAGAGGACAGCAGCCGTCTGAGTGACATCCAGGGAGAGGCCAGCAATGTAGACCACTACAGCTCTCCCCATACCCTGGGGCTCACCAAAAGGACAATCCATCCTCAACCCACAATGAGAAGAAGGCGGGGGTAGTAGTTCCCCCAAGGCCTTTGCACATCTATATTTTTCAAAGATCAAGAGTTCTAGTGTCAGCTGGATGCAGTGGCTCACACCTGTAATCCCAGCATTTTGGGAGGCTGAGGCAGGTGGATCACGAGGTCAGGAGTTCAAGACCAGCCTGGCCAAGATGGTGAAACCCCATCTCTACTAAAAATATAAAAATTGGCCAGACGTGGTGGCGGGTGCCTGTAATCCCAGCTACTCGGGAGGCTGAGGCAAAGAATTGCTTGAATCAGGGAGGTGGAGGTTGCAGTGAGCCAAGATCATGCCACTGCACTCAGAGCCTGGGTGACAGAGTGAGACTCTGTCTCAAAAAAAAAAAAAAAAAAGAGCTCTAGTGTCATGCAGACATCTTTTTCATCACTCCTTCTATGGAAAAATCCCTGGAAAGGACAAGCGTAAGCTGGCACCAGAACAGGCCCTACCCCTCAGGAGTGCAGACTCAGCAGCCCATGAGGGACAGATTGTCACCTCTGTAGGGCACAGGGTAGACAGCGGGCCACCTCACTTACTAAATCCGGGGCACCTGGATGATCCAGCGCATGTTGGGAGAGTAGACCTTGTGCTGGATGAACCAGTAGGCCAGGTTGGGCCACTCCTCAGGACTGCGGCCGTAGATGGAGAGCCGTGGCTCTGAGTACTGGTACTTGCTCTCCTCCAGCTCCCGGGCAACCTCCTGGCACAAGAAGAGCTTGGGTCAGCCCCAGTGCATCCCAGCTACATGGGAGACTCTCACTCTCCGTCACCAGCAGGGTCCTGTTGCTCCCCCAGCCACCTTGCTCCCAGGCTGGAAGCACTCATCTAAATCCCCAGGGCTGCCTGCTCCTGTAAGCTCTTGTTCCACTTTAGGAGAGGCCCCCTCTGGTGAGGAAGGCCTTGGGTCTGCAGAACCAGGCCACAGCAGAAGCATCTCCACACGGAGCTCATCTGCACCCAGCTAGGTTCAGGCTGCAGAGACACGAAAGCCAGGCCAGGTGCTGTGAGCTTGGCCAAGGTGGATACCCTTCCCTCCTCTTTCCTGCAGTTGGCACATGCAGCACTGCCTGGAGCAGGCAGCCAGACCACAGCACTGGGCACCTGGGCACCTCACCCTTCCCTGAGCTGATGGTACACAGAGGGAGGGGAAGGGGCCAGGGGCACACAGGGCCCCCACTCTCTGAAGGCAGATGTTGGGAGGCACCTGAGAGGCCTCAGAGAGACTGAGGGTTCACTCACCTTGACCATCCGAGCAAAGTACTCTCCTCCCAGATAGTTTTCAGTTTTCAAATACAGGTCACGCAGCTCACTGGCCCCCACAGGGTTGTATTTGGAGTTGAACTTGTCAAAGCGGTGGAATGTCTGCCGGCCCTGAGGGGGGAGACCACACCAATCAACGCATCGTTCTGCAGCCACCATGCACGTTCCCCTCTCTAGACCTTTACGAGGCGGCCTTCTGTATGGCCACACCGAAAGACATCTTCTATGTCAATTCTTGCATGAAACCTTAGAAACTCCTGAGCACCAGGACCATGGATCCTCACTCGGTCAGCTTGGGATCCTTTGGCAAGGCCCCCTGTGAAGGAACAGCAGAGGCCCCACCTGCAAGTTACCACAGCTCGGCTCAGGACATGGCTGACTTAGTGAGCAGAGAGGCTGCACCACTGAATAATAGAACATTCCCTATCACTACTCACATTTTGTAAAGCACTTTCTCCACATTATATCATTCAATGTTTTGTTTAACAAAAGTTTTTTTTGTTCTAATAAAGCATGTACAACACAACGTTTACCATTTCAACCATTTTTAACCATACAGTTCCAGTGGCTTTAAGTACATTGACATTGTTGTGCAACCATCACCACTAACCATTTCCAGAACTTTTTTATCATCCCAAACAAACTCTATACCCACTAAACACTAACTTCCCATACCTTCCTCTCCCCAGCCCCTGGTAGCTTCTACTCTCCTTTCTGTTTCTATGAATTTGCCTATTCTAGGGACCTTATATCAGTGGAATCATATGATATTTGTCCTTTTGTGTCTGGCTTCGATTTAGTATAATCTTTTGAAAAATCCATTCATGGTTGTTGCATGTACAGTACTTGACTCCCTTTTATGGCTGAATGATATTCCGTTGTATGGATATACCACATTTTGTTTACCCATTCATCTGTTGATGAACACCGGCTGTTTCTATCTGTTGGCTGCTATGAATAATACTGCTATGAACATTGGTATGTGAGTATCTGTTCAAGTTCCTGCTTTCAGTTCTTTTGGGTATATACCTAGAAATGAATTGCTGAGGCATAGGTAATTCTATACTTAACTTTTTTAGGAACTACCATACTGTTTTCCATAGCAGTTACACCATCATTTAGTGTTTTAATATTTTTTTAAGTTAATAAGGCACATGGCTGTCACCATTTTATAGGCAAGGAAATAAAGGCTTCTGTGAGTTGCCTAAGGGCACAAAACTCCTAAGTGGCAGGAGTGGGATTAGTGCTTAGACCTGTCAGGCCCCAAGCCACACACCCTCTTTCCCTGTCCCATGGCTGCCCCAGACCTGTTATTCTCTGAGGCCGCATGACCTCTCAGTCAGATAGAAGAGAAAGCTGCTTCCGTAGCACCTCCCGGCAAGCACAATCATGGTGGCTTTCCAGGGGGCTGAGTCCCCAGCCAGGGCTGCTGTCTGCTGGCGGCACTGGAGCAGAAGCTCACTCACCGCGTGGACATCCAGTGAGTCCACAGTGAGGTCGTAGGGGTCCATGTGCAGGCCGTCAAACACCTGCCGCAGGGTGATCTTCCGGCCCCGCTTCTCTGCCACAGTCCTGTCAGGCTCCGTCTGGTATGTGTGCTTGATGAAGCGCAGCAGATGCTTTTGGTTCATGCAGGCGGCCGCATGGATGTGTGTGTCCACCTGGAACACAGCGCCCACCAGGCCCTGAGTCAGGCCACCTCCCCTAGCAACAAGAGTTAAGACATCCAACCCTCAATGTGCACAGAACCCCAGCACCTCATGGGCCATCCGGGCAGCCCCACCAGTGTCTGGATCCCACCCCCCATTTCTCCTCCAGACTTCGGAACTGGTATCCCTCCCTTTCAGCCTTGCTGCGCATTCCACCTCCTTACAGCACCAGGAAATCTTTTTAAAATGCAGATTGGATCAGGCCATTCCCCAGTTAACAAATGACCTATGGGCCCATCAGTCTCAAGATAAAGCCCAAGCACCTTGGCCTGAGATTCAAGGCTTATTTCAAGCCTTAACTCTCGCCTTGCCACTGCCCCATTCTGTGCTGCAGCCGTGACAAACCACTTACGGGTACACCACACACCAAGGTACAGTACACTGCATCCCTTTGCCCACGTGTTTCTTCAGTCTGGAATGCCCTCCTTTCTCTCCACCATCTCATCCACCTAGAAATTTCCCACAACCTCCTCCATTTGGGAGCCAACCTTGTTCCTCCAAGCACAACTGAATGCTCTTTCCCTTGCCCAACCTCAAAACCTGGCACAGGCATCCCATTGTTGTGCAGACCGTCCCGATCACTCTAACGTTTGTGTGTCTACGCTTTCACTAGACTGGGAGCTCCTCAAGGACAAGGGCCATGTTTGATGCCTCTAAGTCTTCAGCACCTACCCCAGAGCCTAGTACAAAGTCGAACCAATGGATGAATGAATGAACAAATTAACAGGTACGACAGGTTCTCACAGTTTTAGTGATAACCCTGAGGGCCCATCAAATCCCACTCTTCCCATTGATCCCTCTCAGAACCCTCAGAGCATTCCCAAAGCAAACCTCCAAGTGGGAATGAATGAAAAGAACAGACACTAAAGGCCAAGCCTCCAAACACACCCTTCCTTGACTAGTTACACCTCACCCAAACTCCAGGGCATCCAAGTCCCAAGAAGAAGCCACTCTACTGGAAGCCGCTCTACTGACCCTAAGCCAACATATGGACTCAAGCTGTGGGGCCCAAGGCCAAAGATCTTAGAGCAAATCCTAAGAAGCAGAAATGAACAGTCAGCTTAGACTTCTCCCCACATTCCAGGGAAAGGCAGTTTTTTGCAGAAGGCACCTTTGCAGAAGGAGCCCAGCAAGGTCTCAAAACACCTCATGGGATTTCTCATGCCCTCTATATCATGCTAAGTCCTGTGATACCAGACCGACCCCTTGCATCTCTGTCCTCTCCTTTTCAGCCTCCTTAGTCAGCTCATCCTCACTACCAGACCTCTTAATAATGGAATTTCTTGATGCCTGGTCCTGGGCCCTCTTGTCCTCTCACTATAAATTCTCTCCAAAGGTGATCTGTTCCATTTCTGTGCATTTAATTATTTTCCTTATACCAATTCCCAAATTTATGCCACCAGCCAAAAGCTCCAGAACTGTACATACTATTGCCTTCTTGATATCTCTATCTGGATAACCCAAAGGCAGTTCAAATTTAATATATCCAAAAGTGGACTCTCCATCTCTGACCCCAGCCCAAACCTGATTTTCTCCCAGATTCTGGAATCCCAGGAAATGGTGTGTCCTGAATCCAGCTGGTCATGCTGAAAAACTGGGAGTCATCCTTGGCCTTCCTACTACTCCCTTCCCTCAGTGAGTCTCATCAGTTCTACCTTCCAAATGGATGTCAAATCCATACAATATTCTCCAACCTCACTGCCACCACGGGAGTTCAAGCCTGCATGTTCTCAGGCCTGAATTCACAGTGACCTCCTAACTGGTCTTGTTCCTTTTTCTTGTGCTCTGGTTCAATTCATTCTCCATACACAGAAGCTAGAAGGGATTCTTTAAATGTAATTTGATTCTGTTACTGAACCCTCTTCATTAATCTTAGGATGAGGGCTCTGCTAATATTGCCTGGATCCTACCCATCTCCCCAACCCCTCATCCCCAGTCTGCCTTTTCACTGTGCTTCACTCATAGGACAACCACAAGCCCTAAGGAAATGAAGCCCCAGCTAAGCTGAGGGATGGCCTCAAGTCACTATGGGTAAACTGACTCCCCCTCCCTGAGCACAAGGGACCTATGGGAGCTCCGGGGGAGGACGACAGCAGCCTCAAGGCCAGGCTGCTGACAGCCATTAGACCACACTCTGGAGCTACTGCTGCGGCCGACTGGGCGCTCAGCCCGGGCTGGGGTGAGGAGGCGGCTGACCTCAGGGCAGGGAATGCTGTCCACGGCTGGCTGAGCATCTCCAAGTAATGCCAAACCAGATATTTGATCCACTGGACCTCTGTGAGCATTATGCCAGCCAGCCCATGTCGTTAGCCACAGCACTCACTCATCAGCATCCTTCCTGCCATTAATCTTGCCATTCTTACCAGAAAGACAGACCACTGGACACTGGGGAAACAAAGCAAAGCAGAAAACTAAAACATCCCCAAAGCCCAGGCTCCTCAGAGATGAGGCTGGGCTCACGTGGGATGCACAAAAGAAGGTCAGCCTGGCTCAGCTCAGCTGGACACAGCTTGGTACAATGACCTCAGCATGACTCAGCGGATTCTGGGCTTTCTGGTCCTGTCCTCTGGCTTACCAATGACACACCACAGGGGGGTCAGCCTGTCCTTACCCCCATGAGTCACAAGATAAATGAGGAAAACAACTGGACAATCCAGGAAGCACCCCATCCAAACTTCAGAACTCAAGGGTGATTATTTTAGGAACAAAATAATTGAAGGTCATTGGAGGTCAGTGTTTTCAGTTCACCAGAGGATCCAAGTGCATTCCCCGTGTTCACCTAAGACCTCAGATGTAAAGAAAGAGCAGAGTTTCCAGACCTGGGACCTAAGCCAACATTGACCATTTCCATACCCATGGCAGGCATCAATAATCGAACACAGCACTCTTTTCACTAAGCTTTAGGGGTGGCCCCTAATTGGTCAGGTTTGGCACAGAAGGTAAAACCTATTTGCTATTCTTAATATGACACTTAAACCACAGTGGATGTCACCTACTTCTACCCAATTCCCAAGCAGCAAACACACTCAGCTCTTCTGTCTTGCTTCTGCATAGAAAACAAGTGTCTCAGTCACACAGTCCTGCTGGCTGGGCCT
This sequence comes from Homo sapiens, assembly GCF_000001405.40. Lineage (NCBI taxonomy): Eukaryota > Metazoa > Chordata > Mammalia > Primates > Hominidae > Homo > Homo sapiens. Next base: position 10,490,205 of record NC_000011.10, on the reverse strand, counting down.
CGGGGTGTCTCAGCCCTTCACCTGCTGTAGTGTGACAGGTGCCTTCACAGATACCACCCACACAGATCCACGGCCACGTCGCAGCTCCTGCCTCAGACCACAGCCCTTGTCTGCCCCAGGGACACCAATAGCCACTTTAGACATACGGAGGCCATCATCCAGCCCATTCTGGATTTTAGAAAGCAGCTCTCCTCCCCATAGTAGAGGCTATGAGAGTGCTATCAAGGCCAGGTGTGGTGACCCACGCCTGTAATCTCAGCACTTTGGGAGGCCAAGGCAGGCAGATCACCTGAGGCTGAGAGTTCGGGGCCAGCCTGGGCAATATGGCAAAACCCCATCTCTACTAAAAATACAAAAATTAGCCAGGAGTGGTGCCAGGCACCTATAATCCCAGCTACTCGGGAGGCTGAGGCAGGAGAATCACTTGAACCCAGGAGGCTGAGGTTGCAGTGAGCTGAGATTGTACCACTGCACTCCAGCCTGGGCAACAAGAGCAAAACTTCATCTCAAAAAAAAAAAAGAGAGACAGAGTGCTATCAAGTAGGCAGCACCCAGGGGCGGGCACAGACCTGACTCATAGCAGACCTGCGCCCATGTTTATGGACTGACTGTGGTGCCTAAGAACAGGCCACTGGGTCATAGATATCAAGGTCATCTCTGTCCAGAGAAAACATTAACCCCAAGACTGCAGGAGAACCCTGGGGATAGGCTCTGATTTGTTACCCTAGCCCCACGCCAGGACTGTTTCTCATGTTGTGGCCAGAGGGCAGCTGGTAGACCCAGGAACACCCACTGGGGCCCCACCTTAGAAGAAAACAGTGTCAGTGCCAGCACAGCCAGTGAGGACACCTTGGCCCCAGGCAGCAGGAAGCAGGTAAGCCCAGAGCATTCACGTATGCTCAGGGCAGGGCTGCATCGGGCTGGGCAAGGCGTTTCTTTGAACACGGGCCTGGGCATGTGCTAGGCGTGTGAAGTTCTTTGGGCAGGGCTGAGAGGAGTTCACACAGTGATGGAGGCATCCACCTGTCTGAACGCCTAAGCCTCACAGAGAAGGAACAAATGGTGCTTGAAGGTGAAAATGCCAGGGTGCCCACGTAAGTGGTGTCTAAAACACCTTTCACTTCTGCCTGGAAATCCCCAAAACACTTCTGTAAGCCTCTCAGGGCACATGAGCTGAAGCCAAACTCTCACTTCTTAAAGCTCTTGATCCCATCCAAGTGGGAGTCTGTGTTGGACCCCTGGCGTGTAACAGAAGTGGTCTTAGGGCCTCCAGGTAGGGTCTTCCATCTGCATTGCTGATATGCTCCCAGCCAGGGGGTCAGGGAGGCTGGAGCTGGGCTTTCCCAGAGGAGCCACATCCTCCCCTGGCCTACCCTCCCTTATCAAAGCTGACCCCAAAAAGAAGAAGTCCCCAAGAGGTTCCCAGCTGGGACAGAGCTCCTGTGGAGATGGCAACCCCACTGTGACTCCACCCAGCTTTAGCCATCCCTCCTCCAAGCAAAGCCTGATCCCGACTCTTCCCCCAGGAGCTTCTCTCCCAGCTCGCCACCACACCCCGGCCCACCTCCCTGCCTTCTGTGGGAAACCCACAGCCCCTGCATGATCCAGGACCTCCCCACATCTCTGCAGCCTTACTCTCCCCACAACCCGCTGCTCCCCGCTCCCAATGCCTGAGCTCCAACCACACCACACTGCTTGCAGTTATGTCAACACACTGTTCTGACTCTCTCGACTCTCTCATACCATCCCTCCCTCCTGACATTTGCACATCACGTGCCTCTACCTGGAATGCCACCACTTCCATTCCCCTACCACACCCTCTGCCTGGCAAGCTCCTACTCACTCTAAGTCAGCTCAGTTCTGGCCTCTCCCTCAAAGCCACCTGGTTGACAGGAAGTGACTCTTGCTCACCATCAAACACCCCCTGCCTAGCACTGACCCTGTGCCTCACTGCACAGCGCTTCAGCAAAAGAGAATGGAAAGGCTAGGGCCATGATCATTTAACCTTCGCTCCTACCGCAGTTGCGGCCCCTGCAGGCGGAGACTGCCAGGAGCCCCGGACAAGGCTGCCATCCCCTTGGTGGGAGAAGAGAGGCAGAGATCTGAGCATATCAGAGGCTTTTCTTTAAATCCACATGATCCCGAAGGATGCAAAACCACAAACTCCCATCTCCAGAGAGATCTTTTTTTTTTTTCAGGGAATTTAAATTTTATTTTATTCACTTATTTATTTTGCTTTAAGTTCCAGGATACATGTGCAGGATGTGCAGGTTTGTTACATAGGTAAACGTGTGCCATGGTGGTTTGCTGCACCTATCAACCCGTCACCTAGGTATTAAGCCCAGCTGGAAGCCATCATCCTCAGCAAACTAACACAGGAAGAGAAAACCAAACACCGCATGTTCTCACTTATAAGGGAGCTGAACAATGAGAACACATGGACACAAGGAGGGGACCAAAGAGATCTTAACAGCTGTGTCTTTCTTTGATGACTCTAATACATCCCCTACCTTAAAAGTAGGCTGTGCTCAACTTTTATGACCAATTAATAGGCTGTGCCCTATTTTCCAAGGAAGAGGGCACATCCCAACAGATATACAATGCGGACAAATGTTTCCACCTAGAGTGATTCAAGTGCTGTCTGAGGCCCAGCCTGACACAAATGCAGCTCACCCATCTTCCTTCTGCACATATGCTTCATACCCCTCTGGCCACGAAGGCCGCCCTTAGCAAGGAGCCCTGAAGTTCTCACAGGGGACAAGCCTCAGACTGGCTCAGGGCATCCCATGGGCTGGGAGGGGGACCGGGTGAGGCAGCTGTGAACACTCGCCCCTAACGCACCTTTCTCACGTTATAGAAGTCCCGGTGGGGGTTACTCTTCAACTCTTTGAACTCGGACATTTCGTTTAACATCTCATGAAGGCTGAACTTGGATTCCAGAAAGTTCAGTCGCCGGTGACAATAGGTTTTCCTGCAAGTTGGAGATGGGGAGAGACCATAGTTGAGTCGCATCGAGCTCTCCAGTTTGGAGGCCTCCAGCATCTGCAGGGGCCAACCCTGGCTGGAAGGGTCAGGACGGAGCAGGGCGGAATGAGGAGGTTCTGGCTTTCTACAGACCCTGCTGAACTGTTGAGTCATATCCACAGACTCTATAAAGTCAGTGGAGAGTCAGGAGATGGGGCAGTAGCAGGCCAGCTCTGGGACCTCATACAGGTGTTTTGACTTCTTGTTTATGTGTTTAGGGAATTAACCGCAAGCCTCCATTTCCCATGAGTAAATATCAGGTGGTAACACCCAAGGCTGAAGTAAGGGTTAAACTGGTTTATGCCTGGGAAAGGGCCTGAGTCCAAGCAGAGTGGATGCTCAGTGGAAGTCTCCCTCCTTCATCTCCTCCTTTCCTTCCTCTTTTCTATCCTCAGCCACTTGTCATTCCTTGAAGAAGGAGTTTGTTGCCCAGAGGATTGATAACACAGTCAAACTATAAGGCATGACCTGCCCACCTTGGGTTGCAGAGGAACCAGCCCCCTGACCTAATGGCCACGGCCCAAGGATCTCTCAACTCTGAGGCTTCACGACAAGAGGAGGATATTTTGCATCATGGGTGGATTGGGACTGTAGGGATATTTGTTACCGAGACAGAAATCTCTGTAAGGACTGATGCCCCCAGATTCCCACCAACTCAGAGAAGGGGCCCATGATTTATCAGCCAGCAAAGGCCTTTGGGGATGGGGGTGCTCACTGCTGTGGCCAACTGCCAGCCCACACACAGCCTAGGTGCCTAGCCACACACCTGCATCCACAGCCGCATGGAACCTTCGACCACAATTCACGCTACCCTGCTTCCTCAGGCCCCCAAAACAAACAGCAGCTTCCTTGGCATCTAATCACGTAGACTTCCATAAGAGCATCTGCCGGCACTGCAACAGCACAGTCATCCATCTGCCCAGACAAGCCCCAGAGTGGACGGAGCACAGGACAGCCTCAGAGTCGGAAGGGAGTTTAAAGGCCATCTCACTCAGTCTCTCTCCCTAGGCAGGATCCTCACAGCCTCCCAGATGGGACAGCCACTACTTGCACACCTGGCTGAGGACAGCCTCTGAGGAACCGCCCCTGCCCTTCCCATGCCTTAGTTCTGCCCTCAGATCAGGGAGGACTAAGAATCATGCTGCCCATCCACATTGGGCTCACTATGCTACTTTCGAGACTGGCATCACAAGATTCCCAGAAAACAAGAGAGAAGGTCCTCAGGAGTGACTAGCACCTCCTCTCACCCAGACTCCCACTCCCAGCACAGCCACTCTGAGGCTCACAGAGTCCAGGTATTACTGATCAGCCTAAGTGCCCACCAAGAAGTGAGGGGCCAAATTCAGAAAGATGGCTGCCCACCAGGTTAGCTGGAGCCAAGCCCACGAGCATCATGGTGCACCATGCCCATGAGCAAAGTTCCCCAGGCTCCCTGCATGCTCCCCTCCAGAAACCCAGAAAACTCAAGGCCTGAAGCAATGTCTTCATCACTCCTCACCAAATAGTTATGCTCTGGGCTGGTAACTCTCTGCAAGGCTGCTGTCCTGCCTGGGGAGAGGGATGACAGCCATTCAGAGGCACCCAGGTAGCTACCAGCAAGCAGAGGCTCCACACTATGCACGCAGAAGGGACAGGGAGGCCGGTCACAGTGGCTTACACTTGTAATCTCAGCACTTTGGGAGGCTGAGTTGGGTGCACTACCTGAGCTCTGGAGTTTGAGACCAGCCTAGGCAACATGGCAAAACCCCTGTCTCTACTAAAAATATAAAAAATTAGCCATGGTGGCACGTGCCTGTAGTCCCAGCTACTCAGGACGCTGAGGCAAGAGAATCACTTCAACCCAGGAGGCAGAGGTTGCAGTGAACCAAGATCGCACCACTGCACCCCAGCCTGGGCAACAGAGCAAGATGGTGCCTCAAAAACAAAAGAGGGGACAGGGAGTACCAAGTCAAAGGCTATGCCAGCTTATGAAGGAAAACTGTTGCAGAAACCCGCAAAGCACTGAGGAAAGGAGAAACCGCGCTCTTTCTGGGATGCTTTAAGTACAGGGGACCCCAGGGCAGAGGGGTGAGGCCTTTCTCATCTCCTTCCTACAGAACAGCACCTGTGCAAAGACAGGCAGCCGCGGAGAAGCTAGCTTACGTGGGGCCATCGGTGATGAGAGCCAGGATGTGGCTCATGTCCACCGTGTAGGTCTCCAGGTCGGGGTAGGGTAGGCTGTGCGGCTCCTGGTGCTCCAGCATCTTCTTGTTATCATACACAAAGAGGATGCCCCCCTGCATGTGGACCAAGTAATCCAGGTTGGGGGGTGCATCATCCAGGCAGTAGGGGTCTTCCTGGGGCAGTGGAGGAGGGTGGAAGTCTGCAAAACAGGATTGAGGGATGGCAAAGTGCCCCTGACCTTGTGAGCACACATGGGCTCAAAAGACACGGAGGCCTGCGCTGGCCTTCCTGCCCAAAATCCAACCCTGCGCCGGCCCCGCATCTCATATGCTCTTCCCTGCTTCCTTTTGTCTCGTCAGCACTTACCACCATGTCAAACCATGTCACTTCTTTATCTCAGATATGATGTCTTCTCCACTCCAATAGAAACTCCATGCAGGCAGAGACTTTAATTTGTGCTGTTCACTGCTGAGTGTCTAGAACAGTCCCTGGCACATGGCTAGCACTTCAACAATTTTTTAAAATTTAACTGAAATGGGCTTCATTTTCCTCGGCACTTCAGAGATTCCAGGAATATTAAAAAGAGCAGCGGTGTCTTCTCCCAGGAAAAAAACAGATTGCACCTGGACTGCCCAGTGGGAATAACTGTCCCGAGCCCAGGCCAGGTGAGGGGCTAGATAAAGAAGCCACTCCCTCCCCAAAGGAGCAAAGGATAGGGAACTTGTCTCCCCCAGAGCAGAGAATGCCAATGATAAAGCCATCTGCCCCCAACCACTATAGGTTAAGGTTAGAATTAGCCAACAGGAGGTAGAAAACTCCTCTATGCAATTTCCCTGCTGTGAGACTTTCAGCAAACTCCTTTACCTCTCTGAGCCTATCTCCTCTGAAGATAACACCCCCTGCCTTAACACGCTGCTGTGAGGGTTGCAATAGTGTGTATAGGAAAATTCTTCATAAACAGTAATGCACTACAAATAATGAATTATAGGATATTATTCTTATTATTCTCATAATTAGTTTTCCTGACTCTTGATAAACTCTGTCCCTGGCCAAGGAGTGTATTGATGCTAAATATCAGTAGAGCTGGAGGCTTCAACTCCATGCAGCTCAGCCAGCACCATCCAGGATCAGCTGTCCAGCTGCCAGCATAGGCAGGAGCAAACCTCAAGATCTGCATCAAAGGAAGCTGCCAAGGCAGAGTGACCTGCCTGGGCATCCTCCATCTGTGCTTGGAAGGAACAGACCATCCCTAGAGCACATGTGAGGAGCCACAGAGGGGCTGATGCAGGCAGAGCTGGAGAGGGGAATGCCCCATCAGGCACGGCCACAGGCCAGCTCAGGAGGCCCTAATGCAATGCAGTGGTCTGTGAGATGCAGGCAGTTCAAGGCCCGGGTGAAGCTACAGCCTGCATGTTCGGAAGTTGCTCCTCTTCCCCATACTCATGCCCAGAACCCAGGGGTCCTCTGTCCATGTAAAGTACACATTTGACAGTCATTTCTGTCTGTCTTTGCCAAAACTGGGGTGGTAGGACCCACTTCCCTCAGATAGGGAAATAGGCCCAAAGGGCTGAGATTTACCTAGGGCCCCAGATGCTCAAAGTACAGGACTTGAAATTCAAGGAAGCCAGAGACTGGGGCAACTTGGCACCACCAGCTACCCCCAGAGGCAGCCAGGGTCCCAGGCATTGATGGAGACCACCAGGCCCTTATGTGTCCCCCACCACCAACTTTCAGGAGTGGGGTTTCCTACTGTCCTCATCACTGCCTCTACTGCTCCTAGGTTCTTCATGGCAAGGCTTCATGAGGAAACCACCTAGCCCTCTCCGACCTCCCCTTCCCTGAACTCGGCAGCATAAATGTAGCTACCATTTATTGAACACTCACTAGATGCCAGAACTGAACTAAGTACTTCACATGCATTCTCCTGTTTAATCCTCACGACAGCCCTGGGAGATAGGTATTATTTGCATTTCCATTTACAGATTACATTTTACAAAGTGAGGCTTAGAGAAATATCTTTCCCAAAATCCCAAGAAATTGACAGAGCCCAGATACAAATGCAGGTGTGTTTGACACCAGAGCCTACATGTCTTCCCAGGGAACATGCCCTCTGTTCCTACTCCCACCCCGATCCACCCTACCACCAATTTGGCATTTACTGTGTGATTGTGTTCTTTTAAATATGCCACATGAGGCCAGGCGCAGTGACTCACATCTATAATCCCAGCACTTTGGGAGGCCAAGGCAGGAGGATCACTTGAGCCCAGGAGTTTAAGACCAGCCTGGGCAACATGGTAAGACCCCCATCTCTACAAAACATAATAATATATATTTTTTTAATTAGCTGGGTGTGGCGGTGTGTGCCTTTGATCCCAGCTACTTGAGAGGCTGAGGTGGTAGGATTGCTTGAGCCCAGGAGATTGAGGCTGCAGTGAGCCATGATTGCACCACTGCATGCCAGCCTGAGCAACAGAGCAAGACCCATCTCAAAAAAAAAGAAAAAAAAAATTCCCACATGAGACTCCCTGTCTCCCTGGTGGACTCCCAAGAACAAGGACTGTCTTTCACATCTCTGTCTTGACTTCAACAGTTCAGCTCTGCACAGGCTAGGCATACAGTACACATAGAATCAATCCTTGGGGGAACCATCAAACATCAGTGTGGGAGAAGCCAATGAAAGAACATTGTCATTTTAAAATACTATCAGGGGAAATAGACCGAGCCAGAAAAAAGCCCTGACTAGCTCTCGGTCTGCCCACACTTGGGACCCAACCTCCAGCCAGAGCTCCATACCTGGAAGGCCCTCTTCCGGAGGTGCAGTATCCGCCCGCGGATGACCCAGGTACTGGGATGTGATCCGCGGGAAGCGGTGGTAGGCGAGCCGCGCATACTTCTCCCGGATCATTAGGGCCTTGGCCAGACTCTTGGCTGCCTGCTCATAGTCCTCCAAAGTGATCTGCAGAAGGGAGGCAGGCAGGAAAGGGTTCATGCAGCAGGCCTGAGACTGCCATCCTTGGAAAGATGTGCTTGCAAGATTGGCCCTTGCCTGGTATCTGGGAACCTAGATTTCAGGAGGGTTCTCACCACTCCTTGACCAATAAGAGTGGTTCATTGCACCTAAACTACTTGTACAAACAATATGGTTTATGTTGGACACCTGCTTTCCTTCTGGAGCCTGGAATTTGAGATGTGCTATGCAGACATGTGACCAGCCCCAGTGAAAACCCTGGGCACCGAATCTCTAATGAGCTTCCCTGGTAAACAACACTTCCCACATGTGCTGTCACAATGTGATGCTGGAGGTATTTGGTATGTTCTGATGACTCTGCTGGGAGAGGACCTTGGAAGCTTGCACCTCGTATCCTCCATGTATCGCTCCCTTTGCTGATTTGCTCTGTATCCTTTCACTGTAATAAATCAAAGCTGTAAGTACAGCTATATGCTGAGTCCTGTGAGTCCTCCTGGTGAATCATCCAACCTGGAGTGGTCTTGGAGACCCCCAACACAGGAGACACAGGAGGAGTTAGGGTCGTTGGAAGACAGACAAGTGCTCCAGCCTGCACACCCAGAAGCCGGCCTCACATGCAGCTAATTAAGCCAAAAGTCTGTTTTTGTACCAGGCCCATGGAGGGACAAAGCCTGAGTCCTATCCCTGAAGGCGATGAGCACCGTCATTTTCAGTTGAGAAAATTCATGTGTCCTTCAGATGGCGAAACAAAACAAGAAGCAAAAGCAAATTCTGCATGCTCAGCCTGCTTCTTTGCCAACCCCACACTTCTGATTAACTCTGTTAATCACCCAACTCATCCAGGCAACAAGCCCCATTGTCATGTGTTATGTGCCAGACCTTTCCATAGATTTCATTTTGCTCCTTACAGCAACCCATTTTGCAAATGGGAAAACTGAGGCCCAGAGAGGATAAATCACTTGCCAGGAAGCTACAGAGTCAAATTTCAGACTCTAACCTGATTGAGTCCCAAAGTCTAAGGATGTTCTGCTTTACCAGAGCAGCCTCATATTCAAAGATGAATGAGATAAATTCCCGCCTTCCAACAGGCTCATTAATCTTAGTCTGTTTGGGAAGGATGGGAATCGCAGAAATATGCTTGGGGAGACAAGTGGCCAGACAGACACAATGCAGGGTAAGGGGAACAGCAGAGGGAGGCACCATATGCTGGCATAGCCCAGAGTGGGGAGGGCTGGGGCCTGAAAGTGATCTCCTCTGCTTTAATAAAATCATCATTTTTAATTTTGTAATATTTTAAACATACAGACAGGCACCAAAGATAATATAACCTACCTTCTAGAGCTGACAATAATATTTAGCATAATTCTTTCAAATTTCTCACAGGTTTAAAGAAATAAATCATCACAGATACAGCTAAAACTCTACTCTCCTCCCTACCCCATCCTCAGAGGGAAGAAGTCTGAATATATTTTTCCTATGCATGTTTTTATACTTTTACTAAATACTACTAAGAAGTAGTATTTAGTAAATACTAAATACAAAAAGCAAGACTTTTTGTTACGATGGTAGATTCTCCTTTCCTGCCTCCAAATGTCCCCATAAGGTATGTTAATTCCTTTTACATCTTCCAGTGGATGGCTTCTGAGAGCGGCAGGAATAGGTGAGCAGACACCGACATCCTAGACAAAAATATGTCCCTGCCAACAACGAAGCCAAATTCTTTCTCTGGGGAACCAATGGACTCAGCATGACAAGGGGCTCATGCCATGGCTAAGGACATCAGAGAGGATGCTCAGGACCCCTGTGGACCCGTGGCCACCGGCCAAGCTTACAGGCATCACAGGCCCCATGGCTGACAGCAGACCTACTGCGTGCCAAGGAGATCTGCAAGATCAGCCTGCCTCTCACAGACACTTAGCTTTCTGAGGACCAGTTGCCCAGTTCAGGTGCTCCATGCACTACTCTGTGCCAGCCAGGAGACTGGGAGAAAGAAGCTATTATATGCTACAGGCTGACATCCTCCCATTCAGCTGGTGGCCGACCCACCTCGACTCTTGCTTTCCAATGCCCTGCCCACCTGCCTCAGGTTGGGTGAACACCAAAGACTCATGGTCAGGATGCTGATCTCCAGACAAGGCCTGCATTGTTTCCAACCCAACCTAAACTCCCATCCATGGGAACTTAATTAAAATAAGCTATGATATATCCTCATAAAGGAATACTATGTACATATTTTTTAAAAGGACAAAGAAGTTCTTTATATATTGATATGGCATTATCTTTAAGATGTATTGTTAAGTGGAAAATGCAAGATGCAGTATAATGTATATTGTAAACTACCATTTTTGTAAAAATAAGTAAATAAACTATGTATGCATAAATAATTGTAGGTACATAGACCATATATGTGAGAATACATAAGAAACTAAAACCAGTGGTTGCCTCTGAGGAGGAGAATGGGTGGCTGAATAATTGATACCATTTTTGTATCTTTTAAATTTTGTACCATCTGCAAGTGTTCTCCATTACACATAACCAAAAAAATTTTTGAAAGCTAGGGGAAATTTTATAGGAAGAGCAATAAGCTGCATTGCTTTCTCAGATTCACCATATTTTCTACAGCTACTGTTAAAAAGAGACTAATGAAGCCAACTGAGGCGTTAAGTAGTGAGTTGGGGCCAGGGAGATGGAGCCAAACTTAACCCTGGCACTAACTCAGTGATATTTCTCTCCAAGAAGCAGACATGCATAAAAAATGCATCATCCAATCAGGTGAAATTAGCACATTTTCAGTGACTGCGTTAATTGACTTAGTGTAAACCAATTTGCTCAATTTCTAAACAAGATTCTCTCTTCCTGGTTGAAGGGATCTAGCCTATATTTAAGGGTATTGAACCTACATATAAGAAGAGATGATTTAGCAACAACTAATTTCACACAAACCACTCAGTACCATGGCTTTGAATCTACTAAACATTTGGCAACACTGAAAGGCCCAAGCTGGCACCTTTCTCAACAGGCTACAGGGACCAATTCCAGCTTTCTGGACTTAGAGAACATGTGGAACTTACGAGTCACAGACACAGTGTGCCAGCCTGCACCCCGGGACCCTCCTCACGGGGAACAGGCAGCCACCGAGACACCACACCCACACCCCACAACCTCTGCTAGGGCCCTCCTTGTCTCCTGTGCCTCCTCTTCACCTTCTCCCAGACATCCACGGACAGGGCCAGGCTCCAGAGGGAGGCACGACCCTGTGGCCCATGGGGCCCCTGGCCTTTGCATGCAAGGCACATTCAACACTCTCACAGACGCCTTACCCCGGCACAGTAATCTCCGCTGATGGTGACCCGCTGGAACTCAGGCATGGCATAGGGTGCTGGCGTGGGCAGGGAAGTGGCTCCAGTGACCACAGGGGTTGTGGGAGACATGGCCGGACTGGCTGCCGGGGGGCCCTTCCAATCTTGCTGTGGCGGCATTTGCAGAGACAGGGACTGGGACCGAATCATCTTGAAACTTTTCTTTCTAAGAGCCAAGGACAAGGAAAAGTGGGAGACATCAGAAGCTAATTGGGGTGAGTGATAAAGACTCTTTGCTGTGTGCGTGGCAGGAGAATTTTGCTATGATTAATCACTGGTGCTGGCCCTACCATTAAGAAGTTTCTAATTATTCATGCCTTCCTCTTACACATGTCTGCCTGAGATAGAACACGGCCCTCCAGACACCCCTACCTGTGGTCACCATGCACTGCTCAGGGCTGTTTGCACAGCCCACAGAAGATTAAAGCAGGCAAATGCCCTAGGAGACAGAGAGACAAATGGCAGACCACATGGCAGGGGCTCTAAAACCACAGGGCACTAGAGGGGAGGACAATAGCAAATCATGCAGGCTTTCCCCACAGTGTGGACAGCATGCTGGCTTCAGATAACACAAACTCTCAGTCCCAACATATGAACGGTCTCAGAAAGGACCAGGAATAGGGTCACAGAGAGACAATCACACTGCATTTCACACAGTTAGACATTTGGGGCATTGGAGCCAGAAGAGAGAGGGATGCTCAATGAATCCAATCTCCTTGTTTTACAAAGGAGTCGAGACAGTGCTCAGGACCGTGGACTAGCGACCGCCATCCAAGCTTACAGGCATCATAGGCCCCATGGCTGGCAGCAGACCTACTGGGTGCCAAGGAGATCTGCAAGATCAGCCTACTTCTCACAGACACTTTCCCAGAGATGGGAAAGGGCTGGCACAAAGTCACACGGCCCATGGCACAGTGGCTGCTCCACCCAGCCTCCAGCCCTGCTGCTCCCTCCTCTAGCCCGCCGTGTACCATCCTGACTGCCGCTGCTAGAGCAGGCACAGATATGTACCTCTGTTTGGGGAGAGGGATTGATCGGCACCAAATTCAGGTCCCTCTGGACCTGTTGCCTTGGCACCAAAAGATGATTACACTGGCTCTTGGGCCCAAGGTTGGTTTAAAATGCCACAAGCCCATGCTTATTTGCAAGGCTGATTTGTGATGACTCTACCTTCCTCATTCATGAAACAGACATCAGATTATGTCACTGCAAGTCTCTTCTGCAGAAAAATTACCCAGCATTAAGGTGAGGCCATCAGCACTCTTCTCCTACCTCATGTTTCTGTCTGCCCCCAGTGGAACCCGGCCTCCCCACGGTGCCATCCCACAGTGTCAAATGCCAGAAACCAACTGACCACCTGCCCTACCTTGTGCCATGGGCCCAGTAGCTTCCTGAGTATTTATTCTACCACAACCACAGCCACCAGCAAGGACTCAGTGACAACTGTGACCCACTAGAGCCCTCCTCCTCTCCAGGTACTAGTGTGATACCTACAGGCCTGAAGAAATCAGTTGATCCCCAAATAAGTTTCAGGGCTTACCCAGAAGCAGCTCTCTTCCTCTTGGCCTGTGGCCAGGTATCCTCACTGCCGAGTTTTCAAGAACCACAGTTCTCCTCCCGTGTTTACACACCCAGTGCTTGCCATGGCCCTCTGGTTCTCACCTGCCTACCCTGTGTTATCACATCTTTGGGACAAGGCTATTTTAACCTGCAAGACAGAGGTGGCTCCTTTTCAGGAATTTACCTTCCCCTTGCCCCTGGTCCTGCTAAGTGATGCACTGGACTGCTTCGGGAAACTCAACCTGAGCCCTGGGAGCCCCCAGCCTCAGCTTTCTCTGGTCTGTCCTCCATCAAATGGAGCTCAGCCAAGCATCCTGCCCCAGGGATGCCACCTTGTCAGTCACTCCTCAGAGGCGGATTCACCTTGAGGATGAGGTTCTCCCTTTGGCATCTTTTGAATGCCCACACCCAGAGGAAGAGCCATTACTTTGGGCTCCCCAACACATTCTGACCTCAGCTGGGACGCATGAGATTCTGGTTTCTGTGTCACTCACACATGCCTTCCAGCTCACTGTTTTTATTTCCATGCAACCTCACCTCCAAATGCCTCAGCCAAGGCTGCCTGAGGTCTGGTCCTACCAACAAGAAGCAACAGGTGACATCTAAGGTGAGCAACAGCTAAGAAAGTTTAAAAAAAAACCACACACACACACACAAAAAAAAAAACACTACAGCCCAAATGCTGGGAGGCTGCCTAAGCCAACAGCCTACCAGGCTTGTCCTAGGAATGTTCTTCTGCCCCAGTGAGGAAGCTAGTACCCACAAACTGGTGCCCAAAGAATTCTCCTTCCTGGGGATATCCATTATGGCGACAACCTTGGTCTTCAGTTGAGCTCCAGATTGTCACATATGAGCATCTGCGGGCCAGGAGCTCAGACTCTGTAGGCACAAGGGATAGGTTTAACCACAGATAGGCTAACTCCTCAGGGCTCACTCCCCTTGAGCTTGGAAGAACTGGAAGTTAACCACAGCTTGTATCTCAGGAAATTGGAAAAGCTATATGGAGCCCAAGGATGACCCTGGATTTGTTTTCTATTGCTGCAGAACAAATTGCCACAAACTTGATGGCTTAAAACAACAGCTATTTATTAGCTCACAGTTCTATAGGTGAGAAGTCTGGGTGGGCTTGGCTGGGCTCTATGCTCAGGGTATCAAGAGGCCAAAATCAAGATGTTAGCCACACTGTACTCTTGTCTGGAGTTTCTGGGAAGGAATTCACTTCCAAGTTCATTCCGGTTGTTGGCAGAATTCAGGTCTAGTGCCCACAAGGCTGGAGTCCCAGGCTGCTTGCTGGCTTTGACCAGGGGTCACTCTCAACTCCTATTGACCTCACTCCAATCCCTGCACATAGCCCCCTTCATCTCCAAAACCAGGAGTGGTCATTGTGCTGTTGCTTTGAATCTCTCTGCCCTCCCCTCCTACACTCAGAAAGCTCTCTATTTTTACGGGCTCATGGGATTAAATCAGGCCTACCAATAACCCCCCTATCTTAAGGTCAACTGTGCCATATTCCATAACATCATCACAGGAGTGATAACTCATCTTATTCACTGCATCTGGAGATTAAGGAGGGACATCTGCAGGGGCCGTTTTAGAAATTCTACCTCCCCTAGGCCCATATCTAGCATCCATTCTATACAACCGAGGCCCAGCCAGTAAAGGTAGAGGGTTGGAGCTGAGTGAGTGGGCGTGTGGGCGTAAGTGTCAGAGGGTGTGCGACATGGTTTGCATCCATGTCTCTGCCCAAATCTCATGTCAAATGTTAATCCCCGGTGTTGGAGGTAGGGGCTGGTGGGAGGTGATTGGATCATGGGGGTGGATCCTTCATGAATGGTCTAGCACCATCTCCTTGGTGCTGTTCTAGTGAGAGTTTTCATGGAGATCTGGGCATTTAAAAGTGTGTAGCACCTTCCCCTACCCACTCTCGCTGCCTCTTGCTCCTGCTCCCACCATGTAAGACGCCTGCTCCTGCTTTGCCTTCACCATGAGTCAAAGTTCCCTGAGGCTTCCTCAGAAGCAGATGCTGCCATGCTTCCTGTACAGCCTGCAGAACTATGAGCCAATTATACCTCATTATTTTATAAATTACCAGTCTCAGGTATTTCTTTATAGCAGTGCAAACTAATACAGTGAGTGAGTGTGTCTATGAGTGTGTGTATGAACAAAACTGATCTGGTGCCCCTGTTAGAAAGCACTTCCTTCTGATGGGCCAAGGTCTGTCTGTCCACTATCTCACCTGCTGCACCTTGCACTAGCCCCTGGGGCGCCAGCATTTGCTGGGCTACAGCTGGCACACCCCCTCCTTCCCCCACCCACACTTGCACCTGGCAGAAGCACACTCCTGCCAAGGAGCCAGCAGAGTGTGGGGCTGTGAGGACACCAGCTCCAGGCCAAGCCTGAGGGCTCAAAGGGCCAGGAGCAGTTTTGTCATCCCTGAAATAGATTTATCCTCTTGACGCACAAGGACATTCTTGCTAACCAGGCCCACAAGACAAAGAGTTGATCAGGTCACCTGGGCTGTTGTTACAGCATCTTACCTCCCAGCACCTGTCTGGTGCTCCACCTGCTCTATGGCCCTTGGTTGCCCCTGACAGTCACTAAGTCCCCTCCCTTACTCTGCTCCACTCCCCAGCCCTCCTCCGCTCTGGGGAATCAGGCTCCCAGGGCCTTCCCTATATAGCACTCAAATGCTAAAGTGAGGAGCCCTTCAGGCCCACCTTGCTCTCCTAGAGAATAGCCAGCATCTTACCAGGGGCCATCTGAAGCCCACTGCCCTGTGTGGTCTGTCCAGATGACTACTAGGCAGGGAGGGGCACTGGAGCCAACCTTTCACCAGGCTCTCATATGTGTACTATGAGCTGGGGGCCACACGTGGACCCCACTTCATTCAATAAACTACTGTGTGCCAGGCCCTGGGTGTAGAGGAGTAGATAAGATATAACTCCCGCCTCCAGGGGCCGACTGTGATGGCTGAGATGAACCCAGACAGTTCCACAGATTATCATACAGTGTGGTTGGTGTAATGAGATGCCCTGGATATTTTGGGACCCCAGAGGAGACACTTAATCCAGACTAGGGGTGGGAGCAGTGGAGCAATGGGGTCAGAGGGGGGACATTTCAGAACATGGAGGCTGGTTTGAACTCCTCCCCCACGCACACTCAGCTCATTCTGGCAGCCCCTCCACATGAGAATTGTTACGCTAAAATAAAGGTTGGAATCAGAAGTCACAAACCAGCACAGAGTTTTGCAAACACTGGGAATCTGAATGCCATCAGGCGGGACAGGCATCCTCCACTTCCATAGGCTCACACTGCTGCTGCTCACGCTGCCCCTGCATTGGCTCACCTGGAATTGGGACCCCCATCTAAGGAGGGAACTAAGAGGGGCTGACACCTTCCCTGTACTTGAGACCAGAGGTCCCAGCCTATCTGGAGAAATATGCTGCACGATGGGCACTATAACAGGGGTCCCTACAGAGAGAGCAGGGGCGCACAGAGATCACTCACTCCGCATATGCAGCCAGATGACCAGCATCCTGGCCAGGTGGGTGTAACTTTGATTCTAACACTTTGCAGCCAATCAGGTGTGAAAACTCACAGCCCCACCCTCTGTCTCTCCCTGAGCTCCTCTGGAAACCTGCCCCTTCTTTCTCCATCCTCCCTTCCCCACAACCCCTCCTGGCCTACTGTAATCTCCACTCATCTCCTGCCACTCACCTTCGCTTCTCCCTTCCTCAATCCTTCCCAGCTGCCCTTCCTCCCTAAAGACCTGGAGATGAAAATGAAGTGCAATCTGTACTATCTGTTAACTTAAGTGTTACAATCTCTCTCCCTAACTTTATTTTTATTTTTACTTTTTTTTGACACAGGGTCTTGCTCTGCCGCCCAAGCTGGAATGGAGGGGTACGATCTCAGCTCACTGCAACCTCCAGCTCCTGGGTTCAAGCAATTCTCGTGCCTCAGCCTACCAAAAAGCTGGAACCATAGGCGCACACCACCATGCCCAGCTAATTTTTGTATTTTTTGTACAGACAGGGTTTTGCCATGTTGGCCAGGCTGGTCTCAAACTCCTGGCCTCAAGTGATCCACCCACCTCGGCTTCCCAATCTCCCTAACTTTTTCTTTTTCAAGACAGAGTCTCCCTCCCTCAGCCAGGCTGGAGAGCAGTGGGGTGATCTTGGCTTTCTGAAACCTTTGACTCTCAGGTTCAAGCAATTCTCCTGCCTCAGCCTCCGGAGTTGCTGGGATTACAGACATGTGCCACCACACCCAGCTAACCTTTATATTTTTAGTAAAGACAGGGTTTCTACATGTTGGCCAGGCTGGTCTCCAACTCCTGACTTCAGGTGATCCACCCGCCTCAGCCTCCCAAAGTGCTGGGATTACAGGTGTGAGCCACCGCGCCCAGCCCAATCTCTCCCTAACTTTAAAAGGGGATAGATTGACTATTTCAAATGAAGCTCCTTTGTCAATGATCCTGAATGTTTAAAAAGTTCCCCATTCTTATTTTCACAAGTTTCATAAAATGAAGTGACTTAGCAACACTTTAGCTGTGCTATGCTCAATTCATAAAGCACATATGTTTCTCAATTTCACTCAAAACATTCTAGGGAAGCGGCTGTCCTAGATAGCCAAATTTTTCAACTAATAAAATTTTTCCCTCTATATCCTAATTTTTTTCTTTTTTTAATTATACTTTAAGTTCTGGGGTACATGTAAAGAATGTGCAGGTTTGTTACATAGGTATACACATGCCATGGTGGTTTGCTGCACCCATCAACCTGACACCTACATTAGGTATTTCTCCGAATGCTATCCCTCCCCTAGCCCCTCACCCCCCAACAGGCCCCAGTGTGTGATGTTCTCCTCCCTGTGTCCATGTGTTCTCATTGTTCAACTCCTACTTATGAGTGAGAACATGCGATGTTTGGTTTTCTCTTCTTGTGTTAGTTTGCTGAGAATGATGGTTTCTAGCTTCATCCATGTCCCTGCAAAGGACATGAACCCATCTTTTTTATGGCTGCATAGTATTCCATGGTGTATATGTGCCATATTTTCTTTATCCAGTCTATCATTGATGGACATTTGGGTGGGTTCCAAGTCTTTGCTATTGTGGATAGTGCTGCAATAAACATACGTGTGCATGTGTCTTTATAGAATGATTTATAATCCTTTGGGTATATACCCAGTAATGGGATTGCTGGGTCAAATGGTATTTCTAGTTCTAGATTCTTGAGGAATAGCCACACTGTCTTCCACAATGGTTGAACTAATTTACACTCCCACCAACAGTGTAAAAGCATTCCTATTTCTCCACATCCTCTCCAGCATCTGTTGTTTCCTGACTTTTTAATGATCGCCATTCTAACTGGCGTGAGATGGTATCTCATTGTGGTTTTCATTTGCATTTCTCTAATGACCAGTGATGATGAGCATTTTTTCATATGTTTGTTGGCTGCATAAATGTCTTCTTTTGAGAAGTGTCTGTTCATATCCTTTGCCCACTTTTTGATGGGGTTGTTTTCTTGTAAATTTGTTTAAGTTCTTTGTAGATTCTGGACATTAGCCCTTTGTCAGATGGATAGATTGAAAAAATTTTCTCCTGTTCTGAAGGTTGCCTATTCACTCTGATGGTAGTTTCTTTTGCTGTGCAGAAGCTCTTTAGTTTAATTAGATCCCATTTCTCAATTTTGGCTTTTGTTGCCATGGCTTTTGATGTTTTATACATGAAGTCTTTGCCCATGCCTATGTCCTGAATGTCCTAGGTTTTCTTCTAGGGTTTTTATGGTTTAGGTCTTACATTTAAGTCTTTAATCCATCTTGAGTTAATTTTTGTATAAGGTGTAAGGAGTCCAGTTTCAGTTTTTTGCATATGGCTAGCCAGTTTTCCCAACACCATTTATTAAATAGGGAATCCTTTCCCCATTGCTTGTTTGTGCCAGGTTTGTCAAAGATCAGATGATTGTAGATGTGTGGTGTTATTTCTGAGGCCTCTGTTCTGTTCCATTGGTCTATATATCTGTTTTGGTACCAGTACCAGGCTGTTTTGTTTACTGTAGCCTTGTAGTATAGTTTGAAGTCAGGTAGCGTGATGCCTCCAGCTTTGTTCTTCTTGCTTAGAATTGTCTTGGCTATACAGGCTCTTTTTTGGTTCCATATGAAATTTAAAGTAGTTTTTTTCTAATTCTGTGAAGAAAGTCAATGGTAGCTTGATGGGGATAGCACTGAACCTATAAATTACTTTGGGCAGTATGGCCATTTTCATGATATTGATTCTTCCTATCCATGAGCATGGAATGTTTTTCCATTTGTTTTTGTCCTTTCTTATTTCCTTGAGCAGTGGTTTGTAATTCTCCTTGAAGAGGTCCTTCACATCCCTTGTAAGTTGGATTCCTAGCTATTTTATTCTCCTAGTGGCAATTGTGAATGGGAGTTCACTCATGATTTGGCTGTTTGTCTGTTATTAGTATACAGGAATGCTTGTGATTTTTGCACATTGATTTTTTATCCTGAGACTTTGCTGAAGTTGCTTATCAGCTTAAGGAGATTTGGGGCTGAGATGGTGGGGTTTTCTAAATATACAATCATGTCATCCACAAACAGAGACAATTTGACTTCCTCTTTTCCTGTTTGAATAGTCTTTATTTCTTTCTCTTGCCTGATTGCCCCTGCCAGAACTTCCAATACTATGTTGAATAGGAGTGGTGAGAGAGGGCATACTTGTCTTGCGCCAGTTTTCAAAGGGAATGCTTCCAGTTTTTGCCCATTCAGTATGATATTGCCTGTGGGTTTTTCATAAATAGCTCTTTTTATTTTGAGATACGTTCCATCAATACCTAATTTATTGAGAGTTTTTAGCATGAAGGGGTGTTGAATTATATTGAAGGACTTTTCTGCATCTATTCAGATAATCATGTGGTTTTCGTCATTGGTTCTGTTTATGCGATGGATTACGCTGATTGATTTGCATATGTTGAACCAGCCTTGCATCCCAGGTATGAAGCCAACTTGATCGTGGTGGATAAGCTTTTTGATGTGCTGCTGGATTTGGTTTGCCAGTATATTATTGAGGACTTTTTTTTTTTTTTTTTTGAGACGGAGTCTCGCTCTGTCGCCCAGGCTGGAGTGCAGTGGCGGGATCTCGGCTCACTGCAAGCTCCGCCTCCCGGGTTCACGCCATTCTCCTGCCTCAGCCTCCCAAGTAGCTGGGACTACAGGCGCCCGCCACTACGCCCGGCTAATTTTTTGTATTTTTAGTAGAGACGGGGTTTCACCGTTTTTAGCCGGGATGGTCTCGATCTCCTGACCTCGTGATCTGCCCGCCTCGGCCTCCCAAAGTGCTGGGATTACAGGCGTGAGCCACCGCGCCCGGCCGAAGACTTTTACATCGATGTTCATCAGGGATATTGGCCTGAAATTTTCTCTGTTGTGTCTCTGCCATGTTTTGGCATCAGGATGATGCTGGCCTCATAAAATGAGTTTGGAATAGTTTCAGAAGGAATGGTACCAGCTCCAAACTATTGTTGGGAATAGTTTCAGAAGGAATGGTACCAGCTCCTCTTTGTACCTCTGGTAGAATTTGGCTGTGAATCTGTCTGGTTCTGGGCTTTTTTTGGTTGGTAGGCTATTCATTACTGCCTCAATTTCATAACTTGTTATTGGTCTATTCAGGGATTCAACTTCTTCCTGGTTTAGACTTGGGAGAGTGTATGCATCCAGGAATTTATCCAATTCTTCTAGATTTTCTAATTTATTTGCATAGAGGTGTTTATAGTATTCTCCGATGGTAGTCTGTATTTCTGTGGGATCAGTGGTGATACCCCGTTTATTATTTTTTATTGTGTCTATTTGATTCTTCTCTCTTTTTCTCTTTGTTAGTCTTGCTAGCAGTCTATTTATTTCATTGATCTTTTCAAAAAAAAAACAGCTCCTGGATTCATTGAGTTTTTGAAGAGTTTTTCATGTCTCTATCTCCTTCGGTTCTGCTCTGATCTTAGTTATTTCTTGTCTTCTGCTAGCTTTTGAATTTGTTTGCTCTTGCTTCTCTAGCTCTTTTAATTGTGATGTTAGGGTGTTGATTTTAGATCTTTCCTGCTTTCTCTTGTGGACATTTAGTGCTATAAATTTCCCACTACACACTGCTTTAAATGTGTCCCAGAGATTCTGGTACGTTGTGTCTTTGTTCTCACTGGTTTCAAAGAACATCTTTATTTCTGCCTTCATTTCCTTATTTACCCAGTAGTCATTCAGGAGCAGATTTTTCAGTTTCCATGTAGTTGTGTGGTTTTGAGTGAGTTTCTTAATCCTGAGTTCTAATTTGATTGCACTGTGGTCTGAGAGACTGTTTGTTATGATTTCCATTCTTTTGCGTTTGCTGAGGAGTGTTTTACTTCCAATTATGTGGTCAATTTTAAAGTAAGTGTGATGAGGTGCTGAGAAGAATGTATATTCTGTTGATTTGGGTTGGAGCTTGTTCCAGAGCTGAGTTCAAGTCCTGAATATCCTTGTTAATTTTGTCTCGTTGATCTGTCTAATATTCACAATGGGGTGTTAAAGTCTCCCATTATTATTGTGTGGGAGTCTAAGTCTCTTTGTAGGTCTCTAAGACTTGCTTTATGAATCTGGGTGCTCCTGTGTTGGGTGCATATATATTTAGGACAGTTAGCTCTTCTTGTTGCATTGATCCCTTTACCATTATGTAATGCCCTTCCTTGTCTCTTTTGATCTTTGTTGGTTTAAAGTCTGTTTTATCAGAGGTTAAACTTGCAACTTCTGCTTTTTTTTTTTTCTTTCCATTTGCTTGGTAAATATTCCTCCATCCCTTTATTTTGAGCCTATGTCTGTCTTTGCACTTGAGATGAGTCTCCTGAATACAGCACACTGTTGGGTCTTGACTCTTCATCCAATTTGCCAGTCTGTGTGTTTTAATTGGGGCATTTAGCCCGTTTACATTTAAGGCTAATATTGTTACGTGTGAATTTGATCCTGTCATCATGATGCTAGCTGGTTGTTTTGCCCATTAGTTGATGCAGTTTCTTCGAAGTGTTGATAGTCTTTACAATTTGGTATGTTTTTGCAGTGGCTGGTACCGGTTGCTCCCTTCCAGGTTTAGTGCTTCCTTCAGGAGCTCTTGTAAGGCAGGCCTGGTGGTGACAAAATCTCTCAGCATTTGCTTGTCTGTAAAGGATTTTATTTCTCCTTTGCTTATGAAGCTTTGTTTGGCTGCATATGAAATTCTGGGTTGAAAATTCTTTTCTTCAAGAATGTTGAATATTGGCCCCCACTCTCTTCTGGCTTGTAGGGTTTCTGCAGAGAGATCTGCTGTTAGTCTGATGGGCTTCTCTTTGTGGGTAGCCTGACCTTTCTCTCTGGCTGCCCTTAACATTTTTTCCTTCATTTCAACCTTGGGGCATCTGACGATTATGTGTCTTGGGGTTGCTCTTCTCGAGGAATATCTTTGTGGTGTTCTCTGTATTTCCTGAATTTGAATGTTGGCTTGTCTTGCTAGGTTGGGGAAGTTTTCCTGGATAATATCCTGAAGAGTGTTTTCCACTTGTTTCGATTCTCCCCGTCACTTTCAGGTACATCCATCAAACGTAGGTTTGGTCTTTGCACATAGTCCCATATTTCTTGGAGGCTTTGTTCATTCCTTTTCATTTTTTTTCCTCTTATCTTGTCTTCTTATTTTATTTCATTAAGTTGGTCTTCAATCTCTGATATCCTTTCTTCCGTTTGATTGATTCAGCTATTCATACTTGTGAATGCTTCACAATGTTCTCGTGCTGTGTTTTTCTGCTCCATCAGGTCATTTATGTTCTTCTCTAAACTGGTTTTTCTAGTTAGCAATTCATCTATCCTTTTTTCAAGGTTCTTATCTTCCTTGCATTGGGTTAGAACATGTTCCTTTAGCTCAGAGGCGTTTGTTATTACCCACCTTCTGAAGCCTACTTCTGTCAATTGGTCAAACTCATTCTCTGTCCAGTTTTTTTCCCTTGCTGGCAAGGAGTTGTGATCATTTGGAGGAGAAGAGGCATTCTGGTTTTTGGAATTTTCAGCCTTTTTGCACTGGTTTACATCCCCATCTTCGTGGATTTATCTATCTTTGGTCTTTGATGCTGGTGATTTTCGGATGTGGTCTCTGATTAGATGTGCTATTCCTTTCTGTTTGTTAGATTTCCTCCTAACAATCAGACCCCTCTGCTAGAGTTTGCTGGAGGTCCACTCCAGACCCTGTTTGGCTGGGTGTCACTAGTGGAGGCTGCAGAACAGCAAAGACTGCTGCCTGTTCTTTCCTCTGGAAGCTTCATCCCAGAGGGGCACTTGCCTGATGCCAGCCAGAGCTCTCCTGTATGAGATGCCTGTCGGCCCCTACTGGGAGGTGTCTCCCAGTCAGGATACACGGGGGTTAGGGACCCACTTGAGGAGGCAGTCTCACCCTTAGCAGAGCTTGAACGCTGTGCTGGGAGGACTGCTGGTCTCTTCAGAGCTGTCAGGCAGGGACATTTATGTCTGCTGAAGCTGTGCCCACAGCTGCCCCTTCCCCCAGGTGCTCTGTCCCAGGGAGATGGGGGTTTTATCTATAAGTCCCTGATTGGGGCTGCTGCCTTTTTTTCAGAGATGCCCTGCCCAGAGAGAAGAAATCTAGAGAGGCAGTCTGGCCACAGCAGCTTTGCTGAGCTGCGGTGGGTTCCACCTAGTTTGAACTTCCTGGTGGCTTTGTTTACACTGTGAGGGTAAAACCTCCTACTCAAGCCTCAGCAATGGCCAACGACCCTCCCCCTACGAAGCTTGAGTGTCCCAGATTGATCTCAGACTGCTGCTGTGCTGGCAGTGAGAATTTTGAGCCAGTGGATCTTTTTTTTTTTTCTTTGAGACGGAGTTTTGCTCTTGTCACCCAAGCTCAGTGCAATGGTGCGATCTCAGATCACTGCAACCTCCTTCTCCTGGGTTCAAGCGATTCTCCTGCCTCAACCTCCCAAGTAACTGGGATTACAGGTGCCCCCCACCACGCCCGGCTAATCTTTGTATTTTTAGTAGAGATGAGGTTTCACCATGTTGGCCAGGCTGGTCTTGAACTCCTGACGTCAGGTGATCCACTCGCCTTGGCCTCCCTAAGTGCTGGGATTACAGGCATGAGCCACTGCGCCTGGCCACCAGTGGATCTTAGTTTGCTGGGCTCCATGGGGCTGGGACCTGCCAAGCCAGACCACTTGGCTCCCTGGCTTTAGCCCCCTTTCCAGGGGAGTGAATGATTCTGTCTTGCTGGCGCTCCAGGCGCCACTGGGGTACAGAAAAAAAAAAAAAAAAAAAAACTCCTGCAGCTAGTTCAGTGTCTGCCTGAATGGCCGCCCTGTTTTGTGCTTGAAACCCAGGGCCCTGGTGGTGTAGGCACCAGAGGCAGTCTCCTGGTCTGCAGGTTGCAAGGACCATGGGAAAAGCACAGTATCTGGGCCAGAGTGCACAGTTCCTCAGGCTCAGTCCCTCAAGGCTTCCCTTGGGTAAGGAAGATAATTCCCCCATCCCTTGTGCTTCTCAGGTGAGGCAACGCCTCACCTTGCTTTGGCTCACCCTCCTTGGGCTGCACCCGCTGTCCAACTAGCCCCAGTGAGATGAACCAGTACCTCAGTTGGAAATGCAGAAATCACCCCCTTCTGCATCGATCTCACTGGGAGCTGCAGACCGGAGATGTTCCTAATTGGCCATCTTGCCAGCCTTAACTATATCCTAATTTTTTAAAAATCAATTTTTATCTGGCTTCTTAAAAAAATACATAATTCCTGCATTCTTCCTCAAAGCATGCTGAACATAATTTAAAGTTTTCTCAATGACCCAGGATCATCACTGTATTATCCAGTTATGATCTCAGAGGTGTGTTATCCCTAAACTACTGTGCTTCAAATTCTTGTGCCTGCTTTTCATAATTATTTTGTTTCCTCTCTCACTGTTGACTGTCTAATAACAACAATAACAAAACAGGAACATTAATGGTGCTCCAAGCACTGCGCTAAGGATTTTTTGTGTATTCGCTCATTTAATTCTCACAAGGTATGTCCTTTTATTATTCTCATTTTGCAGTTTAGGAAACCAGCTCAGGCAGTCAAGAGCTTTGACCAAGGCCATTCAGTAGTAAGTGACAGGGCTGCCACTTGAACCCAATAGGTCTGACCCCAAAGCCCAGGCTTATAATCACCACACATCACCTCTGTGACCCTGCCTGTAGAAGTCTCTCTCCCTGCTTCTAATTTGCTTCTTTAAATCTGCCACGGGATAAGAAACAATATAGCCAGATTATAGAATTCTGTGTAAAGTAAGAATAAATAGGAGATGGGATGGGAGGTGCCACAGACAAAGAGGGAGCTGGGGAGAGGGTGTCCTCCATGAAAATGTTAACTTTCGAACATTTACATATAAAGGCACCTCTAGTGAGAAGAGAAACTAAAAGACAAAATTGGGTATGGGCAGACCCCAGAGGAGGATGCTGGGGCATCTGACAGTCCAGGGACCAAGCTTTTTTTCAGGAAAGAAGCCGATGGACAGAGCGGGAGCTTTGACCAGTTTCCCTCCATTTCATTTAGAAGCAACAATTACATTCTAGGGAGCAGCACCTAGTGTCATTCCAGGGTCTACAGACCAGGGAACCGAAGACTCCACCCCTACCTGAAGAGGGGATAGCCTTATGGTTGAAGTGTGGGGTCTAGATTCAAAAGATATGGGCTCTAGTTCTTGCTCTGTCATTTACTCACTATGTGTCTTTGTGAAAGTAAATTCAACTTCTCTGAGCCTTCGTTCCCTAATCTGCAAAATCAGAATACTAAGAATATCCATTTGATAAGCTCGATGTGAGAATTAAAGAATGAATCCAACCTACACAGGCTAGTACTTAGCCCATAGTAAGTATTCAATGGCAGGAGCTGCTATTGTTCCCTGTCTCAGCAGCAGGAAGTCAGAGAAATCACTTATATTTACTCGGGATGCACTATAACCAGACACTGTCCGAAGCCTTTTACCTGTGGATTCCCTCATTCCTCACAACACCCCATGAAGGTAGCTGTTAGCATCTCCACTTTATAGATGAGGACGAGGCTGAGGCCCAGAGAGGTTTCCTAATTTCCCCAAAGTCACAGAGCATGACAGTGAGTGGCAGAACACAGAGGTCCAAGAAGTTGCAGCCACCCTGATGTAGTGTCCATGGTGGCAATGGGGAGGCAGGATGTCTTCCTCTGCCAGACATCCACTGCCCACCAACTAAGTTCCACAATGGATCCAGTCCTCAAGGAGCGTCTAGTCAAATGGCGCAGACAGATGCAAACTAAGACACCATAACCTAGGCAAGGACAGAACAAAGTTTTTGGAGAGAAGTTTGCAGGGGAATTTCTGGAAACCACAGAGCACCATTAAGACTTAGAGTAAGAAAGCTTCCATTTTGCCCTGAGTCTGGGCATTGAGAAGAGCACAGTCGCTTCAGCAGATGTCAGGCCCAGTGTCACTCTGTAGTGGAAACTGGTTCCAGAAACTTATTGTTCCTAGTAATAAAAAATGCCAGGATTTCTTTTCCTCTCATTGTTAAGGGTCTCAAATGCTCAATTCATAACACACAGAAGGCCCTGCAGACCATTCACTTGATGAAGTCAGCCCTTCTGTTCCACCCACGGAGTGTGAATGAGGGTCTCTACAGTCATACTCTTCTTGACCCTCCAGGGATGAGCACACTGCTGGGGCTGGGGCCACCCCACCTTATCCAACACAAGGCTGGCACTCAGAGGTTAACCAATGGCACCAGTGACTCCTGCCTTTATGGGCTCACCATCCTTTCAAGGAAGGAAAGCACTGGTCTTATGAGTGGTGAAGCTCTGTTCTTGCCTTTACACCAGTAGTCAACTTTTTACTTCTTTCCAAACGAGTTAAGAAAATGCGAGCTTCTACACAACCAAGAAAGGAAAAGACTTGCCTTTAAAACTGAGGCAGTATCTAGTGTGATCACAGACTAGGTCGGAGAGGGCTCAAAGGTCTACCATGTCAACTATTGATGTTTGCAGGGTACCGGGCAGGCAGAAAATCTGATAAAGCCCAGGGTGAGATAAACTGTGAAAGGATGAGGGCTTCTCATTTCACTTAGACTCCAATCCAAACTTCTTATCAGGGAGCACAAGGCCAGTCTGATCTGGGCCCCACAAGTCCTCCAGCCCTGGTCACAGCACTTCTTCCTTTAACAGACCTCTAACCACATGGGCCTTCTGGAAGAAACTGGGGGGCCTTTGCCCTAGCTGATTCTTCTATCTGGAAGGCCACATAGCTAGCTTCTTTATACCCTGAAGCATCCGCTAAGATGTCATCTCCTTGGAGAGGCCTTCCCTGACTTCCCAGTCTAAAAAAGGATTTTTTCTCTCTCTTTCCCGGCCTTTCTCTCCCCTAACCCCATCTCATCCTTATTCATCTCTTTCATAGCACTTGCGCTGCTCCTGGGCCTGTTTGCCCTCAGATCCATTCCTCATCCTCTCCTGTGTTTCCCAAGTGTGCCAGCAGGATTCTGGCTAGGTTTGGCCCATGGCAGCCACTGGGAGAACCTGGAAGGTGCAGAAAGGGTCAAACGAGGTATTGCCTGCCTCCATCTCTGCCTTGGGAGGCATCTCTGCAGCTGCCACCTCTTCCCCTTGGCTCCAGTTTCCACTGGAAAGTCCACCACAGTTCCACCTTCCCCAGGGCGACTCCACCTTGGCTCCAGAAACACTACTGCTTTCCTTGTCACTCCTGTCCTGGGTAGTAGCTGCTCCTTACTGTGTCTAATCTCTGAGCCGCCTCTCTCTCCCCTGTTTGGTTTCTCAGCTCTCTACCACCTGTGTAACCAATTCCCTGCATTAAAATTCTAATACTTCATTGGTTTCTGATCTTCTAGTTGGACCCTGACTGATACAGCACTTATTATAACTTGTAATTTTTAAGTTAATTTGTCCAGTTACTTAATTATTGTCTAGACCCAGGGACTCTATCTATCTTGTTCATTATAACATCTCCAGTCCCAGCACAGCACCCGGCAAATAGTAAGCTGTGTTCATTAGTAATGCAAAATGCTTGTCAAGTGATGAGAAGAAATACAATTGCTGTCTCCTAAGAAATCCTCAAATTTCCAAAAAGAAAAGAGAAATGCCATTTGGAAATGGTGTGTATTTTTTCACATCAGCAGCAAAGTGGGTTTTGATCTTTTCAGTGCAACAGAGGCACCGAGACATCCCTCAATAAATAAGAGGTGAGTTAAGTGGTCTTGGTTAAGGAACCAACACAGCTCTAGGGACATACCAGTCCCCATGAGGTGCCTCATATCAGGACACACACCCACAGCCTGCCTGGGTCTGCATGACTCTATGTACACGAAAACCATGCCTTGGGAACAAACCTTTTTGCGGTCTCCACAGACTTCTGCTCTGCCAGCTCCTTCTGCAGCTCCCTCTCCTTGGCTTCCTTTTGCCCGATGGGGCAGTCCTCTGGGACAGTGAACAGGGACAGGGCATCTTTGCTGTCCTCTTCTCGGAGCACTTTAGCAAACACCTTCTCCGCCAGGAGCCGGACTTGCTCATCCACTTCAGAGATGTTCAGCTTGGGAAACTGCCGCGGCATCTCAGCTAGCAAAGAAAGAACAAGCATGAATTGCAGGATGCCCTGAGTCACCAGCACCGGGGAAGAGAAGGCACTGAAGTGAGGGCCAGGCCCACCTGGTACTTGGGGTCAGCTGTCTACTTAGGAATGCCCCAGACCAAACCCAGCATGCCAATTTCAAAATTAGCTCAATAAGTAACTGGATGTGAAGCATGTAGGGCCACTTAGGTGTCAGGAGAAAGCAAGTGTTCAAAATTCAAAGAATGAACTGTTCAACTAGGTGGGCTTCCATTTTCCCAAACTCAGGGAATCTGCAGCACCTGGCAGCCCTGCCCTCCTGACTTTGTTCCCATGTTTGAGAAGGGACAAGAGAGAGTTCAGCTCTCCCTCCTCCAGACTATGAGGATACTGTTATAGCTGCAACAATAATCAAACCTCACTCCCCCACTTCACAGAGGCTTTAACAGCTAAGGTCGCACAAGATTACAGCAGAGCCCTGGGAAATCCAAAGCTGCATTCTTCATTACATAAATCAAGGCCTTTTGCTGAAGAGAAAGAATCTGCTATTGCAGTTCCAAACCCTCTGGAACCTCCTAACAAGACACAGCAAATAAAATAAAGGTTTTAGAACACTCTTTACCCAGCTGAAAACTCACTCCCTCAAAGAAGCTTTCTCTATCCACCTCCTCGCATACTGATTCCTTACTAACAGTCACTGGCCTCAACCACCTGCTTGGTTGGTTGGGTTTCATTCTTGCTTGCTTGCTTTCTTCATTTCCTTATTTCTTTCCTTTTTTGCAATTACTTGTATAGCACTTAATATGTACACTCTGGCCAGGCGCATTGGCTCACGCCTGTAATCCTAGCATTTTGGGAGGCTGAGGCGGGCAGATCACCTGAGGTCAGGAGTTTGAGACCATCCTGGCCAACATGGCAAAACCACGTCTCTACTAAAAATACAAAAAAATTAGCCAGGCGTGGTGGCAGGCACCTGTAATCCCAGCTGCTCAGGAGGCTGAGGCAAGAGAATTGCTTAAACCTAGGAGGTGAAGGTTGCAATGAGCCAAGATTGAGCCACTTCACTCCAACCTGGGTAACAGAGTGGGACTCTGCCTCAAAAAAAAAAAAAAAGTATACTCTGGGGCCGGGTGTGGTGGCTCACGCCTGTAATACCAGCACTTTGGGAGGTCAAGGCAAGAGGACTGCTTGAGCCCAGAAGTTTGAGACCAGCCTGGACAACATGGCAAAACCTCATCCCTAAAAAAGATTTAAAGAATTAGCCAGGTATGGTGATGCATGCCTGTAATCCCAGCTGCTAGGGAGGCTGAGGCAGGAGGATCTCTTGAGCCAGGGAGGTTGAGGCTGCAGTGAGTTATGATCGTACTACTGCACTCCAGCCTGGGAGACAGGGTGAGACCTCGTCTCAATTTTAAAAATAAAATATATATATATATATAAAATATATATTATATATAATATATATTATATATAATATATATTTTATATATGTATACATACATATATATACTCTGCAAAGAACTTCATACTTATTAACTCAGTTAATCTTATTATTCCCACTTGACAGATGAGAAAATGAAGGCATAGAGAGCTAACATGCCCAGGGTCACACTTTTAATAAGTCAGCAGAGATTTGTGCTGTTCTCAGCCTTTCTCTCTCATCCCTTTCCTCTCTGATCCTCAGCTCAGGGATCTGAACCCAGGCACCTGGTTCCTGCCTCTGTCCCCTCACCCACCATGCTGTGCTGCTTCTCTTTGTCCACGTATGTGTCCGGGCAGGGGCTCCTCACAGTCCCCAGCATAACACTTGTGGAATGGATTAATACTGCACCCTTTTCGACAAGCCACCCTCGTTGGGAGCAGCTCTGGAAGAGGAGTTTCCCATCTACCTATGACCACAGTTTCTTTAAAGTTGGTTTAAAGAGAGAAGTGGTTTTGTGGACCAGACAGACAAGAATGGAGATGAGACAGAGCCCTGCTGCTGTCCAGCAGGGAGAAGTGCAGCTACAGGGGAGGGGAACACACTAGGCCATCTTGGGACAGTCATTCTCCGGCCTCACAATGTTCTCATCTGTGAGATAAAGGGATTGAACTAAGTGGTCTCTAAGGCCCTCTCAGCTCTAAGTGGCATAATTCTAGGTACCAGAGAGATTTCCGGTGCCTGAGGAGGGCTTGCTGCTCTGAGTCTGAGTGGCATGTGGGACTAAGTCATGACACAGACAGGAAGGAAGAAAGCAGGCTAGCAACAGGCAATCAGAGTGAGGTCTGTGGCTCCCTTAACTCTGAGACCCAAGGACCTGCCACTCCCTGATGAGAGGAGTGGGAGGGAGCTGGTGGGGAACAGCCTGTCAACACACAACTGTCTGGGGAGCAGACATCAAGACAGCGAGGCCTGGCCTCTGCAAAAAGGAAGAGGAACAGAGCTGCCTGTGGGGATTTCCATGTCTTGATAGCAGAGAGGGGGGAAGCTGGAGGCCATCAAAGGAGGTGACAGGGGAGAGAAAGTCTGGAACAGCACAAAGAACCAGACCCAGGAGGCTCCATCAGGCTGAAACGAAACTGGATCCTCACCTCCCCCCTTATTCCAAGGCCACCAATCAAGGGCACCATCCCAAAACCTCACATCGCATCTCAGAAGAAGATATGCAACCCAACAGCCCAGGCAAAAGGCCGCAAATGCCATAAAGCACCATACCATTTGACTAAGCAACTTTACTTCTACAAATTTCTTTCAAAAAAAGAATCCTAAGAATGAAAAGCACAAGGATATTTACCTGCATTATTTACATAAATAGCTTTAAAATGCCTAAATTAGAGCATACTCACTTGAAAAAGATGTTAAGTAATCAGAATTATGATTATGAGGATGGTGCAATCACATAAAAAAATAAAAATACAGTAAATGAAAAAATTAATACATAGAACCATACCCATGCTTTATTTACAGTGAAAGGAAAATGCATCCCTTTATGGGCAAGACCTGCAAGAGATTCACGCAGTCAAAATGACCAGGTGGCAGGGCTGCCTGTGTGTGAGAGGATATTTTATTTTGATGATGAATGCTATTATAATGCCATTTTTAACAAATACAAAGAGAATAGAAAGAAAATGAGTAGACTTAAGACTCTATGAAAAGAGAGAAAAATAGGAAAACAAACTTCTTTTTCTGGCAGGTTTTGGCAATTAGGGCTCCCTCCTTAATTGCCGAAGGGAGGGAGGGAGGGAGCATCACCATACCTGGCTAATTTTTTTTTTTTTTTTTTTTTTTAGAGATGAGGTTTTGCCATGTTGTCCAGGCAATTTGGGAGGCTGAGGAGGAAGGATCACTTGAGGCTAAGAGTTCAAGATCAGCCTAACCCACACTATTGAGAGGCCAGGCCAAAGGGAGTTTCACCATTCAGACCTATCTCTGTGTTAGCTCCTACCCTGGACAGAAGCCATCCACCACCAGCAGCACCTTCCTACCTCCTTCATGCCCTCAGACACACACAGGCCTGACCCAGACACCCCCAACCAGGCTCCCTTGGCAATGGGTATTTGGGTGGGAGGGAAGTCCTTGATGTCTGAGGGCTCTTATGCCAGATCCTGCCATGTTTGCTCATGAAGCATGCATTTATTCATTGATTGATTGAGAGACAGGGTCTCAGTTGCCCAGGCTGGAGTGCAGTGGCACAATCACAGCTTACTGCAGCCTCGACCTCACAGGCTCCGGTGATTCTCCCACCTCAGCCTCCCGAGTAGCTGGGACCACAGGCACACACCACTATGCCTGGCTAATTTTTGTATTTTTAGTAGAGATGGGGTTTCACCATGTTGGCCAGGCTGGTCTTGAACTCCTGGTCTCAAGTGATCCGCCTGCCTTGGCCTCCCAGGGTCTAGGATTATAGGTGTGAGCCATCATACCAGCGCACAAAGCATTTTTAGCTTGCTCTAATCAACTAAAAATACTTTTCAGGACACAGCTTTCTATAACATATCTTCCTTTCTCTTTAGCTTAAATCAACCTTTCCCAAACTGGATGCCATAAGAAATTGATACCTGTTGCTGGTAAAACAGGTCCTGTGGTCAGTTATTGGGAGATGTTGCATTCCACAGCCCCTCAACTCACATTCATAAGGCTCATTAAAATCAAGGATCATAGAGTAACATTAACATACAGAACCCTTTTTGTTTTACAGAACCCATAAAAATCTTCCGCAGAACTACTACCAGTGTCTTAAATAGTTGGTAGATAATTCATTCCAAGACCGGGTGCAGTGGCTCATGCCTATAATCCAAGCAATTTGGGAGGCTGAAGAGGATCGCTTGAGGCCAGGAGTTCGAGATCAGCCTGGTGCAATATGTCAGAACCTCATCTCTACAAAAAATAGAAAAAAAAACAGCCAGGTGTGGTGGCATGCACCTGTGGTCTCAGCTATTTGGAAGGCTGAGTTGGGAGAATTGCTCGAGTCCTGGAGGTGCAGGCTGCAGTGAGCCATGATGGCACCACCGTACTCCAGCCTGGGTGACAGAGCAAGACCTTCTCTCAAAAAAAAAAAAAAAAAAGCAAGAAACAACAGCAACCACAACAAAATAATTAATTCCATATCTTAGTATGGACCAAGTAACCCACTTGGGGTGCTGCAGGCCTTAGCAGCTGCCCCCACATCTGCTGCCTTCTGGATGTCCTTGGCAGACAGCTCCCACCTGCCAACCCGTCCCTCCAGAGTGTCTCTCCTCTCAGACCCTCCAGACACCTGCCAGGCCAGGCCTGACAAGGAAAGCTCACTCTGCAGATGCCAAGCAGAGCTTCAGCTCCAGCTGCATGTTCACGCCTGGCTTCCAACCCTTTGTCAGCTGAAGCCAGCAGGCTTGGGAGGCTTAGCTGTGAATTCACCAGCATCAGTCAGCCAATGATACAGCTTATCTCACTGTTACATGCAACACGCTCTGATGAACTTGAAGAAGTGTCCCAAAGTTAGAAAGTTCTAAAACACTGCCAGTTTCAACAAACAGTAACTTTTCATGGTGCCACAGTCCCTCCAGAAAGGAAGCCCAGTGCCACTGAAATCCCCTCGTTATACGAAGGAAGCTGGTTCCTACTCTTGCCAGACTCCCCTTGCAGAAGCCCCGACACAGACCTGAGCCTGGCTCCATGACTGGTCCTGAAGATGCCACTCAAGTGATGCACCCGGGTGAGGTGCTGCCTGCCACCCAGGAGGCTCAGCTGAGTCAGTGCGTGCGTGCAGCTGGCTGGGTCCTGTCTGCCGGCTGGAGTAGGAGGTCTCTGTTTTGCATATCTGTGAGCAGCAGTGAGCCAGAGCAGGAAAAGCCTGGGCTGGAAATTCTCTCGTGAATATGAAATATGAGTGGAAAATTTCCAAGAGCCCTGAAGTCCCCAGGTAATCCCAGTTATCCAAAACAAAATGGCTGTGGTATCCTGAATGCAGTGTCCTGGCCCTCTTCACAGCCCTCACAAGAGGAAACTAAAGCGGCGGCTTCCTCTTTACAACAGTAAACTCAGCCGTCCTGCCCAGCTGCAGGAGATAAGCCACAGCCTCCCTCTAACGCCCAGCCTCCTCCTGAAAGCTGAGTAGCAACGAGCGATATCATCACCTTTGCTGCTTCCGTTCTGAACGTGCTTCAGGCCTGGCTGCATTTTATCAAGGGGATTGGTCTCAGGTACAGCCCGACCTGCCTCTTCTCAGAAAGCCCCCCTAAAGCAGCCCTCCCAAGGGCACCCCATAACTGCCAGGGGGAGCTTCAATCCCAGTTGCTAATACAATCCCCTCCATCCCCTCCTCCTCTGAAAGGGAAAGACCATGAACTGCTTCCACCTTTCCCAGGAAAGGACAGAGACTCAGGGAGCAGGAACTGCCTCAGCACAGAGGCGGACAGAGGACAGGGGCAGGCTAGGATGAAAAGCTGACAGCCCCATCCCACTCCTTCCTTTCTTCCCAGAAGGAAGCCCACATCACAGGTGACTGCGAAGCCTGATAAGCTTTACCAGAACCCCCACCCCCATCCACACACACAGAAAAGGAGTACACCCCAACTGACCCACCGGAGCCCACCCCAAACCCTCCCCTGCTTACAGCCGCTCACTGCTCCCACGTGGGCCTCCAGCTCCGAGCGCTGGCTGGACTCTGCCACTCCTCCTGGGGAAGGTGGAGCCTGCCTCAAGTGACCCACAGGAGCAATCCTCTAAAACCAAGCAGGGTTGATTAAAATGGCATCACAGGGTGCAAAGCTCTGATCTTCATCTGCCCTTTAGGAGAGTGGGAAGGCTCAGAACAGACACATAGCCTCCCAGTGACTTAGGCAAATCCTGTGGTCCTGGGAAATAACCATGAGCAAAATGGCTATTTCTGTGGTGCTGTTGAAATCCTGGGGAGAAGAGCTCAGGAAGGATGGGTCAGTTGTTTACCGGGAGGCTAGCTGTAACCCTGACTTGGGCCTGAGTCACCTCCGCATGTCCAATCGTGAGGTTGTGTCTTACTGAGCTCACATCATAATTCCTGTGTGCACAGAGCAGTATTACAGGGTTGACACATGATCCTCGGGCTGCTGCTGGGCTTTAGCTACCCAGAGATTACGGCCCACCTGTCCTCACAGCTGTTTCATAAACAGTGCAACCAGCAGGCTACAAGCAACCTAGAGGGAGGGTAATATTTATTCATTAAACAATTAAATGAACTTACAGTATGAGAAAAAAATCCAAGCCCTTAGTACTATTCTGCCAGAAGGAGGAGGGGCAGATGACTTTTTCTGCTAGTGTTTTGGGGAAAGGGGAGGTAGAGTGGGGACTGCAGTGGGAGGATTCCAGCCCAAGGATTTAAGTCCGACACGTTCAGGGAATTTTATTCTGCACCTTTAACCGGATCCCAGCTAGCCTTAGTCTAAACAAGCATTTTTCAAAGTGCAGTCTGCAGAACATGAAAGGTCAGAAGGCTTGGAAAACACTGCATCCTGTAGTCCCTTATGGGTATTCATGCACAGTTTCTACTAGCAAATTCAACACCTGAGAAGTCCTGCAGTAAAGAAAGCTGCTTAACTTTGTTTAACCCGACGCACTTATTTGACCATCCTAGAACTGCTGTCATAGGAAAAAAACACCTATTAATATCTTGTGGTATCGGCTTTGGGAAACACCCTCCACCTTGAGTCTTCATTTTCCAACTTAGAGAAAGCTGCCTTCCTGGAGCCCAGTTTACAGGTATGAGACCCATTGCATCGGGTTCAGACAGAAACCAGCAGCAGCTCCACTAAGATGACACAGGTTGTAACAATGACCAAGGGTCCTGCTGAAGCCAAAAGGCGGGAAGACTCCCCAGAACATGGGCAGTTTAGAAGAAAAATACAGTTCTGTCCCAGAAGAGCAAGCTCTTCTCAGGACCTCACAATTCCACCTTGAGCCTAACTTGTTGCTGCTTCTTGCAGCCAAGATGTCTCTGTGGACTGAAGAGCACTGATCCCAAGCTCAAAGCCTTATTTCCCTTTCGAACAAACATCAAGACAATTTATGATAACCAGATACAGGGCCCGCTTCTCCTGCCCGAGACTAGACTGCATCCCCTTTTATCACTTAAGCACCCCTTACAAACTCTAAAAGACAGGAGAGGACGGAATCAAATTATGTCTCATCAAGAAAGATATCGGCCGGGCATGGTGGCTCATGCCTGTAATCCCAGCACTTTGGGAGCCCGAGGCAGGTGGATCACAAGGTCAGGAGATTGAGACCATCCTAGCCAACGTGGTGAAACCCCATCTCTACTAAAACACAAAAAATTAGCTGGGCATGGTGGTGCGCACCTGTAGTCCCACCTACTTGAGAGGCTGAGGCAGGGGAATCACTTGAACCCAGGAGGCAGAAGTTGCAGTGAGCTGACATTGCACCACTGCACTGCACTCCAGCCTGGCGACAGAGCAAGACTTTATCTCAAGAAAAAAAAAAAGAAAAAGAAAAAGAAAGATATCACTCTCCTCCCCAAAAGCCAGGCATGAGCTTGCATAGAGGGGTTCATTTTTCTTCTCATTTGTGAGGTGTGTGTGACTCACACAAGGAGTTGGACAAAGGGGATTCACTTGCTAAATACCAGCTCCATGACAAATCTCGCCTGTCTCATTCACAGTTGTATCCCCATACCTGAAATATGGTCGACATTCAGCAAGTATTTGTTGAATGAATGAATGCATAAAACAATGAACAAGTGAACTAGCTATTTATAATAGATCAATCCACCTATGGCAATCTCAGGAATGAGTAGAGTGTATGGCTAAAAACGTAGACTCAGGCTGAGTGTGGTGGCTCACGCCTGTAATCCCAGCGCTTTGGGAGGCCGAGGCGGCCAGACCACTTGAGGTCAGGAGTTTTGAGACCAGCCTGGCCAACATGGGGAAACCCCATCTCTACTAAAAACACAAAAATTAGCCTGGCATGGTAGCGGGCGCCTGTAATCCCAGCTACTTGGGAAGCTGAGGCAGGAGAATCGCTTGAACCCGGGAGGTGGAGGTTGCAGTGAGCTGAGATTGTGCCACTGCACTCCAGCCTGGGTGACAGAGTGAGACTCCATTTCAAACAAACAAACAACAACAAAAAAAACTCCAGCTAGACTCCCTGCATTTGAATCCTGTTCCACCACTTAGTTGTATGACCTTGGGCAAGTTAAATAACTTTTCTGTGGCTCGGTTTTATTCCCTATGAAGTGTGGATAATAAAAAGCCAATCTCATAGGTTGCCATGACAATGAGCATAAGTGAAGTGTTTAGACTGGTACCTGGCATAGAGTATGTGTTTTATAAGCATTATCTGCCAACATCATTGTCATCATCATTATGATATCAGATACGAGAGAGAAGAACTAGGAAAATGAACATGAAGTTTTATCTAGACACTGAATCCTTTTATTCAACCTTATTTATTGAGCACCACCATGTGCCTGGCACTCTCCCAAGTTTCTATTACCTGGGTGCAGGAAGAAGGAAAACATATTTAAATGTGAAGCCAGATCAGGAGGAGGAACATCCTTCTCCCCTATGAATGGTACTTCTCGGTGACTGTACACAGCCAGGACTCCAGCCATGAGCTCATCCTCCCATGCCCCAGTCAGTTCCTTACAAATCAAAAGCCCAAAGCAATTGTCTGTTGTCCTAGATATGCAACCAGCATACAGAAGAACTAAGAGATTATTATACTTGGTGGAAGAATCATGGAGGCCAATGGGCAGCTTTAGGGGAGAAAGGG
This sequence comes from Homo sapiens, assembly GCF_000001405.40. NCBI lineage: Eukaryota > Metazoa > Chordata > Mammalia > Primates > Hominidae > Homo > Homo sapiens. Next base: position 10,452,299 of record NC_000011.10, on the reverse strand, counting down.
TATCTCCCTGTTAACCCGAAGGCTACATGTTATCTGCCCATGACATTTTCAAGACCTGAGACAGATTTTGAGGCCATTTGAAGAGTGATCCAGTCAGTGTAGAGGCAAAAAAAAACAACTACAAAAAACCTCATCTCTCAAAGAGCTTCTTGACCTAGCTGAGAGCTAGGAGAACCTTAGAAGACAGAGGCTGAGCTAAGGATGGGACTGAGAGGTCAAAGAGTCTCCCAGCCACCACCTATGCAGGTGTCATTATTCCTAGAGAGGGCAGCCCCATACCATCATCCTCAGAGCAAGCCAGGCCCCATGAAGCTGCAGCCAGGCCAGGCCAACTACCCCAGACCTGCTGTCAACACTCCTAGAGGTGTGAAGTGACAGAGGCTCTGTCTGTCTGGCTCAATGGCTCCACTAACACTCGGCCTTAGTGCTGCACAGCCAGGGAAAGAATTTCTCCTCTGCAGGTTCCAGCTGCAGGCAGCTTTTCCATGAAGATGGCCAAATGTTGGTCACTGCATCCTGAGGGAAAGCCAACAGGGGCTCAAGACCATGCTAAAATCCCTCCTTGTGCTGCCTGCTTTCACCCAGCTCCTTTGCTGATGTGTCGCCATCAAGCTTTCAGCCACATACAGTTTGGGGAAATGATACCCTAGTTAGCAAGCCTCTCCTACTCCAAGGCCTCTCAAAACTCTCCCCAGGGACCTCTGCCAGCCTACAACAGCCATTAGCAGCTCTGCTGGCAAAGCAGCTACCAGAAGATCAAGGGCAGAAAGCAGACTGCCAGAGCCCAAGGCTGTACACCTCCCTTGCCGGGAGAGAGCCAAAGAGGTAAGGATGAAGGCCTCAAACGACCTCATCACCCTATCATCCAGTGCATCCCTCGCCTCCAGGTAGAAGTCCACCTCAGCTGTCCACATCCAGCCAGTCCTCAAGCACCTAGGAACTTTGCCCAGGGTGGCAAGTCCCAGGTCCCTTAATTTCTCTAAACCTTGCGATTCCATTCTAGGCCGCCAGGGAATCGGGATGCTGCCCGCTCACCTGAGGCCGCTGGGGCTCGGGCCACCGCAGAGGCAGGGGTAGGGACAGGGACAGGAACAGGGGACAGGGCAAGGGATCGGACCGGAGTCAGCGCCACCGCCTCTGCGAGCAGGGAAGGCGGAAGCCGCGGTTCAGACCCCAGGGCGCTGCTGATTCCCGCCTGGGCCGCAGGGTCCGCGGGGCTGGCCCAAGGTCAGCAGCGCAGCCTCGCGCGCACTCACCGGGTTCGGACGACAGGGCCATGCCGCCGGCCGAAAGGGACGGCCGCAGGGCTGGAGCAAAGGGGACGCGCTGGGCAGAGCGGAGCGGGGCTGCTGGGCACTGAGGCCAGCCGGGGCCAGGGCCCGGCCAGGCCGCGCCCCGCAGCAGGCGCGGGGGCCGGGCGTTCAGAGGGCGCAGCGCTGCGGATCCCCGGCCAGGAGGGCCCCGCGGGAGGAGGGAGGGCCGCCTCAGCAGGGAGGAAGCCGGCCAGCCGCGTGCAGCCCCCGTCGGTGCCCTACCTGGGCGCGGAGCGGAGCAGAGAGAGCCGAGAGGCTACCTGAAGCGCCCGGGCCGCGCCGCCAACGGGAAACTTGAGAGCAGCAGGGGCGCGGCGGCCGCCAGGGCCCTTGGCCGGAAGCACCCGCCGCCTCCTGGGCTCCGCGGGGCCCGCGCCGCAGCCCGGAGCAGATGCCAGCCGGGCTCCCCAGACCTCAACTGCGCTGGCCCCGCCGGGCTTCCACACCGCTCCCCGTGCCGCCCGGGCTTGCCCGACGTCCTCCCCTCCCCGCACAACTTTTCCCAGCGCGAGACTCTGGGGGTCTCGGCCCCGCACAGGTGACTTGCTCCCTGTAGTTGCAGCAACCCGCAAGCATTGGTTTCTTCCAGGCGTCCTTCTGGTCACTTGGATACACACACACACACACACACACACACACACACACACTCCCTCGCCAACCGTCCACTCTTCCAGGCGTCCTTCTGGTCACTTGGATCACCTACACACACACACACACACACACACACACACACACACACACACACACACCACGTGCACACGCTCCCTCTCCAACCCTCCTCGCTCTGCCTTCACCTGCCCCTCAAAGTCCTGAATGACCTCCTAGTTGCCAAAGCCACTGGGTGCCGTGCAGCCTCCCTCGCTCACCTCTTCCTGGCATCTGAGCCTGCTGACCACGTCTTCCTTCCTGAAACGCTTGGAGTGCAGTTTCCAGAGTTGGCACCCGCGGCCCCCACCTCCAGATTTTTCACATACCTGGGTACCTACAGCTTCTCGGCCTCCGCGGCCTGGCTTTTCTCTGTGGTCCCACCCCAGGGTCCCACCGTGCCAGCCCGCTCTCCCACTCCAAGGCCCACTCTGGGCATCTCAGCCACTCCCATGGTTTTAACAACCTCCTGCCGGATGATGGCTCTTGAATTTCATCTCCAGCCCAGAATGCCCCCGAGCTGCTGAAGATGGTGAATCTAACTGCCTAGGGAACATCTCCTCTAGATCTTCCTAGGCCGGCGGAAGCGGTCCAGACCCAAACTACCTAGTTGCTTCCCAGGAAAACGCCAGAACCTGCTTCTGTGTTTCCAGTCTCAGTGAATGATACCGGGGTCGGCACCACCACGGGGCCACAGTTGGGAGCCATTCTTGACTCGGTCTCCCTTTCCTCTCTCAACGAGTAAGTCACCAAGCTCGGAGAGGAAACTTCATTAGTGAGCACCCACTGTGTGTCCTCACTGTGTCAACCACTTTCACAGAGTTGTCTCATGTAAGCACCAAGTTGTATTCCTTCTACCCCATAGTCTGATTGGTCTGATACTCGCAATTCGTGTATTCATAAACGTTTTGCACATGAGACTGCGTTAATGAGTTACATATTATAAAGAACACTAAAAAAATTAAAGGATGTGGTAAAGATGAAACAATAATTTTAAATTGTTTCATTTTTATGAGTGGTACAATATACCTTTTTCTTTTCATTTTAAAGTTATTAGCAATAATCTGTTTAGTGATTCCACTAATCTGTTAGTGATTTAGTGATTAAATCATTAAAAATGATTTAAATAAATCTTAGTTTAATACTTTATGAGACCAGAAAGTGTACTTGTAAGTTCAGTTAATGTCCATACTTGGTCTTAATGGCTATTCTTTAAAAAAAAAAAAAAAAGATATCTCACAAAGATTAAATAGACCTGAATAGAAGAACTGTATCTTTGCACTTATTAAATCATAGTTCTTACTGTTTAAATTTGATCTATCAATTTTGCAAATGTGAAAACTCTTCTTTGTCTATGAAATCAACATTTTCAATGATGTTTTCCTCAGCTGTTCTTGCAAATCATTTTAACAAATGGGACTTTTAAAACACTTGAAATTCTGCATTTGCAATATTGTAAAATGGATTTAGAAGTATGCTTCTACATTTTGCAGATTGTGGCTATGAGAGTATAGGTGACACTAGCACGCTTCGTTTTGGCATGAAAATCACATGATAATGGAAACAGTTCCAAACGTCAATTTTCAAAGTGCCTTCCCTATAACACAATTCTTCTAAAGCACATTTGTTACGTCAGTTCATTGCTGAAATATCACCTTTACCCAAAAGGATACTGTGTGTGTGTGTGTGTGTGTGTGTGTGTGTGTATGTGTGTGTATATGTGTGTTTCTTTCTGCTATGTATCACACTTGTGACAATCTCAGGCCAGCACATCGGAGGTCAGCAAATTTGGAGCACTTGTTCTTTGTTAAGGAAACTCATCTTTAAATTCACAGCGTTCAAGTTGTTTGCCTTGAGATAATCAGTAAACCTTGGAATCATAAGAAAGATTTTTAGTCTCATTCCACATCTCAATACAAAGTGCTATAAAGATTCTGCTATATTTTAATTTTTTAATTAACCATATTATTGACATCCCATAGTATTTCATGATCTTCTTGCTTCAACTTCTTGTTGTACTTTGTAAATGAATAATGTGATTGCTGAATTTCACATGTAGTCCTCATGGACCAGAACACGAACCACCCCCCAGTTTTGGAGGAGAGATTGGTGGTGCTGCTACTGCTTGGGGTTGGGTGAGGGTGACAGTGGCAGTGAGAGGTGGAGGGGGTGAGGGGTAGCGGAAGTGGTTGCATTGGCAGAAGACTAGTGAGGTGGTGTTCATGTTGAACTGAGGCAATGGAAGGGTAACATTAAATCAGTAGTCTTCAAAGTAGAATGTGTAGAATGATCCATTGAAATGTAAAAGAAAAATTAAAACATTTATTTCTACATATTTTTTAGTCTAAAAATAAAAAAAATTAACATTCACCAATGTTAACTACATGGAACCCTTACTCAACTCATGCATCAGGTGTCCATGCCATGTGTCATATCAGAGGCATAGTCAGGGATGAGAGGAGGTTGTGCAACACGGGGGACAGAGAATGGGACCATGACACCCTTGCCTTCAAAGTATATTACTAGGCCTTATGAACTATTTGTATCCTGGGCAGTAGATAGACAGATTACGTTTTCTGGTTTTCACTAAACTCTTCTCACAAAAGAGACAAGTGGTAGAACGAGACATTTACATGTCTTGCTGAGTTTATAGCATTTACATGTCTTGCTGGTCATACAAAACACCAACCACCCTTCATTTTGTATTCCAGAGAGGGCAGCCACTCCCTCAGTGGTTTACTTTCACCCATAAAAACCACAGCATGTTTTACTAAGTTGTTCACTGTTGTGAACATATCTATCTTTCCTTTAGTAGATCACAAAAAATATTTCTTTATGAATGTCATTATCAAAAAGCATAGCAAATACTCAAGGTGAAACATGTTAGCAACTTGCATCCAACCATATAGCCAACTTCCACAACACACCATGTGTTTTAAAACTTATTCTTCAAACTTAAAGTCTGTGTGTCTTCCAACAGAATACATTTTTATGTACTACCATCTTCTCTCTGTATTAACTCAGTCACTTTAACCATGGCAAATACAACAGCTGTTTTTTCCAGTGATGTTGACTGATATTTTGTCTTTTACTATTAAATAAGAAGCCTCAAAAGAGATTTCTGAGCACTATTTTTTTTTTTTTTTTTGAGACAGAATCTCACTGAGTCGCCCAGGCGCTGGAGTGCAGTGGTATGATCTCAGCTCACTGCAACCTCTGCTTCCCGGGTTCAAGTGATTCTCCTGCCTCAGCCTCCCAAGTAGCTGGGATTACAGGCATGCGCCACTATGCCCGGCTAATTTTTTTTGTATTTTTAGTAGGGACAGGGTTTTACCATGTTGGCCAGGCTGGTCTGCAACTCCTGACCTCAGGTGATCCGCCCACCTCAGCCTCCAAAGGTGCTGGGATTACAGGCATGAGCCACCGCGCCCGGCCAAAAAATAATTTTTAAAAAGTACACAACTAAGTATTGCATGACTTGGAAAATCCCTGAAAAAAAAATCGTAGAGGTTTGTCTTCTTGCCCTGAGTTTATAGCATTTACATGTCTTGCTGATCATGATTTCATGTTTATATTATTATTAGCTAATACCTCAAGGGCCAACATATGGTGGTGTAAATCCCTGTTTCAAGTAGTCTTTTTTATAAATTTGAACTTAGTTGTCAGAGCTGACTACTACTGAGCTGACTAATCATCATAATGGATATCATATTAGTAGTAAGAAATCGTCAACTTTGCCATTTTCTGAGTTTGCTTTTGCTTACATTGTTCATATTATTTTCAGTCTATGGGTTCCTTTGAGGAATGTCTTCAAACCACTTGTCTCTTTTGTGAGAAGAGTTTAGTGAAAACTGATAATATGTCTATCCACTGCCAGGACACAAATAGTTCTTAAGACCTAGCAATAGATTTTGAAAGCAGGTGGGCCAGGGAGGGTGCTGTGGTCCCCTTCTCCATCCCCCATGTTGTAGAACCTCCTCTCTTCCCTGACTTGCCTCTGATATGATGCATGACATGGACACCCAATGCATGAGTTGAGTGAGGGTAAAATGTATAATAGTAAACATTGGTGAAGGTTAGCTTTTTAGTTTTAGACTAAAAAAAAAGTAAAAATAAAAGTTTTAATTTTTCTTTTACATTTCAATGGAACATTCTACACCTCCTGTGAAGACCACTGATTTAATCTAACCCTTCCATTGCCTCAGTTCAACAAGAATACCACCTAACTAGTCTTCTGCCAATACAACCACCCCCCCGACCCCTCACCCCCTCTAGCTCTCACCCCCACTGTCACCCTCACCCCACCCCAAGGAATACCACCAGTCTCTCCTCCAGCTTCACACCAGGGACAGACATCCTGTGCTGTCAGCTCCTCTCCTCCAATCGGCCTGATGCTCCACTCATTCAGACCTTTGAACACCTAGGAAAGCACTTGGACCAGAGCTTCAGGTTACCTCCAACAATACTCTGACTCCTAATGCACTGGGGGATGGGGTTATTTGAGCGTTTTTGGAAGCCAATATCTGTTTGGGGTCTCTGTTCCCATGCCCTGACTTATGCTCCCTTCTGAATAATGGTTGCACAATGCATACATGTATACAAGATGGGCATGGCAGCCTCCGAAAACCCAGTTTCTCTACGACCTTTACAGTCTTCTCTGCTACAGAGGTCCAAATCTCCCCACAGGAGGCAATAAGAGAAGGACTCTGCTTCTGAGAGCACATTAGCAAAGCCTCATCAGATATAGCCAGTTTTCAAACCAAAGTGCCCTGGGGCCTTCTGCTAATTGAGTGGACAGAAATCATGGCATATGGCCTGACACTAGGATAGAAATAGGTACCTCAGAAGTACATGATGGCTGAAAGAAGAATAACCAGGGACATTTTCAGGGCACCACGTGTGGAAGGGCATTGCAGCCTACCCTGATGCTGTGGCATAATGAGAGTATAAGCCTTTCCCCCACCACCCCTCCACTCCAGTTTGAGCCTAATTCCTTCCCAGGATTTTAATCTGTGTAGTCAATCAGACCTAAGCAAACTGGAGTCTGACAATTGGCACAGCAGTCTCCTTACTGTTAAGATCTGGTTCCTTTTTTCTGAAATGGGTTTCTAGAAAGAAGAGAACCAAATCTGAGCACTTTGAAAATTAGTGCATGTGACAGCTAGGCCTCATCACAGAGTGCGTGCACTCAGGATTATGGCAGGAAGTGGGGAGGGGGGGTGTCCTGGGCACCAGGTCAGGAGACAACAAGAAGAGGGCTCAGGAGTAGGACTGGGCTGAGTCTGTTTCGGGGAACCTTGGGTCCTTGAGCTTAGAGTCCCTAACTCGTCACCAGACTGGAGTGAAAGAGAGTCATGAGTGGGAATCTGAAGCTTGGGGCCTACCACATGTGACCACAAAACCCTCCCTCCATTATCTAAGTGCATGGCAGGGGGCTGGTGCTCCCCAGGCATGGCTGTCTGCTGATAGGGACACAGTTTCTGAATCAAACTGAAGTCTGAAAATTAGCAGTCCTTTACTCCATCTAAGAATGACCTGTCGTCTCTACCTTCTTGCCAGGACTCTGTACAAGATCATCCTCAGCTACACAAGTAGAGTTTATTGCTCCAGGTCACCACTATCTTGTTTCCATGTTTGTGTATCTTTCATAGTCTCCAAAATGCCACCAGCAGCCTCAACATTACATTATTCTGGTGAGACTCTGCAGCTGAACATCCATAGATGAGAGTCACAGCTTCAAATAGAATTTCCCAAATTCTCTGCCCTCAATCTGCTTCAACTCTTCTGCCTTATCATCTGAAATTCAGACTTCAAATTCTAGGCTGACCATAGCCGTCTAAAATTTTTGGAAGCAGGGAGAGGGAGGTGAGTAGAGTGGAACTCAGGTGAGGCTATGACCTCTGTCTCCCAGAGATGCAGTCTCCCCCATTGCTGCCCACCTGCCCACCACACACACATTCCCCTTAGGCCATACTCTTTCCCAGGAGTCCTCCCTGGCTGTAGCTTCTAGTTTTCCTAGTCTCAAGCTACCTTCGTCCTGGTGCCTTGTTCAGAACTGCTCACCCAACCATTCAATGGGCAATAGGGTCAAAAGCTGAATCTGGAGTGAGGGTCTGTAGCCTTCCTGTCCCACGGTGTTTGCTTCCCAGTTGAATGTCAGACTCCAGGGGCTGGCCACCATCAGCCTTCGACAGTACCATCAACACTCAATACATCCACAGATCTGTGCATTCTACCAGGGACATCTGGAGGAAGGGGTGGCTAAAATTATACCAGAGAAAAGCATGGGGATTTTTCAAGTTCCTGAATTCCTGTTATTTAAAAAGAAGCCGAACTATGACCTCACTGGGGCTATAACATCTCTGGGTCAGGAAAGAGGGCTCTATTTAAGAATTTAATTTGGTAGAAGCCTAAACCTCAGCATTACGCAATATGCCTATGTAACACACCTGCACATGTACCCCCTGAATCTAAAACAAAAATAACAAAAATTTTTAAAAAATTTTTAAACATTTTTTAAAGAATTTAATTTGGGAAATCAAAAAATTGTGATGATTGTATGACATTGTGAATGCAATTAATGCTGCTGAATTGCACATGCAAAATGGTTAAAATGGCAACTTATATATATATTTTTACCACAGTAAAAAATTATCAAAAGAACAACAAAATTAAAGATTGAATTTTTTTAGAAACTGTTATTGCAGAACTTTACTATTTCTTTGGAACATTAAGTATGAACAGGGCAGAGCATGTGGGTCTCTATCCACCATCCAGTATCCCCAAGGCTTCAGGCAAAGCGGTTTAGCCGTGTTCTGGGGGAACACAGAAGACAGTCATGTTCCACACTGGCAAGGCTCAGAAGAGGAAAGGAGGGCAGCAGCCAGAGAAAGAGCATAAACACCAAAAAAGGACTGAGGCCCCATAGTCAGAATGAGGACTCTGACACAGAAGCTCGAGCCAGGTCCTCAGAAATCTTGAGAAGAACACAAGCCCCAAACAGCTCAGGGTGAGCAATCGTTTCCATAGCTCACGATTCATCCAAAGGATGACTCTTTAAGAGGAATAAATCAGCTAGAAGTCATCGGTATCTATCACCTGTCAACTGCTCCCAAAAGGTAAGCCCTCGTCACTGGCCCATCTGCACATTTCATGTCTTGATCACATTCCAGACAATTCCCACTGGATCCAGATCACTACCAGTCACCTATGGCAAAGTTCAGATCCCTATCTAAATGAACATGATGAAAGCTTATGATGCACCAATAATTTAGTGTTCACAAATATATTCACGGGAATTAAGTTCGGCTGATGGTAACAGAGACCCACAATAATAGTGGCCTAAACAAGAGAAAAATTTCTGTCTCATTTCCTTTCCCTAAATAGTCCAGAGTTGGACATTACAGGCTGTTCCACAAAAGCCCCACACTTCTTCCAGCCATCACTCTACCATCCCTCCAGTGTGGCCCTCATACTTTGTGGTGGGAGGGGGGGCGTGGGAAATTAGCTCTTCCTTTGTTAAGGAAGAGGCGGAGGCGGCCGGGCGCGGTGGCTCACGCCTGTAATCCCAGCACTTTGGGAGGCCGAGGCGGGTGGATCATGAGGTCAGGAGATCGAGACCATCCTGGCTAACAAGGTGAAACCCCGTCTCTACTAAAAAAAATACAAAAAAAATTAGCCGGGCGCGGTGGCGGGCGCCTGTAGTCCCAGCTACTCGGGAGGCTGAGGCAGGAGAATGGCGTGAACCCGGGAAGCGGAGCTTGCAGTGAGCCGAGATTGCGCCACTGCAGTCCGCAGTCCGGCCTGGGCGACAGAGCGAGACTCCGTCTCAAAAAAAAAAAAAAAAGAGGCGGAGGCTAGAGCTTCAGCCATTACACTCATGTTTCATGGAGCAGAAAGGAGGAAGTGACGAAGAATAAAAGGCAGAGGGCACAGGCCAGAGGCCTTTTAATTAAGCCACCATATCACACCTCCCACTGGCCTTACTGAGCTGCTCTCTAACATCACTGACCAGTGACCTCAGTATTTTTTGTGTCTCACGTATAATTTCACCAGGGCATAGCCTTCCTTTCCAAATATAACCGCCATTGGTTTTCGTGGTTAACTTGAGTATACCAGGCCTAGAAGCTTGCATCAAAGAGAGCAGATAAAAATATCAACACAGCACAGTTTAGATATCCTCACAACCTCAGAACTTCTCCAGCTTGGTCTTGGTGCACCACGATATTTGCATAGTTGTAGCACCCACTGAAAGGTCCAAAGACCTATGAGTTCGGCAAAAACCTTTTGGCAGTTTCAGGGAGATCAAAGAGAAAGTATGTCTCTCCTGCTCTAAAGGTAAGATTTGATCTGATTAAAGTTTTCACCCCCCTTCCTCATGAATTCCTGACATCAGCAGGACTCCCTCCTGGTAATGTGTCAGAAATGTGTCAGAGAAATGGAGGCAACATAGGCCTGAGGTTACCAGGATTATATTAATATATTATGTGTCACCTTCTCTAATTTGGGAAGCTAGTCTCAACTTGACATGCTTTAAAAGTCCTTCATGTTGTCATCCATGAAAGATCTATTGAGCATCTAGGTGTCAGCCACTGGGTCCTAGAGCAACAGTGGTGAGCAGAGCACCATTCTTGTCTTCATGGAGGTCATCAGCTAGTGGGTGACACAGGACGTTAATCAAATGACTTCAAACTATGATAGAGCTGTGAAGAAAAAATACAAGAACCATACCAGAGCATAACAAGAAAACTCAACCTTCGTCAGGATATGAGGGAGGAGACATGGGGAATGGCATGTGCAAAGGTCCTGGGAGAATTGAGGGGAATAATACCTGAGTCATTTCTTCCCCTACTTTACTTCTATCACATACTTGTGATTGGACATTCTGTTAAGTTTACGCATTAAAGCTTGGTTTTCAATGTGTATAAATTCCTTACTTTACCAAAGGGAAGTACCAGATGGCCCGGGTAAATAAAACCAGATTTAGTGCTCCAGGGTGGTGCTGTTTTTACATTAACTTTTCCAAATCCTGTCACTTTTCCAGCATTTATTAAATATATAACAAACCTATTTTAAGATTCCTCAGGCCCAGGCTCTTGTGTTTTCTCAACATTTCCAGCTGTGTGTCTCACGCATTCCTTCCACGTGAGCATATTCTGAAGGTCAGAGGGGAAGAAAGTTCTTCTCCCCACAGCTACTCTGTAAGCACCTTGCTTCCTTCCATCAAAGTTGTAGAGGTGCCCACTCATGCCACTCCCTGTGCAGACACTCTAGTGCCAGGTACCACCCATTCCACCCTCCTCCTTCTTCAGGGGAGTCTTCAACTTTAATTCTTTTCCTCTTCCAGGGTCTGGCCTTCTGTTCAGCTCCTCTCCATAGAGCAAGAGGAATAGGTCTGAGTGATGATCATGGCCCTGGGCTGAGGTCTGACTGTAGCCTTCTTGTCCCCTAATACCACCACCCCATTCCTGCCTCAAATCAGATCTCTTTAATCTCTACTCATCCTGATGAGTTAGGCTGCCATGTATTACCAAATTTCTACCAGGGATCTCTGAAGTATGTCAGTGAAGTCACAATCTATATCTTTAGTTTTATGTGATATAAAGGGTCCACCATTTAAATCTCAGTCCCTGTCTTTTATCTCCAGAGCTGGTTACTGAGAGCCAGAGTTCCAGAGGGTCCCCCTGGAGCCATCAACAGAATGGCTTCTGCATCAGTAGTCCCAGCAGCAGGCAGATGGTGCATTCATATTAGGCAAATTGATTTAACAGGTCATTTCATAGAAGGACTATTTTCAAAGGTGTGGCAAGTGTGTAGGGAAACAGTGAGGGTCTGTGCAAGACTCAAGAGCTAATAATATCAGGGCTGTTACTTTCTGGGCCTAAAGGGCCAAGATGAGAGAGCAGCTACAGTGATTATGCAGCAAGCTTCCAATGAAGCCAGATTCCAAGTTATTTATTTGTCTCATGTTCCCTGGCTAACTCCTGTTAGCCTGGTCCTGATAGGCCTTTTTAATCACTGCCCTATCCTATTTCTCCAGATCCCTCGCAAGATCTCACAAGGCCCCTCTCCAAGTTTTACTCTTCAGCACAGGATCTTCCTGCCTCTGACCTGACCTCAAGGCCTCCTGTGAACCTGATGGCTACAAGTACCTGGCCAAGCCCACCTGTCCCTGTAGCTTTTCTTTCCTCCTCAGTGAGGATCTGTAAACAGTGCTAAGGGTCACCACCTTTGCCCCCTGACCTTCCTTGCCTTTCTTTGTAGCTGGTGACTTGTACTCAATCAGGCCTTATGGCTTATGGCCTTAAGGCTCAGCAGTTGTGTCCCAGGGTTTTTACTATGAAGGGGAGAGATCCCTCCCACTATCCCCTCCCTGTCCCCGTGCGTCACTATTACTGAGAACACGAAACACGGTCGCCCTGTACTCTCACAGCAATTTCAGTGAACTGCCCTGTTTTTATTCATTTTCTACTACAGCCCTTCCCTCTGAGGCTGGGCCAGAGTGAACAACATTCACAGGCTAGACCCCTTCCCAAGAGGTTTCTAGATCCTTCTGCAAACAGACTTCTGCCACCACAATTGCTCTGGACCATCCAAATACATGTGAATCTGACAGTCCCGGTGCTCAGAACACTAGGCTGTCCCACTAAGACCATGCCTCTGGTATAGTCTTGCAAGGGACAGCTCTGTCCAAGCAGTCTCTCCACAGACATATTTAGAAATATTCTTCTTTCTGTCTAGCTGTCAGCAGCTGAAATCATGCAGCCTAATTTGTTAAACATTTTCTGCCCGGGAGTAGGATTTTGGGGAGTTGCATGTTCTTCTCATATCCTTCAGGACTGAAAATTATGTTTTTAAATAGGAAAAAATGTGAATATAAAACAGATGTTTCCCAATATTATACAGTAATATGGTAAATGCTTCTGATAGAACATTAAGTTAGAAAAGCAGTCCACAAGAACATGATTTCAACTATGTAGAAATAAAGCAAATGAAATAAAATCAATAAAAACCTGAGCATAGAAGTAAGTAAGTTGCAGTACAATAAAGAAAAATACCACTCTAGATTCTGGGGGAAAACCCTTTCAGCTCAGGAGGGCCTGTCCTGTTTCTCCAACAGGCTTCCCACTGCTCCATTTCTGCCTAACAGACATCTGAGTATGCATTGGTCAGTAGAAAAGAGACCTTGAGTAAGAATCTGATTTGATCCAAGGTAAAGAAAAGCTACAACAGCAAAGCTGGAGAGCTTCGGGTTGCTTTGGAATAGGATGGATGGGAAGAAGCAAGAATATGGAAAGTGAGGAAAGAGGTTTAAATAGAAAAGGGGACCTTAAAACTTGACAATAGGTCAGGGCCGAATCTGAAAGACAGGCAATGAAAAATTCCCTGGGGGAAGGAGGGGACTGTATATTAAATTAAAATTGTTTTGTGTTGTGTGCTATGCTGTAATACCCCTCCGTTAACCCCACATCTTCAGGAAAAACACTTGGGGGAATCAATGGGAAGTCTTTGCAAACTGCAATATGGACAGATATAAGAGCTATTGTAAAACAAGCCCTCTTGTAACAGCTAGGATAGGATAGGCCATAGCCAGCCTCTTAAGAAAGAAACAAAGCAGTTCAACACATCAAAGGTATGTTTCTTGCATATATCACTAGCCAATGCATGTGAGGCAGCTCTCTTGCATCCCAGACAGTGACTCAGAGATTCATGCAGATTCATTCTGCATTTCCAGCATCAGAAGTCTTTCACTGCTGGATATGTGGAGAGAAGAGTGGTAATGTGGTCAGTAACACTGCTAAAGCAGAATCTAGAAGGAAACATATACCATTAAGTCCATATATTAAAAAATAAGGAAGGTTAAAAACCAATGATCTGGCTGGGCACGGTGGCTCACGCCCGTAATCCCAGCACTTTGGGAGGCTGAGTCGGGCAGATGATCTGCCATAGGGAGTTTGAGACCAGCCTGGCTGAAATGGTGAAATCCCGTCTCTACTAAAAATACAAAAATTAGCTGGGAGTGGTAGTGGGTGCCTGTAATCCCAGCTACTCGGGAGGCTGAGGCAGGAGAACTGCTTGAACCCAGGAGGTGGAGGTTGCAGTGAGCCGAGATCGCACCAGTGCACTCCAGCCTGAGCAACAGAGCAAAACTCCATCTCAAAAAAAACAAAAACAAAAACCAACCAATGATCTAAGTTCTCAACTCAAAAAACTAGAAAAATGGCCAGGCATGGTGGCTCACACTTGTAATCCCGGCACTTTGGGAGGCCAAACCTGGAGGATTGCTTAAGCCAAGGAGTTTGAGACAAGCCTAGGCAACATAGTGAGACCCTGTCTCTATGTAAGAAAAATCTTTCTTTAAAATATATGTTTAAATAATAGGAAAAAAGCTAAAACAAAAACAAAAACAAAAAACAGAAAATTAACCCCCTCAAAAAATAGAAGAGAGGAATACAGAGCAGGATCAATGGAATAGAAAACAGACATTTAATAGAGAAAATCAACAAAGTCAAAAGTTTATTCTTTGAATAGATTAATACACTTAATAAACTCCTAGCAAGACAATTCAAGAAAAGAGAGAGCAAGAGAGAGAAAAAAACATAAATACAAAAACCAGCCTTGAAAAAGAGAATATCACTACCTGCCTTACAGACATTAAAAAGATAATGAGAGGATGTTAGAAAAAACTTTATGCCAATAGATTGGCATTCTATACACCAATATTTATGCCAGTAAATTAGAAAATCTAAGTGAAACATGTTTCTTAAAATACAATTTGCCAAAATTGCCACAAGAAGAAATTTTAAAATACCAATAGCCCTATATCTATCAAAGAAATCAAATCTGAAATTAAAACTGTTTCCAAAAAGAAAACTATATGCCCAGATTGCTTCACAAAAATTTAAGAGATAATTAATACTGGCCTGCAGAGGTGTGTCCAGAAAATAGAAGAAGGGAAACATTCAAACTCATTTTATAAGGCCCACAAAACATTGATTCCAAAAGCTCAGAAAGATATTACAAGAAAGGAAAATTACTGGACAACACCTTAGGCTGGGAAATTTAGAGAAGCACATGTGAGCCAACTTGGTGAGCAACAACAGTCTCCACTGCAGTTCACTCTTCTGGCCATTAAATATCCCTTTGTTCCCTTCGTCCTGAAGGTAGAGCATCTTCCACCACTCCTCACGAAAGACAATCCAAAGTCCAATCTATTATAGCTTTGCATTTCTTAGTCCTCTCTATCAGGAAAAGACATGGCTTCTCTTACACCTGTGAACTGAAAAGTCAAGATGTCTGCCTCATATCCATGTGATATGGGTTGGCTGTGTCCCCAGCCAAATCTCATCTGGAATTGTAGCTCCCATAATTCCCACATGTCATGGGAGGGGCTTGGTGAGAGCTAATTGAATCATGGGGTTGGGTATTTTCTCAGGCTGTTCTCATAATAGTGAATAAGTCTCACAAGATCTGATGGTTTTATAAAGAGGAATTCCCCTGCACAAGCTCTCTTGCCTGCTGACATGTAAGATGTCCCTTTGCTTTTCCTCTGTCTTCCACCATGATTGTAAGGCCTCCCCAGCCATGTGGAACTGTAAGTTCATTAAACCTCTTTTCTTGTAAATTACCCAGTCTCTGGTACGTCTTTATTAGCAGCATAAGAACAGACTAACACACCATGACAGCATACAAATATGCGATAATAGAACAAGAATAGGATAACTACAATAACAGGAACAGGATAACTCCCATTCAGAAAGGGGAAGACTAAGAGACCCACAGTAGTCACTGCCTGTGACAGTGCTGAAATACCAGTGGGCAGATGTTATAAAGGCTGCCTAGCCTAGAGCAGGAACTCCCTCCTCCACTATTCTTTGTGATCCTTGGCACCACACTCTGAGGGGCTTCCTCCTGGACCCTGATACTGCTTGACCACATGTAAAGAGGGAGTTAGGGAGAATACTCTCTTTAGGGGATGTGCAACTTCCTACCAGAGGTTGCTTTAAGGCTTAGCTAATGGACTAACGCTTTTTATACAGCCTTGTGGTTTCTTTGACAATACTGTTTCCTCAAAAATTTGGTAAGCATCTGATCTATTTGCCAATATCCACACTCAAGGTTGCTTTTGTAAGATACAGTTTTCCAACTTGCTTTACCTTTCGCCTTCTTGTCCCCCTGCTCCCTCTGTCTTTCAATATGATAGTGTCTACCTTGAAGCTAGCTAGAACAAAGGAATGCACCTTTAATCAGATATTTTCCTTTTTTTTTTTTTTCCTTTTTTTCTGAGACAGGATCTCACTCTGTCATCCAGGGTGGAGTGCAGTGGCACGATCATGGTTTGCTGTAACTTCAACTTCCCGGGCTCAAACAATCCTCCCACCTAAGCCTCCCAACTAGCTGAGACTACAGGTGTGCACCACTTTGCCCAGCTAGTTTTTTAATTTTTTTGTAGGGACGGGGTTTCACTATATTGCCCAGGCTGGTCTTGAACTCCTGGACTCAAACAATCCTCCCACTTCAGCCTCTGAAAGTTCTGGGATTATAGGCATGAGCTGGGATTTTAATCAACTGAGACATTTTCTTGGGCCTTATTATGCAACGCCTTTTAAATTTCCATCTCTTACTATCCGGAAACTAGAAACAGTCAATTTTTTCAATTCTACAGGCCTCAGTATTCTGAATTTTCTCTATTTTAGTTAATTTCTACTGGCAAACAGGCAACTCTTTTTTAAATTTTTTAAAATTTAGACCTAATTCGCATACCATGATATTCACTGTTTTTAAAGTGTACAACTCAGTGGTATTTACTATACTTACAAAGTTGTGCAACCATCACCACTATCTAATTTCAGAATATTATCACCAGCCCCAAAAGAAACCTTGGAACCATTAACAGTCACTCTCCATTTACCACTTCTCCTCTCTCCTAGAAACCATTAATCTACTATCTGTAGATATGGATATGGATTTGCATATTCTAGACATTTCAGATAAATGAAATAATATAATACACGGCCTTTTGTGTCCAATTTCTTTCAGTTAATGTTTTCGAGGTTCAGCCATGTTGTAATGAGAATCAGTACTTTATTTCTTTATATGGATGAATCATATTCCATTGTATAGACACACTATTTTTTTTAATCCGTTCATCGGTGGATGGACATGAGGGTTGTTTCCACTTTTGAGCTATTATAAATAATTGTGCCACGAAAAATTATATACAGATTTTTATGGGAATGTGTGTGTTTTATAGCTCTTAGATAGGTACCTAAGAGTGGAATTGATGGGTCATACAGGAATTGTATGTTTAACATTTTGACGAACTTTCAAACTATTTTCCAAACTAGTAACACCATATGACTTCCCACCAGCAGTGTATAAGGGTTCCAATTTCTCCACATCCTCACCAGCGCTTGTCATTGTCTCTATTTAATCACAGTCATGTTAGTGAGTAGGAAGTGGTATCCCATTTTAGGTTTAATTTGCATTTCCCTAATGACTAATGATTTTGAGCATCTTTTCATGTGCTTCTTGTCCATTTGTGTATCTTATTTGGAAAAAACATCTATCAAATCCTTTGTGCATTTAAAAATTAGGTTATTTCTTTTTGTTATTGAGTTATAATAGTTCTTTATATATTCTGGATACTAGATGTTTATCAGATACACATGACTTGCAAATATTTTCTCAAGTTCTGAGTTGTCTTTTCACTCTCTTTATAGTGTTCTTTGAAACACTTAATAGTGTCCTTTAATTTTGATGAAGACTGTTTTTTCTTTTGTTGCTTGTGCTTTTGGTATCATATGTAAGAAATCATTGCATAATCCAAGGCCATGTATACCTATGTTTTCTTCTAAGAGTATTATAGTTTTAGCTCTTAAGTTTAGATCTTTGATAATTTTGAATTAATTTTTGTGTACAGTGTGAGTAGTAGTCCAACTTCATTCTTTTGCATGGATATCCAGTTTTCTCAGCTCCATTTGTTGAAGAGACTATTCATTCCTTATTGAATGGTCTTGGCACCTTTATTGAAAATCAATTGGCTATAAATACGTGGGCTAATTTCTGGACTCTCTGTTGATTGATTTATATATCTATCCTTATGCTAGTACCACACTATCTTTATTATTACACTTTGTAGTAAGTTTTGAACCTGAAAATGTGAATGCCCCAACTTTGTTCTTCTTTCTCAAGATTATTTTGGCTATTCTGGATCCCTTGTATTTCCACATGAATTTTATTATCAGCTTGTCAATTTCTGCAAAAACCTGGCTGGGATTTTCTAATTTCATTCCGTTGTGGTTAGGGAACATACTGTATATTATTCAAAAGCATACATCAGTTTGGGGAGTACTGCCATCTTACAATATTGAGTCTTCCAATTTGTGAATATGCGATGTCTTCATTTATTTAGGTCTTCTTTAATTTCCTTTAGCAGTGTTTCATCTTTTTTTAGTGTGCAAATATTGCAATTCTTTTGTTAAGTTTGTCTCTACATATATTATTCTTTTTGATGCTACTGTAAATGGAATTATTTTCTTAATTTCATTTTTGGATTGTTCATTATTAGTGTACAGAAATACAAGCAATTTCTGTATATTAACCTTATATCCTGCAGCCTTGCTGAACTCATTGTTAGCTCTAAGATTTTTTTTGTGGATTCCCTTGATATTCTATATTCAGTAAGATGTTATCTGCAAGTAAAGATCATTCTACTTCTTTCTTTCAAATATAGATGCCAATTTTTTTCTTGATCAAGTTCCCTAACTACAACCTCCAGTACAATGTTGAATAGAAGTAACAAGAGTGGACATCCTTGTTTCATTCCTATCTTAGGGGAAAGCTTTTATTCTTTCACCTTTAGGTATGATGTTAGCTGTGGGGTTTTCATATATGCTTTTTAGAAGATTGAGAAAGTTTCTTTCTAATTCCTACTTTGTTGTGTGTTTTGACCATGAAAAGGTGCTGGTTTTTGTCAAATGCTTTTTCTTCATCTATTAAGATGATAATGTGGTTTTTGTCCTTTATACTATTAATATGGCATATTACATTTATTGATTTTTGCATGTTGAATCAATCTTGCATTCCTGCCATAAGTCCTGCTTTGTCATGGTATAAAATACTTTTTATATGTTGCTGATTCAGTTTCCCGGTATTTTTATGAGGATTTTGCATCTATATTTATAAGGAATATTGGTTTCTGCTTGTGATATTTTGTTCTGCCTTTGGTATCAAAGTAATACTGCCTCATAGAATGACTTGGAAAATGTTCTCTCCTCTTATAATTTTTGGAAGTATTTGTGAAGTATTGGGCTTAACTCTTTAATACTAGGTATTATAAAATTCACCAGTGAGGCCATTTGTCATCTACTTTTCTTTGTGGCAAGTACTTTTAATCACTAATTCAATCTCTTTACTTGTTACAGGTCTGTTTCAATTTTCTATTTCTTCTTGAGTCAATTTCAGTAATTTGTGTCTTTCTAGGAATCTGTTCATTTTATCTAGATTATCTAACACATTAGCACACAAGTGTTCATAATATTACCTTATATTCCTTTCTATTTTTGCAAGGTCGGTAGCAACATCCCCTCTTTCATTCTTGATTTTAGTAATTTGATTCTGTCTCTCTCTCTCTGTCTCTCTCTCTCTCTCTCTCTATGCTCTCCCTCTCTCTCTCTCTCTCTGTCAGTCAAGGTAAAGGTCTGTTAATTTTGTTGACCTTTTCAAAGAACCAACTTTTGGGTTTGTTTTTTTTTCTCTATTCTTTTCTATTTACATTTCATTCCTTTCTGCTCTAATCTTTATTGGTTTCCTCCTTCTGCTTGTTCTGGGTTTAGTTTGCTCTTGTTTTTCTAGTTCCTTAAGGTAGAAGTTTAGGTTACTAATATGAGTTCTTTGTCCTTTTTTCAATTTGGGTGTTTATAGCTATAATATTCTCTAAGCACTGCTTTGGTTTCATCCCATAAGTTTTGGTATGTCATGTTTTTATTTTCATTCATCTCAAAGTATTTTCTAGTTTTGTCTGTGATTTCTTCTTTGACTCATTGATTATTCAGAAATGTTCTTTAATTTCCATATATTTGTGAATTTCCCTCTGTTATTGATTTCTAATCTCATTCTGTGTGGTTAGGAAACATACTTTATATTATTTCAGAACTTTGAAATTTACTGAAACTTGTTTAATGACCTGACATATGGTCTAAACTGGAGAATTCTCCATGTGCACTTAAGAAGAATGTATAGTCAGTTGTTTCTGAGTGAAGGGTTATATTGCTATTAGATCTAGTATGTTTATATTGGTATTTAGTCTCTATTCCCATATTGATTTTCTGTCTAGTTGCTCTATCCATGATTGAAAGTGGTGTATTGAAGTCTTCAACCATTATTGTATCAATTCTGTCAGTTTTTGTTTCATGTATTTTGGGTCTCTGTTGTTAGGTGCATATATGTTTATAATTTTTATATCTTCTTGACAAATTGATTTATTTATAATTATAAAACTGTTCTTTGTCTCTGATAACAATTTTTGTCTTAAAGTCTATTTTGTCTGATATTAGTATAGCCACTCCAGCTTTCTTTTGGTTACTGTTTGCCTGATATATGTTTTTCCATTCTTTTACCTTGAACCTATTTCTGTTTTTGAATCAAACATGTGTCTCTTATATGCAGCATATAGTTGGATCATGTATTGTCCATTCTGCAAGTCTCTGGCCAGTCCTATTCTGAAGTTTTCTTGTAATACTTGCCAAATGCAGAAATAGTAGCCAACACATCTACTAATGTTCTGTTTTTCAGTCTCTTTTCCTAGAGATGCCATATAAGTAAATATGAAGCTTGCCTCCCAAGTTAGATTGGTTAGTAATATTTTGGCACAACATAACATGCATTGACATATTTCTGGTCTCCAACACCAGGCTTCCTCTCAGCACACCATCAGCTATTATAGCAGTGCCCTATTTCAATGTACCTATATCTGTCTTAGTATGATATTTATATTAGTCATAGTATGATAAACTATACCCTAGTAATAAATTAACTCAAAAATCTTAGTGTCTATTCACAATAGCCAAGATTTGGAAACAACCTAAGTGTCCATCAATAGACAAAGGGATAAAGAAAATGTAATACATATACACAATGGAGTACTATTCAGTCATTAAATAAATGAGATCCTGTCATTTGCAAAAATATGGATAGAACTGGAGGTCATTATGTTAAGTGAAATAAGCCAGACACAGTTAGACAAATTTCACATGTTCTCACTTATTTGTGAGAGCTAAAAACTAAAACAATTGAATCATGGAGATAGAGAGCAGAATGATGGTTACTGAGGGCTGGAAGGGTAGTTGGTGGGGTGAGGGGGAAGAGAGATTCATCAGTGGGTACAAAAAATAGAAAGAAATAAGATCTAGAATTTGACAGTACAACAGGGTGGCTATCATTAACGATAATTTAATTATATATTTTAAATTACTAAAACTGTGTAATGGGATTGTTTGTAACACAAAGAAAGAATAAATGTTTGAGGTGATGATACTCCATTTACCCTGATGTGACTATTATACATTGTATGCACATATCAAAAGATCCTATATACCCCATAAACATATACACCTACTATGTAGCCACAAAAACTAAACATTAAAAAAACACTTTTAAGTTTAAATCTTAGCAGTCTAACCCAACAAAGGTTTATTTCTCACTCATGTCACCATCCAAGGCAGGTCAGGTAACTCCTGTGTGGCTTTCTCCAAGCAGTAAAGATGTTCCCATCTGGCAATTTAGGCATTTCAGAGCTCTTCACTTCTGGAGCCATAGAAAGGAGTGAAGAGGAGTGGCTGATAATGCAGCGGGGCCAGGGGGCGGGGGTGTTATTTCCAGGATAGAAAACGGCACAAAGTTTTCTGCTTACTTCTGATGGGCTACACATCACATAACTCCAAATCAACTGCAACAGAAATAGGGACTTTATAGGAACACATTGGTATTTGGTGATCACTAGTAGTCTCCACCACACCCCATTCCATAAACAAATCAAAATTTCACTTTGAAAGGGGAGAAGAGTGTCTAGAGTCAACTATTTTATGAATACAGGCCATGTAGGGTTCTAAGAAGCATCATGATTAAGTGGTTTTAGCTCTGGAGCCAGTCCATCTGGGTTCAAATCTTGGATCTGCTGTCTATTAATTATGTCACCTTAGGCATACTTAAGCCCTATAAGCTTCGGTTTCTTCATCTGTAAAGTGGGGATTAAATATTACCTACCTCCTAGGTTTATTGTCAACATGAAATGAGACATTTCAGTGCAGTACCTAGCATACATTAAATGTATAACAGATATAACCTATTATTAGCTAAAGAGCTAGAAAATAATGGGACATGAAATAAAACCATACAGATAATATTATAACTGTTAATGATATTTCCCTCTGCATACCTGATTGGAAGTGCTCTTGTCTGGGGGCTCTAAGCAGTGGCAGGAAACAGGAGGCAAGACAGATGAGGCGCTAATAGGCCTACTTATATGAGATGAACAGGCATCTGATAATGGTATTAGCTCTCAGAAGTGCATTAGTCCAGGCATGAGAATGCCCCCCTGAGGACTAAGAGAGGAGAGACTTAATTGAAGTTCAATTTAAATCTCAATCATATCCCTACTCACAGGAGAGTAGAGCTGCCTGCCTGGTGGCAAGAAGCTTGGACTCTACTTGGGCTGCCTCTGATATTTCAAACCACTCTGTAGATCTGCGAATCCCAGTGGGAGAGTCTAGAGGGAAAATGGCAAGTGTGAATCTTCCAGCACCATTCTGGGAAGCAGGACTAGGAGCTCTTGTTGTTGCCGCAGCTAAGAGGTGATACTACAAGGGGATCAGTGAGATAACGTAATTCATCTGAGCTGTGCACAGTCAATCTGCTGTCTGAATTCAGGGTCTTCATCCGAGAGATGATAGAGCCTAGTGGTTAAGAGCACAGGTTCCAGAGTCAGACTTGCTGAGTTCAAGTCCTAGCTCCTCCCTTGAGTTGATTGTGTGAATCTAAAGAAGTCACTAAGTCCTTCAAGCCTTAGATTATTCATCTGTAAACTGGGATTTGTATTATTGTCTTGGATGTCTTCTATTTGCCCTTCCATATGTGCTCTCATTCCTCTCTACCCTGACCTGTGTCCCAGGAGGATGGCCTATATGAACCACATCCAGGGACTCCTTTGCCCTCTGGCTTCTAGTTGCACCCATGAAATGGGAAGGTGGGAGGAGAGTGACATCTTGGTGCTTATTCCCCTGGTACCCACACCACTGGGTTGCTAAGGGTTGGTTATGACCCTCTCCCAGAGACTGAAACTACTTTCAGGCAGCCTTTTGACAGCTCTTTCCATAGGTTCCAGAAGCCACTACCTCCTCTTTCCCCTTCAGGCCTGGGATGGTAACAGCTCCCATACTCACTAGCCCCAAGATACTGCAACATCCTTTGTTGCTTTCCCTAAACTCTTCTCACTTAATCCCCTCATTAAATGCTCTTCAATTACCCACTTTTCAATGTGCCAAAGCCCTGAGTGATAGAATTGTGTGCTTGCAGTTATCTCCCTTTGAGTGACCAATCAGCTCACAGGGATTCCATTTCTCTGAGCACAGCTCCTATATAAACCTGAGAGAGCCTGGTGGCCATGCCTATGTTACAGGGTCCTTCAACCTGATTGGTCCAGGGATATACACCTGACCCAAGATAGGCCAATCAGATTCTCCCACCCTGAAACGTGGTATTTGGAACAGAGTGATAATAGGGGCTAGGAGCTAGCAGTGCTGCACCAGGTTTAACCCCAAATTCACCTCCTAAGGGGACAAGATCAGGCAAGAATGGGTTCTTGTCCTTCCAAGTTTTGATTGTTCAATCCTTCCTCTGACAGGGTATCCATTAGATACTCTATCATCCTTTCAATTCATTTGTTCTTTTCCTGACTAGCTAGATTTGGTTTCTGTTGCTTACAATCTAAAGAACCTCAACAGACTCAGCACCTCATGGAATTTTTATTAGATATATGTAGGGTTTTTAGCAAAGTGCTTAGTTTATGGCAAGCTCTCAATAATTTTTTACATTTATTATCTGTAGAAGTAGAGCTAATAATTGCCTCACAGGTTTTGTGACAATTAAATGAGTCTGTGCAGTATCTACTAAACCCTGATGGTCACACACAGAACTCACATCTGGAAAATTAAGTAGAGGTTCTGAATGAATCTCAATTGGTTCTAACGTCCTGCAAGAGGGATAATTTTAACAATGCCTCAGACTGATCAGCCCTGGAATGGACATGTTATTTGGTCTGCTTGTGTTTCTTCACTTAGAAATGGTTCTGCCCTTGCTTCCAAGGGAGACTTGTGGGACTGCCACTCAAGTAATAGGGAGGAAGAGGGGCAAATATGACAAGCTGGCCAGACAGAAGACCCATCCCCTGGACACAGGGATGTCCAAGATGCCCAAGCAATGAGCAGTTGGAGTCCTCTGAGGAACAGGGGGGGCTCTAGGAGGAGTCTCTTCTTCTGAGGTCACAAGCTTAAGGATTCTGAAAACCTGGAGTCTTTGAGATTCTTTCAACATGTGGGAAAAGTGTGCTAGGAAAGAAATTCATCATAGAGAGAAGCAGGCCCACAAGAGAGGAAAAGAGAGAAACAGATTCCTGGCAAAATTTTTGGGTTTCCTGAGCCAGCTACACTTAAAGCTGAAACCTAGAGTTTTCAGTTATGATCACCAATATATTTCCTTTCTTTCTATGTTGATTTGAGATGGATACCTGTTATGTGCAATTGAAATAGTCCTATTATATAAACCAATCTTCTGAAAAGTTTAGACACTGTCAGAGTTATTACCTTTGTCTTAACAAAAGCCCTGGGAAATAAGCGGGTACAGAAATTTTTCTTCCCATTTTTCTGGCAGAAAAAAAAAACCCTTATATTAAGAAACATATCCAAATTTACACAGCAAGTCAATGCACCAAAATGGCCAATGAGTCAGGGTCCTATCAGGGCCAATATCAGGGCCAAATTATTTATGGCTTTTGTGAGTCCCCAATACGTTTGTCTTTCTGAGCTCCTTCCTCCATAAAATAATACTTAAAATTATATTTTATGAATTCATGAGTATAAAGACAAATATAATCCAGTTTGGGTTCGTTGTTATATATTTTATATTCATTTTTTTCTATTTTTAAAAGAAATTAAAATTAATACTTTTTTATAGGGCTGGTCCCTAATGTGCCTACTAGATAAGCTGGCTTTCAGTCTTCTTTGCAAAAGAAATTAGAAGAGAGTATGGGGACGTGGTGTTTCAGAGGGAATCGGGGGCAAGGCCAATGGCAGCTCCACTGGAGAGATGTGAGGCTTGTGGTCCTGGGCCTAGCCGGGTCGCAGCAGCTGAGCTGGAGGTCAAGGATGCACTCCAGGAGAGTTCCATAAAAATATATCATCAGCTCCAACCTGATATTTGACCTAGCCATGGAAAACCTCATTGGCTCCTCACTAGATCAGAGCATAGCTGGCACTCTTAAAAACGCTTCCCATGAAAAAGTATCAGGAATGAAAATTTAAGATACATTCCTACCACTTCAAGATATTCTTATACGAGTCAACAGTCTAGCAGATCAGCTAGTCTCTTTCATCATCAAGCTGACATACTCGAGGCACCAACACAGCAAAGGGCACAACATGTCTCTCTATGAGTATTTTTTATACTATGTGTGTGACCCATTAGTGAGGCATGAAATTAATTCTGTGAGTCACAATAAACTTAAAAAAAAAAATAAATGTAGGTGGCTGGCAAGATGGTGGAATAGGAACAGCTCCAGTCTGCAGCTCCCAGTGAGATCAACACAGAAGGCAGGTGATTTCTGCATTTCCAAATGAAGTATCCAGCTCATCTCACTGGGACTGGTTAGACAGCGGGTGCAGCCCACAGAGGACAAGCTGAAGCAGGGTGGGGTGTCACCTCATCCAGGAAGTACAAGGAGTTGGGGAACTCCTTCCCCTAGTGAAGGGAAACCGTGAGGGACTGTGCCATGAGGAACGGTGCACTCCAGCCCAGATACTACACTTTTCCCACAGTCTTCGCAACCCAGGTGAGATTCCCTCGGGTGCCTACACCCCCAGGGCCCTGGGATTCAAGCACAAAACTGGGCAGCCATTTGGGAAGACACCAAGCTAGCTGCAGGAGTTTTTTCATACCCCAGCAGCACCTGGAACACCAGTGAGACAGAACCATTCACGCCCCTGGAAAGGGGGCTGAAGCCTAGGAGCCAAGTGGTCTAGCTCAGCGGATCCTACCTCCTCAGAGCCCAGCAAGCTAAGATCCACTGACTTGAAATTCTTGCTGCCAGCACAGCAGTCTGAAGTCTACCTGGGATGCTTGAGCTTGGTTGGGGGAGGGGCATCCACCATTACTGAGGC
Source organism: Homo sapiens (assembly GCF_000001405.40). Taxonomy (NCBI): domain Eukaryota; kingdom Metazoa; phylum Chordata; class Mammalia; order Primates; family Hominidae; genus Homo; species Homo sapiens. Next base: position 10,425,910 of record NC_000011.10, on the reverse strand, counting down.
TTGAGTAGGCAGTTTTCCCCTCATAGTGTAAACAAAGCCACAGGGAAGTTTGAACTGGATGGAGCCCACCACAGCTCGGCAAAGCTGCTGTAGCCAGACTGCCTCTCTAGATTCCTCCTCTCTGGGCAGGGCATCTCTGAAAGAAAGGCAGCAGCCCTAGTCAGAGGCTTATAGTTAAAGCTCGCATCTCCCTGGGACAGAGCATCTGGGGGAAGCGGCGGCTGTGGGCGCAGCTTCAGCAGACTTAAACGTTCCTGCCTGCCAGCTCTGAAGAGAGCAGCAGATCTCCCAGCACAGCGTTTGAGCTCTGCTAAGGGACAGAGTGCCTCCTCACGTGGGTCCCTGACCCCTGTGCCTCCTGACTGGGAGACACCTCCCAGCAGGGATGGACAGACACTTCCTACAGGAGAGCTCCAGCTGACCTCTGGTGGGTGCCCCTCTGGGACGAAGCTTCCAGAGGAAGAAACAGGCAGCAATCTTTGTTGTGCTGCAGCCTCCATTGGTGATAACCAGGAAAACAGGGTCTGGAGTGGACCTCCAGCAAATTCCAGCAGATCTGCAGCAAAGGGGCCTGACTGTTACAAGGAAAACTAACAAACAGAAAGGAATACCATCAACATAAACAAAAAGGACGTCCACGCCAAAACCCCATCTGAAGATCACCAACATCAAAGACTGAAGGTAGATAAATCCACAAAGATGAGGAAAAATCAGTGCAAAAAGGCTGAAAATTCCAAAAACCAGAATGCCTCTTCTCCTTCAAAGGATCACAACTCCTCGCCCAGCAAGGGAATAAAACTGGATGGAGAATGAGTTTGACCAATTGACAGAAGTAGGCTTCAGAAGGTATGTAATAACAAACTCCTCCAAGCTAAAGCAGCATGTTTTAACCCAATGCAAGGAAGCTAAGAACTTTGAAAAAAGGTTAGACAAATTGCTAACTAGAATAATCAGTTTAGAGAAGAACATAAATGAGCTGAAAAACACAGCACAAGAACTTCGTGAAGCACACACAAGTAACAATACCCGAATCAATCAAGCGGAAGAAAAGATATCAGAGATTGAAGACCAACTTAATGAAATAAAGTGTGAAGATAAGATGAGAGAAAAAAGAATGAAAAGGAATAAACAAAGCCTCCAAGAAATATGGACCTATGTGAAAAGACAAAACCTACATTTGATTGATGTACCTAAAAGTGACAGGGAGAATGGAACCAAGTAGGAAAATACTCTTCAGGATATCATCCAGGAGAACGTCCCCACCCTAGCAAGACAGGTCAACATTCAAATTCAGGAAATACAGAGAACACCACAAAGATATTCCTCAAGAAGAGCAACCCCAAGACACATAATCCTCAGATTCACCAAGGTTGAAATGAAGGAAAAAATGTTAAGGGCAGCCAGAGAGAAAGGTTGGGTTACCCGCAAAGGGAAGCCCATCAGACTAACAGCAGATCTCTCTGCAGAAACCCTACAAGCCAGAAGAGAGTGGGGGCCAATAGTCAGCATTCTTGAAGAAAAGAATTTTCAACCCAGAATTTCATATCAGCCAAACTAAGCTTCATAAGCGAAAGAGAAATAAAATCCTTTACAGACAAGCAAATGCTGAGAGATTTTGTCACCACCAGGCCTGCCTTACAAGAGCTCCTGAAGGAAGCACTAAACATGGAAAGGAACAACCAGTACCAGCCACTGCAAACATACCAAATTGTAAAGACCATCGACACTATGAAGAAACTGTATCAACTGACGGGCAAAATAACCAGCTAGCATCATAATAACAGAATCAAATTCACACATAACAATACTAACCTTAAATGTAAACAGGCTAAATGCTCCAATTAAAAGACACAAACTGGCAAATTGGATGAAGAGTCAAGACGCATCAGTATTCAGGAGACTCATCTCACTTGCAAAGACATACATAGGTTCAAAATAAAGGGATGGAGGAATATTTACCAAGCAAATGGAAAGAAAAAAAAAAAAAGCAGGGGTTGCAATCCTAGTCTCTGATGAAACAGACTTTAAACCAACAAAGATCAAAAGCGACAAAGAAGGGCATTACATAATGTTAAAGGGATCAACGCAACAAGAAGAGCTAACTAGCCTAAATATATACGCACCCAATACAGGAGCACCCAGATTCATAAAGTTCTTAGAGACCTACAAAGAGACTTAGACTCCCACACAATAATAGGGGGAGACTTTAACACCCCACTGGCAGATCAACGAGACAGAAAATTAACAAAGATATTCAGGACTCAAACTCAGCTCTGGACCAAGCAGACCTAATAGACATCTACAGAACTCTCCACCCCAAATCAATAGAATATACATTCTTCTCAGTACCACATCACACTTATTCTAAAATAGACCACATAATTGGAAATAAAACACTCCTCAGGAAATGCAAAAGAATGGAAATCATAGCAAACAGTCTCTCAGACCACAGTGAAATCAAATTAGAACTCAGGATTAAGAAACTCACTCAAAGCTGCACAACTACATAGAAACTGAACAACCTGCTCCTGAATGCCTACTGGGTAAATAACAAAATTAAGGCAGAAATAAATAAGTTCTTTGAAACCAATGAGAACAGACACACAACATACCAGAATCTCTGGGACACAGCTAAGGCAGTGTTTAGAGGGAAATTTATAGCACTTAATGGCCACAGGAGAAAGCAGGAAAGATCTAAACTCGACACCCTAACATCACAATTAAAAGAACTAGTGAAGCAAGAGCAAACAAATTCAAAACCTAGCAGAAGACAAGAAATAACTGAGATCAGAGCAGCAATGAGATAGAGACACAAAAAACCCTTCAAAAAAATCAATGAATCTAGGAGCCAGTTTTTTGAAAAGATCAACAAAATAGATAGACCACTAGCCAGACTAATAAAGAAGAATAGACAGAAGAATCAAATAGAAGCAATAAAAAATGATAAAGGGGATATCACCATTAATCCCACAGAAATATAAACTACCAACAGAGAATACTATAAACACCTCTACGCAAATACACTAAACAATCTAGAAGAAATGGATAAATTCCTGGACACATACACCCTCTCAAGACTAAACCAGGAAGAAGTGAAATCCCTGAATAGACCAATAACAAGTTCTGAAATTGAGGCAGTAATGAATAGCCTACCAACCAAAAAAAGCTCAGAACCAGACAGATTCACAGCCAAATTCTACCAGAGGGACAAAGAGGAGCTGGTACCATTCCTTCTGAAACTATTCCAAACAATAGAAGATGAGGGACTCCTCCCTAACTCATTTTATGAGGCCAGCATCATCCTGATACCAAAACCTGGCAGAGGCACAACAGAAAAAGAAAATTTCAGGCCAATATCCCTGATGAACATTGATAGGAAAATCCTCAATAAAATACCAGCAAACCAAATCTAGCAGCACATCCAAAAGCTTATCCACCACGATCAAGTTGGCTCCATAGCTGGGATGCAAGGCTGGTTCAACATATGCAAATCAATAAATGTAATCCATCACATAAGCAGAACCAATGACAAAAAACACATGATTATCTGAATAGATGCAGAAAAGGCCTTTGATATAATTCAGCACCCCTTCATGCTAAAAACTCTCAATAAACTAGGTATTGATGGAACGTATCTCAAAATAATAAGAGCTATTTATGACAAACCCACAGGCAATATCATACTGAATGGGCAAAAACTGGAAGCATTCCCTTTGAAAACCGGCACAAGACAAGGATGCCCTCTCTCACCACTCCTACTCAACATAGTATTGGAAGTTCTGGCCAGGGCAATCAGGCAAGAGAAAGAAATAAAGGGTATTCAAATAACAAGAGAGGAAGTCAAATTGTCTCTCTTCGCAGATGACATGATTGTACATTTAGAAAACCCCATCATCTCAGCGCAAAATCTCCTTAGCTGATAAGAAACTTTAGCAAAGTCTCAAGACACAAAATCAGTGTACAAAAATCACAGGCATTCCTATACACCAATAATAGACAAACAGAGCCAAATCATGAGTGAACTCCCATTCTCAATTGCTACTAAGAGAATAAAATACCTAGGAATAGAACTTACGAGGGATGTGAAGGACCTTTTCAAGGAGAACTACAAACCAATGCTCAAGGAAATAAGAGACGACACAAACAAATAGAAAAACATTCCATGCTCATGGATAGCAAGAATCAATACCGTGAAAATGGCCATGCTGCCCAAGGTAATTTATAGGTTCAATGCTATCCCCAACAAGCTACCATTGACTTTCTTCACAGAATTAGAAAAAACTACTTTAAATTTCATTTGGAACCAAAAAAGAGCCCATATAGTGAAGACAGTCCTAAGCAGAAAGAACAAAGCTGGAAGCATCACACTACCTGACTTCAAACTATACTACAAGGCTACAGTAACCAAAACAGCATGGTACTGGTACTACAACAGACATATAGACCAACGGAACAGAACAGAGGCCTCAGAAATAAATGCCACACATCTACAGCCATCTGCTCTTTGACAAACTTGACAGAAACAAGCAATGGGGAAAGGATTCCCTATTTAATAAATGGTGTTGGGAAAACAGGCTAGCCATATGCAGTAAACTGAAAATGGACCCCTTCCTTACACCTAATACAAAAATTAACTCAAGATGGATTAAAGACTTAGATGTAGGACCTAAAACCATAAAAACCCTAGAAGAAAACCTAGGCAATACCATTCAGGACATAGGCATGGGCAACGACTTCATGTCTAAAACACCAAAAGCAATGGCAACAAAAGTCAAAATTGACAAATGGGATCTAATTAAACTAAAGAGCTTCTGCACAGCAAAAGAAACTATCATCAGAGTAAACAGGCAACCCTCAGAAAAAACAACCCCATCAAAAAGTCAGCGAAGGATATGAATAGGACACGTCTCAATAGAAAACATTTATGTGGCCAATAAACATATGAAAAAATGCTCATCATCACTGGTCATTAGAGAAATGCAAATCAAAACCACAATGAGATACCATCTCACACCAGTTAGAATGGTGATCATTAAAAAGTCAGGAAACAACAGATGTTGGAGAGGATGTGGAGAAATAGGAATGCTTTTACACTGTTAGTGGGAGTGTAAATTAGTTCAACCATTGTGGAAGACAGTGTGGCGATTCTTTAAGGATCTAGAACCAGAAATACCATTTGACCCAGTGATCCCATTACTGGGTATATACCCAAAGGATTATAAATCATTCTACTGTAAAGACACATGCACACGTATGTTTATTGCAGCACTGTTCACAATAGCAAAGACTTGGAACCAACCCAAATGCCCATCAATGATAGGCTGGATAAAGAAAATGTGGCACATATACACCATGGAATACTATGCAGCCATAAAAAAGGATGAGTTTATGTCCTTTGCAGGAACATGGATGAAGCTGGAAACCATCATTCTCAGCAAACTAACACAGGAGCAGAAAACCAAACACCACATATTCTCACTCATAAGTGGGAGTTGAACAATGAGAACACATGGACACAGGGAGGAGAACATCACACACTGGGGCCTGTTGGGGTGGGGGGATGGGGGAGGGATAGCATTAGGAGAAATATCTAATGTAGATGACGGGTTGATGGGTGCAGCAAATCAACATGGCATGTGTATACGTATGTAACAAACCTGCACATTTTGCACATGTATCCCAGAACTTAAAGTATAACTTAAAAAGTGTAAAATATCAAAGTGCTTTGCATGGATCCTTTGCCTGAATTGTGCATGTTGCAAGGAATAGTGAGGTCAATTTCAATATGTGAGAAAGGTATTTGATGGAGGGGATATGATGAATACAATGTATGTTGGCTAAGAAGTGGTTTTCAGTCATTTGCTCTTGGGTGTCTCGCTTGGTTTTCATATTAGCAAAGTGAATGTTGTGCAGTCAAGTTTTATATTACAATGACTTGAAACTGGAGATAGTCAACTGAGATTCAATTGCAAACTTTGAGTGTAGTTTTTGAAAAGATGTCATTTAAACTATATATATGTGTATTTTTTTCTTCTTTTTTGAGTTAGTACCAATTATACCATTTTAATCAAACTGGAAAAAATTGCTATTAAATGCATAATTTCTTTATTAAAAGAAAGAGGAATCATGAAATGAAATATACAGAAGCATGCTGAAGTTCATCTGTTGAATTTGGAAGTGTGAATAGTGACAATACTGAGAAAAATACAGACTCTAATCTGCAAACTGAAACTTCATTTGAGCCTCATTTCAAAAAGAAAAACTTAAGTGCAAGACGCTATTATGATTACTTAAAATATGGCTTTATCAAATGTGAAAAGCCCACTGAAAATGACAGACCTCAGTGTGTTATTTGTAATAATATTCTTGCAAATGAAAGCTTAAAACCTAAATTAAAAAGGCACTTAGAAATTCAGCATGCTGAACTTATTGATAAGCCTCTTGAATATTTTCGAAGAAAGAAAGAAGACATAAAATGATCAACACAATTTCTTAGTTGTTCTACTACTGTTAGTGAGAGAGCCGTATCATCATATTTAGTTGCATATCATGTGGCAAAAAGAACATAGCTAACACAGCTGCTGAAAAAATTATTCTTCCAGCATGTTTGGATACAATGCATATGATTTTTGATGAGAAATTAGCTGATAAATTAAAAACTATATCTAATGATAACACAATTATCTCTTTGGATTTGTAGTATTGCAGAACGTTTAGAAACAATGCTTATTACTCCATAACAGTCTGGTATAGATTTTGCAAAGCAGTGTGATGAAAGCACTGATGATATTGGCAGCTGCACAAGACATTCAGTTTATGTCCGATATGCGTGGAAAGATGATTTTATGGAGGGTCTTTTGTGTTTTTTAAGTTTAACCTCATACCCAAGTAGATTAGATATGTTTACAGGATTAGAAAGGCACAGAGTTGGTCAATATAAATTAAACTGGAAAAACTGTAAAGGAATTGCAGGTGACGTCACAGCAAAAGTAACTGGAAAACACAGCAGAGTCATTAAAAAATTACTAGAAGTGACTAATAGTTGTACTGTGTGGAATCATTGTTTTATACATCATGAAGGTTTAGCATCCAGAGAAATTCCACAGTATCTCATGGAAGTACTGAAAAATGCAGTGAAGTTGTCAGTTTTATTAAAGGAAACTCACTGAATAACCAGCTTCTTGAAACGTTTTGTTCAGAGATTGGAACTAACCATACCCACTTTCTGTGTCATACCAAAGTTCGTTGGTTGTCTCAAGGGAAAATACTAAGCAGGGTTTATGAGCTCAGGAATCAGATTGACTTTTTTTCTCATTGAAAAAAATCTCATTTGGCAAATATTTTTGAAGATGACATTTGGATAAAAAAATTGGCATATTTAACTGGTATTTTTGGTATTCTTAATAAACTGAATTTAAAACCACGGGGGAAAAACAGTGATGTATTCCAACATGTCAGACATATCCAGGGATTTCGAAAGACATTATTGTTATGGCAAGCAAGACTTACAAGTAACTGTCCTAGCTACTACGTTTCCAAGATTTTTGCAACATATTGAAGAGAATATTATTAATGGAAACATTTTGAAAGAAATAAAATTAGAGACATTGTTGAATCTCACTTCTCTATCTCAAATTTTTAACCATTTCTTTCCAGAAGAAAAATTTGAAACATTCAGGGAAAATAGTTGGGTAAAAGATCCGCTTGCGGCAAGGTGCCCTGGCTCACGCCTGTAATCCCAGCACTGTGGGAGGCTGAGGCGGGCAGATCACGAGCTCAGGAGATCAAGACCATCCTGGCCAACATGGTGAAACCCCGTCTCTACTAAAAATACAAAAATTAGCTGGGTGTAGTGGTGTGCGCCTCTAGTCCCAGCTACTTGGAAGGCTGAGGCAGGTGAATCACTTGAACCTAGGAGGCAGAGGTTGCAGTGAGCCGAGATCGTGCCACTGCAGTCCAGCCTGGCGACCGTCTCAAAAAAAAAAAAAAACAATCAGTTTGCTTTTTGAAACCCAGAATCAATAACTGGGCTTAGTTAATAACTGGTGCCTGAAGAAGAGAATGAATTATCTTAGTTTAGTTCTTCATATACATTGAAGAATGATTATGAGACCTTAAATTTATCAGCATTTTGAATTAAGGTAAAGGAAGACTTTCCTTTGTTAAGTAGAAAGAGTGTCCTACTATTACTACCATTCACAACAACTAGTTTGTGTGAACTAGGGTTTTCTATCTTAACTCAGTTAAAAGCAACAGAAAGGAATGGATCAAATGGTGCAGCAGCTATGTGGGTAGCATTATCTTCCTGTGTTCCAGACTGGAATGAACTTATGAACAGGCAAGCACACCCATCATAATAAATAAAATCTTATCTAGGTTTTGGTTTTGTATTTCTTATTTTGTAGTATTTTTCTATGTTATATTTAAATGGGAATATAACATTATATGTGATACTTTTGTTATGTTTTAATTTTTGTTGTATCTGATAAAATTATTTTATGTTTGCTTAAAAAAAGAAAGTATGGAAATGAGATAATACATGTGAATATACTAAAGTGCTCTGTTGACTGTAAATCATTGAACAAATGTAGTAACTATTACATTTATTTCTAAAAGGGTGCTCTCTGGAGGGTAATGGAGGTATGTGGTCAAGAAATAGTTAAAAGTCAAAACCCTAAGTGGCTACAGATGTTTAATGGTAGACCAGAAGGATGGGGAATCAATGACTTTTGGCAGTAAGGAGCCCTTTGTAGGTCAGCATCCACCCCTGCTGACCAGCCTGCTCCCATGATGTGGCCCAGCATGAGGCACAGCTGAGGAGAAGCCAATCCTGGGCACAGCTGGAGGCAGGCAGAGACCCTCACAGGTGTCTAGGCCATGCTCCTCAACTGGACAAGGCTGGTAGAAGCCACCTAGGGGGATCTGGGCCAAGGAAGAGCTTTAGAAACAAGGCTGGAAAGAGAGTTTTTATTCAGGTTGCCATAGGTGGAATAGAGCCAGCAGCACGGACCAAATGTCAGGTGCAAAAGACAAGGTGAAGCCAAACATGGAACAATGGCAGGTCAGGAACTGGCAGGATTAGGAACAAGCCAGAACACAGTGTGTGGAGCTGTCAGGTGATGTTCAGGTCCAAAGCTATCAAGCAAAGGATATTGAGACCCATGTTAGTGTCATGCTGGCTTTGTGACCCAAAGACAGTCCCTAGTATCTTAAGGAACCCATGCAGAGCCAAACATACTGGATAAAAATAAACTTCCTCAAAAACATGACTACTGGGCCGGGAGCAGTGGCTCACGCCTATAATCCCAGCAACTCAGGAGGCTAAGATGGCGGGATTGCTTGAGTCCAGGAGTTTGAGACCAGCCTGAGCAACATAGCAAGATGTCTATAAAATATTAAAAATCACCTGGGTCTGGTGGCACACACCTGTAGTCCTAGCTACTTGGGAGGCTGACGCGGGAAGATCACTTGACCCAGGGAGGTTGAAGCTGCAGTGAGCCATGATCACCACACTACTGCATCTGGCCTGGGTAACAGAACAAGACCCCATCTCTTAAAAAAAAAAACAGCTATTGAAAATTTTCTCCTTTATTGTGAGCTTTCAGCACCTGCTGATGGAGAGACTGAGAATTCCCCACTATTGATATTAAGACCCATTTTTTTTTTGAGACAGAGTCTCCCTCTGTCTTGCCCAGGCTGAAGTGCAGTGGCACCTCGGCTCACGGCAGCCTCTGCCTCCCGGGTTCAAGCGATTCTCCTGTCTCAGCTGGGATTACAGGTATGTGCCACCACACTTGGCTAATTTTGTATTTTTAGTAGAGATGAGGTTTCACCATGTTGGCCAGGCTTCTCTCGAACTCTTGACCTCAGGAGTCCTTGGCCTCCGAAGTGCTGGGATTACAGGCGTGAGCCACTGCACCTGGCCAAGACTCATTTTAAGCAAGCAAATCATTTCAATGCAGACAGTATGGCATGCAGACAGCTTGAGATGCAGAAGAAGACTTAGAAGCAAAACCAGACAATAAATGAAGAGGATGCTGACAGAATCAGGACAGAGATAATCTCCTGGACACATCTGGCTACAGCTGTCACAGTCCCCTAGAGAAGAGGGACTGGCATCAATAACTGAACAGCACTTCACCCTTTTTGTGATGATTTTGTGTCTATACATTTGCTTAATTCCACTTGTATAGTTCTCATCTCCTAGTGCCAGTATAGTCATTCTAGACTGACCTCTGTGTTGCCATTGTCTTTACAGAGTTCAGGAGAAAACAAAACACCATAAGAAATGCTTGTTGTTATTTAAACAAACAAACAAAAGATACCTAGGCCAGGTGGATTCCAACAGGTAGTCACTGTTTAGGTTCTGCTGCCCAAATGGAGCCAATCAGGTAACTGCTGTCCTTGCCCACTTGGCAAATGTAGAACAAGCCAGAACATTAAAAAACACAGCCTGAACATGCCTCATGGCTATGTGGGTGTGCCACATATTACACAAGGACATAAATTAATTAAGAAGCAAGGAAGGGACTTAGGACTGGGTGAGACATGAAGGAGTCCAAGAAACAGCAAGAACTCCAATCACTGAGAACATGACCTGGGAACCTGCCAGCCAACTGTGCCATCAAGTTAATAAGAATGTGTCGGCCGGGCGTGGTGGCTCACGCCTGTAATCCCAACACTTTGGGAGGCCGAGGCGGGTGGATTACAAGGTCAAGAGATCGAGGCCATCCTGGCCAACATGGTGAAACCCCGTCTCTACCAAAAATACAAAACTTAGCTAGGCATGGTGGTGTGCGCCTGTAGTCCCAGCTACTCCGGAGGCTGAGGCAGGAGAATCGCTTGAACCCAGGAGGCAGAGGTTGCCGTGAGCCGAGATCACACCACTGCACTCCAGCCTGGCGGCAGAACGAGACCCCATCTCAAAGGAAAAAAGAAAAGAGAGAAAGAGAGAACGTGTTGCTGAGAGATGCCAAGTCTCTGCAAGATGACTGAGCGTTTTTCTTGTGCCGCCTCTTTTCTAAGAAGCTAAAGAAGAGGCGATCACAGCTCCAGGACTGCAGGCACATCAGGAAGGAAGTGGGAGGTCCTGGGGAAGCCGCCACCAGGGCTTGGCCGGCTCATGCTCTTCTCAGGGCAGCAAGAGTTGAGGTTTAGGATGCTGAGGTTTCAAAAGTTTGGCTGACTCCAGCCTTCCTTAGTTCTGTAAAAATTCCACAGGAGTGCTGTGATCCCCCTGAAGCCTCCAGTCACTCCTAAAGGAAATTATTTTCAGGCACCTTACTCCCCTCTTTCCTCTCTTCCAGATGTTAAGTTTTAGCTCTCTTCTTTGTTCATAAATATGTTGCTATTTTTGTTTTTGTTGTTTTTCCCCAAACCAAAAACTTCAATAACCACAGAGAAACACAAAGAAAAGGAAACGGTGATAAATAGCCATTGCCCACACTCCAGCCCACACTCTTAGAGAGAATGTGCTCTTAACATCTGCTCCGAGCTAGACCACAGATTTTAGTTTTAACATGGAGGAAAAATAGGCTTCCTTAAAAAGAGCCACACAGGAACATCCTGTATGTCACAGTCCAGGAGCCTCCTACGCAAAAGGGAGCTGGAAGTCAGTGCCGGGTGCAAACGACATGCATCTTCCCTGTCTGATGGTCTCGGGGCCTCCCAGCCATTCTGAGTCCCACTCCTCACCATTGCACTTGACGGAGCTGGCTGACCACGTGGAAAATTACCCAAGGGCCATAAAAAAAAAATTTCCAGAAAGTTACAGAATGTCACAATGGAAAAGCTGTGCGGCTTGGGACAAAAGAATGGAGCAAAATCTTTGCAGAGCAACACGTACTGCACCTTTCCTGAGCTGTCCCACGCTCCCCACATCCACTGCCCCTGCCCTCACCTTTCCCTTCAATTTGTGCTTACTGACCCTTTATAAAATTAGGAGACTTTGTGTCATACTCTGGCCTAGAATGAAGCAAAAGTTCAAGAGACACGCTGTGGAATGCCTGTTCTACCCACATCCCCCTCTCCAGGGACTGTCTCTACTCCTAGTCCCTTTAGCTTAACTGGTCATTCATTCATTTATTGTACATGTATGTATTGAGCACCTATTGTATTCCAAGCACTGTGGTAGATAAAGATATGAAAAATGAGCAATGCAGACAAGGACCCTTTCTCATAGAGTCCATTTTTTAATGGGGAGAGTTAGCTGGTATGCAAGTAAACAAATAAAATAATTTTGGATAATGATACCTACTATGAATTTTTTAAGACAAGCAAAACAAAGTGATGTTCTAGAGCACGGGTCCCCAGGGCCATGAACCAGTACCTGTCCATGGCCTGTTAGGAACTGGGTGGCACAGCAGGAGGTGAGCTGTGGGCCAGCAAGCAAGTGAAGCTTCCTCTGTATTTACAGCCTCTCCTCATCGCTCACATTAGCACCAGAGCTCCACCTCCTGTCAGATCAGTGGTGGCATTAGATACTCATAGGAGCGCGAACCCTATTGTGAACTGCACATGGAAGAATCTAGGTTGTACGCTCCTTATGAGAATCTAATCCCTGATGATCTGAGGTGGAACAGTTTCATCCCAAAACCATTCCTGGAAAAATTGTCTTCCATGAAACCAGTCCCTGGTGCCGAAAAGGTGGGGGACCACTGTTCTAGCAAATGATTTGGGAGAAGGGGTTCCTACTTTAGATAAAATAGACTAAGAGAGCCTCTCTGAGAATGTATGAGCTTGCACCTGAATGATGAGGAGTTGTGGCTGCAGTAAGCATCAAGATTGTGGCTGCAGTCTTCCTTCTTGGGCAGAAGGAAGAACAAGTATAAAGGTCCTGGGGTAGGAATGGGAGATGACCAGAAAGGCCATAGTGGATTAAGCCTGTGTAAAAAAAAAAAAAAAAGGAGTTTAGGCTGGGCACAGTGGCTCACACCCATAATCCCAGCACTTTGGGAGGCCAGGAGTTCAAGACCAGCCTGGGCAACATAGTAAGACCAAATCTCTTTTTTAAAAAAAATTAGCCAGGTGAGGTGGGGTATGCCTGTTGACTTAGTTACTTGGGAGGCTGAGACAGGGCCTGGGAGTTTGAGGCTGCAGTGAAACATGATGAAGCTGCTGCACCCCACCCTGGGCAATAGTAAGACCTCATCTCTAAAAAGAAGAGAAAGAGTTTGCAGAGGAGCAGAGGCCTTGGTAAGAAGTGTGAAATTTATTTTAAGGCAACAGGAAATCACTGGAAAATTTTAAACAAAGGAGTGGCATAACCTGATAGACATGTTTAATGGAATCATTTGGCTACTATGCGGAAGGTGGATCCTTGGAGGGCCATAGTGGAAGCCAGGAAACCACTCAGGAGTCAACTGGAATAGCCCAGGCAACACATGATGGTGGCCTTGACAGGAGCAGTCAGTCAGCAGTGGCAATGGAGAAGCAGACTCACTAATCATATATCATGGAGGCACCGACAGGGCTTGCTGACATAGTAAATGGGAAAGGAGAAAGGAAGAGCAGAGTGAAGCATGATCCTGAGTTTTGGCCTTCAGCCACTCAGTGTATGAGCATGACTTTGATGGGAAATACTAAGAAGGAACTGGTTTGGCGGTGAAAATCAAGAGTTCAGGTTTGCCCAGTTAAGTTTAAGATGCTATTAGGCATCCAAATGGAGATGTCTGGGAGAAGTAGATAGTTGAGATTCAGGGAAGCTATCAAGGCTGCAGATAAATATGTGAGAGTCATTGGTATATAGAAAGTATTTAAAGCCCTAGGACTAGATGAGATCAGCTAGGGAAAGTGTATAGATAGAGAAAAGAAGAGGACCAAAGAAAGAGTCCATGGGAATTCCCAGAAGAGGAAGATATAGCAAGAGAGGGTGAAGCATGCTCAGTGGATGTAGCAGACAAATCAGAAGCATGTGTTATCATGAAGGTCAAAAGAAGCAAGTTTTTCAAGAGTGGTCAAGTGTGTGGAATGCTGCTGAGAGACTGAGTATTATGAAGACAGACAGCAAAGTGACCAAGAGATTTGGCAACATGGAAATGGTGGTGTCCTTGACAAGAACAGCTTCAAAGGACTGATGGAGCTGAGAGAATGTGTTGAACAGTGACTAGGATTTCTAATGAAACATGGGGGTGTAAACACATGTGGTATGTCCATTCCATCCTGACACCCACTAAAGTAAAAGTAATGAAATTTTGTTAAAAAAGAAAAAGAGTGAGCCCACAAGAGCAAAGAGAATGGCATGAACATGACAGAGGACAAGAGAAGTCAATAATTATTGGAAGAGGTAAGAAGCTGGATGATAACCAGCTTAGCAAAGCAGAGAGAGCTGAAACCAAAGTGAATGCAAAGAGAAATGTTAGCAAGAAGCAAGCAAATTCCGACCACCGACCCCACAAAGCCTCATGCATTGGAGCCAGGGTGAAAAATGGGGCTGAAAACAGGTGGATAGGGCAGAAGTCTTTATAAGAAAGTGTTTCTACCCCAGTCCTCCTCCCAACTCTGCACTGCCTGGAAACTATCCTGGTAGGCCATAGATAATTTCATCTCCAGAGAAACTGATCCAGAGACACTCAAGGATAAGCGATACCTGGCAAAGAGGAAGTTAAAGGTGAAGCACTGTCCTGAAAGCAGGGAAATTAAGTGAAATCTACATATGGGATGGTGAGACCCTCCCACCTTCCCCAGCTCAGCAGCCAGCCCTGTTGACAGCCCTCTCTGGAGGGGACTTAGGGGCTGTGGGTTACTCCCACTCTGGCTGGTAGCAAAGTTAGCCATGTACAGGCAGAGGAAGCCAATCAAGATGAGAGGAGAGAGAATGTAGTAAAGAAGAAAGATGCTGCTGTCCCTGGGAGATGTGGACAGCTTTGGGTGCTGGCCTCAGGCCAGGAGCAGATAGCCCTTCCAATCACATGACCTGGTGCATGCTCACAATACCTTTTCCTTGAGCCGCTTGAGTAACTTCCAACCTCCTAGGCAGATGATAGCAAAGGCTGGAGGCATCCAGAAGAAGGCTGATTTTCCAGACCTTGTCCAAGCTCCACTTGCAGTGCTCTCGGTATTTGTTATGCAGAGGTGGCCAACTGAGCTTCAGACTTCCCTTTCCCCCAGGGACTCCAGAATGTCCAAGAAGAGCCCATCTACAGGTCTGAAGGTTCTAGAAAGGCAAGCAGTGGTCCCACATCATAGAAGGCCAGGCTGTTAGGCAATATCTTGTGTAGCTACCACATGTTACAGATAGGGAAGGTAAACCCGGAGGCGTTAAGCCATTTGCCTAAAGTCACGGAGCTTTATTATCTAAAGAACTGGTTAAAGGTAAACTCCAGTCTCTTGACTTTCAGCCCCTAACTCCACTACCCCACATTGCCTCCCACTAGACTTGATTGATTTGAAACATGGGGCTGTGCCCAAAGACGACTTGGACAGGTGAGATTTGGTTATTTCCATGGCACTACTGAAATCAAAATACTAAAGCATGAAACTCTAGATTCACTATTGTGTAGCAGGTAACATGCTGAATGCAGAGCCCAGCAATGTGGGTTCCAGTCCTACCCTTACCTCCTTGTTCTGTGTTATCACATAGGCAAGTTGCTGACGCACCCCTCCAGACCTTGTTTTTCTCATTCGTAAAATAGAGACAAAGTGACAGTGCTAAGGGCAGAAGAAAGAACACGAATTCCAAGGGTCTGAGAGCATCGCCTAAATATGCCTCTAAAACTGGAAATTTCTCTCCAGGCTCCCTATTTCCTTAAATATATATCTATGCAAATTCAGTATTTTACTCCTATATGTATATTTGTTTTAATATAAACATAGGTGGGGGTGCTATTCCCCACCAATGTTCACGTCAAATTGATGCTCCAGGAAGATGACCCATATTTGTCCTAACTTTGTTTGTCCTTCATATAACCTGATGCTAAAAGGTCTCCTTTTAATGTCCTTTGTGAAGAAAAGAATACATGCATTAAAGACTCAAGCAGCAGTGTCAGCTTAGGCCAGGGCCTCGCTGTTGTTGTCCAGCCCACCATTTCTCCAAGACCTTGCAGGTGCCTCACACAATCCACAAAACACTGGGGCCCAGGGAGATCCCCTTCCTTCCACCCAAAATTGCCCTTTCCCAAAGCAATTATCCTTTGCCACCCACAGCAGACAAAATCTGAGAGTTGAAATTCCTTCTTATAAGAACCCAGGAGAGTTGTGAGTTTGAGTCTCCGGTGCTCTGTGATCAGTCCCCAGGGATGCCAAGGGAGCTCTCACATGCCTGTTGGGCATAGCTCTCCCTGGGAGGCATGGGAGGCATCTAGCTTCTCTCCATCCTGCCCAGGAAGGGAGGGCCCCACAGGAAACCCACATCTCACTCCCCCTGCCCTCTGCTTCCTGCTGTCTCTGCCCCTGCCCCATGTCAATGCTCCTGCCAAAGTCCATTTCTGTAACCTGACCTTGTCCCTGAGTCCATCTCCATCCCTCTCTGCCCTGTGGTGTTACAGAACACCCTCCTTGGTCCCCATCCCACTCCACCCCTCGGATTCCTTGTTAGTAAACATGACAAAATGTTCTCCAGCGTAGCAACAGGCAGGCATCCTCGGTGGCTGAGGGCCCCTGAGGACAGGGCAGGAGGGACTGGCTACAGCTCCCAGTTTCTAGCCAGGCCTGGGCAGATTCCACTAGTGAGCTGCTGATTTAATTCCAGACAACAAATGTTATCAAGGCCCACTCTGGGCCCAGCCCTGCACTAGGTCCAGGAGGGGCAGCTATGAAGCACACACAGCATGGCACAGCCCCTGGGTTGGGGTGCAGGCCTGAGAACCCATAATTACAATCTGTGGGTTACACAGATAAGATGCCTGGTGAATGGAGAAGGGCAGAGGGAGTGAGGGAAGGGAGCAGCTATGCTGACACTCAGAATTCCAAGAGCCACACCTTTCCCTAAGTCCTCCACCCTCAGGACCCCCCACACTAAATACATGAGTTGGCAAGCGATGCCCCAACAGCCGAATTAGGCCCACCACCCACTTTATGAGGAAGATGAGCTAAGAATTGTCTACATTTTTTAGGCCGGGCGCAGTGGCTCCCAGCCTAAAAACCCCGTCTCTACTAAAAATACAAAAATTAGCCAGGTGTGGTGGTGTGTGCCTGTAATCCCAACTACTCAGGAGGCTGAGGCAGGAGAATTGCTTGAACCTGGGAGGCAGAGGTTGCAGTGAGCTGAAATCATGTCACTGTGCTCCAGCCTGGGCAACAGAGCAAAACTCTGTCTCAAAAAAAAAAAAAAATTGTCTTTACATTTTTAATGGTTGAGAAAAAAATCTAAAGAAGAATATTTTGTGACACATGAAAATTACATGAATTCCAATTTTGCCACCCATAAATTAAGTTTTCTTGGAACATGACCACATTTATTCATTTACCCATTGTCCTTGGCTGCTTTTCCACTGCAATGGCAGAGTCGAGTAGTTGTGACAGACACCATATGATCCTACGAACCTCAGACATTTACTATCTAGCCCTTTACAGAATAGTTCGCCAACACTTGCTCTAGACCAAAGCCCAGAAAGGGAATTTAAGACCCATCTGGCTGACCACTCTCAACTTCTCTTCCCATCCCGCTCCATTTCTCCTTGCACTGCCCCCGCCACTGCCCTCCACTCTCCACCATCTCCTGTCCTCCCTCCTTCTTCCTCCCACAATTCCCTGGGACCAAGAAATGGGTGCTTATTTGCTTCCTTTATGTCAGATCCTCCCCCTTTCTACTCTAGCCTCATGAGAAAGCCTTAGGGACAGGCACAGGTACCTTCCCTAGGCCAGAGCTTCCCCGTGGAAGTGCTTCAGATGGGCCACAGGCATGCAGCACAATGGTGATGCCCTCGGTCCTCAGGTGAGAGGGCAGCCAAAGTGCACAGGCTGGGTACCTCTAAGGAGAACCTCACCTACAGCTCCTTGGAGGGCAGCCAAGAGTGGGCCCCATCAAACAGCAAGGACAGTGATCTCATCCCAAGCGGCGAGGACACGTCCTTTGGCAGCTTGCTGCATAGTGTGCCACTCCCACATGGACAGAGCCAGAAACCCACTGGAGGAGTGTGTGTCCCTTGCGTCGGGTGAGCACAGAGCACAGACCAAGAGGGATGGGGCCGGGGGCAAGGAGAGCAGGAGGGAGCTTCTGGCAGCCACAGTAGAAATGGCAGCCCTGAATCTGTCTTCACGCCTATGTACAGAAACCATAAAATTCATTGTCCAAAATAGTATACTTTCTTTTTTTAAATCGACTTTAATGAGGTATAATTTACATATAATGAAATGCATCTATTTTAACTATATAGTACTATGAGTTTCTGCAAATGTATACATGGGTGATCCACCAGTGTCACCACTACCATGATCAAGATACACAATGTTGTCATTACCCCCCAAATGCCCCATATGCCCCACTGCAGTCACTCACCCCCACCACTGCCTGAGACAACTACTCATCTGTCTTCCATCACTACAAATTAGTTTTGCCTATTCTAGAATTTCAAATAAATGGAATCATACAGCATGTACTTTTTTGTGTCTGGCTTCTTTCATTCTGGGCAATGTTTCGAGATTCATCCACACTGTGTATGAACACCAAACTGGCACGCTTCTTGTTTGTTTTTTAGCAAAGGGAAGTGCTCTGGATAGTCATGTCATGTCAGAAGAATGAATCAGAGCCCTTCAGGACAAATCAGGACAACAGTCACTCGATGTATATGGGCTGTTCCTGTCTTTCTCAGTAGATGAGCCTCTTTAGTCACCTCCACACTGCCTGCAGGATATCTGATGTAAAATTGCATGTGTATTCTGCAGATTAGGGCTTCACCATTACCTAAGTGCACTAGAATCCAAAAGGTTTGAAGGGTGCTAAATCCAATGCTCATCCCAAAAAATTTCAATACCACATTTGTTGTTTGAAAAAAGAAAATGCCGTTATAGTCTCTATATGATTTCAACTGGTATATATTTTTTAACAGGTGCAAAATTGTTTTTAACTTTTTATCACCAATCTGTACAAACAAATTTCCTGTTAATGATGATTATGGGTACAATGTACACTATTCAAGTGATAGTTACAGGAAAAGCCCAGACTTCACCACTTTGCAATATATCCATGTAACAAAATGGCACTTGTACCCACTAAATCTATAAACATTTAAAAATTAGAAACAAATGAAATTTGAAAAAAGAATGAAGAAACCCTTAAAAATCTTGATCAGAAATTCCATGTAGCCATTTCAAGCCTAAAACTACATAAAAAAGACATGTTAATTTGAAGCAAGCTCATGTTTAACAATAAAATATTTAAATGATTTTCTTTAGAATATTATATAAATTCAACATTTAATATTTTGTTTTGTATATTATTGTAATAATATAACATGAAGAAAATGTGAATTTTTTTCACTAGCTCCCATGTAGGCATTCCCAAATCCCCTTTAGCTGACCCCAGTGTGCCACACGCATATTCTCACTTTCTAAGCGTGTTGTGAACAGGGAAGCATTAGTCAGCACTGCCCCCACACTATGGGAGAAGCCAGTACCCTGGGCTAGGACGCATGTTTCTTGCTAAAGAGACCTCTCCTGCCCTCTAGTGATAATTTTTGTAGCTGGATCTCAGAGGGAAAACAGTGATGTAATGAGTAATTAAATATATCTGTTTTATATTTGCAAAATTGCCATCCCTGTCACATGCATTATAGCTATCTTGGGTCCTGACAGATAAAAACTTTCACAAGCATCCCTCTGTTGCTCCCTGGTGCCTGGGAGGTCGAGCCTGTGGCTTCTCTTCCATGATTCCACCTCTCCTCTCTGCCCTCATCTTCTCCACCCCTGTGGCACGGCAAAGTCTCCACCATCCCCAGCCAGTGACACCACCCTTGCCATCACCTAGGACCAGTGGCCACTGAACCCCCTTCCCACCCTTACCAGATGCAAGGACTGTAGTGGTGGAGAGGGGAGCATGGGCCTGGGAAGCAAACACCTAATTGTTCATTGTACAACAATTTGTTATCAACCGACAAACTCCAGGCATTCAGAAAATTTGGGATTCCCTTGGCACACAGAGGGAAAGGGGGGCAGCTGTACCATAAACGCTTCCCATACCCCTTGTCTCTGTAGAAACCCAGCCTTTTATCCCCAAGCAGCAGCACTTAGCAAGTGGTCACACAAGAGGGAAGGTAAAATCACCACCCATCAACTAAAGGATGAAGTATCTGTTTGAGTTATCAGTATACAGTCACAGAAGTGAAAGATACATGCATGAAAATTAGAACATATCAAAGTTGAGGATCACCTATGCAAACAACAAAAAAGTCGTTGAGAACAGCTGAATTTTCATCTGAAATGAGAACTATAGAATATTTACTATTGAGGTAATTTCTGTTCTATTGAGTAGAAATCCAGCAAACAACAATCTATTTTTTTTTTTTTTTTTTTTTTTTTGAGATGGAGTTTCACTCTTTTCACCCTGGCTAGAATGCAATGGTGAGATCTTGGCTCACTGCAACCTCCACCTTCCAGGTTCAAGCGATTCTCCTGCCTCAGCCTCCCAAGTAGCTGGGATTACAGGTGCCCACCACCATGCCCAATTAATTTTTGTATTTTTTGTAGAGACAAGGTTTCACCATTTTGGTCAGGCTGGTCTCGAACTCCTGACCTCAAGTGATCCACCCGCCTTGGCCTCCCAAAGTGCTGAGATTACAGGCATGAGCCACCAAGCCCGGCCACTAACTACAATTCTATATATAGTTGGCCCTCCATCTCCAAGAGTTCCATAGCCATGGATGCAACCAAGTGTGGATGGAAAATATTCGAAAAAAAAAGTGGCATCCATCCTAAACATATAAAGACTTTTATTCTCTTCATTACTGCCAAGAAATAGAGTATAACAACTATTTACATAGTATTTACATTTTATTAGGTATTATCAGTACAGTTAAGCATCCATTAACAATGGGGATATGGTCTGAGAGATGTGTCTTTAGGTGATTTGGTTGTGCAAACACCACAGAGTGTACTCACATAAACCTAGATTGTATAGCCTACCACATACCTAGGCTATATGGGATAGCCTGTCGCTCCTGGGCTACAAACCTCTACAGCATGTTCTATACTGAATATTGTAGGCAACTGTAACACAATAGTAAGGATTTGTGTATTTAAACATATGTAAACAAAGAAAAGATACAGTAAAAATACAGTATAAAAGACTAAAAAATGAACAAATGGAGCTTGCAGGACTGGAAGTTGCTCTGGGTGAGTCAGTGAGTGATCAGTAAGTGAATGTGAAGGCCTAGGACATCACTGCGCACTATCGTAGACTTCATAAATACTGTACAATGAGGCCACACTACATTTGTTTTAAACGTTTTTTCTTTCTTCAATAATAGATTAACCTTAACTTACTGTAACTTTTTTACTTTGTAAACTTGTTAATTTTTGCAAATTGTGACTCTTTTGTAATAACATTTAGCTTGAAACACATAGTATAGCTGTACAAAAATTCTTTATATCCTATTCTATGAGCTTTCATCTATTTTTTATAAACTTTTTTTTTACTCTTTAAAATTTTAAAACTTTAAACTTTTTTGTTAAAAACGAAGACACAAACACACACATTAGCCTAGGCCTGCACAGGGTCAGGATCATCCATATCACTGTCTTCCACCTCCACATCTTGTCCCACTGGAAGATCTTCAGGGGCAGTAACATGCATGGAGCTGTCATCTCCTATCCTAACAGTGTCCTCTTCTGGAATACCTCCTGGAGGACCTCCTGAGGCTATTTTACAGTTAACAATTTTTTATAAGTAGAAGGAGTACACTCTAATGATAAAAAGTATAGTATAATATAGTAAACACACAAACCAGTAACATAGTCATTTATTATCTTGTCAAGTATTATGCACTGCACATAATTGTATGTGCTATACTTTTGTGCAACTGGCAGTGCAGTAGGTTTGTTTACACCAGAAACAATGTGAATGGTTGTTTATCATCACAACATGTAAATGATGCATTGCACTATGATTTTATGAGGGCTACGATGTCACTAGGCAATAGTAATTTTTCAGCTCCATTTTAATCTCAGGGGACCCCATTGTATATGTAGCCCATCATCGACTTAATCATCATTGTGTGGCACATGACTGTAATTGAGAGATGATTAAAGTATACAGAGGATGTGCATAGGTTATATGCAAATACTGTGCCATTTTATACCAGGGACTTGAGCATCCTCAGATTTGGGTATCTGTGGGAGGTCCTGGAACCAATCCCCCACGGAAATCAAGGGACAATTGTACTACGTTCCAGTGTTCAGTTCCGTTTAATCTTCATTCTGCTCTGCTACATTTTCAACCTCTGCAGGCCAAAAGCCCTGAATTCTCTGCCTAGCCCTCTTTTGTCCAAGTAGAGACCCAGAAGTCCATTTGGGGAAGAGCTGTCAAAAGGTTAAGTCATATCCAGGAGTGGCAGCTTGTACGGCTATGATGGACATCAGAGGGACACAGGATTTCTCTCGCCTTTATTTCTAAGTAGACCCCTTTCAGAAGCACCCTCCACCCCAGATGGGTTTTCCAAGTCCCAGTCCTGATGTCTAACTAATCCCTTTTCCCTGGACTATGTGAGCTGACTGGGCTACAGAGCTAGGCAGTAACCAGCCAAATCTCCTCTTAGTCACAGATACATGTGGCACAACAAGGCAGGTGCCTCGGTGTCCAGGTGGACAGGTTCTGTTCATACCTCATTTGGAATCAAAGAGCAGCTGTCTTGGGCCCCCAGGCTGTTGGTCTCTAGATCAGTGGGGCCCCCATTAGATCCCACACAAGATGGCAGTCATCAACAATTGAGCTCCACCGAGTTCCTGTGGGACTGAGGTCTGATGATTTCTTGAGGGCTCTTCCCCTATCACATTGATCTTTCTGAAGACGAATTTTATCATCGGTTATGTGTCAGGTAGGACTCTTCTGGTTGCAAGTGATTTTTTAAAAATTCTAACTGGCTTAAGCAAAAAAGGGCACATGAAACTAAAAAAGACCAGGGACAGCCAGCTTCAGGCAAAGCTTTACACTAGGCTCAAAGAATGACATTGCCCAGTCTAGCTGTACCTCTGCTCTGCTCTGTCTCTGTTGGCTTCAATCTCAGACTTTACATCTATGGAAAAATGGCTACCAGCAATTCCAAGCTTCATCTTCCCACATACATGTCCAATGGGAAAAGAACAAGTCTCTTCCCCAATGCTCAGGATCAATTCCTGGAATTCACTCAGAAAGACCACTCTTGGGCCATGTACCCATCCCTGAACTAATCACCACAATCATAGTGATGGAACAGGATACATTCCCAACACATCCAAGCTGTGCTCTCCTCTAAAGTCTGGCCACCAAGGCAGCAGCAACCTCAAGTCCCAATTTCTGAGTCAAACCAACCTGCCCATGTCCACTTCCAGGTCTCAGCTTCTACAGAACCCTTTGTCCTCCCATCTTTTTTTTTCCCTGGGCTGTCCACCCAGAGGCTACCTCTCTGAGCCTGTTGGCCAGCTGGCCCTCCCTGGTTCTTGAAATAACCTACTCCTCGGTGCCCTCTCTTCCACCTCCAAGTTTAGGCCTGAACTCAGGAACTGGAAAATCGTCTTTCAAAACCCTGTCTGTTAGCACCAGGCAGCCAGAATTCCTAGAGAAAGACAGAGCTTCCCTGTGCTCAGATGCCCAGAGTGTGCCCCTGCCAGGGTGCCTGGCACAGGAGACCAGCTGGGGTTCCAGATGAGGCATGTGAAGAACTGGTAAGACAGAGGGCAGAACAAGAGCCATTCAGGAAACAAAACCTCTCATCCAGCTTCCTCCTAGATGGTACAGACTGTGAAGGGCCTTAGATACTGTGTCAAGGAGCTGAGACTTGACCCAACAGGAGGTGAAGAGTAGTCAAAAGGCTTGCTGGATGCGTGAATGGATGAATGAACACACAAACAAGTAACCTCAGCTCGGAGATGGAAAGTGACTTGCCCCATATCACATAGGAAGCAAGTGGCAGAAACAGGACCAAACTCCAGGCCTACCTGTGCCCATCCTAGGGCTCTAGTATCAGCCCAGGCTGCCTCCATCTCAACAGGGCAGCCTGGGAACCCTGGAGATTGTCAGCCACTTCTCAGAGGCTCCAGACCTGGGCTTCTGAGCTTGGAGCAAAAGCAGAGTCCTGGGCATTAGAAATGTGGACACTGGGAAATTTTAGGAAGGCTCGAGCTAGTGCCTAAAGTTGAGGCTGGGGATTTCGAGTAAGACTGAATTCTCTGTGAGGTAGAAGAGTGGCAGAGGGAGCCTGCCTGAAGCTCAGCTGCTCTGGGAGAGTCCAGCCAGACCCCCAGAGGGCAGCCCATCCCTGACAAAGCCCAGAACTCAGCAGAAGGGGACCACGACTCCTGGGGAAGAGTTGCGGGGAGATGAGGGGTGTTATCTTTGGCTTCCAAAGGCCTTGCCAGTGTTCCTGCTGAGCCTGGCACTTTGCCCCAGGAAACAGAGCTGTAATTTAGAGACAGCAGGGACTGGGATCCAGGGTGGAGGGGAAGAAGCCTTCTGGCCCTTGGTTTGGGGAGGCTGAAACTACTTTAGGGCAGGATAAGTCAGGATATCAGAGGTGAAGAAAGATCCAGAATTTTCATGAGAGCAAGAACTTTGCTGTCTGGCTCACCATTGTATCTCCAGTGCCTGGAACAAACCCTGACACATAATAGGTCCTCAATAAATATTTGTTGAATTAATAATGAACCCTTGCTGAGGGTGAGGGAGCAATTTTTCACTTCCTTTTGCTGCCCACAATTTCCTCTCTACTGGATCTCCAGCATATAGTAAAAAGTCTGTGTGGAGTCAAGTCAGCACATTTACAGTGGTTGGCTGAGGACTTTCTGTGCCCAGAGTGGCTGCACATCCCAGCTAGAACAGTTCACCCTTAGCTCCATCAAACATATTTGATGGATACAAAAAGTATGAGGCTGGAAATCAAGAAATTTAGGTCCTAGGTACGGCCCACTGTTTATCAGTGACAGATGTGAAAAAACTTTCAGAACACCTTCACAATTAATTCTCCTCTTGTTATGCCCATTTCGTAGATGTGAAAACTAAGTTGAGGCTAGCACTAGATCACACAGCCTCGGAGTGGCAGAGCAAGCCTGACATCCCAGGAACTTGCAACTATCAGCAGCTTCTTTCCCCTCTCTGTGCCTATTTTCTCACCTGCATTATTGAGGTTTCCAAAGACAGTCCCAGATCTCCTATGGTAGAGGCAGGGGGCGACTGTCCAAGCACCCCACCACGCCCACTAAAGGCTGGTCCAGCTTAAACGTACTGCGGAGAGGGGTCCACAGGGCAAGATCAGGCCACAGTGGGTGTCTGGGGCTGCTTGGGCCCAGCACGTCTGAGGCCATCATTTGTTTGGATCTTTCTATTACCCTTTCCTGGAACAGAGTAGAAGACTGGAAAGGACTTTTCAGGAGAAGTGAGAGGTGAGGTTAAAAAGGCAGGAAAGAAAGAAGAGGGAAAACAAAGGTAGAGAAAGATACACTAGTGGCAAACAGGTACAATAAAAGATAAATCAAAACCACAATGCAAATCAAAACCACAATGAGTGATCACCTCATACCTGTTAGGCTGGCTATTCTCAAAAAGACAAGAGATAACAAGGATTGGCAAGGCTGTAGATAAAAGGGAACCCTTGTATAATGTTGGTGAGAATGTAAATTGGTACAACCATTATGGAAAACAGTATGGGGGTTCCTCAAAAAGTTACAAATAGAACTACTGTATGATCTGGCAATCCTACTATTGGGTATATACCTAAAGGAAATGAAATCACCACCTTGTAAAGATAGCTGCACTCCCATGTTCATCGCAGCATTATTCAAAACTGCCAAGATATGAAAACAACCGAAGTGTCCATCAAGAGATAAATGGATAAAGAAATCATGATGTATATGTATAAATATATGTGTGTATATATATTTCTTTGTGTATACATAAACATATATATGTGTGTTACATATATTTATATATAAATGTAAACACACACAAAGAAATATTATTCAGCCTTGAAAAGAAAGCAATCCTGCCATTTGTAACAACATAGATGAACCTGAAGGACATTATGCTGAGTAAAATAAACCAGACACAGAAAGAAAGAAAAACACTGCATGATTTCACTTACACATGAATCTTAAAAAAATTGAATACATAAAAACAGAAGAATGATGATTGATGGGAGGGACTGGACAGATGTAGGTCAAAGGGTTGAAAGATGTAGTTGTATAGGATGAATAAGACTAGAGATTCAACGGACAGCATGAGGACTATAGTTAATATTGTATTGCATACTGGAAATTTGCTAAGAGCGTAGATTTTAGGTACTCTCACCAAAAAAAGAAAGAAAGGTAACTATGTGAGATAATGGATATGTCAGTTTCCTCGGCCATAGTAACTGCTTCGGCTACGGATAGAAAGAAACTACTGATAGTTGCACAGCAAGTTCCTGCCTATGTACATTATGCATACATATGTACATTATGCATACATATGTACATTAAAACATCATGTTGCATGTTTTAAGAAAGGAGGGAAAGTTAGCACTCCCCTTGACAATGACGGAAGAGACCCTGCAACCTGACAGCATGCATGCAGTTAAGGCATCGCCACCTACTTCAAGGCAACTAACCATCCTTTTTAAAAACACAAAAGGTTTGGTTTGAGGGAGCTTCCTGGTAGCTGAACACCTGAAGGCTCCTGGAGGGTGGTGCATCCAGAGAGGGCATGGAGCCCCTCGCCTCTTCCCACATCTCTTGCCTTAGGTATCTATTCCATCCATCTGGCTGTTGTTCATCTGTATTCTTTGTAATATCCTTTATAATAAATTGGCAAACACTTTTTTAAATTATGTCCTACACTGGCTCCTTTGTAAACCCACTGGCAGGAGTGTCCCACTCAGGACCTAACAGTTCAATATCCATAGCAGGGCTGCAATCAGCTGTACCAGACTCAGGGGACCCATGGATGACAGACAAGCCTGTCCCCCAGGAAGTCCAGTCTCCTGGTTGGGGGTGGGGGTAGCAAGCACACACAGTCACCAGCAATCCAGCCTGCAAAGTGCTTTGAGGAGGCAAGCCCAGGGGCTGTGAGAGCAGGGAGGAGGAAGTGACTGGCTCTGCTCTCGAGGTCACAGAAGGACGAGAGCCTGGGGCGTGACACCAAGCACGTGTGGGAAGGAGGATGGAGTGTTCTAGCCCCAGGGAAGAGCATATACAGAGGCACTGGGCATGGTCACCCTGAGGAAGCAACTGTTCCTGTGGAATGCCCCTTAGTGATCTCAGCCTCCATCCTTCCCCTGATTTCCCTGCTTTTGCTTAGCCTACCTTTGAGACTCTGCACGCCCTCAGCCTCTGACCTCTCCCAGTTCTCCTCCTGCAGGGGCCTACAGTCCGCCATGCACCCTCTGGCCTCCCTGACTTTCAGTCCTCTCTTCCCTGATCCCAAATCATTTGCCCACAAGGACTTCAGGAGAGTGTCTTCCAAGAGAAGCCTGGCCACACTGCAGAGTCAGGCTGTCCATCTTCCAGGGAGCCTTCCTGTAGACCCTCATTCAACCCAGGTGTCTCCCCACTTCTCTGGCCAACAAGCTACCCCTCTTTTCTCCCCTGAGCCCCCAAAGCCTCTTCTGCCAAGCTCAGCATTTCCAGAATAGCCTCTCTCTGTAGCAACAGGCAGTGGTCATTTAGCTTCCACTCCCTCCATTCCTCTTCCTTCCACTCCAAATCCACACTGTCTCATCTCCCATTCTTTCCTCCTGACTCTCCCTCTCCAGCCTTACCCATCTCCTGTCCACGCTCCACCCAACTATGAGAGAGGACTATCTGATACACAAAGTTGTCCATGTCACCCATGCTTAAGATGCTTTCTAACTCCCTATCATTCGCAGGGGTAAATCCAGACTCCTCAGATGGCATTTGAAGCCCCCCACACTCTCTCCAGGGGCATTCTGTACCTGTCCCTCACACACCCTAAGATCCAGCCCCTTCCTGCTTCTTGGCCTATCCCGACCTGCCCTGCATTTTATCACATCTGTCACATCCTGAAGCAGCTGCAAGGTTGAGAAAGGCTGGATGCTGGTGATGACTCAAGACTGGAGGGAGAGGGATTAAGCATTGGGCGCTTCACCCGCAGAATAGCAGTCTTGGCATTTTGGGGGTCACCTACCTTTTTTTAGTGTCTGTTAGAAGCCATAGGTCCCCTTCCTAGAAAAATGAATACCATAATGTACCTAAGCACAAATTTTATACCACATTAATGTACCTAAACACAAATTTTATACCACATGTCTGGGAAGTTACAGATCTTTCCCTTGCAATCTGATATGGTTTGGCTGTGTTCCCCCCATCAAATCTCATCTTGAATTATGGTTTCTGTAATCCCCCCGTGTCATGAGAGGGACCAGGTGGAGATAATTGAATCATGGGGGCAGTTCCCCCATGCTGTTCTTGTGATAATGAGTGAGCTCTCATGAGAGCTGATGGTTTTATAGGGAGCTTTTCTCCCTTTTGCTCGGCCCTTCTCCTTGTTACTGCCACGTGAAGAGAAGGATGTGTTTGCTTCCCTTTCTGCCACAACTGTAAGTTTCCTGAGGCCTCCCCAGCCCTGCAGAACTATGAGTCAATTAAACCTCTTTCCTTTATAAATGACCCAGTCTCGGGTATGCCCTTATAGTGGCATGAGAACGGACTAATACACAGTCCATCCATGAACCCAGGTTTTAAAAGTCCTGCTCCAGAGAGCAAGCAGGAACTGTGGAAGCTGGCCTAGCCATGCCTTGCTGGTCCTTGTGCTACCAACATCCAGCATGGATCTGAAACTGAGTTGGTGTCCATAAGAACTTGTGGAACTGAGCTGAATTCAACAGAAGGCAGGAACTGCCTCAGAGAGAGAGGAGCCATGGGCTCAAGATACAAGGAGAGCTGAGAAGCTCAGGTAGAACTCCCCGCAGGTATAGCTCATGGGGTTACCATCCAACGGTGAGCTTGATGATAAAGGAAAGCAAGTGAATTCCAGGCAGCCACTGGGAAAAAGTCGCCCTGTCCAGGTTTCAGCTCAGGTCTGCCACTTTGAAGCTGGCAGCAGTAGGTGACCAGGCCTGACCACATCCCTGCATACCTAAGAGGCATTACAAACCCGATTGCCCACCTTCACCCTCCACCAGCTGTTGCTTCTCCCATCTCAGTTAACCAAAGCACCATTCAACACATTGCTTAGATAAAAACCCAGGAATCTTCCTTCATTCCTCTTTCCTTCATCTGCCACATCCAATTCATCAAAAAGGCCTGTCATTTTAGCCTCCAAAAATGCACCAAATGTATATTTTCTTCATCTGCGCTGTTGTCACACCGCTCCAAGCCACCATCATCTCTGGCTTGGGTGACATCTCCAACAAGGCATCCTGCTTCCACTCTTTCCCTGTGTGGTCCATTCACTACATGGCAGCCAGAGTGACCTTTTATAAAATGTGAGATTATAGCATTCTACCACTACAGACTTTCCAACAGCTTCCTTGAAATTAGAATCAAGTCCCAGGATCCTAACCATGACCTGCAAGACCCCCACGACCTGGCCCCTCTCTTTCTCTCTGACCTCACCTCGTGTGACTCTCCCTCTTTCACTGTGCGCCTAGCAAACGGCCTTCTTTCTGGCTCCCAAGAAGTTGCATGCTCAGGGCCTTTGCGCTTGCTGACCCCCCTGCTCCCCAGATCTGTGCATGACTGATTCCCACGCATCCCTCATTCTCAGTTCAAATGGCACCTCCTCAGAAAGGTGAGACCCCATCATTACCAATCCCATTGTCCTGTCTTATTTTCTTCATAGTATTTATCACGGGCTGAAATATTTTTGTTTATTTGTTCATATGATTGACTGACTTCCAACTGGAATGTAAGCTCCATGTGAAAAGGGACTGATTTCTCTCTTTTTAGTCCTGGAGCTCAGAATAAATGAAGTGACAAAAGGGAAAAACTAGGTATGACTCAGGGCCCCGGGGATATGGGTTTGGGGTAAGGATCAGGCCAGGGCAGGGCCAGAACAAGGCAGAATAAGGGGCTTGGGCACCCCCGCCCAGTCCTTCCTGATGGGGCCCCACTGCTCACTGGTGTGACTTGCCACAGGAGGACTCCACCAGAGGCATGAATGAGATAAGGCACCTTGGCAGCTCCTCCTAATTCTAAGAGACTGCAGCTACTGGACTGTTCACCAGCATGTATATTGCTGCCAGGGTGAGTCCCCGGGATAGTTATTTCTATGCACTAGGCTATGGTGGCCAGTTGTTCAATCAAACACCAGTCTAGACATTGCTGTGAAGGTGATTTTGGCATGTAATTAACATTTGAATCAGTAGACTTTGAGTAAAGCAGATTACACTCCATACTGCCGTGGGCCTTAGCTCATCAGTTTAAGGCCTTAAGAGCAAAGACTGAGAGTTCTTGAAACAGAAGGAATTCAGCCTTAAGACTGCAATATAGGAATTTCCTGAGTTTCCAGCCTGCCAGCTTTCCCTACAAATTTCAGACTAGCCAACCCCACAATCATGTGAGCCAGTTCCCTAAAACAAATTCTCTTTCTCTCTCCTTCCCTCTCTCTCCCTCGCTTCCCCCCTCCCCCTCTCTTCCTCCTGTATGTATGTGTGTATCTATATACTCGATAGGATATATATCCAATAGGGTGGATGGGTAGATATCTTACTGGTTCTGTTTCTCTAGAGAGCCCTGACTAATAATACACTCCTTTCCTCTACTTCATCCTCAGAGAAGGAAGTAGCCTGAGGTGTCTTCCAGGGAAAATCAAATAAGAGTGAGGTCACTGTGAACATCCCAGAAGTGCCATGGCTCTCTTCTCAAACATGAAGAGCCCCAGGGTACCAGCCTGTGCATCATCCTGCAAGCCTGTCCTGCAATCCTTCCAGGAATAGCCTGGCTTGTGGCCTAATGCTCAGGCGGTCCCCTGACTGATGAGATAATACTATCAGAAAATGAATCTAGTTTTAAAAGAATGTTGATAAATGCAGCAAACACGCACTCAACAGATTACATATCAATGCTAAAGAGTGACCAAAGCCTCTCTTCTCGTCAGATGTAGTCATTCATTCACCCACTCAACAAATATTTATTGAAAGCCTGCATGTGCCAGACATTCTTCTAGGCATCGGGAATGCAGCAGCAAACAAAACAGTGACATTCAGGCAGAGAGAGATAGACAGTAAAGAGATTGATACAGAATATGTTATGTGGTGATGATAAAGAGCTACGAAGAAAAATTAATCATGGTAAGGCGAGTGGGAGTGTGAGTGAAGAAAGTGTCTAATTGATGTGGGGTGTGTAGAGAAAGCCTCTTTGTTAAGGGAGCCTCTGAACGGAGGCCTAGAAGGAGTGAGGGAGTGAGCCAGGCGGCACTGTGCAAGAAGAGCGTCCCAACAGAGGGCCCAGCAGATGTGAAGCCGCGTGGCATGGCACGCTGGCATCTTCCAGGAACAAGGAGGCCAGTGCAGCCAAAATAGAGTACACAAAAGAGAGTCCAGGAGAAGGGGTGGGAGGCCAAGTCATAGAGGGTCTTAAGTCCATGAGAAGAACTTTGGATCTTACTGAGGAAGTCGGAAGGCCTTTGGAGTTTTTGTCCAGGGGAGGAATACTAACTCCATAAAACTCATAAGAGGTAGAGAGAAAAGAAAGGGGCAGGGGTGGTTTTACTTCCAGCACTTCTGTGCCAGCCACTCCTAGGCCACATATGCCCCAAAGAGGCCTCCGCGATTGAATTTTCAACAGCTGCTGCCTTGCCTCCCATTTATGTTGCCTCATCCATACAGGACCAGTTTTAGCTTCAGGGTGACACACCTAGGGGTGGGAGAAGGGTGATGGAGGGAGGAGGACCATCGGGGCCACACTGACCCCCATCTCCACAAGTTTATGCTGCTGCTTTCAATGCTGCTTCCTCTAATCTTTTTTCATCATTATCTTAATAACTGTCGTGCCACTATACCACCTCGAAAACTGTCTTCCAGAAATGTCCCATGGAGACAGTGGCTCCCCCTTTCCTGGCCCTCTGGAGTGTTGATCCTCACCCCAGCCCTCCTCTTTCATGCTCAGGACCACAGCCCTGTGGCTCCAAAAAGGACCTTCTGGGTCAGTGCACAGAGCACTTAGAAGCACCCTTGCCCCTTCCTCACTTACTTCCTGTTCCTCCATCAGCATTCTACAGCTCTGGCCAACACCAACAGCCTCTACTCAATACGGTGCTTCATTCCACTGTGGGAGGGAAAGTGAGGAAATAAAAATATGACAAAGGAAGAGAGAGCTGAGAGAGAAAGCCAGAGGAGAGGAGAGGCACGATTCAGGAAGGAACTGCTGAGACACTTCACCCCTGAAGGAGCTCAGGAATCACTACATCTGGTAAGCAGGGACAAGGAGCTCATCAGAAAAGACTCTGCTTCCTCAAGTGTGTCCTCTAAAGCCAAGAAGAGTGGCAGCAGGAATCTCCATGGTAGGGGGAAGGAGGTCCCTGAGGTCAAGTTGGGAACTTTTTTATTTTATTTTATTTTATTTTTTTGACATGCAGAAGGGTTCAGCAGGTAAAGGGAAAACTGTACCTATCGAAGTCCTATCCTTTTCACAAGTACCAGCCCAGATGCCCCAAGAAAACAGCCCACATCTCCAAATGGGAATGAACATCTCCCTCCTTCTCTATCCCAGAGAGCTCAGCCATAGAGAATCCAGAGCCCTAGGCAGGAAATATTCTTCCTGGCAGCCAGAGAAGCATGTCGTGTTCTCCTGCCACACCAAAATGACATTTTCTCCTCCCTTTCCAATTCTACCTTTCCTGCCTTGAATATTAGACTGACTCAGTGCCCCTGTTCCTCCACATCACGTGATGCTCTGCGTGGGTTTCTCAGGGGTGAAGGGTTGACTCAGCCTGGCTGCCTGAACCCACTTTCCAGCTCTCTGGCCCGCGGCACATCCTCAGCATGGCCTCCACACCACAAAGCAAGATGCGCCCTCTCTGCCTTCACTGCATTCAAATCCAAAAGAATTTTTCCATGATTTGTCACTTTCAGAGAGGGCTTACATAAAGAGTAGTTGTTTCCAGAGCAAAGCAAAGAATAATCAATGGAATTTAAAACAATCCTAAGAAAGGCCAGCCCCAGTGGAGCCAAGAAAGTTCTCCTGCCCCAGTTGAATCACTATTATGCACAGTCCTGGCCCTGCAGGAACCCAAGAGCCCTCATATTGGAAGGGTATTCCAGGTCCCCCACCCCTGATGCCTTTACTCAAGTCTGTTTGAAAGACCTTAGCTTTAGTGCAAGGCTCCCAGGGAAACAGATAAGAGGGTGTCCCTCCTACCTTACCTATTCTCCATATGCTGACAATTCAGCTTTCGCTCCAGCCCAAGCCTCTTCTGAGTTCCAGTCTCATTTATTCAAGTGCCTACCTGACCTTCGTGGATGTCTAACGGAGATCTCAAACTTAACATGCTCAAATCCGAACTCTGGATTTCCTCCCTGAACTCGGAAGCTTCTCTGCTTGTGATCTTCATATCTCAGTTAAAGACACCACTATTTGTGGGGAAAAGCAAGAGAGATCAGATTGTTACTGTGTCTGTGTAGAAAGAAGTAGACATAGGAGACTCCATTTTGTTATGTACTAAGAAAAATTCTTCTGCCTTGAGATTCTGTTAATCTATAACCTTACCCCCAACCCTGTGCTCTCTGAAACATGTGCTGTGTCAACTCAGAGTTAAATGGATTAAGGGCGGTGCAAGATGTGCTTTGTTAAACAGATGCTTGAAGGCAGCATGCTCCTTAAGAGTCATCACCACTCCCTAATCTCAAGTACCCAGGGACACAAAAACTGCGGAAGGCCGCAGGGACCTCTGCCTAGGAAAGCCAGGTATTGTCCAAGGTTTCTCCCCATGTGATAGTCTGAAATATGGCCTCGTGGGAAGGGAAAGACCTGACCGTCCCCCAGCCCGACACCCGTAAAGGGTCTGTGCTGAGGAGGATTAGTATAAGAGGAAGGCATGCCTCTTGCAGTTGAGACAAGAGGAAGGCATCTGTCTCCTGCCCGTCCCTGGGCAATGGAATGTCTCGGTATAAAACCCGATTGTATGCTCCATCTACTGAGATAGGGAAAAACCGCCTTAGGGCTGGAGGTGGGACCTGCGGGCAGCAATACTGCTTTGTAAAGCATTGAGATGTTTATGTGTATGCATATCTAAAAGCACAGCACTTAATCCTTTACATAGTCTATGATGCAAAGACCTTTGTTCACGTGTTTGTCTGCTGACCCTCTCCCCACAATTGTCTTGTGACCCTGACACATCCCCCTCTTCGAGAAACACCCACAAATGATGAATAAATACTAAGGGAACTCAGAGGCTGGCGGGATCCTCCATATGCTGAACGCTGGTTCCCCGGGTCCCCTTATTTCTTTCTCTATACTTTGTCTCTGTGTCTTTTTCTTTTCCAAATCTCTCGTCCCACCTTACGAGAAACACCCACAGGTGTGGAGGGGCAACCCACCCCTACACTATTCACTCAGTTTCTCAAGCAGAAATGTGGCAAAAGTACATGAAGTCTCCCTTGCCCACCACATCCTACTCTATACCCCAAACTTGTCTCCAGTGCTGTCCCATCAAATTAAGCCACCCATCATCCCTTGGCTAAAAGACCAGCAGTTCCTTGCTTCCATGTGACCCCCTCTCCAATCTATTTTCCACGTAGCAGCTAGAGCAATCTTTTAAATCAGATCACATCAATTTCTGCTTTAGCTCTTTCCTTTTATAACTTCCTCACCAAGGCCAAAAAGCTGTGCATGAATATGTCTCCTGCCTTCTTCCCTGGTCTCATTTTATGCCACTTTCTCATTTGCTGTACTTCAGCCACATCAAGCTTCTTTCCAGTTCTGGAACATGTTTCCTTCTCCACCTCAGGGCCTTAGCACTTTTTGTTTTCTGTTCTCTGCACATTTTTTTCCCCTATGACATCCTTCAGATCTTAGCTTAAAGGTCACTTCCTCAGAAAGCCTACTCCTAATACCCTTCCTAAGTAGGTGCCCTCATAATTTGTTGTCATTTTCTTTTGCAGTCTTATTCTTTATATAACATTAAGCCAATTAGCAGTTGACAATTAATTATATGTTTACATGTTTATTGCCAGTCTCCCTGCCATTGTCTGCTATCCCCATAAGAATGAGCCTAGACTGGAGACATATTAGCAAGTCCAGCTGGAGACAGTCCAGGTCCTGCCAGACAGAGGCAGGGCTTGAGGCAGACACAAGGCTCCTTGCAGGAAGAAACCATGCCTGAGTTGTTTACACAGGACTTGGCAGATACATTTATTAGATGACTGGATGGGTGGATGGATGGGTGGATGGATAGATGGATGGATGGATGGGGGAATTTCAGCTGTGGGCAAAAGGCAATAGAAACCATGTCTGAGGAATGGGTGGTGACTGAACAGAACAGACCCTGCACTAGCAAGAATTCTATAGTCCCAAGTTCAGAGAAAATGTCATTTTAGCACCTAGATGAGAAAGAGATTAGGATAAGTCAGGCTTGCATGTGCTCAGGTAATACCTGCCTGCATCATGACAGGGAGAATTAAAACCAAAAAATAAAGAATATATATAGTCTGACTTTCTCCTTCTTCACTTTGGCCAGAGTTGCCTTGACTCAGGTTAATCACATGGGTTGATGAGCTGATGCGGGATGACCCATAATACTCTGGGAGATGTCTACATGAGGAATGTGATCTTGCAGTCAGTAACCCTTACCAGTACATGAGGAGATCTACTCACTGGGGGATGGGCTGCTGTCAATGGACTCCTAATGACCTTTGCAACCAACAGAAGGGAGACAAATGGAAAGGAGAGAAGACTCCTGGGCATGGCTCAGTGGGACAGGAAGCATAGCCCATGCCAAGTGTCATTAGAATGGGCTCATGGAGAAAGAATGTAGGGCCAAGGAGAAGAACAAAGAAAATGGAGAAAGCCTCCTCACTAACCCTGAGCCACAGGTTCCAGCCCAGCTGCAAAATGGGCTGGTAAACTGTTCAGAGGTCATCCCTAGTTGACATCACTATTAAAGATAGCCAGGCCAGTTGGCAGAGATGATAGAGATGGGAGGTAACATGAAGCCAGGTGAAGGTTCATCACCATGCCCAGGGTTCCCTTCATCAGTGGCTGGAGGAATGGGCCAAAGTTTATAAGCAGGTATAGAGCCCCAGGAAGGCTTAAAACGTGGGTAGAGACCCACAGGAAGGGTTCAAGGAAATATAACCAAGTGAACTAGGAAGAAAGACCAAGGCGAGACCCCAGTCCTATGGATATACCAACACAGCAAAGCAGGAAGCCCAGCCTGGTGCTACCAGCAGGAAGATGACTCCAAGCCCCATGGAATGGGATTGGGGCTGTTTTCAGTATTGGCTCAGGCTCCCGGATGGGCTCAGGCCTGGAAGTGGGAACATCAGTGACTCCAGGCATGAGGTGCTGGAGAGACAGCTGCAGGGACAGCAAGGTGCACACAAAACTGACAGCATCTTGAAAAACATAAGTATCCCTTCCCACACCAAGATGGTGGAATGAGGGAAAGCGTCATTGTTCAGCAGGATTACGGATGACCAAGGAGACACCAAATGTCCTACCCCTTATAGTCCTTTAGGAACTGGCTCTCTGGCCTGCCTTGGGGACCCTCCTCTCCAGCTTCAGAGAAAGGCCTCTTCCCCTAACACCATTTTATGACTCAGTGTGATTCCTTAGTGTGAGGTGAGACTCAGGAGAGAGAGGCTCTTCCTCCCTGCCCTGCCTGGGCCTTCCCTACATTCTGTCTAGGAAGCAACCTTGGGGTAAGGAAGACCATCCTTGGTAAGGGCCCATCCTTCCCCCAGGATCCTGACACCCTGTGAGAGGTCACCCTGTCCAGGATCTATGACACACGCCTTCTGATAACCTCCCCAAGGGTTGCAGCTAGCCACACCACTGGTGTTTGGCTCCCCACTCGTTCCAAGGCCTGCCAACAAAATCCTATTTAATCAACACTGCTCGTTCTGCAGCTGCTCCCGAGGGGAAACCACATAGGCACAGTCCATTTCAAAACTGTTGGCTCCACATCAGGACCAGCGGAACAGAGTGTGGAAAGAGCACTGGGCTGGGAGTCAGGAGCCCTGGGTCCAGCCTTACTCTCACACTAATGGCTGGCCCCCATTTCCCTGTCCTGTCTCCCTCACAAGGGTGGAGTCACATCAAAGAAGCAGCTGTCTGTGACTTGCAGTTCACTACTAAACACTTTCTATAAACAAGAACCCCCAGGCATGGGACCTCAGGGTGGGCTCCTCTTAGCCATATTCATACATGTGACTCTGACCCCCTAGCCACCTCTGATTTTACCAATAGTGAGCCTGTCACCTGCCAGAGCTAACTAGCACCTTTACCCCAAGGAACTTGGAGTGGGGGAAGAAAGAGAGAGAGATAAAGAGGCTCATGTGGACTCAGGAGCTGTAGGGCAATTGCGTTTTCTGCCACACTGTCTGAAGATCAGAGAAACCTGTTCTGCAAGGAGAGAGAAACATGAAACAAATACTCAAGACTTGCAGACGGAGATGCAAAGAGAGCCAGTGGACTTTTAGTTCTGGTTTCCAGGTCTCCCTGAAACCTGGCTACGCCTTTTTTTAAGCTGGCTTTTAAAAACGAGTCTCTCTCGGATCCCAGGTCTCCAGACAGCTTCAAAGTGGTGAGCCCTGACAAGCTATCAGGGTCCCACTCAGCAGTCCACCTGTGTGATGCCTGTGTGTTCGGGCATCTCTCCTTGGCTGCACTGTGCTCGAGCAAGCTGGGCTCAGGCACTGGTCCACACCTGTGCTTCACCCCTGCCCCACAACGCAGCCCAGTGTTTCAGCCAAAGTAGGTGCTCCGTCAACTGGTGTCAGGTTAAGACAGAGAAAATCCAAAGACATCATTCCTCTGTGAGGCGTGTTCCTCAGAGCCAGGCCAGGCAGCAACTCCCTCCCCATGCAAGGTTGTCCACAATAAATCCATGACCTGCCCAAGCCCTTCCGGCTCTGCAATCCATGGCCCTGCATGAGCCCAGAATTCAGCCCCTGATGCAGCCAGCCCACAACTTCCCAAGTTTTATTTTCATTAACCCAACTGGAAAATTGGACTTCACTCAGGATTGTGCTGAAAACCAGATGCTGGAGCTGGGCTCTGGTTTCCTAGATAAACACATTGCAATAATACGCATCTACCCGTGAGATGCTCTGTGTGGCGGCACATGGCAGCACTCCAGAAGAAAGAAAAACAATGTCAAAGCTTCATTTGAGGCTTCTCACTCCCCTTCCTGGCCAGCGGCTGGCCACATTTTTTGTTGGCCCCACTGCAGGCCAGCTCTCTCTCTCTGCTGGCTCCCCTCGCCCTGTCCCTACCTCTGGCCCGGAACTTTACAGCTTCTAGAAAGAACTTCAAGCTTTTCCCAATTGCCGTGTCTGGATCCAGCCCTTTTCCTCTGCGTCCCCACCGTGCCCTGTGTCGACCCCATCCTAGCAGCGGAAGACAGTGTTGCAACTGTTGGGGTTGTCTGGCCCCTCCAGAGGGCTCCAGCACAGTCAGTGAACATAGTTCTTAATGTTGGTAAATGGATGAATGAAAGTGAGTCACACCAGAGGCAGTGGGTGGGGGACAAAGTGGGTTGCACATATGAAGGAGGCACGGGCTTCAGGGATGTCGTTGAGGGCTGATTTCCTACAGCCCGAGTATTTTCATTCACTCATCCAAGGTTCACTGAGCTTTCCCCTTGCAACAGACCCTGTGCTTAGTGTGGGGACAGGCGGGATTCTGACACATCCCTGCCCTCAAGGGGTCCGCCACCTGGGAGAGGAGCGGTGGTAGCATAATGAGGTTTCCTGTTCCCCTTGCCCACTTCTTCCCAACATATAACCCCACCATTCTTGTAGTGAAGGTTTGTCTCTAGATAGTCACCATAGAGTGGCAGAAACTCTGTTAGCATAAAAACCACAAGCTATGGAAGGCAATCAATATTAGAAAGAGAATGACTTGGGTTTTGGGGCGTGAGAATTTGAGACAGTCTCGCTCTGTCACCCATGCTGGACTGCAGTGGTGCTGTCACAACTCACTGCAGCCTCAACCTCTTGGACTCAAGCCATCCTCCTACCTCAGCCTCCTGAATAGCTAGGACCACAGGCACATGCCACCACACCCAGATAATTTTTTACATTTTTTTAAGAGACGAGATCTCCTTGTGTTGCCCAGACTAGGCTTGAACTCCTGGGCTCAAGCGATCCTCCCTCCTTAGCCTCCCAAAGTGCTGGGATTGAGAAAGACTTGTTTTATGATGCTCCTCTGACTATTTTGAAAGACGTTAATTCCTGAAGACCTCAGGATGTGATGCTATCACTCTATAACAGAGTAGGAATCCAAGGGGAGGCCAGGGAGTGCAAAGAAACGGGGTCATAAGGGAGGCAAAGAGGGCAAAGGGAACACCGATTTGCCTATCTAAGGCTGCTGCTATATGGACCAGTGGATGATTTGCTGAGAAAATTAACTGCTTTGCTGCACCCTTTAGACTCCACAGGTATACATGAATCCCTGACAATCAGAGGTGTTAGAGCTGTGTACAAGAATAGTTAAAGAATTCCAAGATACTTCCAACGGGGCATAATTGGGAATGGCACAGGAGCCTGTGGAGCATAAAGGAAGGGAGGGCTTCTTAGGGAACCCATGCCCTCATTCAGGCATGTACGCTATGTGGCATTTGGCTTTGAATCCTGCTGTTGTCCTTCTCGCTTATTTCCTTGGCCTCTCTGGACCTCAACTGCTCCAGGTGGATAGTAAAAACCCCATTGCATTGTGCAAGGGGGAGAGGCTCATGTCAGGAAAGATGAGCACATGGATTCACAGAGCTGCCAGGGAAATCACAATCACAAACCCAGCTGTTGTTGTCAGGGACATCTCTCTGACGAACTCACAGCTCACAGAACTGTGGCTCTGCTCCAGTCCGTGTGGTGTTTCTCTCTGCTGAGGACAGTCAGATCCCAGAGAGGAATTCAGTTGCTGCCCGCTTTCCTGGCCCTTGGCCCCCTCGGTTACTGAAGGGTGGTGGATCCTTAGGGTAATCCAGGGAACAGGTCACATCTCCTTCGAGGAGAGTAGGGAGGGCAGAGCAAATTTCTTAGCAACTTCAAAGCCTGACGTAAAAGCAAACAAATACCAAAAAAGGTTTGGTTTAGACAATAACATGTCATCTACATAAATGCAAATTGGTTTTTTTTCAAATTTTATTATTATTATAGTTTAAGTTTTAGAGTACATGTGCACGACCTGCAGGTTTGTTACATATGTATACATGTGCCATGCTGGTATGCTGCACCCATTAACTCGTCATTTAGCATTAGGTATATCTCCTAATGCTATCCCTCTCCCATCCCCCGGACCCCACCACAGGCCCCGGTGTGTGATGTTCCCCTTCCTGTGTCCATGTGTTCTCATTGTTCAATTCCCACCTATGAGTGAGAACATGTGGTGTTTGGTTTTTTGTCCTTGTAATAGTTTGCTGAGAATGATGGTTTCCAGCTTCATCCATGTCCCTACAAAGGACATGAACTCATCCTTTTTTATGGCTGCATAGTATTCCATGGTGTATATGTGACACATTTTCTTAATCCAGTCTATCATTGATGGACATTTGGGTAGGCTCCAAGCCTTTGCTATTGTGAATAGTGCCGCTATAAACATATGTGTGCATGTGTCTTTATAGGAGCATGATTTATAATCCTTTGGGTATATACCCAGTAATGGGATGGCTGGGTCAAATGGTATTTCTAGTTCTAGATCCCTGAGGAATCGCCACACTGATTTCCACAATGCTTGAACTAGTTTACAGTCCCACCAACAGTGTAAAAGTGTTCCTATTTCTCCACATCCTCCCCAGCACCTGTTGTTTCCTGACTTTTTAATGATCACCATTCTAACTGGTGTGAGATGGTATCTCATTGTGGTTTTGACTTGCATTTCTCTGATGGCCAGTGATGATGAGCATTTTTCATGCGTTTTTTGGCTGCATAAATGTCTTCTTTTGAGAAGTGTCTGTTCATGTCCTTCGCCCACTTTTTGATGGGATTGTTTGTTTTTTTCTTGTAAATTTGTTGGAGTTCATTGTAGATTCTGGATATTAGCCCTTTGTCAGATGAGTAGGTTGCAAATATTTTCTCCCATTCTGTAGGTTGCCTGTTCACTCTGATGGTAGTTTCTTTTGCTGTGCAGAAGCTCTTTAGTTTAATTAGATCCCATTTGTCTATTTTGGCTTTTGTTGCCATTGCTTTTGGTGTTTTAGACATGAAGTCCTTGAAATTGGGCCACTTTTTTATGTGGAAGAGAATTAAGTCCTTAAATTTTAAAAACTAAAGGAAATTCAAGGTTTTAATTTAAATTAAATTTTAAAAACTTAGGAAATTGACATGATTATTATAATGAAACTGTGAAGACTATTTTCAATTATAATTATAAAAATGTGTTGGGAGGCTGAGGCAGGCAGATAACCTGAGGTCAGGAGTTCGAAACCAGCCTGACTAACATGGAGAAACCCCGTCTCTACTAAAAATACAAAACTAGCTGGGCATGGTGGCGCATGCCTGTAATCCCAGCTACTCAGGAGGCTGAGGCAGGAGAATCACTTGAACCCGGGAGACAGAGGTGGCGATGAGCCGAGATCGTGTCATTGCACTCCAGCCTGGGCAATAAGAGCAAAATTCTGTGTATTTAAAAAAAAAAAAAAAGTGAAGACCACTTAATTATAAAGACTTTTTTGTGTATTTCAGACTTCTCTGTGACTTCTCTCATAGGAATGGCAGGATATCCTTTCTTTTTTTTTTTTTTTTTTTGAGACAGAGTCTCTCTCTGTTGCCGAGGCTGGAGTGCAGTGGCGCAATCTTGGCTCACTGCAACTACACCTCCCAGGTTCATGTGATTCTCCTGCCTCAGCCTCCCAAGTAGCTGGGACTACAGGCATGCGCCACCATGCTCAGCTAATTTTTGTATTTTTAGTAGAGACGGGGTTTCACCGTGTTGGCCAGGCTGGTCTTGAACTCCTGACCTCAAGTGATCCGCCCGCCTCAGCCTCCCCAAAGTGTGGGATTACAGGCGTGAGCCACCACGCCCAGCTAGGATATACTTTTGTTCTGAATAAATGACGACTCCTAGAGAGAGACTCACGGAGTAACCACAGGCTACTGAGACTCCCAGCATTGGAGAAGGAGTACCCGGCTCTGAAGGAGGGAGCCGGGTGCATCACAGCACTTACTAAGCTGCACACATTTCAGTGTCTTTGAATTGCCTGTGAATATCCTTTAACCAATTTTCTCATGGTAGTTGCGCCTTTTTTTTTGTTTTTGTTTTTGAGACGGAGTCTCACTCTGTCACCCAGGCTGAAGTGAAGTGGTGTGATCTTGGCTTACTGCAACCTCTGCCTCCCAGGTTCAAGTGATGCTCCTGCCTCAGCCTCCTGAATAGCTGGGATCACAGGCGTGTACCACCACGCCCGGCTAATTTTTGTATTTTTAGTAGAGATGGGGTTTCACCATGTTGGCCAGGCTGGTTTGGAACTCCTGACCTCAAGTTGATCCATCCACCTCGGCCCCCCAAAGTACTGGAATTACAGGTGTGAGCCACCGCGCCTGGCCAGTTGTACCTTTTTGATGGATTTATACTTACTATATATTCCTTATGAATCTTGATATTTTGTTCTATATACACTGCAAATCTTTCCCATGCTGTTTTCTTTTTTTTTTTCCTTTTTCCTTATTGCTTCCTCAGTCTATGAATGAAACTCATCATTTGTCTGTCCAGGACTCGTCTACTTTTCTTGAGGAAACAGATTGTGAGACAACCTGAGTGAAAAGGTAGGAGACAAGACTGGGGAGAAAACCAAAGAGGGAGGATCAGAGACTCAGAGCTAGGAGCTGAAACTCAGGAAGGAAGGAGCCAAGACAGGGAAAGAGGAAGAGTCTCTGAGAGAGAGGAGCTGAGACTCAGAGAAGGAGGAGCCGAGACTCAAAGGGGGAGGAGCTGAGACCCAGAGAGGGAGGAGCCAAGACTCAGAGTGGGAGGAGCCGAGACTCAGAGAGTGGGAGGTGCCAAGACTCAGAGTGGGAGAGGCCGAGACTCACCGGGAGGAGCCGAGACTCAGACAAGCTGACAGGGACTCGAGAGAGGCCAGACTTAGAAAGATAGACACCAGAGAGAGGGGGCAGAGATGCAGAAAAACTTTCTTTTGTGTTCTTAATGTTTTTATGGTGTCTTAACTTGCAAAAAAGTTTTCGAGTTTATGTAGTCAAATCTACCAGCCCCTTCTTATTAAGACTTCTCAATTTTAGAATCTCAGAATGGTCTTTCCCACTCCAAGATTGAAAAACTGCTCTCAAATGTTTTGTTCTAAAACATTTTAGTGTTGTTCTTTAGTATTCCTTCCGTAATCCATTTGAAAATTTATTTTCATTTGTATATGTGTGAGATAGGAATTCTAATCCAATCATTTCCCAGATAGATAACTAAGAACATCATCTATTATAATATTCACCCTTATTCCCCTCTTTGTGCCCTGTCATTTCAAATACCGTATTCATTACTTCTCAGGCTTTTGGCTAAGATCAAGTGTGAAATACCATATTCATCATATACTAAACTTCTACATGTAGATGAATCTGTTTCTGGAGTCTCTGTTCAGTTCCACTGAATTATTTGTCTATGCTTGTGCCAATCCCACAATGTTTTAACCACTATAGCTTTATGGTATATTTTGATATCTAATAGGGAAAATTCTTCACTATTGTTCTTTTTCAAAATGTTCTTGGCTAGACTTCTGCATTTTTTCTTCCAGATGAACTTAAGAATTTGTGGTCAAGTTGCATAAAAAGTTCAGAACCCATCAAATACTTTGTTTCTAAATGTTTCTCCTTTTCTAGTTACTGATCTATTTCTCCTTCTCCCCATCCCACCTCCTTTAAGCAGTACATGTGGTCATCAGCAAGGCACTCCCAAAATTCTAAGAAGTAAAAATTTTAAACCCCCACATTATAAATAAAACTAGAACATGTAGAAAGCAATAATCATAGACTATTCTGGGGTAAGAAGTAGGAAGCACAGAACCTAATTGATTCAGTTTAACAAACTTATTTTAAAGAATAAAGAGGCTGGGTACAGTGGCTCACACCTGTAATCCCAGCACTTTGGGAGGCTGAGGTAGGATGATCACTTGAACCCAGTAGTTAAAGACCAGCCTGGGCAACATAGTGAGACCCATCTCTACAAAAAATAAAAATAAAAAAATTACCCTGGCATGGTGGCACACAACTATAGTCCCAGCTACTTGGGAGACTGAGGTAGGGAGATCGCTTGAGCCCAGGAGGTTGAGACTGCAGTGAGCCATGATCACACCACTATGCTCCAGCCTGGGTGACAGAGTGAGACCTGGTCTCAAAAAAAATAAATAAAGAGAATTGACTAATCATAAAGGGTCAATGATACAAGCACAGAAAAAAAAGGGATGAGCTTTTTTAAGCAAAGTCAATTCATGACTGCCCACAATACAGGGATGGGCAAATATGCGACTTGTGCCCTTCTTATGTCCCCTCAGCACTATCCATTTCAGACCCACCAGCCCAACTTCTAACCACCACATCTGTTGCTCTTGACTGAAGCTCTGGCCACCAGAGCTCGTTCTTCCCATGTACGCAGTAGGAAGGATGTGTTGGCAAATTAGCCACCCAATCCACTCCCTGGTCAGGAGTATCACTCAGCCAATGACTTATGAGAGTTGGTGCATAAAGACCCAGATCTCCAGCCGAGCACAGTGGCTCATGCCTGTAATCCCAGCACATTGGGAGGCCAAG
The DNA here is from genome assembly GCF_000001405.40 of Homo sapiens. Classification (NCBI taxonomy): domain Eukaryota; kingdom Metazoa; phylum Chordata; class Mammalia; order Primates; family Hominidae; genus Homo; species Homo sapiens. The sequence continues at coordinate 10,380,941 of NC_000011.10, read as the reverse complement.
GTGGGCAGATTATCTGAGGTCCAGAGTTCAAGACCAGCCTGGCCAACATGGTGAAACCCCATCTCTATTAAAAATACAAAAATTAGCTGGGTGTGGTGGTGCATGCCTGTAATCCCAGCTACTCGGGAGGCTGAGGCAGGAGAATCGCTTGAACCCAGGAGGCAGAGGTTGCAGTGAGCTGAGATCACACCACTGGACTCCAGCCTGGGCAACAGAGTGAGACTCTGTTTCAAAGAAAAAAAAAAAGACCCAGATCTCTGGACCCTAGGTTGGATTAACATGGGGATGCATATTGTACACTGTCTCCCAGAGTCTTCAGTGAGGCTAAGCTTCAGTTACCCACAGTGGTATCTTGTTTGATAACACATCTGTATTGGCTTCCTTCCTTTCCCTGTTTCATTTCACTCTGCTACCACTGTTTCCTGGAACCACTTTCCAATTAAACCATTTGCACTCAAATCCTTGTTTCAGGGCCTGCTTCTGGAGGAACCCAAACAAAGAGGGGCAGTCTCCTGACCCAAGGCCTTAACCTACCCAGCTTCAAAGGAAGTCCTTCCCCCATCCCAGGCATGGGGGTAACAGCTGATTAGAACCTGTTGCCATCAACAGGTTGCACCATCATGAAACGATCACCCCTAAATCTGATTCCAAGCTCACCAAGCAATCTTCTGAGGATGACCTGGTTTCCCAGATGGCTTTCCATTAAAAAAGAGGGGATGCTGACAAGAGGCAGCAAATGCCCAGTCCCCAAGTGGTTTTGCTTCTCATCGCCAACAAATGTTTAGCAAGTAGTTTACACAGTAAGCACTTGCAAGCTCAGACAATGAAACCCTATTCTGAGTGAGATAGAGCCACTCTCAGTGTTGATAAACATGTGTTTCCAAGCCTACCAAGATGAGAACCAGGCTCTGGGCCAAGGAGACTTTCCACCCTAAAAGCTGATTCATAAAGAGCCTAATGGAAGTCAACCAGCCTCACCTGCCAGCACCTGACCTGGCCACATACCTTCTTACAGGCTCTGGTGGCAGTGTTCCACTTCTGTTAAGGGAAGCAATAACAGATGGCTTCACAATTTTTCAAACCTTTATGCTCCCTTTTTTATGCTTCCTCCTTTTACTAGAGGAAAATCTGTGCACCCTCTAGTACTTTAGTTCCCAGGGCATTCACAATGCCAGGATCTCCATTTCCTGTTAGACTTCTCTCTTCTACCTGAGTCATTCTAGACTGCTGGTTATGAGCAAGAGAAGCATAACTCTGGATTTTCTGGGACAATTCAGATTCCAAATATGCTGAACTTTAGCCTTAAACTATTAAAATATCCATGGAATTCTAAGATTTCTCTGTCCAACTAACCTCTCCCATATTGCATTAATACTGGGAAATAGCCCAAAACAATTTTTGTAAGACGATGTGTTCTTGATGTTGGTTTGGTTCTGAAAATCTTGTTATAAAAGATTCCTGAGCTGTGATACACACCCATCCTTGAGCTGTTTCTAATTCAATTACTCAGGCTCTTATATTTAGCCAAAGGTCCTTTATTTGGACCAACTCATTCCTTTATATACATTGGGTATCTTAAATAATGAAATCTCTTAAATTGGAGCTCCTTAAACCAAAGTGAATTTTTTAAGAAAGAAAGAAGAACAAGAGAAAGACAAGCCAGTGTTCCCAGAACACCAGTGGCCCAGGGGCCCCATTGAGATGGGGAGATTCTGGTGGCTGATGGGGAGCTGTCCACTAGGGAGGTGCTGACAATTTCCTGGAATTTATATGGGGACCGTCCTCAAGAGTTGTGAAAGAGTCCACTCCACACTCCTACCACCACCACATTCCCCAGAAAAAAAAAAAAAAAAAAGTAAAATATTGGAGGGTTTATGGAAACATAGGCCATGCCCCCAAGTTGGAGTGGGAAAGACAAGAATTGGCCCCCAGAGCTTTCTGAATCTTCTCCACTTCGCTGAAATCCAGACACAATATCTGTCAGGACTCCTTTACTCTGATTCTAAACATTCTGTGTGATGGATGCTATAGATGCCTCCAGGGAGGTCTTGAAGTCCCTACAGATGCTAATTCTGGCAGATCCAATAGGAAAAACAAGACTAGCTGCTGAAGAGGGGGAGGTTGCAGTCCCAATCCCCCTCCTATGCCCTAACATTGCCTTCCTTCCCCCTTTCTGTACTGAGAATAAGGGCCTGAAGCCCTACCACCTTTCCTTAATCACAGGGCTTGGGGAAAAATACTGAATGCCTTTGAGGGGACAACTGATTGCCTTTGCTGTGTGTGGCAGGCTGCTGACTCTAAACAAGCCACTCTTCCGCCCTAGGCTTGCTCTCCTCCTACGTAAGATGAGAAATGCCTGGACTCGCAACCCTTTTGCTGTCTCACTGTCCTCTGGCCATCTTTCCTCCTCTCCTCAGTTGTATGTTTCCATGCCAGGGTATCCACAGCCTCCTTGCAAAGAATTTCCACCACTCAAGTTCCCCAGCACTAAGGACCCCCGAGCTCTGGAAGCAAAATCCTCTGGAACAATCATGGGTATTAGGGTATCAGAAGAACCTGAAAGCCTTGGTCCTGGAGTATATAGGGTGAGGGAGAGTGGGAAAAGCAAGGAAATCCCCAATTGTTGGGGGGAAATCCAGGAGCACTGTCTCCCTCTGTTTTTTTAAGATAATAATTTATTTTTATAAACATGATACATACTTATTATAAAAAATTCAAACAATATTGTAGAACACAAAGAAAATATTTAAAAATCTTCAATATCCCACCACCACCAAATAACCATGGCTGACACAAGTGAACATTGTTGCAGATGTCACTCTCCTTATGTGTACAGAGAGAAGGATGGATAGGTAACTAAGAAGGGAGAGTGAATGGATGTATGGATAGTTGACTACAAAAAGTGGTTTAGAAAGAGATCACACTTTACATGCTATTTAATAAAAGGTATAAAATTTAATTTTCCTTGAATTTAAGAGAAGACAAAGATGTTAATAAAGCTAATGGAATTGCTTAACTTGGTGTATTCTCCACAAAAGATATTTTTATTTTTATTTTTTGGGACAGGATCTCATTCTGCCACCCAGCCTGGTGTGCTGTGGTGCAATTGCAGCTCACTGCAGCCTTGACTTCCCCGGCTCCAACAATCCTCCCACCTCAGCCTCCCAAGTAGCGGGGACCACAGACACGTGCCACCACACCTGGCTAATTTTTGTATTTTTGGTAGAGACTGGGTTTTGCCATGTTGTCCAGGCTGGTCTCAAACTAGTGAGCTCAAGCAATCTGCCTGCCTTGGCATCCCAAAGAGCTGGGATTACAGACGTGAGCCATTGCACCTGGCCCAAAGGAGACAGTATTTCTCAAGGATGTTGTACCTCTAAGGTTAAGAAAATATGTTATGAAAAATATTCAGAGACTGGAATAAACTTTTTTACATGCTTCAATTTTAGGCAATATCAATTGACTGGCTGCTATAAAAGATAAGGAAATTACCATTCTTACACTTCCCCTTCCTCCCTTCCCCCACTTCCCAAATATTATGAGTAGTACTGTTCTTTTTTTTCTATTTTTACCTCTTAATATGAGTCATTGTCAGTGCATGTGATCAAGATGAAATGGTGCATGTTATGGAGAAATGTGATAACATGGATGTCTATATTTATAGATTCCAAATAATATCAAAAATAGAAATATTAAAAATTGTATTTGGCTACATAATTATAATAATAATGTCAATGATTTATGTGGACCACTGACCTTATGCACCTAATGACTATGCATCTAATAATTGTGTGATTATCTTCAAAGGTCAGATCAGAAAAATAATAATAAAATCAAATAAGCGGACAAACTAGATGATCACTGAGGCTTTTGTAATGCTATGAGTTTTGAAATCTATCTTCTTAGAGATCCCCTGGAGGGATCTTTATATGAGCTCTGGGGAAGCTTTTCCTGTCACACAACAGAGACAGACTTGATAATAATAGCAACAATTGGCTGGGCCTTGTGGCTCAGGCCTGTAATCCCAGCACTTTGGAAGGCCGAGGTCAGGAATTCGAGACAAGCCTGGCCGACATAGTGAAACCCTGTCTCTACTAAAAATACAAAAATTAGCCGGGTGTGGCGGCATGCGCCTGTAGTCCCAGCTACTCGGGAGGCTGAAGCAAGAGAGTTGCTTGAACCCGGGAGGCGGAGGTTGCAGTGAGCCCAGATCGCGACACTGCACTCTGGCCTGGGCGAAAAAGTGAGACTTCTTCGCCAAAAATAATAACAATAATAATAGCAACAATTTCTAATATTGCCACTCACTGCCTGCCAGGCACAGGCTTAACTGCTTTACATATATTGGCTTATTTAATCTCCCAACATCTCAATGAAGGATGTACTATATTCTTAATTTAAAAGTGAGGAAACTGAGGCAGAGTGATTAAGTAACATTCAAGGTCCCATACTAGTGAGTTATAAACCTCAAATAGTCACAGTAAGTAGCAGAGGTGGAATTTGAAGACTGTTTCCTTGACCTCAATAACTCACCAAGCCATGTGCCCTTGGGTTAATCACTCATTCTCTCTGGGCCGTCGTGTTTTCCATAAGCTAGGGACTAATAAGGACTTCCCTGCCTGTCACCCAGGGCTTCACTGAGGATCAAGTAAGCAGTGCTTGGGAAAGGGCTTTGAAAAGCTGCATTATTATCTTCTTCTCCAGTTCTCACTACGGCATGTGGCCAGTGGCCTTGGTCAGGGCTCAGGCAGGAGTCAGCCTCCGCTGATGAGAAAAACATTACCACAAGGCCACACAAAAAAAAAAAAAAACAGTCCTCCTGCCAGAAGACAATTAGATGGAGTGGGCAGGGAATTCCGATGGCCACGAACACTTAACCAAGTTCGTGTTCAGGGTGAGTTACAGCGAGACGCTATTCATTTACAAGGTTTGTTGTCAAACGACAATTTCACAGTAGAAGTCATTGCATGGAGAGAATATCAAGAGGGCCATTGGCTGTTGTCTCCACTCCTTTGGACCAGGTCTCTTTTCTCAGGTTCTCAACACTTGATCTCCCCTGGAGCAGACACCCTTTGGCTGGCTGAGCTACCAACCTGCCTCTCTGGATGCGATACTTGAAAAGTGAGGGCCAGAAAAAATGCCTTTTTAGAACTCAGCCAGTGTAAAGAAGAAGACCAGGCCAGCGTTAGGAGCCCTGGGGGCTCTGGGAGACAGAAAAGCTGATTTCTGGCCCTGACTCAAAACCATAACCTCAGGCAAATCCCTTCTCTTCTCAGGGGTTTTGCTTTCCCATCTGTAATACAAGGGCTTCCTGGATGCTCTCTCAAGGCCCTTCTACCTCTGCCCTCATGCTGACTATCCTGGGGAGAGGTGCAGTGCGGATATGACTGGCTGTGATCTATCTGGGAGATTTCCAGAAAGAGAGCAATCAAGCAAGAATCCAGAGACCACAGATTAAGACAAACTGCAGTTTCAGAACCCTTGGCCAACAATGCAAAGTTTTAAAGCCACAGCAGTTGGTTTATAGGGCAAAAAGGAGAAGATAGTACTGTCTAGAGGAGCATCCGGGGATGGGTTTTTTAACAAATGTTGCTGGGATCCTCTATTGTATGCAAGGCACGTGGAGAAGGGGAGGGAAAGAGAAGCTATGCAAGCTCCCAGGATGAACAAGACATAGTGTCAGCCCTCACAGATTATAAACTAGGGGAAAAGACTGTTGTATACCAAGCTAAGAGGAATGAAAAGGGTATAGGATAGGGCTGTCTGCACTCGCCATGGGATGCAACAGGAGCCACTTTTAAGTCCTGTGCTAGGTATGGCAGGGTCAAAGGTCAGAGAGAGGGTCCTCTCCGGTCTAGAGATAGGAAAGCTGGCTAGGCAGAAGGGATACACTTACATACCATCCCAGAACCTTGAAAAAGAGGAGAGAGCTCTAAAGTTCTGGGAATCAGTTGCCACTCCAGTTTTATACCTCTAAGTCAATACCTGTTTCTCTAAAGGCCTTCCATTTCTCCATGAGCAAAAAACAAGAGCCACAGCTTCCCTCCCCACTGCCCCACTCCCAGCATCCAAGGCCTCATTCATTTCAAAAGAAGCCAAGATTTCCAAACTTGTTCCCAGACTTGTCGCTTACCTTGTCACTGGCAGGGCTTCTCTCTGAGAGATGTGTCAGGGTCCTATCTCCCAGGGAGCCTGCAGCTAAGTCTGGTCAAGAGAAGAGAGGCTGGATCTTCCCATTAGACAATCAGAATCATGGTGCTGTTTCTGCCTTGCTGGCTTTCTGTGTGCTGCTTCTGGTCTAACATGTAGCCCAAACAGATAGGCACAGGAGACAGCTCATCTGGGACATACACTCAGCCCAGGAATGATGACTACAATGCCAGCAGGTCCATTCATTCAGACCTCCCTCCTGAACAAAAGCTTCTGTGATTCAGGACTTTGTAAAGATGACAAAAGGATCGTTTGAAAGACCTAAATCCCCCTATGACATTAACCATGTAATATGGTTTGTGAATTATACATACATATAGATAAACATGCATGCATGCATAAACATACATATACATACACATGCATGCATATATGTGTATATACATGTATATGCATTTGTATGCATGTACATATAGGTCTATGTATATACATGTACATACACATATATACAGATATGTGTGTATATATAGGCATATATACACATATGTGTGTGTGTGTGTATACATGTATACACATATACAGTGACTTTGAATAAAGTACAGTCATGGCCTAGGGGCCTGAGGTTAACTGCCAATCCTCCTCACCAGAATGAAACTGGCTACAGGTAGAGTTTCTGTGACGGCCTTTTATGGTCTACCTCTGCCTGATCTGACTGTGCATCTGCTCCCCCACTTCTCTATCTTGATGATCTATATCCCACACAGACCCACACTTCCTTTACAGGTCCCATTTACCAACTGATAAATATGGAGAATTATCAGTAATAGATCTGATCTATATCTGTGCAGGCTATAGATCATCACTTTTGCCACAATTAAAAATAAAAATAAAAAAGGAGACCATCTCCTTTTTTATTTTTATTTTTAATTGTGGCAAAAAAACACACGCACAATGGAAAATTTACTATCTTAACCATTCTTAAGTGTACAGTTCAGTAGTGTTAAGTATGTTCACACTGTTGTTCTCCATCTCCCCTTTAGCACTTACCTAAAAGCCTTGAAGCAACACAGTCTTCATTTGTTATGGTTAGATTGCTTCCAGAAATTTGACTCCTCTTTGCTCCTGCACAGATCTGTGTAGAGCTGAAGTGCAGGAGGTTCATACTTGACCTCAAATGCACTCTGCTAATGGCTATTATAAATTATCTTCACATTTTGCTGACTCCATGGATAAAAGCAGGTCAGCTTCCTGCAGCCAAGAGTCTTGGGCCAGGCAGTGGCATGGGCTCCCTTCCAGGGAATCGGTCTCAAAAAGGAGTGGATCTACTTGTGTTCACAACACAAGAGTTGGACTGTTTGCGTCAGATGGGGACACCAGACGACTGTGCCTTTAAGGGTGGTAGGCACCCACCTGTGTGGCCCCAGCTTTGCCCTTTGGAGGAGGCACTTGAAAGAAGCAAGTTATGTAATGTCAGGTTCCTCATCTGAAAAATGGGAATAATATCCACCTTATAGATTATTTCAAAGCTTGAAAAAGATGATGTTCATGAACTGTTTGTTTTCAAGTAGTAAATAGTTTAAAATAGTCACATGGTAAGTGCTTTTTCCCCCAAGTTTAATTTTTCAAATTCATTTCTATCTTGCAGTATACTATACTTCATAATATGTCCACTCTTTGAACTTCTATTTAATTGACAAATGAAAGTGTATATATTTGTGCAACATGCACAACATGATGTTTGATAATGACTACATTGTGGAATGACTAAAAATTAACATAACCATTATCTCACATACAAAGAGACTTCACAAAGTTTATGAAAAATGTGTCTTATGAGAAAACTATGCATGGATTTAAAATTTTTTCTGCACCAACATAAACTCATACTAACTTGTTATAATATGTTGAACAGAATCTAGTTTGAGGCACTAAGGAGGATAAGACATGAGTTTGAAAAGAGCCTCTATCAGACCAACATGAATTCTACTAAAATTGAAGAACAAACATCAGATTTATGGTGAAGCTTGGGTGGAAGAATGATAAAATCACTGATGCTTTACAAAAGTTTATAGGGACAAAGCCCCAAAGAAATCAGCAGTTTGCAAACAGATACCTCATTTTAAGAAAGGATGAGACAATGTTGAAGATGAAGCCTGCAGTGACCGACCATCCACATCAACTTGTGAGGAAAAAAATCATCCCATTTGTGCCCTAATTGAAGAGGACTGACAATTACCAGCACAAAAAAATAACTAACACCATAGACATCTCAATTGGTTCTGCTTACACAATTCTGGCTGAAAAATTAAAGTTGAGCAAACTTTCCGCTCAATAGATGCCAAAACCATTGCACCCAGATCAGCTACAGACAAGAGCAGAGCTTTCCATTGAAAGTTTAAATAAGTAGGATCAAGGCCCTGAAGCATTTCTTTGAAGAATCGTAACGGGAGATGAGGGGGTGGCTTTACCAGTATGATCCTAAAGACAAAGCACAATCAAAGCAATGGCTACCAAGGGGTGGCAGTGGTCTACTCACAGCAAAAGTGGACAGGTCAAAAGCAAAGGTCGTGGCAACAATTTTTTGGGCTGCTCAGGGCATTTTGCTTGTTGACATTCTGGAGGGCCAAAGAATGATAACATCTGCTAAGTATGAAAGTGTTTTGAGAAAGTTAGTCAAAACTTTAGTAGAAAAATGTCCGGGAAATCTTCACCATAGAGTCCTTCTCCACCACGACAATGCTCCTACTCATTCCTCTCATCAAACAAGGGCAATTTTGACAGTGTTTTGGTGGGAAATCATTAAGCATCCTGATTTGGCTCTTTCTGACTTCTTGTTTGTTTCCTACTCTTAAAAAGTCTTTAAAAGGCACCCATTTTCTTCAGCTAATAATGTAAAAAAGACTGAATTGACATGGCTAAGTTCCCAGGACCCCTCGGTTCTTCAGAAATGGACTAAATCGTGCTGTCATCAATTACAACAGGGTCTTGATCTTGATGGAGCTTATAGTGAGAAATCAAGTTTATATTTTGTATTTTAATTTTTTAGTTCCATTTTTCCATGAACTTTTTGAAGTCTCATACTTATCATTTTTTTCTCGTGAGAACATTTAAAATCTACTCTTAGCAATTTTCAAGTATATGATACATCATCATTAACTACAGTCACATGGTTGTTCAATAGATCTATTGAATTTGTTCTCTCTGTCTAATCTTATTCCTTTGAGCAACATCTCCCAATCTCCCTACCCCCATGGTAAGTGCTTAATAAGTAGATAAATAATATTTCTTGTTATTATTGGACCCCAAATTTTCCCAATCCCTGCAAGCCTGCAAGCATGAGTGAAGATTCTTTAACAATAAGAGATCTAATTTCACCAACTAATGTTCTCCTTTAATAACTTAGGCTTTCACTTTTGTGGAATGTGTCTCACAGGAGTTCTCTTTGCCCATGAGCAAATCTCTCTCTGGGGCATCTACTGCCCCACAGGGTCCTAGTTTCAGATACTGCTCTTTGCACTCAGCACCACCAGAGATGTGTGGAACCTTCTCGGTGTCATGTAGGCTCTCTCCCTGTGTGTCACACCCAGAAAAAGTATCCTAAAGAACTGTGGATGGTACATCGATGTTTTGCATTATTTGTAAAATGGCTTGAGTTTTTACTTAGAACTCCCTGTTTAGCACAAGACAGGCTTGAGTGAGTCTTTTGAGACTGGATCAAGAGAGATTTCTAAGGGATAGAAAACAATCTGTATTAGTATTTCCTACCCCCTACTCCCCTGGGTTGAGTGCCCTCAGCAACCATACACAAAGACTTATGGGAAACCTGACCCTTCAGGTCACCAGCCATGGTGGCCAAATCTGTCCCAGATCAAGGGACACAACCTATACTAAGCAGAGATCTGGAATTGTTATTCTACTGGGCTTTGACATTCCAAACACAATCTCCCAAATACCTGCCCCGTATTAGTTATTTATTGCTGCTTAATTAATGATTCCACACTTTGTAGCTTTTGTTATGAGGTCAGGAACCTGGGAGTGGCTTAGCAGGATGTTTCTAGTTCAGGGCCTCTCCCAGGGTTGCCAGGGCTGCAGGCATCTGAAGCTCAATTGGCAGGAGGCTTTAGTTCTTTGCCACATGGGCCTCTCCATAGCTTATGACATGGCTTCTCCAGAGCAAATTATCCAAGACAGGGTGACTGAGACAGAAACTACAATCATTTATAACCTAACTTTGGAAGTCACATACCATCACTTTGCCATAGTCTACTGATCACACAGACTTACACTAGTACCAGGTGGGAGGGGACTACCCAAAAGTGTGAATACCAGGAGGTGGAGATCACTGGGAGCTGCATTGGTAGCTGCCACCACATGCCCTCTGCCCTCTCCAGCTCCAGCCTCTACAATCTTGCCTGAAAGGAGCCCATCTTTCTTCACAGTCAAAGAGGGGAGTTTAGAGGCCCTGAGGATAGAACTAAGCAATGGCAAAGTAGCACTGGCACCCAAGGATATGTGTGTAAAAGACAAGAACCTGGAAAAGAAAGAGCAGAAAATAAGAGGACGGAAGTAAATCAAAGGGCACAGAGCTTTGAAGGAAAAAAAAAAAGAGAAAAAAGCAATACTGTAGGACAGTAAAACTGAAAATAGACAGAAGACCTCGATCCTCAGGGGGGTAGACTGACAGAGGTCAGTACTTTATAACAGCAGAGGTGCATTTCCCTCTTGTGCTACCTGTCCATGGTTGGGAGTTCACTCCGCATCTCACCTGGGAGCCCAGGCTGATAAAGCAGCCATCATTTGAATATCACCTGCATGTGGGTGGAAAGAGCACTCTGGAGGGTCTTGTACTGGCAATGAAATGCTCTGGCCCAGAAATGATTCACACCTCTTCCATTCACAACCCTTTGGCCACAAAGGGTCACCAAGGAGCCAAAAAGTGCAATCCTATCATGTTCCTGGAAGAGGGGAAAACGAAATATTTGGCAAAAGCACTCATGACTCCTCCAGGTCTAAGAGAAGAATAAACTTCTCAGAGAGAAAGGTAGGGAAGGGACTAGGGCTGGGTACTGGGGACTAGACTGGAGTCTCGCAAACGAGGCTTTTCCAGAGCTGTGCTCTAGAAGGTCCTCTGCCTGTGACCCTGCCCCCACCTTGGGCTCAGCTCATCCTTTGCTGCCTCACACAACAGGCCAAAGGAGCAAGCATCTCTTGGGGACTCTGTTTCAGGCCTGGGTCATTCCCTGACCCTCACCTTACACTGTTTTCCTCCCTCACCCAGCCCATTGATCCAGCGGGAGGATGCCCAGACACCAGGTCACAGGTTTCAAAGTAAGGCCCAAGTCATGGGATCCGTGGGGGCAGCCCTCAACTCACTTCCCAGAGATGGGTATACCTCTAGCCCTAATCTGACCACCTGACCGTGGTTCTTGGTAGATAGAGCTGGGCCAAGCTCCCATCAACCTGAGAGGTCCCTGGAGAAGTAAAGCCCTTTCTTGCCTAAACCCATTCTCTCTCTTTTGACCAGAAGCTCAACTCCTAAGAATCTCAAGTTTTCACCCATACTAGCTGGCCCAGCCTACCCAACCAGGCCAAATATCTCATCTCCCTAGCAGGCTTTTCAGAGAAAGATCTGGAGGTGGCTATAAGGCAACGCATGGTAGCGGCCTGGCTTGTCTCTCTGCAGACTCCATGTGACCTCACACTTTTGTTCATAGTCTCACATCCAACAACTGCTTAGGTTAGAGCTGATTTAGTTATCGGCCATTCTTAAGGACTCCATTGGCTCACTCACAGATTAGGAATATCCATGGTTCATCAGCAGGGCCAATGCCACCTGACCCCAACCTCTTACCCCCATCCCCTAAGCCATCCCTAAAAAGTATACAATGTAAGTGAAATCAGTGTGTTTTCCATACAAGACTTCTAGCTTCCCCTTCCACTGCAATGCCTCCTAACCCCTCCAACATAGAAATGCTGGAGCTGGCAGGGCGTGCTGGCTCACACCTATAATCCCAACATTTTCAGAGGCCAAGGCGGGTGAATCACCTGAGGTCAGGAGTTCGAGACCAGCCTGGCCAACATGGTGAAACCCCATCTCTACTAAAAATACAAAAATTAGCTGGGCATGGTGGCATGTGCCTGTAATCCCAGCTACTCAGGAGGCTGAAACAGGAGAATCACTTGAACCCAGGAAGCAGAGGTTGCAGTGAGCAGAGATCATGCCACTGCACTCCAGCCTGGGCAACAGAGCAAGACTCAGTCTCAAGAAAATAAAATAAAAATAAAAGAAATGCTGGAGCCAATAGCACCTCTCAGGTTCAGGCACTCAGAAATCAACTATTGGGGTGAGGTTGGGGGGATGTCCACAAAAACTTAGGACAAACTTTGACATTAAATTCATTCTCAGGGGACAATCTCATCCAGTTCTTGACTGAAAATAGTTACAATGGCTGTGCTGCTACAGGAGGCAGAGAAAAACCTCTCAAGGGGCAGCCAGGAACTCTTCATGGGGTAGGTCATATTTTAACTTGGGCCTCGACAGTTGGGAAGATTCTCAGTCAAGGATGCTGAGGAGGTTACTCTGAGTGCAGAGAGAACAGCATATACAAAGGCAAAGAGATGAAAATTTAGCTGACTAATATAGTATGTGTAACAGAGTAGTGGAGATAAGACTGGAAAGACAGCTCATAAACTGACCCCAACCTCAAGAGAGCCTTGAATATCAGTGAAGAGGTTACACTGATTCTCAAGAGAGATACAGAACAATCAGGATAAAGAATAATCTTAACCAATTAGTCCATTTTCATACTGCTATGAAGAAGTACCTGAGACTGGGTAATTTAAAAGAAAAAGAGATTTAATGGACTCACAGTTCCACATGGCAGGGAAGGCCCCTCACAATCACGGCAGAAGGTGAAGGAGGAACAAAGTCACATCTTACATGGCGGCAGGCAAGAGAGCGTGTGCAGGGGAACTGCTCTTCATAAAACCATCAGATCTCATGAGACTTATTCACTATCACGAGAATAGCACAGAAAAAACCTGCCCCCATGATTCAAGTACCTCCCACCAGGTTCCTCCCACGACACGTGGGGATTATGGAAACTACAATTCAAGATGAGATTTGGGTGGGGACACAGCAAAACCATATCAACTAACATCTATAGAATATTTACTAGGTTGAGCATTAGGCCAAGTGCTTTATATGCATTGTTATCTCACACCAGCTTAACAAGTATATCTATTATTTTTCTGTTTTAAAGACGAGAAAACTTGGCTCAGAGATGCTGAGTTACTTGCCTAAAATCACAGAGCTAGTAAGTGGCATGCACAGAATTCAAACCCAAATCTGCCTGATTCTAGAACCACTAGATGATATTAAATGGTGATGAACAGCATACTTACAAAAGTCCCTCTCCATGGCCGTGGCCTTAGATGGCATCAGGGGGATGGCAAGGAAGGTGTCAGCCTAAAGCCAGACAATTCCAAGCATAGCTCAAGAGTCACTATCGGGTGTCATTCACAGTTGACAGCTGAACAGAAAGGCTGGACATACATGTTGTCTCAGTTAGCAGGGAAGGACAGGAAAGAAGCATGCTGAGCAAAGGTCCATACTGAATATGATCCCTTCCCTACTCCGGACTTTGCAGAGCTGCCCTGCCCAGCGGCACCAGGCCTTCTCAGAGTTGTCCTTTGGCAGCAATGTAATTCATGTTCCCCACTGAGGGCAGAGTCCAGGCTTTGGGTCTATTCTGGCACCCCTTTTCTTCAGAGGCAGCCAAAACAACCCATTGCCTCATTGCAGCACCCCCTTCAAACCAGTCACTTTGGAGAACTTCCAAGGGCTTCGAGACATCTGTTGAACAGAGTTCAACTGGATCTGTTGAACAGAGTTCCATTCTCAATGCCTCTGCCTGCGGAAAGCCACGACAAGGACAGATGTTGTGGCTAGAGGGCAGCAGAGAGCTAGAGGCAGAAGCGCAAGGAGGAGCTAAAGATCACAGCTGGGAGAGCTCTTGGAGGAAGTGGGGGGATGGGGGGCACATGGAGAACCTCCATCTGCCAAGGAAATCCCCTCCCTTGAGTTCACACAGAGGCCAGTTCAGGTTGAGCCATAGATGTTAGGGGATCACATTGGGAAGCCAGACCGGAGGAGAAGCAGAGAGATGCCAGAGACAACACCACTAAGAGTCAAGAAGAGAGCTGGGAACATGCTGGAGGTCACCAGAGGTCCTGGAGCAGGTCTGAACACAGGCCAGCCTTGTTCTCCCCAGGCCAGGAGAGCAGAGAAGAATTTGGGCAAAAAAGCAAAGAAGAAAAGCTGCCCAGTTCATTTTATGAGGTTATCATAACCCTGATAACAAAACCTGTCAAGAACAGCACATACACACACACACACACACACACACACACACACACACACACACACACACACACACACAAAGACCAGTCTCACTTTTGAATGGGGACAGAAAAACATCTGGAAAAAAATTAGCAAATTTAATTAAAGCACATCAAAAAATCATCCATGATAGTCAAGGAGGGTTTAACAACGTAAGGATGGTTTGACATTAGGAAATGTATTAAAATTATACAGTTCATCCTTAAGAAAATAAATCACCCAAACCTATATTCTGAAAAGCACTTGATAAAGTTCCACATCCATTTCTGGTGGGTTTTTTTTAACTTTCAAATTTTTAGGGAGAGCAGAAAAATCCCTTAACATAATGAATGGTGGCAATATCTTACTTAAAATTGAAATACTACAGATTGTTTCATTAAAATCAGTAACCAAACAAAAAGATCAATGTTATTATTATTACTTAATATTGTTCTAGAAGTTAAGGTCAATGCAATAAATGAAGGAATAAAACAAAAACTAGATGTGGCAAGAAGACAAAATTATCATTTCTTATCAGTGCTATACCTTAGTTATAAAAGCTATATTTTAAAATTCCAAGACAACTTCCAGAAATAAAATAATAGTAAACAAGAACTTAAAAATCAATAATAAAAGTAATGTGAATAAAACAATAGGCAATATAAGCTGTTTACCACCTAGAATGTTATGGTCAAAAAGTTTGAAAACAATGTTGATAAGAGTTTGGGTAAACAGGCACCCTCAAACGTTGCTGATGGTATTTTGCATAGGGGGAAAAAAACGTTTCTTCTCTATACTCTCATAATGTTTCTGGCCACTAAATGTGTATGAGCTTTTCCCATACCAACCAATTCTCCAATTCTCTGTAGGCACCAACTGGGTATCCTATAATTTAACTCAATTCTGACACTAACTTTCCTGAGTTACGGCAGACCCCACAGGTTAAGGGCTCAGTGCCACAGGACTGCCCCCAACTTCAGACACCAAGTACAAGGAGTAGATCCCCAGGTTACCAAATTGAGGGCTGTCACAACCCCCTCCCCAAGTTTGATAATTTGCTACGATGACTCATAGAACTCATGGAAACACTTACGTTTACCAGTTTATTATATAATAAAGGATATGATAAGGATACAGATGGACAGCCAGAGGAAGAGGTACATAGGGCAAGGTCCGAAAGCAGAACAGGCATAGGAACTTCTGTCCCTGTGGAGTTGGGGTGCACCACCCTCCCATCACGCGGATGTGTTCACCCACCCAGAAGTTCTCCAAACCCTGTACTTCAGGGACTTTTATGGAGGCTTCATCATGTAGGCATGATTCATTATTAACTCAATCTCCAGAAGTTCCAAGCTTCTAATCATGGCTTGGTCTTCCTCGAGAACAGCCCCCATCTAAGAGCCCACCGAGAGTCATTTTATTAGAACAAAGATGCTCCTAGTACCCTTTCACTTCAGAAATTACAAGGGTTTTAGGAGCTCCATGTCAGGAACCAGGGTCAGAGACCAGTATATACATATATGTATTTCTTATTGTTTCACAGTATTATATATTGGTACAGCCTCTATGGAGAGCAATTTGGCAATATTTAAAAATTATAAATGCACTTGCCTTTTAGACTAGCAGTTCCTGTTTAGGAATTAATCTGACAGATATTCCTGTATCTATGTTAAAAATATATGTACAAAATTATTTTTTATTTATTGTTATGACGTAAGAAAATGGAAATGACCTAAATAAACATCAACAGAAAACTGTTCAATAAATTGCGGTATTCATTCATTGGTATACTATGCAGTTGTAAAAAAGAACGAGGAAGCTTTTTATATATTAAAATGGAATGAGCTCTAAGATATAAAGTTAAGTGAAAAAGCAACATACATAAGACCATGCATAGTTTGCTACCATTTGTATATATACATTTTAAAAACAGGAAAAATCATATTTACTAGTTTATGTATAAAATATCTATGGATGGATATACAAGAAACTAGTAACATTTATTAAATATGTATACCGTATTCTATAATTTGAGTTTAAAACTAAGTATATATATTACCTGTTATTAAATATATTTAATTTTAAGAAAGAACTGGGGAAAATGTTCACAAAAGTATGGGACATCCTTTGCTTTGCCAGATAAAAAATATATTTTAAAACTACTATTATTAAACACTATACAACTATAATACTGGCAGAAGTACTGACACAACATGTAAATTAGTTACTTAAAAGACAAAGGAAACATGAGAAATTAATGGAGAAATATCAAGTTATTCACTCACCAAATGATATTGTAAAAAATAACACTTTGGCAATAATTTATATTCTTACCCTAGCCCCATATACCAAAATTAATTTCAGATTATTTAAAATTTTAAATGTACAAAATAGAACTATATAAAAACTAGGTGAAATATATGTAAGTAGTTAACTGATCTTTAGATGTTGATGATTTTCTGTTTCAAATGTTAAGTCTACCTTCCATTCCTGGGATAAACCCCACTAGGTCATGATATATTTTCTTTTTCAAATATTATTGGTTTTAATTTGCCAAAGTATTACCATTGGTTTTAATCTGTTACCTCTATTCATGAGACATGTTGGTCTTCAGTTTTGTTTGTGGTACCAAGATAATGCTAATCTCCTAAAACAAGTTGGGCGATGTTTCTCCTCTATTTTTTAAGTGAGTTTGTATAGAATTGGTATTATTCCATTCTAATGTATACTAGAATTCACCCGTTAAACATAAAGTTGTTCATAATATTCCTTTGTTTTTTAAATATCTATAGGATCTATAATAATGTCCCCTCTTTCATTCTTTCATTCGTAATGCTGGCAATTTCTCTCTCTTCTCTTCTCTCTCTTTCTCTGTTAGCCTGGTGAGAGGTTTATTATTGCCTTTTTTTTTTTTTTTTTTCAAAGAACAGCTTTTGGTTTTATTTACTTTCTCTATTATTTTTCTGTGTTCTATTTCATTTATTTTCACTCTCATTTCCTTACATTCTTAATTGTTTCTACATCTACTTATTTTGTGTTCAATTGCTTTTTTTCTAGTTTTTGTTTTAAGGTGGAAGATTAGATCATTGATTTTTTTTTAGACCTTTTTTTCTCTAATAAAAACATTTAATGCTAAAATTTATTTGGAAGTACTGCTTTAGCTTCATACAACCAATTCTGTGGGGGGAGGGGGGCGGTTGTTGTTTTTTTACATTTTGTTTTGTTTTGTTTTGTTTTAGACAGAGTCTCTCTCTGTCGTCCAGGCTGGAGTCCAGTGGCATGATCTTGGCTCACTGCAACCTCCACCTCCTGGGTTCAAACAATTCTCATGCCTCAGCCTCCCTAGTAGCTGGGATTACAGGCACGGGCCACCACACCCAGCTAATTTTTGTATTTTTAGTAGAGACATGGTTTACTGTGTTGGGTGGTCTGGTCTCGAACTCCTGGCCTCAAGTGATCCACCCACCTTGGCCTCCCAAAGTGCTGAGATTACAGGCATGAGCCACTGCGCTCAGCCCATACCACCAATTCTAATTTGTTTTGTTTTCATTTTCCTTCACTCCAAAATATAATTTCCCTTCTTTGACCTATGAGTTGTTTAGAACAATGTCATTTCATTTCCAAATATTTGTGAATTTTCCAGTTATGTTTTTGTCGTTGATTTCTAATTTAATTTTATTTTTAAACAGAGAACCTACTCAGTGTAATTTCAGTTCTTTTCATTTTATTGAGATTTGTTTTATGGCCCAGAATGTGTTTTATCTTGTTCAATGTTCCACATGCACTTGAAAAGAATGTGTGTTCTGTTGTCACTGGGTGTTAACACTCTACCTATCAATTAGATCAGTGGGTAGATAATGTTCTAGCCTTCTTTATTCTTACTGATTATCTGTCTGTTTTACCAATTACTAAGAACGCAGTGTTCATATCTCCAACCATAATTGTGAATATTTCCATTTCTCCTTTCATTTTTGTTACTTTTTATTCATTTTTTTCTTTTTTCTTTATTTTTGTCTAATTGCAATTCATATATTTGGAAGCGCTGTTACTGGGTATATATATATATACTTAAAATCTTCTGATTAATTGATCTTTTCATCATTAGAAAATGTCCCTCATTATCCTTGGTAATATTTCTTGCCCTGAAGTCTACTTTGTTTAATATTAATATAGCCACTGCACTTTTTTGATAAGTGTTTGTGATGTCTTATCTTTTTCTATCCTTTTTTTTAATTATAAATAAATGAGACAGGGTCTCACTCTGTCACCCAGGCTGGAGTGCAGTGGTGTGATCATTGCTCACTGAAGCCTCAACCTCCTAGGCTCAGGTGATCCTCCCACCTCAGCCTCCTCACTCTCTGGGACTACAGGTGTGTGCCACCATGTCCAGCTAATTTTTTGTATTTTTTGTAGATATGTGGTTTTGCCATGTTGCCCAGGCTGGTCTCAAACTCCTGGGCTCAAGTGATCTTCTCACTTCAGCCTCCCAAAGTGCTAGGAATACAGGTGTGAATCACCATGCCCAGCTACTGTCCTTTTAATTTTAAACCGTCTGTGCCTCTATATTTAAAGTGGGCTTCCATAGATAGCACAAAGTTAATCTCTGTTTTTACCAGACTATCTGGACCATTTATACTTAATGTAATTATCTATATGGTTAGATTATGTTTATCGTCTTGCTGTTTGTTTTCTACGTGTCTCATTTTTTCTTTTTTTTTTTTGTTTGTTTGTTTTGCTTTTTTTTTTCCTTATTTTATTTTTTTGAGACGGAGTCTCACTCTGTTACCCACGCTGGAGTGCAGTGGCGTGATCTTGGCTCACTGCAACCTCCACCTCCAAGGTTCAAGTGATTCTTCTACCTCTGCCTCCTGAGTAGCTGGGACTACAGGCATACGTCACCACGCCTGGCTAAATTTTTTTTGCATTTTTAGTAAAGACGGGGTTTTGCCATATTGGTCAGGCTGGTCTTGAACTCCTGACCTCATGATCTGCCCACCTCAGCCTCCCAAAGTGCTGGGATTACAGGCGTGAGCCCCCACATCTGGCCTTTTTTCTTTTTTTTTTTTTTTTTTTGAGATGGGGTTTCACCATGTTGGCCAGACTGGTCTTGAACTCCTGACTTCAGGTGATCCACCCACCTCAGCCTCCCATAGTGCTGGGATTACAGGTGTGAGCCACTGGTGCCCAGCCTCCATTTTTTCTTTTTTTGTTGTTGTTCTTCATTGTTCCTTTTTTTCTTTTTCCTGACTTCTTTTGAATTATTTGATTGCTTTTTCAGTATTCCATTTTACCTCCTGTTATTTGAGGTTTTTTACTGCACTTATTTGGACATGTTTTGTTCTGTTGCTTCTTGTTTTGCATATGCATATTTACCCTACCACAGCCTACATTCAGACAATATTACACCACTTCATGTATAAGATCTTACAACAACATGCTTCTATTTACCCTTCCATCTTTTGTGCTATTGTGGTCATAATGTTATAAGCATCATGAAAAGTTGTTATCTTTAAATAGTGAATTATCTTTTAATAAAATGTTTAAATTTTTAAAAATTCCATAAATACATTTATCATTTCCTCCACTCTGCTTTCCTTTATGTAGCTCCAAGTTCCCACGTAGTATCATATTTCTTTAGTCTCAAGAATTTCATAGCCAGGTGTGATGGCTCATGCCTGTAATCCCAGAGCTTTGGGGGGTGCCAAGGTGGGAGGATCACTGGAAGCCAAGAGTTCAAGACCAGACTGGGCAACATAGAGAGACTCTGTCTCTACAAAATGTTTTTACAAAAATAAGCAAGAGCATATCTGGAAAAAAAAAAAAAGATTTCCTTTAACATTTTTGTAGTCCAGGTGATAGTCACAAATTCTCAGCTTCTATCTGTCTAAAAAAGTCTTTATTTTACCTTCATTTTTAAAGGATATTTTTCCTGGGCAGAGAACTCTAGGTTGGCAGATTTTTTTGTTTTAATATGTACTTTGAAGGTGTTGCTAGAAACAAGGGCTTATTTTTGCATTCATTTTTATCTGTGTGTCCCTATAAGTAAGGTATCTCTTTTTCTCTGGCTGAGTTTCAGATTTTTCTCTTTGTCATTGGCTTTCAGCAATTTGATTATGTTTTACCTTGGTATGACTTACTTTGTATTTATCTTGCTTGGGGTTTATTGAACTTCTTAGGTCTGTGGATTTATAGTTTTTATCAAATATGAGAACTTTTTCTGCCATTATTCCATCTTCCCCTTCCTTTTAGGACTCCAGTTACACATCTGTTATACCTCTTGTTATATTGTCCAATAAGTTACAGAGGCTCTGAACATCTTTTTCAGTCTTTTCCCCTGCTCTGCATTTTAGTTGGGATAGTCTATTGCTCTGTTTTCAAGTTCACTGATCTTTTCTGCAGTGTCCAATGCATTATTAGGCCCATGAGTGAATTTTTCATTTTATGTATTCCATTTGTCAGCTCTGGAATTTCCATTTCATTCTTTTTAATATCTATCATTTCCTTCCTTATTATGTTCATATTACTATTAAATACTTGAGCATATTTATAATAACTGTTTTAAAGTTATTTTCTGCTAGTTCCATGATTTCTTTTTTTTTTTTTTTTTTTTTTTTTTGAGATGGAGTCTTGCTCTGTCACCCAGGCTGGAGTGCAGATTTGAAGTAAATCTTATATTATTTTTGGGATTTAACTACAGTGATAGGAACTCAGAAAAATTAATTGCTTGAGATGAAGAAACACTCAACACATTTGCACTAATAACATATATAGCATTTGGTATACTTCTTTTGTCTAAATTATTTATTCTGTGTTTTCTGCATTTGGTACCTAATCTTCACAGTGATCGTTTTTATGGTTACAGAATATTCCATACCAAAATTTACTCAGCCTGTCCCTTATTGGTGGATTTGTGAGCTGTTTCCATTTTTCTGCTGCCTCAGATGATGCTGTCATAAATATCTTTATGCACTTGGCTTTTTGTTGTTGCTGAATTATTTTCTTATGATAAAATCCCAAGAGTAGGATTATTGGGTCAAGAGTAGAAACATCTCCCTGGTTCTGGCAATCTATAATCTGAAAATGTGTTTTGAGAATTATTTCTCTTATTATAGGGGAAAGGTTGAAGCTCAGTTGTTGGTGGTAAGGATCACATGAGGAAAACAGGCCTGTTTCCCTGAGCCCATTAGCCCAGGATCACTGCCAATCTATCTTTTCTCCAGCCATCAGCCTTTCCTATTTATTTTATTCAATTTTCATCATTCATTTAACCAACCTTTATTAGGAGCCTACTATGTATCAGGCACTATGATTTCTCTCTGCCACACTGCAATGAATCCCAGAAGTGAATCTAATACACAGAATTTAAAGAGACCCAATCCAGATGTGCCCTGGCCTATCCTCTCTGAGGACTATGAAAGGTATTGGAGCTTGTCCTCGCCAGAGTTCCTGCACCCCTTCCAACATGTCTGAGATTGTTCGTGGAACCCTGGAATCTCTTGCCTGGACAGATCTGGTATTAGCAATCTAGCCCATTCCATAGACAGGCTTGGTACCATGGTAGGGCAGGCCCGAGCAGGAAAGGGAGAGCCTAAGCAACCTCAACTGCACCAGCTGATCCAGTTGCCCCGATATCATCTTGATACTTCTGTCTCCAGAACTGGTAAGCTAGAAGTAACCCCAGGGTCTCCTAGCCACATCCTAACAGCTATATTGATTCAGTCCATATCCTTGACTTCCAGCCTCAGTTTCCCTCAGTCTGTCTTTTCAGTGCCCCCCCACCCCGAAAACTGAGACTTGTCCTGAACCCAGGTCCTCTTGGCTTGGGTTCTGGTTGTGGTTCTGAGTCCCTGCCTTCCCTGGCCAGCATCCTTTCACGTCGGGGCTGACCCTGCTCCACTGGTTGAGTCTGTGTGTTTGAAGTGGACAAACTCCCTCCAGTTTTAGCTGCTGCTCTCAAGCAGCAGACCAGTTGACTTGTGGGAATAGTCCATGGTGCTGAGAACCCTATACAACTTATGTCCAAGCCTGCTAAGTTATTAATAATAAGTACAGTGTTCTAAAGGTGAGGACCCCAAGGTCTACAGAATAAATATGACTTTGTGACAGTCAAATAGCAAGTTTGTATCATATTAGGCCTAGAACTCAAGGTTTTTGCAATCTAGTCCCCTCCATAGGCAGACTTAGCCCCATTCTAGGGTAAACTGCTTTCCTCCTAGTTTATGCCTAGAAATTTAGAAAATATTCCAAAGCAGAAGCCCAATTACAAGGCCTGAGACCCACAGGATGGAGGAGGAGAGAAGACCCCAGTGTTTGAGAATAAAATTAGTTCTACTTTTCAAAAGAGGGGCATGAATCAGGAAAGTCCTGAGCAGCAGGACTGATTTTATGTGGAGCCCTAGACCATCAGTCTGGATCTAGTCATCTTAAGATGCTTCTTACATCTCAAGAATGTACCAGGAACCTGGAGTAGGGCTGGGCTCATAGGTGAGAAGAGACAGGGTAGAAAATTGAGGAAGGATATGGGGGTGAGGAACCAGGCTGGACCTGACACAGAGATGTTCAAGTAGCCCACATGTCAGTTGAGACCTCTCTGCTTCATAAGTCTTGGGTAACAATTGACTTAAAATACACATCCCCATGGCCTATGGAAGTCTACAGCTTTCTCCGAAATTTCTGTAAATACCCAGGACACATACATTCTCCTGTCCTAGTCTCTCAGGGATAATGTTCTTTGAGTAGTCTTTGCTCTGTGCTACATCAATCAAAGCATAAATTTAGCTCTTTCACAGAAAAAAATCTTAATATACCATATATGAATTTAATAGACTTTGCTGAAAATGTTGGGAGGGGTTTCACAGAAAGTGAGTCTGCTCATTCACTGTACCCTGGACAACCTAAAAGTCTCATTCATCATTGCACATTCTTGCTCCCTGCAGTCCTTGTCAGCCACCCACTTAAGATGGTTTTCTCTATTGGCTTCAACACTACACCCACCCTCACCTCACTGCACCCATCCTCACATGCTCCTCTGGTTCTTCTGTCTTCCTTCTGTCTTCTCTTTCCTCTGTTCTTTCTTCTCCATCCAATCTCTCCAAAGTCAGACATAAATTCCTTTCCTTATCTCATGCAGAGAGGCTCTAGTGGGGGAAGGAGGAATTATACCTCGTTTGCTTCATTATTAAACTCTTTTTTTTTCCAAGCAAAAACACTTCCTTCCCATCAAGAATTCTAGTGCCAGATGTTTATTAAGGTAATTCAAAAAATTACTCAATACACATGTGTAAACAAAAAGTATGCAGAGTTATTCTGATGGATAGTTCATGCCAGACCAAGCACTATGATAGTCCTATTCAAAATGGACTAATGAGAATGTTTAGAGCATCCTGTCTGATTTAGGAGTATGCCCTTGACCATAAAAGCTCAGCTGAATCCCAGAACTGAGCCTGGGAAAACTTGATTTGTCTTGTGCCCTTTGAAAGAATTTTACAAACTGCTGCTACAGGCAAGATACCCAAAATGGGGTGCTGCTTTTATTAGATAAGACAAAAAGGTACCTATGGCAACCAGAAAGTTTCGAGGTTTTTCAGACCTGTGTGGACTCTTAAGGTATTTTCAGCTCGCAAAATTTTAGCTGAACTGTGATATCAATTCAGTTGCAAAAATTGGCATGAGCAAAAATGCAATGGTCATTTCATATGGTCAAATCAGGTGACTAGCTGAACAATGAAACTTCAAGATATGTGGCTTGTTCCACTTGCTACCTAATGGTGTAAAACAACAACCAGTTTATTATTCTCAAGGATTATATGGGTCAGGAGTTTGGGAAGGACATGACAAGGACAGCTTGTATTTGCTCTACAACATCTAGAACCTCAGCTGGAAAGTCTCAAGGCTGAGGATTACTGAATAGCTGGGAGCTGGAATTATCTGAAGGCTCTTTCACTCATGTGTCTTGGTGCTTGAGGTCAGAAAGTCTGCATATGACCTCCTCATCTGGGCTTCTTCATAGTTTGCTGGTTAAATTCTGTGGTAAGAAGCCTCTAAAATGGTCCCCAATGAGTTCCACCTGCTGGTATTCACAGCCTTGTGTAATCTCATCCCCTTGATTAAATTGCTTCTAACTCATAGAATATGGCAACATTGAAGGAATATTTCTGCTATGATTAGGTCACAAGATAATCTCTCTCTTTCTCTGGCTTTGATGAAGGAAACTGCCACAATGAAGAAGCTCACATGGTAAGGAATTGAGTGTTACCCTGGCCAATAGCTATACAAAACTAATGGTCTTCAGTCCAACAATCCCTAAAGAAGTGAATCCTGCCAAAAACCA
Organism: Homo sapiens; assembly: GCF_000001405.40. Classification (NCBI taxonomy): domain Eukaryota; kingdom Metazoa; phylum Chordata; class Mammalia; order Primates; family Hominidae; genus Homo; species Homo sapiens. The sequence continues at coordinate 10,356,081 of NC_000011.10, read as the reverse complement.
CGAATAAACCACGTAAGTGACTTTGGAAGTAGATTCTTCTCCATTCAAACATTCAGATGAGACCCCAGCCCTGACCAAAATCTTGATTATAGCCTTGTGAAAGATTCTGAAGCAGAAGACACAGTTAAACTGTGGTTGAGTTCCTAACTCAGAAACACTGTGGGATGGATAATAAATGTGTATTGTCTTAAACTACTAAGTTTTGGGGTTGTTACATAGCAATAGATATCTACTATAAGTTCCAAGAGCAAATATCTCACAAGAACCAGGCAGAAACCATAGCTTTTATGACCTAGGCTCAGAAATTACATAGCATAATTTCCCCCAAATTCACAAGCCTGTACAGATTCAAGCAGATGGAATATAGACCACATCTCTCACAAGGAGGGTTGTACAAGTGCCAACATGTCATCATAGGAAGAACATGTGGGAGGAGAGATGCTGCTGTGGCCATCTTTGGGGAACACAGTCTGCCTTGTGGCTCTTTGGCCTTGACCTGTAGCATGGCCTGATCTACTCATGTGAAAATTTCAAGGAAGATTTATGTTGTTTTGCTATTTTGAAATTGAGGTTTTGTTTATGTTCCTCCTGACATGTCTCCTCTGCTTTTAAGAAATTCTCAAGCAATTCATCAGCACGTCACAAGATTAATGGGAGTTTCCCCTCCTGCAACCAAGGAGACCTCAGAACCATAATTTCCAAGAATGTGAATGACTATCTGAAGAATAAGATCCTCTCCACTTAAGAGTGACTCCTAATAAATTACAACATGCCCTGGCTACACGTTCTGAAACATTCCTGTATTGCCCCACACTCCATGCCAGTTGAGGGGAAAGAAGACAGTGAATGAGGGGGATGTGGTTGGGGGATCTAATGGACACTCGGGCGGGGCTGACTCCAGTGGTATTTCCAGTACCCCATAAACTCACAGAACTTCTGAACACGAAGGAATCTCAAAGATCGATCAATTAAATTTATACTGGAAATGTAGCTACGATCATAGCTATGAATTGAATTTATTTATTTAGTGAGATCTGACTATAATAGTATGTCCTTTATAGCTGAATGAAGTAGACATTAGTGTCTAATAGAACTCAAGTATGTCAGACTTCACCAGTTTGTAAACTCATGCTTCTATTTAATGCACCATCATTGTAGCTTGAGCCTCATCCTACTTGACTTCGTGAAATCAGGATTTTATCCAATTCCGCTGGGGAACACTTACGTGGTCCACCCATTTCCTCTGTACTTTTCATCTCTGCCAGCTGCCTGGCCCCACATGGGGGACTCCTATGTCTGAACACCTGCTTCCTTCAGGGTACAACTTTCCTAACTCCACTGTTGTGCCCCAGCATGGGCTGTACAGACTCCTCCACCATTTCCCTGTTGTGATAAAGCAGACTAGGCTGAAACTTTTAACAAGACATTACCAAAGGCTTGGAGAGAAAAGAGAATTACAACAGAGAGAAACTTGAAACTCAGTACCTTTGCCCAGATTCCCCAGTCTCTGGGTTTGACTTCTACATTGCTCTCTACTGCTGCCATGGAGGAAGGGCCAGCCTGCCTCCCCACAGTGGGAAGATACTTCATTCTACAAATCCTTGAGGTTCAGATCAAGGAGGCAGTTATTTCCCTCACACTTCAACCTAAGCTCCATGTCCTTAGTCTTTATTTCCTGCCTTAGGATTGATCGTGTTCCAGGAGGCCTGAGAATTAATGTGTCTATTTCGTGGAAAACTCCAACTTCTAAACAATAACATAACAAGCATTCTAACCATAGAACACTGTGTGTGATAATAACAGCCCAGTCAATGCTGAGTCCCATAAAGCCCAGTTAAGTTCTTTTCCCCATTCTCTCCTCTAGCATGAGTCTATGATCATGGTTATACAGTTGTCTAGCCATCTTCAGTGTCTCAGCTCTTGAGTTTCTATGATTGTCTAGTTGGAAAATGGCTTATTCGGCCTGGCATAGTGGCTCACGCTTGTAATCCCAGCACTTTGGGAGGCTAAAGTGGGCCAATTGCTTGAGCCCAGGAGTTCAAGACCAGCCTGGGCAACATGGCAAAACCTCATCTCTACAAAAAATACAAAAATTAGCTAGTCATGGTGCCCCTATAGTCCCAGCTACTCAGGAAGCTGAGGTGAGAGGATCGCTTGAGCCCAGGAGATTGAGGCTGCGGTAAGCAGAGATCATGCCACTGCACTCCAGCCAGGGCAACAGAACAAGACTCTGTCTCAGAAAAAAAGAAAAATGGCTTATCCGTTAAAAAATTTTCAAGAGCAAGCAATAATAAAGTGACAAATGGCATTGTAAATACATAGGAAATTTTAGGCTGGGCATGGTGGCTCTCACCTATAAAGCCAGCATTTTGGGAGGCTGACGTGGGAGGATCATTTGAGCCCAGGAGTTTGAGACCAGCCTGGGCAACATAGTGAGACTCCATCTCTGCAAAAAAATAAAAATAAAAAAAATAGCCAGGCATGGTGGCACATAACTATACACCTAGCTACTCAGGAGACTGAGATGGGAGGACTGCTTGCGCCCAGGAGGTCAAGGCTGCAGTGAGCCATGATTGTGTCACTGCACTCCAGCTTGGGTGACAGAGCCGGACCCTATCTGAAAAGAAAAGAAAAGAAAAGAAAAGAAAAGAAAAGAAAAGAAAAGAAAAGAAAAGAAAAGAAAAGAAAAAGAAAAAGAAAAAGGAAAGAAAAAGAAAAGAAAAGGAAAGAAAAAGAAAAAAGAAAAGAAAAAGAAAAGAAAAGGAGGGAAGGCAGAGAAGGGAAGGAGACAGACAAAGAAAAAGAAAGAGAAAGAAAGATAAAATGCTCCAAATAAAACCTTTTGAAGAGATCAACTCTGCCTAATATGTTGACATTTTACACAATTTTGCCAAACATTTTAGTTATTGGAGTCATAGTAGCAGAACTTCCCCCATCCCAAGGTAAGATTTTTTTCTCTATATTTGCATACGGCCTATAAGAAGCATTTTCTGAGACGTTTCCTCTTTTTAGAAACACAAAAATGTGTACGGATTACAAATGACAGTTCTTTTTCAGTCTCTACTTACTTCTCAAGTGATCCAAAAATATTTGGGTCTAATCTCAGCCAAGTTCACCTTGTTATATCCACTTTATGGACAAAGGAAGCTGAGGTTCTATGAAATCCAATTTACTGAATTACACAATTAGAAAATGGGGCTGGGAATGGTGGCTCATGCCTTTGGGAGGCCAAGGAGGGAGAATCACTTGAGCCCAGGAGTTAGAGATCAGCCTGGGTAACACAGGGAGACCCCATCTCTATAAAATATAATAATAATAATTAAAAAAATAAAACAATAGAAAATGGGAAGGCTGAAATTCAGAACACCAGCTGCCCTGGACGCTCTGGCCCTTGCAACTATACCAGGCCACACTTGATCTAAAAGGAAATGTTACATATCACAAAAACATGCGTTGTGAAGACCAGCCAAGCATACAACAAATCAGTCCCATTCAGTTTGGGATTACAAGCCGGACGAACAATAGAGCAGGCTTCAAAATAAACTTCCGTTTCCAGGATGAGAAGGAAACATAGGGACATAAGCTCTTAGGAGACACCTGCAGTGAGCAGGGACCTGCGCCAGAGAAAGGGTATAAAGCGGAGCCTGAAAAGAGGGGACTCCGAGGAAGACACCGCATTCATTCTTCCATCCCACAAACTTTCGCCAAGTGAGTCCTTTGTGCCCGGCTTTGTGCTTGGCTTTGTGCTACGCAGCAGGCACAGGCTGATGAATCAGTTAGAGGCGCCTGCCCCCTTGGGCCTCACAATCTGATAGAAGGGACAAACAAGTAAATATAGAACCTGCATTCCTCTCATTCAAGTGAAAAGGACATCCTGATTAAAATATCTATGGCAGCTCTGAGAACATTCGTGCCCAATCACAGTAAGGGCCTGAACTGATTGTCATTTCCTTTGTTTAACCAATTCTCTTACACCTGGAGTAGAATCCCTGGGGCCAGCCCGGCTGGGTACCCAACGTGATCCCTCCAGATCTCTGGAGCAGCTCGCCTTCCTCATAATCATTTTACCCTGGGATGTTTCAGCCTTTGAGGTACAATGTGTGACTAAGGCCACTGTCAACAGGCAATGACACAAAGCATCTGTCGTCTGGCAAAGACCAGCTGAGCAAATGCTTAACTCAGAAGGCTGCTACAGTTTTTGTGAAAACAAATTACATCAGCGCCTAACCCGGGAGTCTCCCAACCAGGCTAAAGGGTGTTTTCTTTGGTGAGCGTGTGTGCTCCTACCTCACACAGCATGAAGGAACTCTGCCTAGAGTGAAGTGGCACAAAGTCTCCATATCTCAGAGCTTGGTGATACCATCAAGAAGACTCCTTGCAAAATCGGCTTAGCAAGGAGGCAGACATTCTGAGACTTCCCGGCATGCAAAGAGCCCCGTGCTGTGGGAAGGGACACACACGAGGTCAGCCAAGGTCATGGGCTCCCAAGGAAATATTTACTGATTAGCTTCCGTGGGCCAGGTGCTGGGTGGAGATTTAACTTACCTTATCTCATTTAATTATACCCCAAGTATGCTCAGCCCCATGGCCTTACTCTGGACCTGCCTTAAGGCCAGCACTTCACAAAGATACCTTTAAAGCAATAGTGAATAATGCAGATTCTACCACTGACTCCATGGGGACATAGAAGGGACATTTATATTGCAGACCACAGGTAAATATTAATCTTCAAGAGATCTATTGTACAACACGGTGACTATAGTTAATAACAATGTCTTGCATTCTTGAATATTGCTAAGAGAGTAGATTTCAAGTGTTCCCACCACAAAAAAAAAGTACATGAGGTAACGCATATGTTAATTAACTCAATTTAGCCACTCCACAATGTATACAAATTTCAAAAATCATGTTGTACACAATAAATACATACAATTTTATTTGTCAATTAAATACATAGATAAATTTGAAAAAAATACTTAGTTTAACACCTCCATTGTCTTCTCCCTTCTCTCCCTTTCCATTCTCTCTAACTTCCCTGTGACAGTTTCCTCTCTCTCTCTTTCTCTCTCTCCCTATTTCTCTCTCTGCCTCCCCATATACACAGCTTCTTCAAAATCCCCTCCACGTCTTCCCCTGTCACTTGCCTAACCCCGCACACAAAAGCCTAATCATAGCCAAAAGGCAAGAATATCCAATTACTCCTTAAGCAAAATCCTTGTGAGCCTCAGTTTGTCTCATTCATTCATTTAACAAATAGTTGTCAAGTGCCCAGCACTGTTTTGGGTGCAGGAGATTAGCAGTGAACATGATAGACAAAAATATCTGCCCTCATGTAGCTTCCATAATCCTTATAGCAATCCATTTTTACATATTAAAAAAACAGAGGTTTGGACTCAATTTATCCAACAGAGTCAGACACTTGGGGCCCAGGGGCAAATTCCAGCCCAGAGAAAGCATTTAGCAGGACCCAATGAGGGCTTCAGGGGCCCAGTCAGCACTCTGGAATCTGGTGGTGAGACTGGGTGCCTAGAGCCTGGAGAATGAGGGGAAGGGACTCAAGTGTCATGTTACAAGGACAGCCCTTGGAAACAAATACATTGGGTTCAAGTTCAAGCTTAGCTACTTACTTGGACTAGTTACTTAATTCTCTCCAAGTCTTAGTTTTCTCATCTATAAAATGGGGACAAAAATTAAACTTACCTTAAAGACTGTGATTACATGTATACACACTGTGTATATATATACACAGACACAATCATTAAATTCTCAGAACCCTATGTTGTGCTAAACATCATATATGTGTATGTGGTCTAACAGAGTAAATGCTGTAAATATTAGTTACCACTTATTTATTTATATTTGTAATTATTATTAGGTATAAAAATGGGTCTACTTAGTAATAGAGCCCCATAATTTGTCAGCCCAGCTCCCTTCTTTTTCTGGGAACAGACTTTCTCACAATCACCTCCCCACCCATCCCCAACCTCCTGATCAACCAACTCTATCCATGACGTCTCCATGGAAGCCACATGTTGGTACAATATGACCTCTCCCCCAGGCACTTGAAGCAAGCTTGACATATCAGAGTCCTTTCCCAGAAAGCTTGCCACTGGAATAGGAAAGAAATTAGTCTCCAGGTAGCTAAAGCTGTTACTACTAGCAGCCATGTTTTCAGCCACATGAACTGAGGAGCAGAAATCAGTCTGCAGTAAGAACAAAGAATGAAATTGGTGTGCAAATAGATAGAAGTGGAGACAGGATATGGGGAGCTGTACCAGCATTTGAGGGCTGGTTCCACTTCATTGAGTTCCAAGAGACAATTCTGTAAGTAAATACCTCATTTTTCTCAAGCTGGTTTGATTTAGGACATTATGCCTTGCCATTAATGAGTCTTAACTAACTACAGGTCTAATCCAGCAGACTTGGCCTTGATATATGGGTCATACCAGCCTCTAAGAGAACTTCTCTGAAGAGAAATTCAATTTCTCCTTAATAGTCAGGATCAGTTATCCCAAGCCAGTTTAGTAGCCCTCTCTTTTTCCTGTTGATTCACTGGCATGATGAGCCCATGTGGCCAGGTGGTCATCTTCACTTCCAGGTTAATGATACAGTTGCTGTGCTCCCTGGAGGAAATATTATTCCTCTGAAAACCAAGACTTCTAAACCAGCAGAGCCTAAAGTTCTAGAGATAGGAAGATAAAATTTCATAGTGGATGACTAAATTTAATAATAAGAAGAAACTCTCTCATTTCCACTCCTTCATTCCTGAACCCAGAAAAATTGGCTATAGGAGAAACAGCAACATATGTTGGTCACTAATTTAGGACATACGCTACATACTAGGGGACACTGCCCCAGCTCTACAAGGTGTTTCCACCCAGCTGGCCCTGTAACTATGCCTTCAAAAGGTCATTCTACCACTTTATCAGGACAGCTGCTTCGAGGTAATGGGGTATTTTGCAAGACTAGTGAATTCCATGAGCGTGAGCCCATTACCACACTTCATTTGCTGTGAGTTCCCTGGTCAAAAGCAATGCTCTGTGAAACACCATGTGAATAACACATTCTGTAAATCCCTGGATGGTGGTTTTGGAAGAAGCATTGTGAGCAGGAAAAACAAATCTTTATCCAGAGTAAGTGTCTATTCATTCCAGTGAGAACAAAGTTCTGTCCCTTCCATGATGAAAGTGATCCTTTATAATCAACTTTTCACCAGGTGGCTAAACTGGTACTCCCAGGGAATGGTGCCAAATAAATGCTGTGTTGATGTCTGCTGTTGGCAGGTTGGACACTCAGCAGCGGTGATTCAAAGTCCATGTTGCTGAGCCCCCAGATAGCCCTATGGACCATTTTATGTGGCTTCCATAGAACAAAAAAGGGGAACCTGGGGAAAGAGGGTAACAAATGTTCACAAAACCAGCAATCTCATCCACCTACTTATTAAGATCTTCTTCTGATAAGATTGCTGTTTGGTGAGCATTCACATGGGATATACTATCTTCCCATTCCGTGCAAATTCGTAACATTCTACCTACAAACCTCTTTCTCAGCTCTCCCTGCCACCAGGTTTTTAATCATGATCCTTTTAAGGTTTGACCATCCAGCCAAACCATTAGCCGCTACCCTAAGTCAATATAGATTCATACTGTCCACTGGGAAGATTTTCCTTCACCCTGTCTTTCAAGGCCATGCTGTGGTGGAACTGCAACGGTACAACCACCTACTTTTGGGTAGTGCCAGCATATTGGACAGAACCATCTTTAAACAAGGCCTGGAATTTTTCCTCTTCAACCAACTTGTTACAGGGAACTACCCAAAAAGACACAGATGCAGGTTGAGAGGGAAGAGAAATTAATTAACATAGATTTCAAATTGATACAGATAATAATAATAGATAACATTTACTTAATATGTAATGTGTACCAGACACAGTTCTAGATGCTTTACATGTATTATCTCCTTAATTCTCACAATAACATTCCCATTTTATAGATGACAAAGTGAGGCACAGAGATTTAGTAACCTGCTCCAAATCACATAGTCATTAGGTGGCAGAGTTGGGATTAGAACCCATACCTTCTCATTCTAAAACCTGTCATGCAATTCTGCCTCCCATGATAAAACAAATTTGCATATGTTTTTGCAAGTTACACTGTAAACTCCCAAAATTAATACTTTGATTGCCATAGGAATCCTAACCCTGGAGCTGTGTCTTTTCAACAGAGGGTTATTTTAATACACATTTTTAGATATGATAACAGGTGCAATAGGGCTGCTGGAAATGTTATGATGTGCCAATTTCAACGGCTCTTAGATCTCAATGTGATTTTCAACTTAAAATGAAACAACACAGGACAAAAAATATGATGCTTGTTATTCAAAGATAATGTCTCTTCAACAGAAACTACCTTCAAACAACTGAAACTTAAGGCAAGAACTCAAAGAAGAGAACTTCACTACAAAAAAATTGAGAGTTTCCACATGTTGAAGCCCAGAAACATCATTTTCAACATCCTCTGTCTCTCACAGTTAAATAATCATAGACAAAAAGTTGTATACACGGTTTAAAACACCTGAAGTGGAAAATTAAACTGTATCAATGAAATATTATTTTCCTGATATTTCAGACTACAAAAGGCAGGCTGGAAGTTATAGTTTGGATGCTAAAACATTGATATTTTCCAGGTGTTCTGGTGGCTTATGGAGATAGAAAACTTGAAGTCAGCACTGTCCTGGTTTTTCTAACTTATATGGCAATGTCACCTCTCTGGCCTCACTTGAATAGCCCCTGGAAGGATTTTTGTAATAGAAAACTAATATGCATTTGTAGATGCAGAGAAGAAATTTTGAAGAAAGAGGTACAGCAATCTGAGGATTATGATTCTGCTAGGGATGGGAGTAGAGATGAAGCTGGTTGGAAATGGGAGAACTTACGTGCTTCAATTTTTTGAATATAGCTTCAAAACATGTATTAATTACAAATGTATCCAGCTGGGAATAACAAAAAATATTAAAAACCAAAACAGGTGGTTTAAACCACTGGTTCTTAATCTGGGCTACACATTGGAATCTGCTGGAGAGTTTTTTAAATTATTGAAGCTAGGGCTGGGTGCAGTGGTTCACACCTGTAATCCCAGCACTTTGGGAGGCTAAGGCAGCAGAATCGTTTGAGACCAGGAGTTCAAGGCTGTAATGGGCTATGGTTGTGCCACTGCCCTCTGGCCTGGGAGACAGAATGAAATCCTGCTTCCAATTATTGAGGCTTAGATCCTACCACCAAAAATTCCTATTCATTTGGGGGTGTATAGGGAGATCTTAAAACTGGGAACTTTAAGACTCCACAGGTGATTTTAATGGGTAGCTAAGTTTGAGGGCCACTTTACTAACTAGTTCAAAAAAGTAAAGGCTTAGCCAGGTGTGGTGACATGCACCTGTAGCCCCAGCTACTCAGGAGGCTGAGGTGGGAGGATCACTTGAGCCCAGGAAGTTGAGGCTGCAATGAGCGGTGATTGCACTACTGCACTCCCACCTGGGTGACAGAGCAAGACCCTGAATCAAAAAACAAAACAAAAAGTAAAGGCTTTTTTTAAACATAACACAAAATCCAGAAGTGGGTGGACCAAAACCAGCATAGTTGCTAAAGGTTGTCATCAAGGAATCAGGATCTTTCCATCTTTCTGCTCCACCATACTTAGCTCTCAGCTTTCATTGTCTTGGTAAATAAATGGCTGCTGCTACCGCATTGGATCAAAGCTCCAGACAGGGAGAGGGAGAAGGGCAAAAACACTCCTCCTCACAAGTCTTTGCCTTTTTTTTTTTTTTTTTAACATTTTCATAATTTTCTTTTAATTTCAATCCTCTGAAGTAACTAATTCTTTTTGGTTGATACTATGTTCCTGATTTTATTTTTTTATTTTATTTTTTATTATACTTTAAGTTCTAGGGTACATGTGCACAACACACAGGTTTGTTACATAGGTATACATGTGCTATGTTGGTTTGCTGCACCCATCAACCCATCATCTACATTACGTATTTCTCCTAATGCTATCCCTCCTCTAGCCCCCGACCCCTGACAGGCCCGGGTGTGTGATGCTCCCCACCCTGTGTTCATGTGTTCTCATTGTTCAATTCCCACCTATGAATGAGAACATGCGGTATTTGGTTTTCTGTCCTTGTGATAATTTGCTGAGAATGGTTTCCAACTTCATCCATGTCCCTGCAAAGGACATGAACTCATCCTTTTTTATGGCTGCATAGTATTCCATGATGTATATGTGCCACATTTTCTTAATCCAGTCTATCATTGATGGACATTTGGGTTGGTTCCAAGTCTTTGCTATTGTGAATAGTGCTGCAATAAACCTACATGTGCATGTGTCATTATAGTAGCATGATTTATAATCCTTTGGGTATATACCCAGTAATGGGATGGCTGGGTCAAATGGTATTTCTAGTTCTGGATCCCTGAGGAATCACCACACTGTCTTCCACAATGGTTGAACTAATTTACCCTCCCACCAACAGTGTAAAAGTGTTTCTATTTCTCCACATCCTCTCCAGCATCTGTTGTTTCCTGACTTTTTAATGATCACCATTCTAACTGGCATGAGATGGTATCTCATTGTGGTTTTGATTTGGATTTCTCTGATGACCAGTAAGGATGAGCATTTTTTTCATGTCTTTTGGCTGCATAAATGTCTTCTTTTGAGAAGTTCATATCCTGTGCCCACTTTTTGATGGGGTTGTTTGTTTTTTTCTTGTAAATTTGTTTAAGTTCTTTGTAGATTCTGGATATTAGCCCTTTGTCAGATGGGTAGATTGCAAAATTTTTCTCCCATTCTATAGCTTGACTGTTTACTCTCATGGTAGTTTCTTTTGCTATGCAGAAGCTCTTTAGTTTAATTAGATCTCTTTTGTCTATTTTGGCTTTTGTTGCCATTGCTTTTGGTGTTTTAGTCATGAAGTCTTTGCCCATGCCTATGTCCTAAATGGTATTGCCTAGGTTTTCTTCTAGGGCTTGTATGGTTTTAGGTGTTACATTTAAGTATTTAATCCATCTGAGTTAATTTTTGTATAAGGTGTAAGGAAGGGATCCAGTTTCAGCTTTCTACATATGGCTAGCCAGTTTTCCCAGCACCATATATTAAATAGGGAATCCTTCCCTCATTTCTTGCTTTTGTCAGGTTTGTCAAACATCAGTTGGTTGTAGATGTGTGGTGTTATTTCTGAGGCCTCTGTTCTGTTCCATTGGTGTATACATACATATATACATACATACATACATACATATATATATATTCCCAGCACCATATATTAAATAGGGAATCCTTTCCCCATTTCTTGCTTTTGTCAGGTTTGTCAAACATCAGTTGGTTGTAGATGTGTGGTGTTATTTCTGAGGCCTCTGTTCTGTTCCACTGGTGTATACATGCATACATACATACATATATACACACATATATATATACATATATACACACATATATATACACACATATATATACACATATGTATATATACATATATACACATATGTATATATACATATATATACACATATGTATATATACATATATATACACATATGTATATATACGTATATATACACATATATATATAACAACACAGATATATATATATATATTTCTATGTGTTGGTACCAGTACCATGCTGTTTTGGTTACTGCAGCATGATAGTATAATTTGAAGTCAGGTAGCGTGATGCCTCCAGTTTTGTTCTTTTTCCTTAGGATTCTCTTGGCTATGTGGGCTCTTTTTTGGTTCCATATGAACTTTAAAGTAGTTTTTTTCCAATTCTGTGAAGAAAGTCATTGGTAGCTTGATGGGAATGGCATTGAATCTATAAATTACCTTGGGCAGCATGGCCATTTTCATGATATTGATTCTTCCTACCCATACGCATGGAATATTCTTCCATTTGTTTGTGTCTTCTTTTATTTCATTCAGCAGTGGTTTGTAGTTCTCCTTGAAGAAGTCCTTCACATCCCTTCTAAGTTGGATTCCTAGCTATTCTATTCTCTTTGTAGCAATTGCGAATGGGAGTTCACTCATGATTTGGCTCTCTGTTTGTCTGTTATTGGTGTAAAGAATGCTTGTGATTTTTGCACAATGGTTTTGTATCCTGAGACTGCTCCAGTTGTTTATCAGCTTAAGGAGATTTTGTGCTGAGATGATGGGGTTTTCTAAATAAACAATCATGTCATCTACAAACAGGGACAATTTGACTTCCTCTTTTCCTGATTGAATACCTTTTATTTCCTTCTATTGCCTGATTGCCCTGGCCAGAACTCCAACACTATGTTGAGTAGGAGTGGTGAGAGAGGGCATCCTTGTCTCGTGCCGGTTTTCAAAGGGAACGCTTCCAGTTTTTGCCCATTCAGTGTGATATTGCCTGTGGGTTTGTCATAAATAGCTCTTATTATTTTGAGATACGTTCCATCAATACCTAGTTTATTGAGAGTTTTTAGCATGAAGGGCTGTTGAATTTTGTCAAAGGCCTTTTCTGCATCTATTGAGATAATCATGTGGTTTTTGAGGTTGGTTCGTTTATGTGATGGATTATGTTTATTGATTTGCACATGTTGAACCAGCCTTGCATCCCAGGTGTGAAGCCGACTTGATCATGGTGGATAAGCTTTTTGACGTGCTGCTGGATTCAGTTTGCCAGTATTTTATTGAGGATTTTCACATTGACGTTCATCAGGGATGTTTGTCAAAAATTCTCTTTTTTTATTGTGTCTCTGCCAGGCTTTGGTAATCAGGATGATGCTGGCCTCATAAAATAAGTTAGGGAGGATTCCCTCTTTTTCTATTGATTGAAGTAGTTTCAGAAGGAATGGTACCAGCTTTTCTTTGTACGTCTGGTAGAATTTGGCTGTGAATCCTTCTGGTCCTGGACTTTTTCTGGTTGGTAAGCTATTAATTATTGCCTCAATTTCAGAGCCTGTTATTGGTCTATTCAGAGATTCAGCTTCTTCCTGGTTTAGTCTTGGGAGGGTGTACGTGTCGAGGAATTTATCCATTTCTTCTAGATTTTCTAGTTTATTTGCATAGAGGTGTTTATAGCATTCTCTGATGGTAGTTTGTATTTCTGTGGGATTGGTGGCGATATCCCCTTTGTCATTTTTTATTGTGTCTGTTTTATTCTTCTCTCTTTTCTTAACTAGTCTTGCTAGCAGTCTATTTTGTTGATCTTTTCAAAAAACCAGCTCCTGGATTCATTGATTTTTTGAAGGGATTTTGTGTCTCTATCTCCTTCAGTTCTGCTCTGATCTTAGTTATTTCTTGCCTTCTGCTAGCTTTTGAATTTGTTTGCCTTGCTTCTCTAGTTCATTTAATTGTGATGTTAGGGTGTCAATTTTAGATCTTTCCTGCCTTCTCTTGTGGGCATTTAGTGCTATAAGTTTCCCTCTACACACTGCTTTAAATGTGTCCCAGAGATTCTGGCACATTGTGTCTTTGTTCTCATTGGTTTCAAAGAACATCTTTATTTCTGCCTTCATTTCGTTATGTACCCAGTAGTCATTCAGGAGCAGGTTGCTCAGTTTCCATGTAGTCATGTGGTTTTGAGTGACTTTCTTAATCCTGAGTTCTAATTTGATTGCGCTGTGGTCTGAAAGACAGTTTGTTGTCATTTCTGTTCTTTTACATTTGGTGAGCAGTGCTTTACCTTCAACTATGTGGTCAATTTTAGAATAAGTGTGATGTAATGCTGAGAAGAATGTATATTCTGTTGATTTAGAGTGGAGAGTTCTGTGGATGTCTATTAGGTCCACTTGGTGCAGAGCTGAGTTCAAGTCCTGGATATCCTTGTTAACTTTCTGTCTTGTTGATCTGTCTAATGTTGACAGTTGGGTGTTAAAGTCTCCCATTATTATTGTGTGGGAGTCTAAGTCTCTTTGTAGGTCTCTAAGGACTTGCTTTATGAATCTGGGTGCTCCTGTATTGGGTGCATCTATATTTAGGACAGTTAACTCTTTTTGTTGAATTGATCCTTTTTCCATTATGTAATGGCCTTCTTTGTCTCTTTTGATCTTTGTTGGTTTGAAGTCTGTTTCATCAGAGACTAGGATTGCAACCCCTGCTTTTTTATTTTTTTATTTTTTTATTTTTTATTTTTTGCTTTTCATTTGCTTGGTAGATCTTCCTCCATCCCTTTATTTTGAGCCTATGTGTGTCTCTGCACGTGAGATAGGTCTCCTGAATAGAGCACACTGATGGGTCTTGACTCTTTATCCAATTTGCCTGTCTGTGTCTTTTAATTGGCACATTTACCCATTTACATTTAAAGTTAATATTGTTATGTGTGAATTTGATCCTGTCATTATGATGCTACCTGGTTATTTTGCGCATTAATTGATGCAGTTTCTTCATAGCATCGATGGTCTTTACAATTTGGCATGTTTTTGCAGTGGCTGGTACCGGTTGTTCCTTTCCATGTTTAGTGCTTCTTTCAGGACCTCTTGTAAGGCAGGCCTGGTGGTGACAAAATCTCTCAGCATTTGCTTGTCTGTAAAGGATTTTATTTCTCCTTCACTTAACGAAGCTTAGTTTGGCTGGATATGAAATTCTGGGTTGAAAATTCCTTTCTTAAGAAGGTTGAATATTGGCCCCCTCTCTCTTCTGGCTTGTAGTGTTTCTGCTGAGAGATCTGCTGTTAGTCTGATGGGCTTCGTTTTGTGGGTAACCCGACCTTTCTCTCTGGCTGCCCTTAACATTTTTTCCTTCATTTCAATCTTGATGAATCTGATGATTATGTGTCTTGGGGTTGCTCTTCTCATGGAGTATGTTTGTGGTGTTCTCTGTATTTCCTGAATTTGAATGATGGCCTGCCTTGCTAGGTTGGGGAAGTTCTCCTGGATAATAACCTGAAGAGTGTTTTCTAACTTGGTTCCATTCTCCCCGTCACTTTCAGGTACACCAGTCAAACATAGATTTGGTCTTTTCACCTAGTCCCATATTTCTTGGTGGCTTTGTTCGTTTCTTTTTACTCTTTTTTCTCTAATCTTGTCTTCTCGCTTTATTTCATTAATCTGATCTTCAATCACTGATATCCTTTCTTCCACTTGATTGAATCAGCTATTAAAGCTTGTGCATGCATCACGAAGTTCTCATGCTGTGGTTTTCAGCTCCATCAGATCATTTAAGGTCTTCTCTACACTGTTTATTCTAGTTAGCCATTCATCTAACCTTTCTTCAAGGTTTTTAGATTCCTTGCAATGGGTTAGAACAAGCTTCTTTAGCTCGGAGAGGTTTGTTATTACCGACCTTCCGAAGCCTACTTCTGTCACCTCATCAAGGTCATTCTCCATCCAGTTTTGTTATGTTGTTGGTGAGGAGCTGTGATCCTTTGGAAGAGTAGAGGCATTCTGGTTTTTGGAATTTTCAGCTTTTCTGCTCTGTTTCTCCCCATCTTTGTGGTTTTATCTACCTTTGGTCTTTGATGTTGGTGACCTACAGATGGGATTTTGGTGTGGATGTCCTTTTTGTTGATGTTGATGCTGTTTCTTTCTGTTTGTTAGTTTTTCTTCTAACAGTCAGGACCCTCAGCTGCAGGTATGTTCGAGTTTGCTGGAGGTCTACTCCAGACCCTGTTTTCCTGAGTATCACCAGTGGAGGCTACAGAACAGCAAATATTGCAGAACAGCAAATATTGCTGCCTGATCCTTCCTCTGGAAGCTTCATCCCAGAAGGGCACCCACCTGTATGAGGTGTCTGTCAGCCCTTACTGGGAGGTCAGGCTACATGGGGTCAGGGAGCCACTTGAGGAGGCAGTCTGTCTGTTCTCAGAGCTCGAACACCACGCTGGGAGAACCACTGCTCTCTTCAGAGCTGTCAGACAGGGATGTTTAAGTCTGCAGAAGTTGTCTGCTGCCTTTTGTTCAGCTATGCCCTGCCCACAGAGGTGGAGTTTATAGAGGCAGTAGGCCTTGCTGAGCTGCAGTGGGCTCCACCCAGTTCAAGCTTCCCAGCCACTTTGTTTACCTACTCAAGCCTCAGCGATGGTGGACACCCCTATCCCCACCAGGCTTCAGCCTTGCAGGTCGATCTCAGACTGCTGCACTAGCAGTGAGCAAGGCTCTGTGGGCATGGGACCTGCCAAGCCAGGAACAGGAGGGAATCTCCTGGTCTGTCAGTTGCTAAGACCGTGGGAAAAGCGCAGTATTTGGGCAGAGTGTACCAGTTTTCCAGGTACAGTCTGTCACGGCTTCCCTTGGCTAGGAAAAGGAAATCCCCCGACCCCTTGTGCTTCCTGGGTGAGGCAACGTCCCACCCTGGTTTGGCTCTCCCTCCATAGGCTGCACCCACTGTCTAACCAGTCCCAATGAAATTAACCAGCTACCTCAGTTGGAAATGCAGAAATCACCCGTCTTCTGCATCGATCTTGCTGGGAGCTGCACACTGGAGCTGTTCCTATTCAGCCATCTTGGAAGAAACCCCAAGTCTTTGCCTTTTTATTCAGAAATGGAAGCCCACCTCAGGGACATCTGCTTACTTACCACACTATATTACACAGCTGTCTTAGATTGTGATGAAGTCTGGGAATTTGTGTGTGTTGTTTACAGCCTCTATAATAGAAAAAGTCAACAGAGAAGGCAGTTGGGACGGTTATTGAGTGAGCCAGTCCACAGCATCTGCCATCCATGAATGTACTACTTTTGTAATTTTTTTTAATGTAAATATAGGCTGGACGCAGTGGCTCACACCTATAATCCCAGCACTTTTGGAGGACAAGGCAGGTGGATTGGTTGAGCCCAGGAGTTTGAAACCAGCCTGGGCAACATAGTAACACCCCATTTCCACAAAAAAATAAAAGAACTAGCTGGGTGCAGTGGTGCACACCTGTAGTTCTAGCTACACAGGAGGCTGAGGTGGGAGGATCACTTAAGCCTGGGAGGCGGAGGTTGTGGTGAGCTGAGATAGCACCAGAACCACTGCACTCCAGCCTGGGTGACAGACCTTGTCTCAAAAAAAACCAAAAAATGTAAATATAGTGGCATAAGGACTACAGCATAAGGAAACTGCCTAAGCATGGTGGCTCATGTCTGTAATCCCATCACTTTGGGAAGGTGGGGCAGGATTGCTTGAGCCCAGGAGTTTGAAGCTGCAGTGAGCTATGATTGTACAACTGCATTGAAGCCTGGGCAACAGAGTAAGACCCTGTCTTTAAAAAAGAAAAGAAAAGGCCTTACAGAAACAACATACCTGGGAATAATTTCATCATAACCTGGCCTATCTAATACTCTATTTTCTGTTTATGTCATTCTGCCCAAGCCCCAAATCTCTCTGTTACTTTTTCTGAGGCTATGTTAATTGTTTAATATAGCAGCCTTTTTAAGTCTCAGAGTTTCATTCTGGTAGAAAAGAAGCAGCATTTAGTTTTAAGCCTGGAGAGTAGAAAGACCACAAAATCCTCCCCAAAGTCCTGGCCTCCTCTTGCCTGATAGTCTCCAAAATAAATTTAATTTCTCTGCTGACCTGAAGTTCACATTCAACTGTTTACTGCCAAGGGTTTGAATTACTGCAAATATGGCCCTTGGGTTTATCCCAGTTGAATTAATAATCACAGCCCCTGCCACAATCTCTTGTTTGCCAATTACACTTATTCCAACATCCCTCCTGAACTTAAGACTCATGATTTCCAACTTCCTGCTGGACAAGAACACCTCAATACCCCATAGACAAATCAAACTCAGTATGTCATGGTGATCTCATTATGTTCCCCCTCCAAACTCCTGTATTCCCCATCTCAGTAAATGGCACAACTGTTGATCAAGTCATTTGAACTACAAATCTCAGAACTGTGCTCAAATTCTCTCTCTTTTTAATATCATAGATCCAATCAGCAAAATCCTGTCAATTCTACCACATATATATTTTCTAATCTGTTCCTCCTCCTCTAACCTAATCATCTTCTACCTGGACTATTAGCATCTTCAAGAAATAGAAACAGAGGGCTGGATGCCATGGCTCACTGTAATCCCAGCACTTTGGGAGGCCAAGGCAGGAGAATCTTTTGTTTTGTTTTGTTTCATTTTTGTTTTTGTGACAGGGTCTCACACCATCATTCAGGCTGGAGTGCAGTGACCAGATCACAGCTCACCGCAGCCTCAGCCTCCTGGGCTCAGGTGATTCTTCCATCTCAGCCCCTCAAGTAGCTGGAAATAAAGGCCACCACACCAGGCTAATTTAAAAATTTTTTTTATTATACTTTAAGTTTTAGGGTACATGTGCACAACGTGCAGGTTAGTTGCGCATGTATACATGTGCCATGTTGGTGTGCTGCACCCATTAACTCATCATTTAACATTAGGTATATCTCCTAATGCTATCCCTCCCACCTCTCCCCACCCCACAACAGGCCCCGGTGTGTGATGTTCCCCTTCCTGTGTCCATGTGTTCTCATTGTTCAATTCCCACCTATAAGTGAGAATATGCGGTGTTTGGCTTTTTGTCCTTGTGATAGTTTGCTGAGAATGATGGTTTCCAGCTTCATCCATGTCCCTACAAAGGACACGAACTCATCATTTTTTATGGCTGCATAGCATTCCATGGTGTATATGTGCCACATTTTCTTAATCCAGTCTATCAAACTATACTACAAGGCTACAGTAACCAAAACAGCATGGTACTGGTACCAAAACAGAGATATAGACCAATGGAACAGAACAGAGCCCTCAGAAATAATGCCGCATATCTACAACTACCTGATCTTTGACAAACCTGACAAAAACAAGAAATGGGGAAATGATTCCCTATTTAATAAATGGTGCTGGGAAAACTGGCTAGTCGTATGTAGAAAGCTGAAACTGGATCCCTTCCTTACACCTTATACAAAAATTAATTCAAGATGGATTAAAGACTTAAATGTTAGACCTAAAACCATAAAAACCCTAGAAGAAAACCTGGGCAATACCATTCAGGACATAGGCATGGGCAATGACTTCATGACTAAAACACCAAAAGCAATGGCAACAAAAGCCAAAATTGACAAATGGGATCTAACTAAACTAAAGAGCTTCTGCACAGCAAAAGAAACTACCATCAGAGTGAACAGGCAACCTACAGAATGGGAGAAAATTTTTGCAATCTACTCATCTGACAAAGGGCTAATATCCAGAATCTGCAATAAACTCAGACAAATTTGCAAGAAAAAAACAAACAGCCCCATCAAAAAGTGGGCACAGGATATGAACAGGCACGTCTCAAAAGAAGACATTTATGCAGCCAAAAGACATATGAAAAAATGCTCATCATCACTGGCCATCAGAGAAATGCAAATCAAAACCACAATGAGATACCATCTCACACCAGTTAGAATGGTGATCATTAAAAAGTCAGGAAACAACAGGTGCTGGAGAGGATGTGGAGAAATAGGAACACTTTTACACTGTTGGTGGGACTATAAACTAGTTCAAGCATTGTGGAAGTCAGTGTGGCGATTCCTCAGGGATCTAGAATTAGAATTACCATTTGACCCAGCAATCCCATTACTGGGTATATACCCAAAGGATTATAAATCATGTTCCTATAAAGACACATGCACACGTATGTTTATTGCGGCACTATTCACAATAGCAAAGACTTAGAACCAAGCCAAAAACTTTTTTTATAGGCAAGGTTTCACCATGTTGCTCAGGCTGGTCTCGAATCCTGAGCTCAAGTGATCCACCTGCCTCAGTCTCCCAAAGTGCTGAGATTACAGGCATGAGGCACCACACCTGGCCAGGAGAATTACTTGAGGCCAGAAGTTGAAGACAAGCCTGGGCAACATAGCAAGATTCCCTGTCTCAAAAAAAAAAAAGAATTTTTTTTTTTAATTAGCTGGGCATGGTGGCATGCATCTGTGGTCCCAGCTACCCAGCTACTCAGGAAGCTGGGGCAGGAGGATTGCTTGAACCCAGGAGTTAGAGGTTGCTGTGAGCTACAATCATGCCACTGCACTCCAGCCTGAACAACAGGGATGAGACTCCATCTCTTAACCAAAAAAAAAGAAGAGAAAGAAACAGAAGCTCATAAGTTTGGCGTAAAGAGCAGGGAAAAGAGTGTCAGCGGATGAAGTCAGAGAGGCAGACTGGGTCCAGATCCTGGAAAGCTGTGTGAGCCACATTAAGGAGTGAGTTATTTTGTTTTGTTTCTTTAATAATGGTGAAGGTAAGACATTGCAGGGCTTCAAAATGAAAGGGTACTGACTTAATAAATTTGAACTAGTTCACCTTCCACATTGGCCCCATATCGCTTTTGTAAAACACAGATCAAATGGTCTTTAAAACCCATAGTACCCACAACCCCAATCTTGTCACGTGAAAAACATCAGAAAAATTCCAATAAAGGGGCATCCTACAAAATGCCTGGCCAGTACTTCTCAAAACTTTCAAATTTATCAAAAAAAGAAAAGAAAGTCTGAGAAACTGTCACAGCCAAGAGAAGCCAAAGGAGACGTGAAAAATGTAGTATCCAGATAGGATTCTGGAACAGAAAAAGAACATTAGGCAAAAACTAAGGAAATATGAATAAATGATGGACTTTAGTTAATAATAGCATATCAATATAAGGCCAGGCACGGTGGCTCATGCCTATAATCCCAACACTTCGGGAGGCCAAGGCAGGAGAATCACTTAAGCCCAGGAGTTGAAGACCAGCCTGGGCAACATAGCAAGACCCAGTCTCTATAAAAAATTTGAAAATTAGCTGGGTTTGGTAGTGCATACCTGTGGTCCCAGCTACTCAGGAGGCTGAGGTGGGAGTATCGCTTGGGCCAGAGAGGTCAAGGCTGCAGTGAACCATGATCACGCCACTGTGCTCCAGCCTACATGACAGAGTGAGACTCTGTCTTAAACAACAACAACAAAAAGCGTATCAATATAGATTCATTAATTGTGACAAATGGACCATGCTAATGTAAGAGATTAATAATAGGGGAAAGTAGGAGGCTGTGTGGGAACTCTCTATACTATTTGCTTAGTTTTTCTATATTTCCAAAACTACTCTAAAAATAAAGTATATTAATTAAAAAAAAAACTCTACAGTAATTCCCTAGTTCCCAAAGGACAAAGGACAAACAGCATTTGCTTAGGACATTTTCCCAAGTGAATTTCTTATTCTTCTCATGCCTCCAAATTACACCCTAGTCACACTGAACATTTTACTTTTCCTTGGACATTCTAGACCCTTTTATGCCTCTGAGCCTTTTCATATGCTGGTCCCTCTACCTAGAATGCCATACTCTGCCCTTCTCACCTTAGCTAACATTTCAATTATTCAACTCAGTGCTTCCCCACCTCTCCCAGTTGACTTCTCCTGTGTCATCCTACAGCTCTTAAACATTCACACACTCTCTGCTCACAACAAACTCTAGAAGAGCAAGCTGCCCAGGTCAACCATCTTCCCTTTATTCCCAAGGTTCAAGCATCTAGTCAAACCATCTCCATCTTTTAAATTTTCCAGGCAGAAGCCAGACGAAAGTCCAATATGGACCCTCCCACCACACGATGGCAGGAGATACATAACAAGTTCTCAGGGTGGTCCTGTTTAATCCCTTCTCTCTTGACCTGAGATGCTAGGAAAAGCACTCAGCCTTATTCCTCAGGGTTGATGCAAATACAACTCACTGCACAACTTTTCCAAATAAATCCTCTTTACAAATCCTCTCCTTTTTAATGCATCTGATACCTTTGCTATAGGAGAGAAGTTTAATGAATCATGTCAGTTTCAGGTGTCTACTCTGAATACCTACAGATTGGGCACTTGCTTTCATCTGATATCTAGCATACTGTGCTGGATATGTCTGCGTGCTTCAGTGTCCTTTCCCGCTCCTTTCTTTGTACCTTCCTGTGCTACAGAGGCTGGAAGGTTAAAAACTTCAGATCCTTTGCAGCTAGGATACTAGATTCAGTTAAGTGCCCTCACATGAGATTTGGAAGGTATAACTGGGATGGAGGCCATCGCCCTGCTACCATTTCCTCCTGGCGGTTGAGATCATGGGCACCTGAGGTGGGCAGTTGACCTCAGCTTTTCGCTGACTCAATTGTGACGAGGCAGCTATGATGGCCATGGCAGAGCCAACAGAAGAGGCATCAGCTTCACAGTCCCCAGACCACAGGCAGTGCATTCTTAAATACATTAGTTCTAGTGGCAGCCCCAACTCCAGCTACTCCAGCTCTTCCAATGATTTTGAAAGCACCTAACTTTCTATATTCAATCTTTCTCTGCTTAAAATATCTACAGTAGTTTTTATACTTGTGTTAGTTTGCTAGAGATGCCATAACAAAATTCCACAGACTGGGTGGCTAAAACACCAGAAATTTATTTTGTCACAGTTCTGGAGGCCAGAAGTCCAAGAATAAGGTGTCAGCAGATTTGGTTCTCCTGAGACCTCTCTCCTTGGCTTGCAGATGGTTGCCTTTGTGCCGTCCTCATATGGCCTTTCCCTGTGTGGGTGCATTCTTGTTATCTTTCTGTATGTCCTAATCTCCTCTTCTTATAAGGACCCTAGTCAGATTGGATTAGGGCCTATCCTAATGACCTCATTTTAACTAAATTTCTTCTTTAAAGGCCCTATCAAGATTTTTGTTTTTGTTTGTTTGTTTAGAGATAGGATCTCATTCTGTCACCTCGGCTGGAGTGCAGTGGCATGATCATAGCTCACTGCAGCCTCCAGCTCATGGGCTCAAGTGATCCTCCCACCTCAGCCTCCGTATTAGTCCATTTTCACGCTGCTATAAAGAACTGCCTGGGCCAGGTGAGGAGGCTCATGGCTGTAATATCAGCACTTTGGGAGGCCAAGGCAGGCAGATCACGAGGTCAGGAGACCGAGACCATCCTGGCTACATGCTGAAACCCCATTTCTACTAAAAATACAAAAAAATTAGCCAGATGTGGTGGCACACACCTGTAGTCCCAGCTACTTGGGAGGCTGAGGCAGGAGAATCGCTTGAACCCAGGAGATGGAGGTTGCAGTGAGCTGAGACTGCGCCACTGTACTCCAGTCTGGGTGACAGAGACTCCATCTCCAAAAAAAAAAAAAACACAACTGCTTGAGACTCGGTAATTTATAAACAAAGGGGGTTTAATTGACTCACAATTCTACATGGCTGGGGAGGCTTCAGGAAACTTACAATCCTGGTGGGAGGAGAAGCAAGCACGTCTGACATGCCAGTAGGCGAGAGACAGCATGTGTCAGCACAGGAAAAGCTACCATTTATAAAACTATCAGATCTCATGAGAATTCACTCACTACCTTGAGACCAGCATGGAGGAAACTGTCCCTGTAATCCAATCACTTCCCACCAGGTCTCTCCCTAAACACCTGAGAATTACAATTCAAGATGAAATTTGAGTGGGGACACAAAGCCTAACCATATTAGCCTCCCAAGTAGCTGGGGTTTTAGGCATATGCCACCACAACCACTAAGGGCCCTATCACATTCTGAGGTGTTAGGAGTTAAGGTTTCAACGTATGAATTTGGGGACTGATATGGTTTGGCTCTGTATCCCTACCCAAATCTCATCTCGAATTGTAACCCCTACATGTTGCGGGAGGGACCTCGTAGGAGTGAATGGATCATGGGGGCAGTTTCACCCATGCTGTTCTTATGATAGTGAATTCTCATAAGATCTGGTGGTTTGAAAGTGTTTGGCAATTTCCCCCACCCTCCATCTCCTGCCACCATGTCAGATGTGACTGCTTCCCTTTCCACCATGACTGTAAGTTTCCTGAGGCCTCCCCAGCCATGCAGAACTGTGAGTCAATTAAACCTTCTTTTCTCTATAAATCACCTAGTCTCAGGTAGTTCTTTAAAGCAGCGTGAAAACGGACTAATACAGGGAGACACAATTCAGTCCATGCCAATAGCCTTTCTTGAAGGCTGATACACATATCTCTACTTCAACATCTTTAACAAACGAATGAATGAATGAATGAATGAATGAATGAACAAATGTGGTAGAGCTTCACAGCAAAAGTCCTTTCCCTAGTCAATTTCTTCTCTTCATAGAGGTTGCTGGAATTCCCTTCCAATCTCCCTTCCCTACGTCATTTTTTTCTCCTGCAGTTCTTATGGAAGGCAAAAGAGATTAACTGTTAGGATATTAATTAACTATTGCTGCTTAGCCATATTACCACAAGCTTAACTGCTTAAAAGAGCGCAAGTTTATTATCTCAGTTTCTGTGGTTCAGGAGTACAGGTTTGACTTAGCTGGATTTTCTGCTTAGGGTCTTACAAGGTTGTAATCAAGGTGTCAGCCAAGGCTGTGATCTCATCTGAGGCTGGTCTAGGGAAAGATCTGCTCCAAACACACTCAGAATTCATTTGGCAGAATTCTGTTTCCTGTGGTTGCATTAATAAGACTCAGGGATTCAGTCTCATGGTGGCTGTCAACCAGTGGCCACCCTCAACTCTTAGAGGCTGCCCACAGTTCTTTGGCACATGGGGCTCCCAACATAGCCATCTGCTTCCTCCAAGCCAAGAGAGCAGTTCAGTAAGACAGCACTAATATTCATATCATACGCAGCATAATCAATAATCACATACAATTCACCGTCTTTACTATATTCTGCTAGGTAGAAAAGGCACAGGCCACATCCACACTCAAGGAGAGGGGATTATACCAAGGTATGAATTCCAGAGGTGAGGTTTCATGAAGGTCACCTTAAGAGTCTTTCTGCTTCTTCATGGTTTCTGTTTTTTGGCCTTTTCCTCTTTCTCCCTCTGTCAGGGTCTCTGTGGTCAGACCACATGGCCTACCTGATGGCCATGGAAGAAAGGAAGGGGCAGTGGACCCTCACCCAAAGTAAGTTCCTCTTCTATCACACACTGCCCGAGCAGGAGCTGCCTGAAGGCAGAGAGCCCATCAATTTTCCTATCCTAGGTCCAAGAGTGGCAGAAGAACTTTGGTTGTGATGAGAGTCTCAGCTGCCTGAACATCTCTTGGCTGCTGCTCCAAGCTCCAGGGAGCCCCACAGGAGAGAAAATTATAGTCCTTTGTATTTAATCAAGGCCCCAGAGCACATGGCACACTCCCCTGTAGTAGACTCTAACACAGAGAACCTTGTTCCAACACCATAAATGTGCTTATTTTGTGACCTCTATCAGATTCCAAGTCTCTGGAGGGCCAGGCCCTTGCCCAGTTTTTCTTTTTAATTCCTCAATGTTCTGACGCAAGGTCTGGCATATGGTGGGTGTTTAATATACATTAGGAAGAATGGATTAGGCTGGGCATGATGGCTCATACCTATAATCCCAGCACTTTGGGAGGCCAAGGTGGGAGGATTGCTTGAGCTCAGGAGTTTGAGATCAGCCTGGGCAACATAGTAAGACACTATTTCTACAAAAAGTACAAAAACTTACTGGCTGTAGTGGCACCCACTTGGAGTCCCAGCTACTTGGGAGGCTGAGGTGGGAGGATCACTTGAGTCCAGGAGGTCAAGGGTGCAGTGAGTCATGTTAGCACCACTGCACTCCAGCCAGGCAACAGAGCAAGACCCCGTCTAGAAAAAAAAAAAAGAAGAATAGATTAACTCCATAATTTGAAAACAAATGATTCTTATGTCAGAATCTAATGAATTTAAACAGATAATGTGTTAAACACTTAGAAGAGACTAAGGTTCATGCAATGAAATTCTACTGAAAAATAGAAAGGTAGCCAAAATAGATTAAATTAAAAAATGAAGTTGCACATGATTATGTTTTTTGTAAAAGAAAAAAATATAATTTTGGGTATTGATAATGATGATAGTTGGCATAATGTATATTGTCAATCATAGTTGACATTTTATTTTCCTGTAATGTGTGACATTTTCACTTAAAACAACGAAAAGGAATATAAAGAGCACTGAGATCCCAAGTGGTTCATCAGTGAATCATGCCTCATTTCCTTCTTTTAAATTTTATTATGCTGATGATTCACAGAATTCAGTTTAATTCCACAAACATTTATTGAGAGCCTATTACGTGCAAGATACTGGGTAAGTGCCAGGCCACCAGGGTGGAAATGCTAGAGTCAGTGTAACTTGATTTCATAAAGAAAATACATAATGCATCTCATGATCCAGTGATGGATAAGGTGGAGAGGGAAAGTGGTATAAAAGTACCATGAGGCCAGGCATGGTAGCTCACATCTGTAATCCCAGCACTTTGGGAGGTCGAGGCAGGTGGTTCACTTGAACCCAGGAGTTCAAGACCAGCCTGGACAATATGGCAAAACCCCATCTCTACTAAAAGTACAGAAATTATACAGGCATGGTGGAGTGTGCCTGTAGTCCTAGCTACTTAGGAAGCTGAGGTGGGAGGATCACCTGAGCCCTGAAGGTTGAGGCTACAGTAATCCGAGATCATGCCACGGCACTCCAACCTGGGCAACAGAGTGAGATCCTGCCTAAAAAAAAAAAAAAAAAAAAAAAAAATATATATATATATATATATATATATATATGGTTTGGCCACTGACTGAATAGCTATACACACACTCACTCTGTCACCCAGGCTGGAACAAGGGCAGTAGAGTGATCACAGCTCACTGCAGCCCCAAGCTCCTGGGCTCAGGCAATCCTTCTACCTCAGCCTCCCAAGTAGCTGGGACTACAAGCACATATCACCAGACCCAACTGATTTTATTTCTAATTTTTTGTAGAGATGGGGGTCTCACTTTTTTTCCCAGGCTGGTCTTAAACTCCTGGCTTCAAGCAATCCTCCCACCTCAGCCTTCAGAACTGCTGGGATTACAGGCATGAACCACTGCACCTGGCCCTAGTCAATATTTTTATACGTGTCTTAAATGATGAAGAAGGTAAGCACAAAGTTTAGAGTAATAGCTAATAGACAAAATAAGCAAGATGCAAAATAATCTGACCAGCATGACTTTCAAGAAGAATCATTGTAAAGTTCTGTATTTGGTTCAAAGAAAATCAACAACACAAATTCACAGGGATTCCTGACTTGGCAGCAGTTCATGTAAAAAACAACTGGGCTTTTAATTGACCATGGATTCATTATGAGGCATTATTGGAATGTGACTGATAAAAACAAGATTAGGGCAATTCTTGACCACAGCCATAAATCTAGTGTCCCGATAAGAGGGTGGCAGCTCAATCCTGTTCTGGTCAGACCACACTGGAGTTCTATTTTCATTTCTAAGCATCCATTTCACAGTTGGAACATGGCACCCTTGACCCACTTTTGTGAAGTAATGTTTTCTCACACTCCTTTTCCATCCTGTGTTCTAGCATACTCTCAAGTGCAGTATGCTAACACTAGGACAAATGAGCTCTACCCTTGTAATACAGCACAACTGCAAAGCAGTAATGTCATGTGAATCAAGTTCCTTCAGATTTCAGTCATGTCAGCTTTTTGTTAATTTTTCTTTTATTGCAGTCTCCTCTCCCTGGTGACTTAGGCTAAATCTGGGGGTAATGAAATGACCGAAATCTGACTTACAGCCACTGTGTGTACTCCAAATGATTCCTCCTTCCTATTAGTCATAACATAACCCTTTGTCCTTGAACCAGGCTGCTCTGCCTAGTTTCCTGTTCTTCATGCAAAAACTCCAAGAAACCAGCCTTGCCAACCTCCGATAGGAGTCTAAAGCTACCATTTAGTCTGAAAACTGAGATCTGTGCTACACTTGAATGCAAAGTCATCAGAATTAGCTTACACAAGTTCCCCTTTCTCCCTCTGGCATATACTTCCACTCCTTTGCCATCCCAGCTTTGACTTCCCTTTCTTCTTCAGCCCTAATGAGAACTGGGAGTGCGAAAAAATGTAAGGAAGAAAGGAGGAAAAAGAAGAAAGACAGGAGAGATTAATCTCGATCCCAAAGATAGGTAGGACCTTTTGTTATTACACCAGCAAGTCATGGTTCTCTCCTTTCTTCCCTCTTTGTCTCCCAACCCTCTTCAACATGTATACTTGCCAAGGGCTAGGGAAACCCCAGCTTACAAGATCTACTCCCTCTAAAGGGACTGATCCTAAAATTAAAGCCAGTCCAGAGGGGCCACCTTTCTAGCCCAGGCAAGATATTCAAGCCTCAAACCAGGTTAAGGTCGTGTTGGAGTCCACACATGCCCTCTTCTTCCCTATCCAACAAAGGCCTGAGAAACTATGGTCTTTTCCATTAATGCCCTTGGACTGGAAGGGCAGGGGTCATATATAAATTCTGTGCTAAATACTATGAATTTTTTTTCTTTTTTCAGCATGAGACAGATACTGTGAATGCTATATCCCATTTAATGCCCATAGTAAATCCTGTGCTATAATGTATTAATTAAGATGGCTTCCATTAAAAGGAGCAGAAAGCTCAACTCACTATGGGTTACTAAGTGAAGGAGATGATTGGTTTATACAATAGAAGTATGACAGGATTGAGGATGGGTCCATTTAGGAGTTCAACAACTTTATCAGGGAGTTCTATTTTCCATCACTCCACTCTGCCATTCACAATGAGAGCTTCCATCTAGGGCTTGCCCCTGTTTTAGTCTCAGAGTGGCTTTCTATTGCTGCTGAGACTGCATATGTCTCCCACTTTTATCTAGCAGGAGAAAGGGAACTTGTTTTTCTGGAAATAAGCCAGTAAACTTATGCAAACTCATTGGCCTGAATTGCTAGTGAGACCACATATGTGTCCCATTCTTATCTAGCAGGAAAAAGGAAATTTGTTTTTCTGGAAATAAGCCAATAAACTTATGCAAGCTCACTGGCCTGAATTAGGCCAGCACCCATCACTGGGTCCTGTAATAGTGGCCTTAAAATGGAATTGCACTAGGCCTGAGTCTTCAGGAGTGGAGTGGTCTATTGGGGGAGATGTGGATACCCTAACAAAAGTCATGGTAGTTACCAAGAGAAGAACAAGGGCTGGGGAGGCAACTCCAAGGCTCTCTTAGCTACATATTATCCTATTTTTCAGAGGAGAAACTGAAGCTTGGAGATGCTGCTGTGTGTAATGATAGAGCCAGGACTCTCACCCTTCCCTACACCAGGTTATCTTGAAGAAACAAACCAAAGAAAAGCCGGAATGGTCATCCCTTCACTTTCAGCCTAAAACATGTAGATAGGAAAGAGAAGCAGGGATTTCATGAGACTGGGAAAATCTCAGCCACTGTGCACCCAGGAGCTACTGAATCTACCTACTCCACAAAGCTGAGGCAGCTTTGAACCTTCACATCACCTGGAACCATGCCTAGCTCAGCAACTATTTGTAAACTGAAGAGCAGAGACTACAAAGGTATTACCCATAATGATGAGTTCTAGAGCACTGTTTCCCCAGCCCATTCTGGGTTAAATCAGAGGTGTGGGCTAGCCTGGGAACCTTGCCACACTGCATAACATTGCTCCTCCTGGGGAATGTCTTCCGAGTTCTAAAGGACAGATTTGCAAATAGACTTCTGGAGTACAGCCCCATCCACTGCTGGGAACTGCCTTTGTTTGACTTGTTTATTCAGGAGAGCTTCTCTGGACTTTCACCCAGCCGCTGCCTGGCAGGAGGTGACCTGGCTTTAGCCAACAGTGGGTGGGGACAGCAGGAGAGCAGCTTCTGCTCAGTGCTAACTGGACACAAAGCTATACCATAGGAAGGGGGAAGGGCAGAGTATTCAAAGGCCATAAGACAGCTAGTCTTTGACAAGGGACCTCATTTAAGGAGCATGAGTCTCCCTGTCTCACTTCTACCTGGTGGAAGAGTGAGACAAAATTAACTTACATGACTTGAAAGGCTTTTGCAATTTTTGAGGGCCACTGAGTATAAATTTTCCAATAAGCAGCTGTTGGCTTTTGTTCCTGCTGAGGTCTCTCACAAGGCAGCATCAGGTTTGAGTGTCATGGCCTGCCATGGCCCCACTGGCCTTGAGGGTTTCTGTGGCCTATTTTAAGCAATTTTACTGTTCATGGTCCTGGCAAACATATCCATTTTTCTGACAATATTTATAGTCTGATGTAAGTGTGAACTAGATAATGACCTTTTCAAGTCATGGCACAATGTTCTGTTTAAAGTTTTCATTTTTTTGCTCAGAACATC
The DNA here is from genome assembly GCF_000001405.40 of Homo sapiens. Taxonomy (NCBI): domain Eukaryota; kingdom Metazoa; phylum Chordata; class Mammalia; order Primates; family Hominidae; genus Homo; species Homo sapiens. The sequence continues at coordinate 10,326,052 of NC_000011.10, read as the reverse complement.
TGCAAGATCCTTTGACCCTTCTGCATGGTCTCTTGGAGATTTTCCTAACTTTCTGACCACTTGTGGGGATAGAGGGGTGAATGATGGGCAGACCCTTCACGTGTCTTGGGTCATGTGAGCATCTGAGCCTACAGAGAACACTCCTTTTGCTTCTGAAGCTCTTGCAGCCCGTTCTGAGAAATGTAATGCTGACCAGTTCATCTCAGGCATTTCTTTCTCTCCGGACATTATAGGATCACCCTCAAAACACGTGTGAGGGCACATACATCATCAGCTTCCCATAGTGAGTAGTTCCTAGGACTTGGATAACATTTCAAGCTTGACATGGCTAAAACAATACCATATCTGCAGTTAACTTTAGGTGACTCACCAGAAGAGCTATTTTAAACAAATTTGTAGCGACTAAGATTACATTTGTTCTATGAAAAACAGACTGAAAGGACAAAAGGCTAATGCAATATTTTTGAAACGCTCTTTTTAAGCTCAATGAAGTCCTGCTGTATTTTCTTGACAGCATCCTAGTTACCAGGCATAACAGGAGGGGCAATAACTGGTATCTAAACCACTCAAGAAACAAGCATGTCTTGACACCATCCAGCAGGAGTATATGTTCATCAGAAGACAGGTTTGTAGAAATAGTGATGGCCATGTTCATCTAGTCACCAGGGATTCTAATGTATTCCCTTTCAAAATAATATTGGTCAGGCTAGAGCTCTGGTAGCCTTGTGAAGGGTATGGTTTACCAGTCACCTGGCCTGCCTTAAGGTCATCTTCAGTTCTCCTGGCAATTACTATACTCTCTTCTCTATCCCAGAGTGCAGACACATTTCTGTATTTAGTTCAAAGAAAATCAACAGCACAAATTCATAGGGATTCCTGACAAAGCCAGAAGGTCAGAGCTAGAAGCAGATTGGGGCTTCTAGCTCTGACCTTTCAGCTGAGACAAGATTTCTAAGGGGAGAAGAATGAACAGATGTGAGGAATGGGGTGCTCTCATGCTACTCAAATGAAGCACAAAGGTAAACACCAACCTCATTATTCTCCTGAGAAGTTGCTTATTTTCCTGGGGTGGGGAACCTGGGGGCAGGCAGAACCTTCAAGGCCTGAGAACTATCAAGAGACTCTTTAGGAGGCGAGGAGAAGCTGAAACCACTATCCCAACCCAGTTCTCCTGAGTTTTCCTTCCTGCTTCGGGTTTCCCACTTCATTTCCCATTGCCGTGGCATCATGTCAGCCCCTACCTGTGAGGAGATACTGACATTTCTTTAGTGTTATACAAACTCCTTCCCTGAACTCTTCTTCACATAGCTGAGATAGGCTGGAACTTTTCCAAAGCCTTTACAAAATACTGAGGGAGAACAACGGGGACATAAACAAGAAAATACATGAAGCATAAACATGGTCAAGCTTGTGCAATATGTTAACAATCATAATATTTAGGGAATGAGACACAGAAGGGAGAAATGTTGTACATAATAACCTTGTTTGATAATTTTTAGGAACTGTATATACTTTATAAGTAATACACATTTATTTTGACATATACAGTATTAATTTTGGTCCTACCATAGCATTCTAGCTCCCATGGTTCACTCCACTTACAGACTTTCCACCTGATTAACTCTGAGACTCTTCCTTCTGTTCCTTTCTATCCCCGTCCCTCCCCAACAGGTCTCACGAACCTTCTGGGAAGAACAACGGGTGATAAGTTTGACCATTCAGTCAATAAATGTGCCAGCTATAATGCCAGACACAGTGATAAGCCATCAGTTACCTTCAATGCTTATCGATACCACTCAAATGCCTTTTCTCTTTGATAGGAGAAAAGACCAAGGGTCATTTCCTTAACACTTCTTTCTGTGTCCATCTAAAAAGTCACTTAGAATTATATGAAAACACACTTAATAGACTCAGTAATCTCTGCCAAGAAAAAGATCTTGGTTGAAAGAATTCTCAGCTACAACAATGACTGCAATCAAAAAGAACTCATTTACATACAAATGGATCTTCCCAAAGAAGGCAAAAAGGAAAATCCCACTTTCTGATTTGGAGCAGCAACAAGCCACTAATATAGTCAAGGCAAGGCAGCCTCTGTCCTCTGGATGCCTCCAATAAGATGACTAAGGGCTTTATCAAGCCCATCTAAGCTTATGACTATATTAATGCTCCAGTGCTCTTTATTTGAGCTCCGAGGAGCCACTGTTTTCCTCATCCCTCTCATCATCTAACCTGAGCTCAAGTATTCTCACCTGGGTGTGATTCAAATGGAGCTAGCCTTTACTTTCCTGGACACTCGTCTTCCTTAATCTGCCTCAGTTTCCTCAAGGAAGACAAAGATAAAACATCTGGAGACACCACAAATGAACCTCATCACAAATGAACCTCAAGCTGAGAAGAGCACTTCTGAGAGGCACTTCCAATACCACCCACTGACACCCAGCAGAGAATAGTCTGTGCTTGGGGAATTTACCTACTGCTACAGTTTTCAGACATCATTGGCCCATAAAGAAAAGACACTTAAACCTATAAGCCTCCTGGGTTTTGCTCTGGAGCCTCACTGGTCAGAGCCTTGCGTGAACTCCCTTGGAAAGTTGTCTGGGATCAAGGAGTCTGCCCTTGAGTCTCAGCAAGGGATGAGGGAGGCAGGACTTAATGGACTGAAAGAGAGAAGCCACCCATGTGGTCCAACAGTTCATCCTAGGAAATGACAGTCCAGTTGGTACACAACTACATAAACTTATATTCCAAAATCCCCCAAATTCACCACCAAGGCACTTGGCTAAGATAACCAATATACAATCAACCTAGAACCGTTTCAAGAATTTATTCCTAAAGAAACAGCAGGTGGCAGCAGAGTTTTACATTTTTTTTTTTTTTTTTTGCCCTTTGGACTGGAATGAAAACAAAGTGTCACGGAATAATCTCCTCATCTCTGAGTCAGCCAATTGGCCCAGAAACGGGCATATTGCCGTCTTGTAACGTGAAGAGTATAGCATCTTCTCAGAGTGGGCTCTGTGCACTTTGACAAGAGAATACAACATCACCCGCCACCCCCAGGCCAGAGACCTGCCTGGTTCTGTAGGCCAAGTAGGAAAATGACTGCCCCAGAATGACCAGATCACAGAGGCTGTGGCCCTGAGTTTCATATTCATTTTCCCAGTATCAAGGTGTTGCTCATTTACAATGTGGAGGCCCTCAAAGAAAACTGAGTATGATTAAGTGGAAGAATGCCTAGGAATTGAGTATACACCTCACAGCATTTTCACCATCTATTATGATATAATCCATGGCAGAAATGTAGGGGCAAAAAAAAGTGGAAAAGGGGAGTTAATAAAATCTGGTTTCTGGTGTACTTAGAGATTTAGAGATCTCTGAAAGCTGCATCACCACCCCACAGCTGCTGCAGCTTGGGCTCAGGAGCAGGCAGTGCCAAGACCACTGTCTGCTTTGGCCTCAAATACCTTCCTTGACTTAGTATTGTGCTTGGCTCCCAACTTCCAAGTTGTAGCTGGAAAGTTTCCATTGTCACAGTGTAGCACCAGAGTTGGAACCCAAGTTTTTGCTGAATTGTTTTGCAGAGCAAATCCAGTTTTGCCTTTAAGAAGTGACTGGTCAGCCGGGAGCAGTGGCTCACGCCTGTAATCCCAGCACTTTGGGAGGCCGAGGCAGGCAGATCACGAGGTAAGGAGATCAAGACCATCCTGGCTAACATGGTGAAACCCTGTCTCTACTAAAAATACAAAAAATTAGCTGGGCGTGGTGGCAGGCGCCTGTAGTCCCAGCTACTCAGGAGGCTGAGGCAGGAGAATGGCGTGAACCCGGGAGGCGGAGCTTGCAGTGAGCCGAGATTGCGCCACTGCACTCCAGCCTGGGTGACAGAGCGAGATTCCGTCTCAAAAAAAAAAAAGAAGTGACTGGTCAGTTTGTTCCATCCCAAAATGGTGATTCAGAACTCTCTCAGACACACCTTAGACTGAGATACTTTTTTTTTTTTCCCCTTAGATTAGAGAAGGAGGATTTCCTTATGTTGCCCAGGCTGGTCTTGAACCCTTGACCTCAAGCAAGGCTCCTGCCTCAGCCTACCAAAATGCTGGGATTACAGGCCTGAGCTGCCTCACCCAGGCTGAGATGTTTAATTTCCATCCAAGAGGAAACTTTCTTATCATTTAAAGTAGAAATGGAAGGATGGAAGAAGGTGGGGGTAGGGCTGGAGGAATTTTAATTGTTATTATTTTTTTTAAGTATGAAACTTGTTCAGGAAAAAGATAAAGTTAAGGACCTTGTCTCCAGGATCCCAAACAGATTTTGCAAACATATATTTGTGGGTTTTCTTTTTGGAAGTAGAGTTGACAGAAAAGTGAGTAGCTTTAACTCTGTAGCAACACAACTCCTGGTGACCAAAGAGAACATTCCTGAAGATCCAGTGGAGGTAGAAGACGTTCATTTATTTACATGACATGCAGCCTCAGCCCCAAACATGTTTTTTGTTTTCTTTTTCTGCAGAAAATATGATTTTGTTCTGACAACTTAAGGACACACTTCACAGCTCTCAGCCCAGAAAGGGTCATTTAAGATTATCTAATAAGGAAAACATTGTATAATTCCTTTGAATGTAATAAACAATATCTTTTGGAGCAACCTGCAGCAAATGTTCCAAATTTCACATCAACATTTAATTCCCCCTCTGTGCGTATGTTCTACACTCCCCAAAAAATGATGTTAAAACATTTAATGCAGTGAATTGACAGCACCAGGAAAATATTTGGGCTGTCTGGAGTTGCCATTATTGGCTTTAATTATGACCTACTGGCTCTTGGGTCCTAAAGCAGCCAGAAAATGAGATATGTGTGCCAAAATATTCATTAGAATTCCCTTCTCAGTCATTGTATAGAAAGAACAAGTTTCCTTCTGGCTCCCATCTTCAGTATTTTAAGTGGAATTATTAATATGCCAGATTTTTTAAAGGATCAGTCAGTAAACAAGATTATGTGCATACCTTGTATTTTGCATTTTAAAAATCTTGAAAAGGTCAAATGTCCCCTTTGCTATCATTGTATTACTGTGAAGAAAGAATTGTTTTTGCAGCTATGGAGTTAACCGGTACTATCCACCCAGGCCTCCTCATCCAAACCCTGCTCTCTGGAACTGACTTGATCCTATACGCTTTGGAACTGAAAGTACTGATGAAGCACAGCTTGGGTCTCCCAAGGAACTAGTCAGAAAGGTGGTTTAATTTCTCCCGCTTTTCAATGTTCATTTCTCCCTGAATATAAGACCTCAGAAGGCTAGAGTCATAGAGGAAGAATCTTTGAGATCCTTGATGCCATGTCCTTATTTTAGAGATGATTAATCTAAAGAGAAATGGTATATTCACTGCTTTACCTTTGTGTTCTGGCATTGAGAAAGAGCAGGTGCTTTTTTTTTCTTTATTTTTTAAACCACAGCATCCTTAGTCGTTACTCTTAAACAGAATTGCCATTTAATGAGCTTATACTATACTGCCAGGCAGGGGTTGTTGCTTTCATCCATGTTATATCATTCATCCTTACAACAAGCCTATAAGGTAAATATTATTATCCCCATTTTATAGCTAATGAAACTAAGACTTGGGTTAAGAGATGTGCCCATAATTACAGGGCTAGGAGGAGGGAGAGTCTGTGTAAACTCAAGGTTGTCTAACTTCAAAGCCTATGTCCTCGACTATACCACTTCCCTGCCCCCATCCTGCCTGCCAAATGAAACAAGGCCAGACTAGAAATCAGTTGGCATATCTTGGGCTCTCACATTGCTTTAATTTTTCAAGTAGTGGGGTGAAGAAAGAGTCCTCCATAGTGATAAAGTGGAGAGAGATGCCTGTGCCCAAGCAGTCTTCACTTACCAGAATGTGCCAAGAGATAAACAGGGACCATATAGATGCAATTCTCCCCTATTAACTACTTGTCATGTTTAACATGACAGTTCACCCTGAAAGCTTTTGAAAGACTTCCCAGTTTTTAATAAAGTTGGCTGATTTGGTCCTGACAATTTGTCTTTCATTTAATAGAAAATTGGAAGGGCAATTTGGGTCAGATGCTTATTTTGGGAAAAAATAATTAGGAGTTTTGTTTTCTCTGTGCGTGTGTGTGTGTGTGTGTGTATGTGTGTGTGCGTGTGCGTGTGCGTGCATGCTCAAGGTCGTACAGGGCTGAAAGAGCAGATGTGGTATGAATTAAGGAAGTTTATCTGATGATTGTCTATAGTGGCACAGATGATGGGGTTATTGCCTGGAAATGCTTGTGTTTTCCATGGAAACATGGTTTGGGAAGAAACTGATGTTTTAGAAAAACTAACAAAGTTAAGATCAAGTTGGAATGTTATGTGTTAAATTTAACAGCATGAGATGAAGACATCTGGCAAACATCTTAAGTTTGCTAACCTAGGTGCCAGTGAAAACTGTAAACTGAAAATTTCTTTCCCTCAAAGAGAAAATTCATATACCTGGGTTAGTTATAAATAACCTGCCTGGTCTCTGCTCCCACAGTTCCCTCTCTGAAAATGAAGTTACTGGAACCCTCTGCAAATAGGTACTTGCCTGATCAGGAAGACTTAAAGGACATCATCTCCACATTGGGTTGTTTGAGTGTCAGATCACCCTAGCCACTGACATTCTCCTAATCTAAATGAACATAATTTTTTTATCTGGACTGCTGCAATGGCAGGCTACCCAGTGTCTAGAACAGGGCCCTGCGTGGAGTAGACTGTTGATCTAAAATATCATTGATTGAATGAGTAAATGAAATCCTGTTTGCCCTGACTCAGTTACCCTGTCCTGATTCCCTAACTCTTGTTGCGTGTCTGGTGCTGAAATCCAGCCACGATACCACGTTTCTAGGCCTGTCGCCTGGTCCTGTTCTCATCAATCCCTTTGACAGAAGTACATTCATTTGTGAGGACCGTCATAACAAAATACCACAGACTGTGGCTTAAACAGCAGACATTTATTTTCCCATACTTCTGGAAGCTGGAAATCCAAGGACAAGGAGTCAGCAGGTTTGGTTTCTTTGGGAACCTCTCTAGTTGTCTGGCACGTGGCTGCCTTCTCTCTGTGTCCTCCCATAGTCTTCTTATAAAGACGCAAGTCATATTAGATTGAGGACCACACATATGACCTTATTTTTCCTTGATTTCCTCTTTAAAGGCCCTATCTCCAAACACAGTCACATTCTGAGGTACTGAGGGTTAGGGGTTTAGCATATGAATTTGGTGTATGGGGATAGGGGACACAATCAGGCCCATCAGAAGGAATAATTCCAGTCCTGTCTGCTGCCTCCAGCTGGACCTCTCTTGGGCCTGCCTATAGTTTGCTCCTAGAATGCGCGCTGCTGTGCTCCCTGACATGCCTGATGCCCTGTCATTTCCTGCTGTTCCTCCTTGATGCCAACACCCTACAGCACAACCACCTGTTGTCTGTTACTCTGCCCTCGGCTGGGGCTGGCCTCCTTCCCATCACCTGCAGCTTGTCTTCTCTCCAAACACCTGCCCCACTGGCTGCAGTTAACCCTTCTATTTCTGGCTGTTTGACTGGAAACAACCCTCAATCTACAACAAATGAATAAATAAATAAACTGTTGGTCTCAGTCTGTTAGCACCACCAGGGTGCATTTTTGAAATAGCTGTATGGGGACAATGTGTAGGCCGAACAAAGTTAAGTGGCTTCACAAAGATAAAATGTTACTCACAATCACACAATGACATCAGGCCCCACCCACAGACAATCCAGTTCAATTGGTTAGGGATAAGGCTCGGTGTCAGTTTTTTTTTTTTTTTTGAAGCTTCCCCCACATGACTTTAATAGGCAGAAGAGGTTAAGGATCACTGCTCTATCTGGTGGAACAAACCTATTAAATTGAGACAAAAGGTTACCAACTAGCTGAACATAGGAGCAAAACAAGGCTGGGGGATTCCCCCGCATCTGTGACTTGTGAATGTAGTGGAGTACGCCTCCCCAGAGTCCAGTCCCTCCCAAACACAGGGGTGGGTGACTCTTCCTTCAGCTCTAGCACCCCTTTGGTGTTAATTGCTCTGCCCTTTGGTCTAAGAAGTTGGGGGTGGCTTATTAGTGTCCTCTGCCATGTAGGGCAATGTGGGTAGGGTAAGGTTCAGCAATGACTCCAGACTTAGGCAAGTATCACATCTGCTGGGCCATCTGAGCGTGACTTGCAGGCTGCTATTGATGAAAGATCTCCAGCAGTAGTAAAAAGAGCAACTAACATGGCTCTTTGGCTCAGGCAACAGTGGGACTCACTTGAATGGCAGGGGATGAGCTCCAGGCATTTAACTGGCCTCCACAGGTTTGCTGGGACTGATCTGCAGTCTCTCCATGCTGATGTCCTCCTCTCTGTGGGCTCTTTCCCAAGGCCTCCCTGCAACCTCATAGGTCCCTGCTCTCCCCCCGCCCAGGATGAAGGCGGCTTAGTCCAGCTCTCCCTCTAGTCTCTTTCCAGTGTGGGTAAAGCCCAATCCCTGATGCTTCCGGGCCTTCCCTTTTGATTCTCAAGAGCCTTTTCTTCTCTCAACAAAACCTGGTTCTCTGCAAACAAAAGGCTTTGGCTTTCAAAACTATTGTTTTTGATGTGGGCTTCAAGAGGCTATTTTAAAGTCAGAAAACTGAACATTTACTGTTTCATTCTGACTGTTTCTTTCTGTTAGCATTCCGGTTGTACCAATCCTAATTCTCCTCAAGGCAATGCCTCTGATTTACTAGGGAAAAGGTCAAGTGGAAAAAGTGTAGCAAAGAAAAGCATGAACAATAACATTTCAAGATACCCTTTCTCTATGTAAGAAATACTGCAACACTGGCCACTCCACACCTCCCCTCAGGCAAGCCCCCACAAGTGAGCAGGCCAGGATGTTCTGGCTGAGTCCACACAGGCAGAGTGAAGAGGAGAACCAAGATTTTTCTTGATAATAACAGTTCTAAATCACAATTATTAAATCATTGTTTTCTTTAACAAGCCAATGGCCAAAAACAAAAGGTGGGAGGAGCTTGCTCTAGATTAAAGAAACACTAGAGATAGAACAAATTTGTCTGGATTCTATTTTGAACAAACCATTGTCAAAAGACATTTTTTGAGGCAATCGGGCAAAGTTGATTATGGCCTGGCTATGAGATGATACTGCAGAATTATTTTTAATGTTAAGTGTGACAATAGCATTTTGGCTACATAAGAAAACATTATTTTCATTTTTTTAAAACAGATGCATACTGAAGTATGTGTGGGTGATATGATAGGATGACTGGACAAAAGAAAATTGAAGAAAAGGAAAAAGTTATTAAGAAAAGAAGAAAAGAAAGAGGAAGAAGAGAAAAGAGAAGGATAGGCAGGAAAGAAAAGAAAAAACATACTTTGGCAAAAAAATTTTTTAAAAACAAAAAAGAAAAAAGGATAGATGAATCAAATGTGGCAATATCATGATAATTATTGAATTTTAATGATGAGCATATGGGGGGTCATTATATTATTATTTCTCTGTTTTTGTGCGTTTGAAAGCTTTCATAATTTTTTAAGTTGTAAAACTGGTGCAGAAAAAGACAGACTGAGCAATGGAAGAGATTAAAAGGGCCAGAAACAAATTTAAATATTTACTATTTAAGAATTATTATATTACTGATTTGCAGGAAGATGAATTCTTTCTTCAAATAAAATCTTCAAATAAAATCTGACGAGGAGCACCAACAAAAAGGAATAAAACAAAAAAGGAATAGAGATGTTCCACTAGAAGCTGGAGAGAGAGACTAGCATTTTTTTCTTCCCCTTTTTCTCCCCAGAAAACTTCAGAAGTAACTCAGGAAAACTCTCTGTGGAACACAGTTTAAAAACCTCTGGTGCATATGATGAAGGAAGACCCTCAGGTCCTACAGAAAATATGCATTACTCAGTATAAATACTGGACAATTGGCTAACAATTTAGGGGAAAATAAAAGTTAAATCCCTACCTCATCAGATGCCAAAATAAATTCCATTTGCTTTAAAATGTTTAGCCTGGATAATATGGTGAAACCCCATCTCTACAAAAAATTTAAAAATTAGCCAGGCGTGGTGGTGTGCACCTGTAGTCCCAGCTACTAGGGAGGCTGAGGTGAGAGGATCACCTGAGCCCAGGAGGTCGAGGCTACAGTGAGCCACAATCACGCCACTGCACTCCAGCCTGGGCAACAGAGTGAGACCTTGTCTCAAAAAAATAAATAAAATAAAATGTTTAAAGTATAAAACAAAATCATAAAAATATTAGAAAAAAAGAGATGGCTATTCTAAAATATTGAGGCAGAGAAAGACTTCGTAAGCAAGCCAGTAAAGACAGAAATTATAAAGGAAAACATCGGTATCTTTGATTATATAAATATTTATAAGTTTTATATGGCAAAAAATAAGCCACACTCTCTCTACAAAAAGAAAAAAGGTGTGTCTCTATGTGACAAAACTTTAGTATTCTTAATCAATAAGAATATTAAAGTATTTCAGATCAACAGGAAAAAAACAAATATTCCAACAGAATGAATGAATCAAGAACTCAAAAAAAAAATGGCAGGGCGTGGTAGCTCATTTATAATCCTATAATTACAGTCCTATAATTCCGGCACTTTGGAAGGTCGAGGCAGGAGAACCACTCGAGCCCAGGAGTTCAAGACCAGCCTGGGCAACATAGTGAGACCTCCTCTCTACAAAACATTTAAACATTAACCAGGGTGGTACACGCCTATAGTCATAGCTATTCAGGAGGCTGAGGCAGGAGGATCACTTGAACCCAGAAGCTGGAGGCTGCAATGAGCTATGATCATGCCACTGCACTCCAGCCTGGGTGACAAAGCGAGACCCTGTCTGTTAATAATAAATAAAATAAATAAGTAAATAAATAAACAATAATAATATATATATAAGGGGAAATATAAATGATCATGAAGACATCAAAAATACTCAAGCTACACTAATAATCATGGAAATAAGTTAAAGTAGTGAGAAGAGTTGATGCTGTTAAATTAAATTTAGTCTAAATCTGCTTCCTTAAATATTTTAAGTTTGGCCAAAAGCTTTTTGCATACGTAGTGAACGGTAACCTAACGATGTGAAAACACACTGTAACCTACTCTTGCAACAAGCAGCCAAGTCTCAGCCAATCACAGAAGCCATACTTCAACTACTCACAGGTTGCTAAGTGTTTAAACCTTGTTTTAAAAAGGCAGACACAGAGCTGTAACCAGTCTGGCTGTTTCTGTCCCTCACTTCCATTTTCTCAATGTCACTTTTGTTTTTCTGTCCATAAATCCTCTCCAACCACGTGGCAGCACCAGAGATGCTCTGAACTTACTCTGGCTCTCGGGGGCTGCCTGATTCATGAATCCTTCTTTACGCAGTTAAACTATGTTAAATTTAATTTGTCTAAAGTTTTGTTTTTTAAACAATGCTGATTCCTCTTTCTGGTGATATAGCAGACTAAGTTGAAAATCCTGCTACTATAAAACATCTAGAAATGCTAAGTAAAATACACTTAATATCCTTTTAAATGCATAGCTGAACCCCATGAAAATACAGGAAAGCCACAGAAAACTAAACCAAGGTAACTAAAATCCAGAGTAGAAAACTTGAGCTGAAAAGCAGTTGCCTGGGCTTTGCGGAAGGGGTTTCCTCCCTTTGGTAACAGAGATTTGTTTAGGGACAGAAGAAAAGGAACTGAGATACTCAAGTAAATCCAAGGACTCTCAAAATGCTACACCCCACATCACCAGCACAGATGCACTTTTGCGTGGTTCATAAACATAAAATTAAGAAATTAATATAAAGAATGGTCTCAGATGGGTAATAACCTTGGGACAATTGGCAGAAGCAAACATAAATCTCTCTGAAGGGACTCAACCCAGTCCACACAGAATTACCATCAACTAAGCTTTAATAAGATGAGCTCGGAACCCCAAATTACAGGAAATAGGAAGAAATACATCACAATGAATAAGAGTCAGCAGATAAAGGTAGCAGAGTTATTAGAACGAAACTATAAACTAAATGTTTTAAATTATTAAGGATATAAAATACAGTCTCAAAAACATGAGAAAAGAATAAAACTTTTTAAAGAGCAATAGGAAACACCATGTTTACCTATTACATGACATAATATTATTAATTGAAAAGAAGAATAATGTTCAGTGTTTCAAAGGAAATAGGAAATTGACTTTTTTTTTTTTTTTGAGACAGAGTTTCACTCTTGTCACTCAGGCTGGAGTGCAATGGCGCAATCGTGGCTCACTGCAACCTCTGCCTCCCAGGTTCAAGCGATTCTCCTGCCCCAGCCTCCTGAGTAGTTGAGACTACAGGCACCTGCCACCACACTCGGCTAATTTTTTGTATTTTTAGTAGAGACGGGGTTTCACCATGTTGGTCAGGCTGGTCTCGAACTCCTGACCTCAGGTGATCCACCCATCTTGGCCTCCCACAGTGCTGAGATTACAGGCATGAGCCACTGCACCTGGCCAGAAATTGACTTTTTTATACTGTTAGTAGAAGTAAAAATTGATCCTTCCAGAAGGCAATCTGGCTCAAATGCTTTAACAAAAAAGAGTACAGACCCAATGACCCAATAATTTTATTTGTAATAATTTATCCTAAAAAATAGTCATTAAATTACTCAAAGATGAGTTGAATGCACATAAAAATGTTCATTGAGGGCTTTAAAAAATTGTTTAGAGATGGGATCCCCCTATGTTGCCCAAGCTGGTCTCGAACTCCTGGCTTCAAGTGATCCTCCCACCTCGGCCTCCTTGTAGCTGGGAATACAGGTGCAAGCCACAGCACCCAGCTATATTGGGGCCATTTTTAATGGTAAAAACACAGAGGGAAAATCTTAGCACTCAGCCAGGAGTAGTGGCTCATGCCTGTAATCCCAACACTTTGGGAGGCCAAGACAGGAGGATCACTTGAGGCCAGGAGTTCAAGACCAGCCTGGGCAACATAGTGAGACCCCAGTCTACAAAATATTTTTAAAATTAGCTGGGCATGGTGGTGCACACCTGTAGTCCCAGCTACTCAAGAGGCTGAGTCAGAAGGATTGGTCGGGCCCGGGTATTCAGGTTACAGTAAGCTATGATTGTGCCACTGCACTCCAACCTGGGACAGAGTGAGAAACACACACACACACACACACACACACACCCCAAAACCAAAATAACCTTAACATCCAACAGCAAAGAATGGTTAAACAAATTATGATTTGTTTCATAATTTGTTTCATTTCATTTTAATAAAATGAAATACTGTGCAGGATATTAAAATGATGTTGCATAGATATATTTATTGGCATCAAAAGATGCCCAAATATACTGAGAAGTAAAAAAAAAAAAAAAACACATCAGCAGATCATGGACAAATATGATCTCACTTCTTTTTAATTGTGTAGCCCACTAGGAAAAGTTCAAATGACCAATAAATAAATGAAGATATGCCAAAATTCACCAGCAACCAGTAATGGAAAGTAAAACAATATTACTTTTATACCCATCAGCATGGCAAACATCAGAAGACAATCCATGCTATATTTCTCAGGGTTTTCTAGAGAAACACAATCAGTAGGATATGTATAGATTTGTTGGTTTGTTTATTATGGGAACTGGCTTATGCAATTATGGATGCTGGTAAGTCTCAAGATATGCCGTCTGCAAACTGGAGAACCAGGAAAACTGGGGGTGTAATTCAGTCCGAGTCCAAAGGACTGAAAACCGGGGAAACTGATGGTATAACTCCCAGTCTCAGTATGGAGTGAGGCCACTGGTGTAAGTTGGAAACCTCAAGAACCAAGAGGTCTGATGTCCAAGGGCAGGAGAAGATGGATGTCCCAGCACAAGAAAACAGAGGGAGAATTTGCCCTTCCCCTGCCTTTTTTGTTCTATTCCAGGTCTCAACAGATTAGATAATGCCTGTCCACATTGGTGAGAGAGCTTCTTTACTCAGTCTACCGGTTCCAAAGCTAATCTCCTCTGGAGACATCCTCACAGACATACCCAGAAATAATTTTTTACCATCTATCTGGGCATCCCTTAGCCCAGTCAAGTTGACATATGAAATTAACCATCATACATACAAATATTGCAATGACATGGGGAGATGAGAACTCTCAGGTACTGCTGGTGGAAATGAATACTGGTACAGGCATTTTGGAAAGCAATCTCATACAATTTAGCGTAATCTGTATGTAGAAGCCTTTTAACTAAATGATGCCATTTCTGGGTATATATCTCCAAGAAATTTCCATTTAGACCCATAAGAGGACATGAAATGGAAGGTTAATTTACATATTGTTTGTGGCAGAGGGTTACTGGGGGCAACCCAAGTGTCCCTCATTAAAAGACAAGAAAAGTAAAATGTGGCAGATCCATAAAATAAGTAATATTCAGCAGTAAGAGGAAACAAATCTACCTGGATAATTTTTTTAAAGTGTTGAGTGAGATTAGGAAACAATAAATATTTTAACACAATGTGTTTGCAGGTTAAAAACATGTAAAGTTGTGAAATAACACAGCAGATTTTACAAGATTGCGTACTATAATAAGCACAGATATCAAACACATTAAAGAGGTTCCTATAAAGGAGATGTGAAGGGATATGGAAATTAAAGAAGAAAAAATAAAATAATTTTAAAAAGAGAGAAGCCTTGCGCAGATTGGTAATGACAATTTGCCTTAAACTGAGTAGGTTTAATTCAGCTCTCTCCACTGAATTCAATTTTTTAAAGTGTGTATAGGTATAATACATAAAAATGTCTAAAAGGAAGTTAGCCAGGCATCATGCCTATAGTCACCCCTACTCAGGAGGCTGAGGCAGGAGGATTGCTTGGGCCTGGGAGTCTGAGGCAGTGAGCTTGATCAAACCACTGCACTCCAGCCTGGGCAACTGAGCAAAACCCTGTCTCTAAAAAAATAAATAAATAAATAAAAGATTAAAATGTCTAAAATATTAATAGTGGTTATCTCTGAAAGTAGTATTGCAGGTGAATCTTTTTCTTCTACACTGAATAAATATTGTAAATAAGTAAAATGCATTTTTTATGCTCTAAAATTGTATCTTAATACTCAAAACTACTTTCCTAATGTTGGATAAATGTACAAAAACCTACTAAATTCAGCTGCCTGTGTGGCCACAGTCATTTTATTGTTTTTCCAGAATGTTCCAAAATAGCTCTGGAACAAGACCAGTGGGACCACCAGATAGCTATCTAGCCTCACCCTTCTTCCCATGCACATGAAGACCAAGCCTCCAGCCTGGCTTTGGCAGAAACCTCTGTGAGACTCAGGATAACAAGGCCTTCTCCTTCTCAGCTGGGGAAAGGAGGGGCCTTATGTCATAGCGCTCTCTCTCTCTCTCTCTCTCTCTCTCTCTCTGTCTCTCTCTCTCTCTCTCTCTCTGAGTCAGTTCAGAACATCCTCTAAAAAGGTGCCTTGAGCAGCAGTTGCCAAGACAAAAGATCCCACCTCAAGGGTGGAAACTCTATTTGCAGTTTTGTAGACACAGGTGTTCTTCCAGGCGACTTAAGACCTACAGTGTGGGGCTGTATTTGGCCAGGAATAGCTCAGAAGGCCTTCCCCCCCGAAACCAGCTCTTGAAGCTTCAGTGTATATTTTAACTATATTTGGCAATTCAAACCAAAGAGGTCAGTGGCTTAGCTCAGGAGAGGAAAAAGGTTGATTTATAATCCCTTCTTCAAACCAAGACCAAGAATTTAAAACTCAGTTCATTTATTTATTTTGCACTCATTGAGCTTACTGCTTGAAGCAGCTCTCCTTCCCTATTCTACCAGCCCTCATGTAAATCTTTCAGAACCACAGGTGTGAATCACCTATACAAGCTATCCCTGTTTTAGAGGACATTTGGGGACATTTGGCTGGAGAATCTAAACGTTAAAATTATCCCACTTTACTCCATATGCCTTTAGAGGATCAAAATAGCCTGTAGCATTTGGGTACAAATCCAGGCTCCACCGCTTATTATTCACTGTGTAACCTTGGCTGAGTTACTTTATGTCTCTGAGGTTGTTTCCTTATCAATAAACAGATAACACCTACTTCACAAGGCTGTTGTAAGAATTAAATGAGATAAGGTGTATAAAGTGGCAAAGAGAATATCTGACACCAAGCAAGTGCTAAAAAAGGAATCTGTTTCCATTCCTCCCCATCACTCCCCTTCACCCTTGGCTGTTCAGCCAAGGTGTTGGCTTTTCAAGAAATTGCCTGATACCCCGTGTTTGATTACAAATGTATGGTATCATTCCCACAGCAAGCAACAGTAGCTAAAGATAAAAGCTGTGACTACTCCTCAGCTGTGGACAGGTCGAATCAGCTCACAAATGACTCATCACTGTTGATAAACAATGTGTTCTTGGCATCAATAGTCCCTATCCTGATAAGCTTCAGCACCTCAAAGAGAAGAGCCCGGGGTTTGATGGTGACCTTTGGTTAATCCTGAACTCATACCAAACTGGTCTTAGGAGGGTCTCTGTCTCCTCGCACATGTCTCCAGTCACAGGATTCTCAGCGGGAAGGACTCCAGCTGAGCAGCTGCCTCTTTTGTCTTAGGGCTGAACCATCTCCTTCACTTGCCTTGGATTCCCTCAAGTCATAAGACTTCCTCAGCACAAGGCTAGACGCCTGTTCCCTGCTCACAACCGCCCGAAGCTTGTGCCCAACCTGCCTTTGGCAGCTTTGTTTGCTGGCTGACGCTGTGCCAAGGTGAGGTTTGGCTGGAGTGCTTTGTGGCTACAGGACAACCTTGGCTCAAGGAAAGGAGTAATCTTGCGCCACTGTCTGCGAGGCTTAAGTGTTTGCTGCTCTCTGCAGTTTCTGTAGCCCCTTCAGACCACCCAGAACCCACTCACTGGCACAGAAATTCCATGACAGGAATCTTGAGTCACTCTTTCATTCATACATGCCTGGTACCTTCTCAGTGCCTGGCACAGAGTTCCCACAAAGTGAATCTTTTTCTGAAAGGCCCTTGAGGACAAGAATGGTCTGTAGCTGCATTTCTAACCTCCTCAATTCTGGCACACCTCACACAATTATTAAGATCAAACAGGACAATAAACTATATGAGATTGGCATTGTCAACAGCCAGGTGCCCAAACTGAGGTTTTGTATGGTCTTAAGGAAATTCTATGTACTCGAGTTTACTTTCTTCTAAATTGAAACTGCTTTGGAATGAGGTATCTCTGGACCCCAGAGTAGGGCCCCTCTCTCTCAGTGGGTATGCAGTCCTCTTCTGCAAGAAACTAAACATCCTAGCCCCTCGGAGGGGACCCTGTAATGTGCAAAAGCCCCAGAAGGCCGTAGGCTACCCTGGAAACATTTCCATTCTCCAAACTCACCTTCAGGTTTTCTTCACCAGGGAGGTTTCTGAGATCACCTACAAGCACTGACATTAAGGCCAGGGAAGCTTTTTGGAAGGGACAAGTAGCTGGTCTCCATCTTGGGTCTTCAGGATATTGGATGAGACAAACAGGGCACCCTGAAATCAAAATCAGGGGTCCCTCTCTTTACTCTTCCCTTATGTCCTAACTGTTCCTATGTCCCCTGCCTTTCTAGTCACTCAAGGGGGGCTTAGTGTCCGTCTATCGCCGGAACTGGGGTCAACCTTCTCAGAAGATAAGGCATATAAAGAAAGCAAGGAGGAAGGAAGGAGAGAGAGAGAGGAAGGCTGGAGAAAAGTGAAGAAAAAAATGAAAAAAGGCTTGGGAAGGAGGAAGGAAGAGGTGAGCGGCTAGGGGAGGCGGAACAATGAAGGTCTCAGGCCGTCGGAGGCTCACGGTTCCGCCGGCACGTCCGTCCTGCCCGCCTCCAGCCGGCAGCTGCACGCAGCGCAGCGTGTGGGCGCTGAGTCACTGTCCCAGAACAGGGAGCCGCGGTGCAGGTCTGGGGGGTGTAGGAGGACGGCCCTGGTTGGCATCTGCAAACTGTTTCTTTCTCTCTTTTTTTTTTTCTTTCTTTCCTCTTTCATTAAGGCTGTGTGCTGACTCCCACGTAGGAGAACTTATTAAACCGCACGTACTGCTTGGCGGCGCTGGGCCTGTCTCAGCTGCCTGCAGGGGGCGCTACAGCCTCGCCCATGAGCCAGCGGCCCGCGGGCGCTCAGGCCCGGGCAGACCCGGGGTTACTAGGGGTTACTGGGTTTTCCGGAGGTGTCCCCACGCATTGCTAGGGCGGCTTGGAACTTTAACAACCGCGGCAGGCAGGGGGAACGCCTCTCTTAGAAGGCCTCAGAGACCACCCCAACTCTTCGAAGCTCGCTTTCGCGCCGGGTTCTGTGAGCAACCCTATAAATCTAGGACTCCGTTGCGCAACCCGAGAGTCCAGGCTCGCCAACCCACTAGGGCTCCCCCTACCCACCCCCCGCCGGCCGCCACGCCAGGCGGTGACCTCGGGCGTCTCCGCGAAGCCCTGATTCGCACCCAGGACACGTGTTCTGCGCGCCCCACACAGAGAACAGAGCTCGTGACAGCTCAGCCCGCTCAGAGTAGGGCCAGCACCTGCACGCGCCGCTGTCCCACCTTCCCAAGCCCGGCGGCGGGACCCCAAGGCTCCTGGGCGGGCCGGGACCAGGGCACCCTCCCTTCCTAGACGTGAGAGCCGAGCCGAGAGAATGAATCAGCATTGAGACAGTTTATTGGTTTGCTGTTCGCATATCACCCATTTTATGTAAATAGATTATACAGAGACTCGGTGTTTCCTTCTTCCACACAGGAGGTAATCAGTCTTTCTCTTTCATGCACACAAACACACTCACATTCCACGCGGCGAACAACTTTACACCTCGCTGAGACATTCACGTCTTAAAATAGGGGAGGACAATATAATTGCTTTTAAAATGCCCTTAATACAATATATAACGTACAAAAATATCTCTATATTTGAAGTTACAAAAAAAATCTTGACAGCAACAAACTTAAATATTGATAGTTACCTCTGTATGTACAACACGCATTGCACTTTTCCTCTTTAGGTTTTGGAAAGTTCAAGTAATAGTGAGGCTTGCGCCCTGGTGGGGTGACACGCCGTGAGAAATCAGTTTGTGGGCGAGCACGGCTGTGGCTCAGACCCCTGCTCCGGGGGTCTCAGCATTCATTTCTCAGTTTCTCCTCTCCTTAAGCCTGGCAAACACTCGGATTCTTCTGCACCCCGCCCCCTGGGGCACTTGCACCTGAGCAAGGCTAAGGAAGCGAAGCCCCCAGAAGGAGGGGCCCTTGCAAAGCCAGAGCTCGCCGCCGGACGGTGCCTCCCGGACTCAGGGTCTCCGCAGGGCTGTCAGAGCCCGGTCCCCACACCGCTCGGGAAGTCCTTCGTCCCGGGAGGCACCAGCGGGATGCTTGCGCGACTATTCCTTGTACCATGGGCGCCTAAATCCTAAAGAAAGTGGGGAGCACTTCCACTCGGGGGGGCTGGAGCCCCGTGTGCTTGTGGCTTAGAAGACACCAGAGTCCGACCCGGGCCGGCCTCGGGCAGGGAGCGCCGGCGCCGGCGGCCGTAGCCCTGGGGGCTGATCTTGCTCCTGGGGGCGACGTTGTCCTTGTCCTTATCTGTGAACTGGTAGATCTGGTGTGCCAGCTTCTGCACCGTGCACGTCCCGAAGCGGCAGCCAAAGCTCCGGAGGCCCTGGAAGTTGTTCATGCTCTGGCGGTAGCGCTTGACTCGGATGCGGGCGGCATCCGGACTGCTGCGGGCGGGGGGAGGGGGAAGAAAGGCAACTTGAGACCCCATCAAGCAGAGCTTTGGCCCCAACACCGGGAACGGGAGCCATTCTAGAGCCAGAGGGAGCTGGAAACTGCTCGCGCCATCTGAGCTGCGGTCCAGCCCCGACGATCCCCCGGGCCAGGGGAGTGGAGACAGAGAACTCCTCCCGCACACCTTCCTTCCCTCCCGTCCCTGGACAGCACAGGGCGTAGTTACCTGTCTTCGGGGCTTCGAGAGGCACCCTTCATGTCCTGGGGCCGAATAAGGGTCTGGGCAGGCCCGGCCTTCACGTCAGCGAGCCCGGTGGGGTAGCTGCTGGACATCCGCAGTTCCCTCTTCCCACGACTCAGAGCCCACTTATTCCACCTGGAAAACACAAGCAGACCCGATTCGCGTGCGTTCAGGTGACGCCCAGGCCTGTCCCTGCTCCCATTCACTTCTAGACCTTCGGGACCAACGGTCAGTTCCCCTTGCCTGCCAGGTACCAGCAAGGGGGAAGGCGCTGCCCGGACTCACTTCTTTCGAAACTCCGACGCGACATCCAACCGAGCGGTGTCAGCGCCTAGGAAGGCGAGCGAACCCAGGTACATCAGGGCGACGGAAACCAGCTTCATCCCGGCTGCGAAGCGCAGACCCTGGAAAAGAAGAAAGAGAGTCGAGCGTGAGCACCCGGGCCAGCTGCACCGCCCGGGCGGGGCACGGAGGGCGGGCAGGGGCCCCGGCGAGGCGGGTTTAGCCCGCGCTTTCCCTGGCTCAGACGCTTATCTCCCTCCGCGCAGAGAGGCGCCAGAGGCGTTTGCACGCGCCGGCCGGGTGACAGGCCCCGCAGGGGAGGCCGCTGCACCCCGCCAGGCTCCCAGAGGGTCTCTGCTCAACTTCTTGGAACTTGGCTGACGGAGCAGAGGGGACTGGGTCTCTGGACCTCCAGCTGTGTGCACGAGCTGGGCCCAGGATATGGGGTGTATCTATCTCTCAGAGAACCCTCCAAAGTGGGTTGTTCCCCTCACCCAGCGCTCCCAGTTTAGGGCCTTGGCAAGCACTGCCCCCCACCCCACCTCTTAACCCGCAGGGTCTGCGGCACCTACCTGCTAAGAGAGTGATCTGCCAAGTACTTGAAGGAGAAAGTCTCAGACGTCCCACTGGCAATGGCAAAACTCCGAAGTCCAAGCCCAGCTGCAGTGAGAAGCCCGAAGTGGCAAGGCTTGAGCTGTTCTATCCAGTGTCACCAAGAAACCACTGAGTGGCCAGCTCTGGTTCCTGTGCTTTATAAGCGCACGGGTGGGGGAGCGGCGGGGCGGGGCCTGGGCTGCCCGGTTGCCTTCCCTTTCTTTCCTCAGCCACGCGCGCTCCTGCTCTCGGACGCGCGCATTGCTTCCTTTGGGGCTGGAGTTGGGATGGGGGGAGGGGGGAGCGGGGGAGAGGAGGTCCCTCGTGCCCAGAGGGCTTAGGTATGGGCTCCAGGCGGTTGGTGCAGGAACTGCCACAGCCCTCTTTGGGCACAGGGTTCAGACAGTACGCCGGAGCGAAGGGGCGCCACTACAACCTCTTGAGGTCCTTATCCAGGACCCATGCGGCCCGGAGTGCAAAGCCTCCTGGCGAAGAACAGCAAGAGCCCGCGGAAGGGACAGCGCGGATGGCCCGAGCCCTGGACCTGGGGAGCTGTGGCCTCAAGTGGACCGCGCCCCCCTGCCGGCTTGGCGCCTGACCGGGCCGCGACCCCAGACTCCCGCGGAGGGGCCGGGGCAGGGACGGAGCAAAGCCGAGAGGAGCAGGACTCACTAGTCCCCCAGAGGACCAAGACCCCGGCGTTTCGGGGTGAGCTAGTAAGATTTCACGGTAGGGACAAGGCTCAGAAAAGCTAAATTGAGAATTGGGATTTGGAGGGGGGAATTATCTGAAATTTCAGAATTTTCATTTCTATTTGGAAACATAGGAATAACCAAAATTAGGAGGAAATATACTGTTTCATTTTGCCTCCTTGTAATCCTATTATGCCTTATAAGGTCATAACCTGAGATTGTGCCTGGCTGCCTTCATTAATCCATCGTAAACGTGAGGACTGACTGCCAGGGAGCACACTAACGCTTCACGTATGCTAATCATTTTACAGTTTACCAAGCACGGCCACATCCCAGTCTACTTTGAGCTTCACAGCCACCCTTGAGTCAGGCAAGGAAGGTAACATTCCTTTTCCCATTTCAGCAGGTAGAAAATTCAAGCTCAGAGAGGGGAGGTATCTGCAGAGAGGGGAAGTCACCCTGCAGGTAGGAAGCAGCAGAGTCCCTACTCGGCCCGACACGCTAGCACGGCCGACTGGGGCGCGGCGTGGATTCCTCTAGGCTGGGGTCACCAACTTCTCAAGGGGCAAAGGAGAGTCCTAGCCCCCGCCCAAAGAATTTGTGCCTGTTCATGATGAATCACGCTAGACACGTTTGTCACCCGTTTGTGCTCTTTCATCACAGCTTCTTCTCTTTCTTACTTCTCTCCTGGGGGCCAAACTGGGAAGGAAAGGCTAAGCCACGGGGCTTCCTGCTTCGTGCTTGTGGGTTTCTGGGGTCCTACTAACCACTCCTCTAATCGAATGTCCTGAAGCCCAGCGACTCGACGGAGAGGCCAAAGGTGCGAGACCACTAGCCAAACAGGCTTCTAGTCCTCACCTCCCGGCAATTCGCTGTGTGAAGGTGGGCGAGTCATGTCCCATCTCTCGAGTCCCCATCTTAGAGCCGGTCCCCAGCAGACCTTTAAGCTTCCTTCCTACTCTGCCATATGGCTCTGAGCTCCGGTGCAAAGGCGGCTGGGCAGTGGGTCGCGCGGACCTTGCCCAGAGTGGTCTGTCTGGGCCGCGCACTGCTGGCTTAGCTGCCTTTTCACTCTCGGGACTCAACAGTGGACATTGCACCTGGGGAAGAAATGGCCGCGCGGAAGTTATTTAAGGACTCTTCCTGGAAGGAGTCACCTGAGCGGACCTGAATTCCATCTGAGGACGGAGGACAGATTCCGGGCCCTGACCCTGGCCCTGGTAAGGGGTTGGGACGCGGAGGGTTAGAGGAGTGCAGCGCGGCGCACTGGTCTGGATCCGGCCGCCCGGCTGGGCGCAGGGCAGTCACCGAAGTGGCCTGGCCGGGCGACTAGTCCGTCTGCACCGCAGACAGCAGCTATTACTGAACGCCTGCTCGGTGACCAGGAGCCTCCCCAGCCTAACTATTGTTCTTCTCCCTTGTCTCCCATTTCCTTTTCCTTTCACTTTATCCTCTGCGAGTCAAGCTCTTCGCGCAGATCCAGGACTGGCTATCAGTCGCTCTGAGGATGCGACCTACTTGTCGCCAGCTTCCACTTGGTTCCGCGCCAGGACAGGTTTTACTTTCATTTCTCCCGCGCGCGCCTCCGACTGCTGGGGAGGTCAAGGACAGCTAGGCGTCGGCCCACGGCCAGGGAAGGTCCCGTGGTCTGGACTCGTTCCTTCCAGTCTCCACCAGTCCTGGGGGGTGGGGCGCGGCGGGGGTGTTCGTTCTCCAGAGAACTCTGCGACTGTACCTCGCTGCCACCTCGCTGCCTCCTCGCTGCCCTTTACAAAAGCTCGTGATTCCGTGGGGGAAACTTGAGCTGTGGCTCTGCCAGGAGGATCGCGAAGCAAGTGCCCTTGGTTCAAACTCCTCTTTGAGCTGCAGGCAGCTTCAAAAAGGAAAGCAAGCCCAGGAGTGTAGGGAGACTCAGAGGCTAGGCTCTGCCAGCCTCGGGTGCCTATGCCAGCAACCTCTTGGCTGTGACAAGAATTCCCACCTGAGAGTCTTGGCATGCACTTTATCAGCCTGGTGCACTTTGCCGCTCTGGCACTTAGAGATCTGTCACTTGAGAACCAAGTCAATTCTTTAAGTAAAATCTTGGATTGGCAGCTCAAAGTATTTTCCTAGAAAGCCCCTATCTTGGAGTGAGTGAGTGTGTGCGCGAGCGCGCACCCCGCTTGCATGGGTGAGTAGCAGGGGCTAGAGTGCTCCCCAAAGCTTCGTGGGTTTAAGTCGAAAAAAGATAAGGAGTTTGTTAAATCTGGGCATCTATGTTTTTTCTCGTGAAATCTCGAGTTTGTTTAATTAATCATCGTTAACGACAAAAAAAAATCACTAGAATGCATTTCTGGTTCAGTGGTTCTATGGAGAAGGAAATGCTGCAGTGGGAGTTCTGATCCTGGCAATTTATTAACATAAGTTGCATCCATTCAAGTGGCAGTGATTGTAGATTCACGTTGAGCAAGGACAGTACAAGGAAGGAAGGAAGTGAAGGAAGAAACATCTTTAAATTTCTGGCAAGAAAAGAGAAAAGAAAAAGAAAAAAAAATCCTTGTTAATGAAGATCTACTTTTTTTGTGTGCTCCAGAATTTCAAAAGGTCAGATTACAAATAAACCTCCAAACCACTGTAATAAATGTGTACATCCTGACATTAGGGAGACACACATACACATATGCTAAAGGGTTTTTGCGTAATGGTGTTTCAACTTCTTCACATTCCAATTGAATGATTTTTAGGCCCTATATCCAAGCCTGATTCTTAGTAAAGTTTGGAGTTTAAAAAAATATGTGGTAGTGGTTTCTCAGCTAGCACTGTGGACACAGTTCTTAAAGCCAGAGTGGCCATACTCAGGTCTTTCAGAGAAGCATTGAAAAATAATAAATATCAATGATATTAATAAGAATAACTAAAATGTGAGTAGCTAAGTGCATTGCATAATTATCTCAGATGCCTCCTTTATCAAACAGGAAATTTTATGATGCATTTATTATTAATATAGTTCAAAATGTCTTTTAAGCTGAGGACTTGTTTACAAAGTTCACTTGAAAACAAAGTTCAAGATGCATCCTGAAGTCATAACACAAAGTGATTTAGAGAAAGAACACAATCAGCCTTGTGGATTTGATCACTTACAAGGAGAAGTAAAGCAGGATACAAAGCCCAGGGCACTTTTTTGGGATCTCTGACTTCTCTAAGGACCTAATAAAAATATAGATCCTTTCCAGAAAAATGAACATGTACATAAACCGATTAAAGTATAAAATAGGCATACAGTTCCGGGAGGTTGACCAAGTTTAAAACCCTGACACAGAATAAAAAACACTGTTTCCATATTTTAAATTTCTGTCTGGTTTATAGTGGTAAGGGCAAGGAGGACAGTTAACCTCCCTCTTTAGGGCATAATATTTTCCAGAGCATCAGCATAAAGAAAAGTAATGCGTTTGCTGCCTCATTTTTGTGCTCCTGTACAAAACAGGCAGAGAGTAACAGTCAGTTCTTGTACATGGTAAAGCCAGAAGGCAAACCTCCCTGAAGCTTAAATAAGGTAAATTACTGCAGAACAAATGAAAGAGAAGAGATGGTCCAGTACAGTGGCTCGTGCCTGTAATCCTAGCACTTTGGGAGGCTGAGGCAAGTGGATCTCTTGAGCTCAGGAGTTCAAGACCAGCCTGGCAACATGGCAAAAATCCATCCCTACAAAGAAAAAAAAAAAAAAAGAGAGAGAGAGAAGAGAAAGTAGTAAACCTAAAGAAGCTTGTTACAATAATACCTGTAACAGGACAAAATGAAATTACTTCAAGAGAAATTTGCTACAGAGGGCACAATAAATGGCATTAATGAATGGATGATAAAAGAGATGATTAGGCCATTTGAATCATCCATAGCCAAAGAGAATGGTGTTAATGAAAGCAACCATCATGCTACTTGTCTCCAGATAGGGATCCTGTGATATCAGATTAGAAGCACCTGGAAAGAAGCAATTATTTTATATATGTATATATATTTATATATATTTTTTTCTTTTTATAGAGATGTGGTTTCATCATGTTGCCCACGCTGGTCTTGAACTCCTGATCTCAAGAGATCCACTCGCCTTGGCCTACCAAAGTGCTAGGATTACAGGTATGAGCCACTGTGCTCAGCCAAGAAGCAATTCTGATTTATAAGCCTGAATGAATTGATAGTTTTTTCATTCTTTCAACAAATATTTACTGATTATATATTATATACCCAGCACTGTGCTAAGTTCTCAACATACAGTAATCACCAATGCAGTCATCAACAAACTTACCCTCAACGAGCTTACAGCCTAGTGACGTAGCCAGATATAAACAAATCCTTATCAGAATTATGTATTTACATGATTATAAACTGTGTTAAGTATTCTGAAGAAAAAGCAAGACTAGGGGGATCTAATATTCGAAATGGAGGAAACAGCATGTGCAAACACTCAGAGATGGGAAAGAACTTGGTACATTAGAAAAAATGAAAGGAGTCCTGTTTGATAGGAATGCATAGAATGATAGAGAAAAGAGGCCTGAAATGAGATTAAAGAGGTCATCAGGGTCAGAGTAAATAGGACCCTTTCCGACATGAAGATTTTGCACTTTATTTATGGTGACATGGAAAACTATTGACAGGTTTGAAGACAGGAGAGACATGATCTGATATACATTTATTTAAACAATCGTTTTGGCTATGGAATGTGGTAGATAGATTAGAAAGGTGCAAGAAAGGAAGCAGCACGGTGGTGGTACTCTGGAGAGACTGCAGAGAGTCTAGTCCCCCCATAACATTTATTATACCCCCTCCCCACATACACATACTCATTCCATCCTAAAGTTCACCAGCTTCACTGACATACACTCTGTTCAGTAGCACACGGCCTGCTCTCAGAAGAGCCCACACTTGGTGGAATGCTCTGCTGAAGCTGTTTTGAAATTCTCCAACATTTCTGAACAGGCAGTCCTACATTTTCATTTTGCACTGGACTCCACATATTATGTAGCCAGTCCTGCTCATCAAACATGTGATCTAAGTAAAAGTAGCTTGTAAACTCTTACAGTACCTATATATACTGTAGCTGCTAATGTCAGGGGTACTTCAAATGAATGTTAAGATTCAACCATTCATCTCATCACACATGGACCGCAACTGCAGGACACTTCCTTTTTTTTTTTTTTTTTTTTTGAGATGGACTCTTGCTCTGTTGCCCAGGCTGGAGTGCAGTGGTGCCATCTCGACCCACTGCAAGCTCTGCCTCCTGGGTTCACGCCATTCTTTTGCCTCAGCCTCCTGAGTAGCTGGGACTACAGGTGCCCGCCACCACTCCTGGCTAATTTTTTGTATTTTTAGTAGAGACAGGGTTTCACCGTGTTAGCCAGGATGATCTCGATCTGCTGACCTCATGATCCGCCCAACTTGGCCTCCCAAAGTGCTGCGATTACAGGCGTGAGCCACCACACCTGGCCAGGACACTTTCTACGTCATCTATGAAGCCTTTTCTTTGCACCCCAAACACACACTCAAGGTAGAAATGGTGTGTTTGCTATACAAATTTAATTTTGAGACAGGTTCAATAACCTGCTTACTGTCCTTAACTTTTACCTATATAGAAAGTTTGAAACCATCGGTGAAGCTGGGAAAACAGTTAAGAACCTATTGCAATAATAAAGGTAGAAGGTGATAACGGCTCAAACTAGTGGGGTGGCAGTGAGGGTGGAGAGAAGCGGACATATTTGGGAAGTAGGAACAATAGGACTGAGTGATGAATGTGGGGCTGAGAGGCAGCTGTCAAGGGTAAGATTCATTAAATTTCTTGCTTAGGGAACTAAATGGTTGAAAATATAGCAATGGATCAGGGAATTTTCCACCACAGCTGCATAGTCTCCTTTGTTATGCTTTGGTAGAGACGATCTGAAGAGGCCTCAGCCCTGCCTGGTGATGTTTGCTCAAGTCTGACTCTCATACTGCCTCCTTGAACTACTGTGGCTAACCACAGCAAGCACTTGAAATGACTGTACAGATCAAACCACTTACTCCGCAATAGCCCACTAGGGGCAATGGGCTGATAAGCCTTGCTCACTGATAATTAGCTCTATTTTGTCTTTTTTAAAATTTTTTATTTTAATTTTTTGAACGGGAGTTTCACTCTTGTTGCCCAGGCTGGAGTGCAATGGCGCGATCTTGGCTCACTGCAACCTCTGCCTCCTGGGTTCAAGCAATTCTCTTGCCTCAGCCTCCCAAGTAGCTGGGATTACAGGCACCTGCCACCATGCCCAGCTAATTTTTGTGTTTTTAGTAGAGACAGGGTTTCACCATGTTGGTCAGGCTGGTCTTGAACTCCTGACCTTAGGTGATCCACCTGCCTCGGCCTCCCAAAGTGCTGGGATTACAGGTGTGAGCCACCGCATTCCATCTATTTCGTCTTCTAAAGCAAAAAAGAAAGGTATCTGCCACATACACATCATGATAGTGTTACATACCCTTCTTCCCTTCCTGCTCCCATCAGCCTTCAGGAAAACAAATCTGGGCTTGCTTTACTCTCTCTCTCTTTGGTGAAAGGTGATGGTGGTTATTGTAGGGGATGGTCTGGCTTTCAGCCAACCTCAGTAATCAGGCTGCCTTGTCAGGGCTTATCAGTTTCAACAGGCTGGCAGCTGTTGGCTGAGAAGCAAAGCACAGCTTTAGTGTATACAAAATATGTTCACATGTATATACAAACACACAGTGCCTTTCTACATGTACCTAGGATATGTTAAAATCTCTGTGTGACAAAATGGGCATTTGCAAATGGACTGGAAGTCTACTTATGACAGTAACAGATGAAATATGCCTAAAAGCAGAATAGCATTTGATTCTAGGCTTAAAAACAATAAACTTTGATTTTAAAAAATTAAAATAATTTAAATGAGTACTTGCAAATGAAATAAAAGCCAAGACATTTAAAAGGTAAAACAAGACCCCTTACCACTACAAAATTAACTCAAAATGGGTCAAAGTACTAAAGAGCTAAAACTATGAAGGAAACCAGTAAATCTTCATCTCACCTTTAATATGGCAATAATTTTTTAGATATAACACTAAAAGCATAGAAACAAACTAAAAAAGTGGACTTTATCAAAATTAAAAACTTTTTTGAGCCAAAGGACATTATCAAGAAAATGAAGTCTGGGTGTGGAAGCTCATGCCTCTAATCCTAGTACCTTGGGAGGGCTAGGTGGGAGGATTGCCTGAGGACAGGAGGTTAAGACCAGCCTGGGCAACATCATGATACAACATCTCTACATAAAAATAAAATGAAAAATAAAATAAAAATAGGAAATATTTGGGGGGGGGAATAGGGCATAACAATTTTAAAAAGAAAATGAAAAGACAACGTACAGAATGGGAAAATATCTGCAAATCATATATCTGACAAGGACTAGTATCCAGAATATATAAAGAACTCTTACAACTCAACCTCAAAAAGACAAAGAATCAATTAAAAAATGGGCAAAGGACTTGAATAGACATTTCTCCAAAGAAGATTTAGCAATGGCCAATAAACACATGAAAAGATCCTCAACATCATTAGTCTTTAGGGAAAGGCAAAACAGGACCACAATGAGATATCACTTCACACTAAGATAGCTATAACAAAACATAAACAACAGGAAAACAAGAGTTGACAAAGATGCAGAGAAATCAGAACCCTAGTGCATTGCTGGTGAAAATGTAAAATGATGCAGCCACTGTGGAAAACAGTAGTAACAGAACTACTTAATCCAGTAATTCCAATCCCAAGAATATATCCCCAAAATTGAAAACAGGTACTCAAATACATGTACATGCATGTTTGAAGCAGCACTATTCACAATGCCAAAAGGTGGAAACAACCCATATGTCCATATGGGTTGTTCCAGATAAACAAAATATGGTATATACATATGATATGGTTTGGCTGTGTCCTCACCCAAATTTCATCTTGAATTGTACCCCATAATTCCCACCTGTCATGGGAGGGATCCGGTGGAAGGTAATTGAATCATGGGGGCGGGTCTTTCTCCTGCTGTTGTGGTGATAGTGAATAAGTTTTATGAGATTTGATGGTATAAAGGAGAGTTCTGCATAAGCTCTCTTGTCTGCCGCTTTGCTCTCCTTGCCTTCCGCCATGTGGAACTGTGAGTCAATTAAACCTCTTCTCTTTATAAATTACCTAGTCTCGGGTATGTCTTTATTAGCACCGTGAGAACAGTCTAACACAATATACAATGGAATATTATTGAGTCATAAAAAATAATGAAGTATTGATACTTCAATGTGATGCTACAACCTTGTACTGTATCTGCCCGTAAACAAGCTGAGAACAATATACTAAGTGAGAAAAACCAAGACACAAAAAACCCACATATTGTATGATATGAATATGAAATATTCATAATAGGTAAATCCATAGAGACAGAAAGCAAAATGGTGATTGCCAGGGGCTGTGGGAGGGGAGAATGAGAATGACTGCTTAATGGTTGTGAGGTTTTCTTTTGGGTGATGAAAATGTTTTGTAACTAGATAGACATGGTAGTTGTACAGCATTGGGAATGTACTTAATTGCCACTGAATTCTACATTTTCAAGTGGCTAATTTTACAATATGTGAATTTTGCCCTATTTTTAGAAAAGTTGGGAAGGAATATGATAGCTGCCTTAAAAATCTATCATATGAAGATAGATTTTTTTTTTCTGGATAGTTCCGGAGAGCAGAATCAGGGGAAGTTACAGTAAGACAACTCTGAAATAATAAGGAAGAACTTTCTAACAATAGGGCTGTTAAACAGTGGAATGCGCTGCCTCCCAAGGAAGTAAGATTACTTTTTACTGAAAGTGATCAAGTTGGATGATGAGCTCTCAGGGAAGTTACAGAGAGGATTGCTGCACGGGGTATGACTGAGGTTTTTTTTTTTTTGGTTTAATTATTTTCAGGATCAAACTATCTTCCCTCCACGTTTGCAAATTCAGCTGATTCAGTTTTACCATTAGCAACTGACATAGAGGTCCTGGAGTTAAAGTATTCCTTCAGTTTCAGTTCTAGTGCAGCCCAACCCTCCCAATTTGTAGATGAAACAAGTGTGGCAGAGAAAGGGGAAATAGTAAATTACAGCAGAGTAAATCTTCAGGAGCTGAGATGTCAACTCTCTCAGTTCAGAGTTGGAGCCATTGCGGCTTCCTGCTGGTCGTTGGGGAAAATCGCACATTTACTCATTTAAAATATTTTGTAGGCACCTACTATATACTAGACGCTTTGCTAAGAGGCCTTGTCTTATGTGTAAATATGAAGGATCAAACCCTCAATTAATAGTGAGCAGTGATAAGCAACCACAAAGACAACTTCTAAACCACGGAGATTTCCAAAACTTTGGTCTACCACTTGTACAAATTCTACTAAAACTTCGTGAGATATTAACAAATGACAAAGTGAGTTCACCTGAATGTCACACCAGCCAAATTCGAAATGGTCAATAGGAGGTTCAACAAAAAAGCAAGCGACTTTGATAATCCCGAGACGGAAGGACGGGACCATCTATTCATTTTTGTGCATGTTTGAGCAGGGAAGTTGGAAGTCCACCTGCTCGGGCTGCGAGAGCCCTGGGACCGCTGCGAGGGAAGCAAGCCGAGGCGTGCGGGGCTCCCCAGGGAGAGGCCAGCCCAGTTCGGGAGGATCCCGGGGATGCCGCGTTCCTCGGTGGAATCTGGCTCTCCCGGGCGCTCCGGGGGAAGCCCAGGCCGACCGCCCCCGGCCCACCCGGCATTGAAACCCGAGGCTCCTTGGAGGATTGCGTAAAAGCCTCTCCCTCCCCCGTCTGCTCGGTGGCATGTTTCTAAAATTCCCATCTACACAACATAAACAGGAAACGTGCAGCAAAAGCCCTGTCGATGCAAATTCCTTGCTTCCAACCGAGGGCGGGAGAATTTCATCTTTGGTGGTGGTGGGGAGCAGAGGAAGCAGCCAGCTTTCCAAGTGACCCCTCAACTCTCCACATCCCTTCTTCCAAATCCAAACAGAATAGAGAAGGCGGAAGGAAGGACCCCCTGCTTTAGGAAAAATAGGGAGGCAGAGGGGGCCGTGAAGCAGCATCCAGGCCTCAAAGTGAACCACCTCCAGGGGCCGCGGTGGCGGCGCGTGGCGGGAACACGCCCGACCGCCCACTCCCCCAGCGCAGCAGTCCGCGAGGCCCGCGGAGGGTGGAGGTGGGCTCGCCGCCCGGGCTTGGGGCAGCCGAGCCAGCGCGGGTGGGGGCGGGGGAGGAGCGGGCACTAGGCGCCGCGCAAGCGCAGAGCGCGCCTCGGTTGTCAAACATGGCTGAAGCGCTGCCGCTGCCGCTACTGCCGCTGCAGGGAAAATGCTGAGCCCTCCCGGGCCGGGTGGGCGGCGGCGGCGAGGGCGGCGACGGGGACCCGCTTCCCGAGCGCGGCGGCGGCGGCCATGGCCCGGCTGGCTGACTACTTCATCGTGGTAGGCTATGACCACGAGAAGCCAGGTAAGGGTGTGGGGCGGCACCGCCCCCGGGCCTCCCCGCCCCCCGGCCGCTGTCCAGTGGGCTCCGCGGGGCCGGGCGTCGGGGACGGGCGTCGGGGAGGGCCAGGCCGAGTCTCGGAGGAGCGGGCGGTCGGCGTCCGGCCTTCTCGGCTGGGCTGAGCCTGGCGGTGGGCGTGGGGGGGCCGGCACGACGGTAGGGGGAGGGAAGACGCCGCGTCTGCCCAGCCCCTGGGCGCACCCGCTGGGCGGGCCGGAGGCGAGTTGGGGTCTCGCGACCCTCCCGCTGGAGGCTGCAGGGTACCCGGGGCAGAGAGAGCCCTGAGATTGGGCCCAGGACCGCAAGGCTGGGAGGGCGGGAGCCAACTGTGCTAAGTTCCTCGGGGATAAACTTCTGCCCTGCATCCTGAGTGAGTAACCAGTGACGCAGGGGGTTGTCCTCTCCGAAAGGAAGTGCTGAGAGTCCAGTGCTAACTCACCCCTGTGCTGTTGGGGGCCTAGTGACCTCCCCAAGGAACGCGTGGTACCAGGGAAGGGGACAGGATTCTTTGCACTTTTACCCCTTTCTAGGAAATGCTCCCTATTCTTTCAGGACAAATGTGACGGTCACTTCACAGTGACATGACTTGTCTTTTAACTAAGGACAGCCAGCTGACCGCTGAAGGTGATCTTGTTTCACTTTAATGTGTTTTCATTGTTCTTTTTATTTGTCACAGAATTTTCGTCGTAAGGAACAATTGGGCAAATGCATTGTATTTTACACTTTAATTGACGGACTTCCACAACTTAAGAGAATTCAGGGTTCATGCACGTTTATTTCTGTATTTGTATTCTCTTGTATTACTATGTAGCTAAGCA
The DNA here is from genome assembly GCF_000001405.40 of Homo sapiens. Classification (NCBI taxonomy): domain Eukaryota; kingdom Metazoa; phylum Chordata; class Mammalia; order Primates; family Hominidae; genus Homo; species Homo sapiens. The sequence continues at coordinate 10,293,160 of NC_000011.10, read as the reverse complement.
TAATGTAATAACAAATTGAGCTGGGAAACCACTTCTATTTTAGGGCAATTCTAGTCCCACATTTGCAAGGAATTTGAGATATCAGCTCTACAGCCCCTTCATTTTTCAGAGATGCTGAGATTGTGTTTTCCTGATGGTTACAGCCATTGGTAGCTCAGAATACCATTGTTCTACCCACTCTTGGTCCACTCTCTCTTTCATTATTCCTCTCCTAAGAACTTCCTCTCCTTTAGTGGGAACCTTTCATGTTCTTTTCTCTTTCACCAGTCATGACCTGATTGAGGTCAATTGTTAAAGAGAAAGTTTAAATGTTTAAACTTCTGGATCCAAAATTTTATTTCCTAGTAATTTGGCATAGTCTGATGTTTCTTTTCTATCAAGATTAAGTGTGGGAAATCAGTTTTTTAACCTTTAGTTTTTAGTGACATTGTTCCGCCTCCCCCCCTCCCCACTTTTAAACAATTTTTTTTTTTTTTTTTTTTGAGACGGAGTTTTGCTCTGTTGCCCACGCTGGAGTGCAGTGGTGCGATCTTGGCTCACTGCAACCTCTGTCTCCCGGGTTGAAGCAATTCTCTGCCTCAGCCTCCGGAGTAGCTGGGATTTACAGGCGCCCGCCAACACGCCCGCTAATTTTTGTATTTGTAGTAGAGACGGGATTTCACCATCCTGGCCAGGCTGGTCTTGAACTCCTGATCTCGTGATCCACCGGCCTCGGCCTCCCAAAGTGCTGGGATTACAGGCTTGAGCCACCACGCCCGGCCAACAATGTTGAAACAATAACAGACTTGCAAAAAAGTTGCAAGAATGGTACAAAAAATTCTACCCGCCCCCCAACAATTTGAGAGGAAGCTGTTGACCTGATGCCCTGTCATCCCAGAATACTTTAATGTGCATTTTCTGCAAACAAGAATGTTCTCCTACATGATCACAGTGTAATAACCAAAACAGGAAATGGATAGTGATACAGTACTCCATCTAGTTCTCAGACTGGTTCAAGTTTTGTTGATTGTGCTAGTAATCTCTTTACTGGCAAAAGGATCCAGTTTAGCAATATGTGTTGCATTCATGTTATGTCTCTTTTGTCTCCCTCAATCTGGAACATTTCCTTTATCTTCTCCTGACTTTCATGACCTTAACATATTTAACAATTACAGGTCAGTCACTTTGTAGGCTGCCCCCTCAATTTGGGATTGTCTGTTCCTTCATGATTAGATACATACGAATATGCACGTGGGAAGGATATCACAGAAGTGATGCTCACTGCATCCTGTCAGGTGGTGCACAATTTCACTTTGTTTCATTGTTGGTTATTTTTACTTTGATTACTTGATATAAGTAATATCTGCGAGGCTTCTCCACTGTAAAGTTAATACTTAATTGTTTTTGCCATGTACTTTGAAACTATGTAAATATCTTGTTCCTCACTAAACTCTTAATCATTTATTGACATCTACATGGAGTCTGTGTGTGTGTGTGTGTGTGTGTGTGTGTGTGTGTGTGTGTTTAGTGGATTATATTCTGTTACTATTTGCCTTAGTCTATTCGGAAAAAGTCACTAGCCCACCTGCCCGAAGCACTGGCTTGAGTGGGAAATAGGAGAGTCTAAGCACATCCAGCCGAAGTGAGACCAGAAAGGGGAGCTCGCGGATTATATTCTGTTACTATTTGCCTTAGTCCATTCGGGCTGTTATAACAAAAATACCTCAAACTGGGTGGCTTATAAACAATAGAAATTTATTTTTCACAGTCTGGAGGCAGAGAAATCCAAGATGAAGACTCTGACAGATTCAGTGTCTGGTGAGGACATGCTTCCTCATAGCCATGTTCTCACTTTAACCTCATATGGCTTAAGGGTCAAATGAGCTCTCTGGGGTCTCTTTAAAAAGGGAACTAATCCCATTCACAAGGACTCCACCACCATGACCTGATCACTTCCTAAAGGCCTCACCTCATAATACCATCACTTTGGGTGTTAGGATTTTAACATACGAATTTTGGGAGGGGACATACACATTCAGACTATAGCATTATTTATTTTGATGTTCAAATTGTTCTTTATATGGCCAATGAGAGTTGTACAAGCTGGCTTCTGTGTTCTTATGGTACATCCCCATCACTCTTTGAGAACAACTTTGTACTTTTTGGCACAAGAACCTGTTCCTGGCTCATCTTGTACTTTCCATGCCTTGGTTCTGTAATCAGCCATTTAGGGATCCCTGGTTCCTTTTAGTGGAGAATGACATTTAGAAGCTAAGATCTCAAGGCTAGTGTGTTTATTGCTGTTGGGCTGTTACTCCTTCCAGGTCCTGTTAATGGTCAGGGCTGGTAAGTATAGGTATGTATGCATAAACATACATATGCATTTATATCTATATTTATTTATTATCTCTGTATATTGAAAACTATGAATTCATACTGATACCTCCAATTTCAGTCAAATAGTCCAGGATCTATTCTAGTGTTCTCCTTTTTCATATTGTAACGTTCTTCTCTGACAGTGAGAAATCTGGCTTCTGTTATCCTGAATGTATTTACTTATTGTTCAGTCTCCCATCTTCACTACCATCTACTCCTCTCCCTGCTGGGACTTGGATTCTTCATTCCATCTCCTCCATCCCCCTACCCCAGTCTGGATCTAAGAGTCCATACCAGCATGCTTCCATACAGGGACACCCTCCCCAGCACTCTGGTTATGACTCCTCATGTTGGTCTCCCCACTGTCGGTGGACACACTTCGTACCCCACTCAGACTCTGACACACCCCAGTGAGTTGCTTCCATTGGAAGATATCCTTCTCACTCTGTTGTACCCCAGTGCCCTTTGCCAGTTTCCCCCTCCTGCCTTAATGCTTGGGCTCTGAAGCAAAATGTTTGCCTCTTCCCCTACCACACAGACTCCTTCCCTAGCTCTCTTGGTCTATGACAATATGACAAGCTCCACCCCAGGGATCCACCTCCACCCCAGGGGTACCATGACAACTGCTCTTCTCACAGCAGGAAAAGGGAAGGAGAAGGAAGATTAATTTTTTAAGTAATACAATCCAGAAGCTTGTATAAATTGTAGAATGTCAACAGTGAAATGTATAACTTTTTAACTTGGGATAATTCTTCTTTTGTCATGTTGATGGCAGCGAAGAGGTGCGGGCGGTGGTGTCAGGAGCGGCTATGGGAGCAGCAATGATGCTGGTGGGTCCCCTGTGCCCTGCATCCCTGAGGCAGCCGACTGTACTGCCCCCGCCCTTGTGCCTCTGGGCAGGACCTGCCCTCAGGCCCGGAGCCTCCCCAGCTCCTGACCCTGGCCCTGTGTCACCACTCTTGCCCACCAATGCTGCGGGGAGGGTGTGAGGAGGAGGCGGAGCTGGAGGTGTGATATGGGGGTCTGGGGCCGGAAGTGGGAGCAGTGCCTGCTTCAGGGACCCAGCCAGCAGCGTGGTCACCACACCCACCCTGCCGAGGGCACCGGGTTCCTGTGCCTCAGGGGTAGGCTCTGAGCAGGGCCGCCTAGGGCCGCATCCCTGGGGTCCACCCTGCATCAGGGTGATTGCCAGGCCTGACACTCCCAAGGGCTGGGCCCAGGGCCCACAGTCTGCTCCTGGAGGCACCCCCCTAGGCAGGGCCACAAGCTGGGTGAGGGGGAGCTCGTAGAGATGTTACCTCTGCCCTAGATACTGGCCTGGGCCCAGCGAGGACCTGGAGCCCCTGCTCCAGGCTACGAGGGGGCATGGCTAGGGCTGCACACTCCACGGACCTGGCTGGAGCAGGCAGCAGCCCCGCCCTCCTGGGTGTGCTGCAGCCACCCAAGTCAGAGCTGTGGACCCAGTTCTCCCTGTGTTCTAAGGGGCCACGAGCAGGAGGCCCCCCCACCCCACACAGCTGCAGCTGCCCAAGCTGGGGCTGTGGACCAAGGCCTCTTTGCACTCTCAGGGGCCAGGGAAGGCATCCCTCCTGCCCTTGTAGGCTTGGAGGCGCCTGCTCCAATCTCGGAGCGGGGTTGGGGCCAAGCCAGGGTGCTGTCACAGCGCCCCCGGGTGTGTACACACTTAGGTCAGCGCTGACACACTGGGCCCCTGCCTCCTCAGCCCCCTCTGGACTTTGGGCCCTGACAAGCACCGTGGGAGGGGTTTGAGGGAGGTTTGGTGCTGGCCTGCAGGTACCCCTTGAAGCGAGAAGCCTGGGCGTCGTGGATGGCGGAAGGGGGCAGGTCTCTGGTGAGGCCCCACCTTCAGGCCGGGGAGGGCTTGAAGACTGGGGGCCCAGCTGCCAGTCCTATGGACTAGAGCGAGGACTTGTGGTACCTTTTCTGGGCCCACCTATGGACAATTGGTGTGCACTTTGTCCCCTCTGAGGCCCATAAAAGTTGCAGGCTCAGCCCAGAGCAGAGCAGAGGATGGAGAGATGATGGGACAACCAGTTACAGAGAGGAGTTACCCTCTCTGCTGATAGATGCAGAGATGATGGGACAACCTGCCTAAAGAGAGGAGCTTCCCACTGTAGGGCCTCCTCTCTGCTGAGAGCTGAAGAGATGATGGGACAATCTGCCTGCAGAGAGGAGCCACCCATTCTAGTCTAGGACCTCTCTGCTGAGAGCTGCAGACAGCAGGACAACCAGCTGCAGAGAGGAGCTGCCCTCTCTGCTGATAGCTGAACACCTGTTGGGATGACCAGCTGCAGAGAGGAGCCACTCTCACTGCTGAGAAAATACTTGCTGGGGTGACCTGCCTGCATAAAGGAGCTACCCTCTCTGCTAGGAGCTGAACACTCATCAGGATACCCTTGCTACAGAGAAGAGCTGTCCACTGTGGGTCTTTGAGCTGTTCTATTGCTCAGTAAAGTTCCTCTTTGTCTTGCTCACCCTCCATTTGTTGTCTGAGGACCTCATTCTTCCTGGTCACAGAACAAGAACTTGGGACCCTTGAATGGTGAGGGTAAAAGAGCTCTAACACAAGCAGAGCTGAAACATGCCCCTTGCTCACCATGTTGCAGGTGAAGGAAGGGAGATAAGAGCTGTGGCCCTTCTGGGAGCCCAGACCTGGGAGCTCCCCAAGCTAGGGCTGTGACTCCTTCTTTGGGGCCCTGTGGTTCCTGGCATCTTCAAGCTTCTGAGTGCCACTACATTCCCCGGTGCCGGCCGGGGAAGCTGTTTGTGGTGCAACTGGTCCAGCCACAGCCTCGCAGAGAGCTGGCACTTATGCCAGCACCTGGAGCTGCCCACCCTGTGGCAGCAGCTGACATGTCTGACTGGGCAATGGCCAGACTGTACGCTCGCTTACACACCCCTCACCACTCCACGCCTGACTCCAGTCTTTCTTGGAGGCATGGGATCCAGGCTGGTAGCGTGAGCTGAGTGTAGCCTACAAGGCCGAGTGGGTGGGAATGAGGCTAGCAGGTCTGAGCAAAACTCAGGCAGAGGTGCCACCAGCCACAGGTTTCTGGCCAGAAAAGTGACACCCTAAAGATCCCATAACAATATCTAATAAAGTATAAATTACATGCAATAAAATTTACTCTTTTAAGTGAACATTTCAGTGAGTTTTGACAAATACATACATTAGTGTAGCCACTACTGCAATCAAGATATAGATATAGGGCTGGCCGCTGTGGCTCATATCTATAATGGCAATGCTTTGGGAGGCTGAGGCTGGAGGATTGCTTTAGACCAGGAGTTTGAGACCAGCCTGTGCCACATGGTGAGCCCCATCTTTGAAAAAAAAAAATAGCCTGGCGTGGTGACACATGTCTGTAGTTCCAGCTACTTCGGATGCTAAGATGGGAGGACTGCTTGAACCTAGGAGTTCGAAGCTGCAGTGAGTCATGATCACTCTACTGTATTCCAGCCTGAGTGACAGATTGAGACTCTGTTTCTAAAAATAGGTAGATAGATAGATAGATAGGGAACATTTTCATGCTTCCAAAAAGTTCTCTCATGCCTCTTTGTAGTCAGTTCCCTTTCTAGCATCTGGCAGTCACTGATCTGTTTTCTGTCTGTATGTTTTTGTCTTTTCTAGAATGTCATATAAATAGTATACAGTTTTTTGTGTCTAACTTTTTTCACTTAGGATCATACAGTTGAGATTTATCTATGTTGAATTTATTGGCAGTTGTTCCTTTTTATTGCTTAGTATGATACGATTTATCCATTCACCAGTTGAAGGACACTTGAATTTCTAGTTTTGGGCTATGGTGAACATAATTGTTCTGAACATTTGCATACAGATCTTTGAATGTTTTCATGTTCATGTTTTTATTTCTCTTGGGTAAATACGTAGGAGAAGAATTGCTAGGTCATAAGTGTCTTATTTGTGTGAGACTGACAAACTTTTCTAATTGGCTGTGCCATTTTACATTTTCACTAGCAATGTATGAGAGTTTCAGTTATTCTTTTTAAATTTAATTTATTACTTAAAAATATTTTTGGTTGCTCTGCCTGTGGAGTAGCCATTTTTTGTTAACTTCTCTAATAAACTTGCCTTCACTAAAAAGACAAAAAAACAAAAAACAAAAACAGGCTGGGTGCCGTGGCTCACACTTATAATCTCACCACTTTGGGAGGCCAAGGTGGGTGGATCACGAGGTCAGGAGAACGAGACCATCCTGGCCAACATGGTGAAACCCCGTCTCTCCTAAAAATACAAAAATTAGCTGAGTGTGGTGGCGTGCACCTGTAATCCCAGCTACGTGGGAGGCTGAGGCAGGAGAATGGCTTGAACTCAGGAGGCAGAGATTGCAGTGAGCCGAGATCGCAGTGAGCCGAGATCGCACAACTGCACTACAGCCTGGCGACAGAGCAAGACTGTCTCAAAAAAAAAAAAACCAAAGAACAAAAACTTCCTCTAGCTTTATTGAGATATAATTTACAAATAAAAATCATATATATTTATGGTGGACAGCGTGATGTTTTATGTATACATTGTGAAATGATTACCACAGTCAAGGTAATTAACATATCCATCACTTCACATAGTTACCGTGTGTGTGTGTGTGTGTGTGTGTGTGTGCGTGTGCGTGTTTATGTGAAGAAATTTAAAATCTCTTTTGGCTGGGCGTGGTAGCTCACGCCTGTAATCCCATCACTATGGGAGGCTGAGGTGGGTGGATTGCTTGAGTCCAGGAGTTTGAGACCAGCCTGGGCAACAGGCTTTTTTCTCCAAAAAAAAGATCTACTCTCTTAACATACCTCATTTGTGGTTTTAATTTGCGTTTTCCTGGTGACTAATAATGCTGAACACCTTTTCGGGTGCTTGTTGCCATTTGTGTATTTTTTTGTAAAGTGTCTGATCAAATTTGTGCTCTTTTTTATTGGGTTGTTTGACTTCTTACTGTTATTGGTGGAGGGTGTCCAGGTTCTTGGTGTTTTGAAGAAAGAATTGGACAAAATGCACAAACAAAGCAATGACAGAAAATTACAGATTTATTGAAATGAAAGTACACTCCACAGGGTGGGAATGGGCTTGAGCAAGCAGCTTGAGAGTGCTGGTTACAGAATTTTCTGGGGTTTAAATACCCTCTAGAGGATTCCCATTGGTTATGCAGTGTATGCCTTATGTAAATGAAGAGGATGAAGTGAAGTTACAAAGTTATTTACTTGGTGTACACCCTATGCAAATAAAGAGGATGTTTCCTGACATAGCTGAAGGGAAATTACACAATTATTTACTTGGATGTAGAAAGTTGGGGTTTTTCTGTTTGATTTAGTTCTAGGAAGTCCTTAGGTTCCCTGCCACCAGGTCCTATTCTCCTGCCTCAGTATTATTGAGATTTTTTTTTTTTCTAATTCTAGAAAGTCTGTCCCTCCCTCCCTTTTTCCTCCCCTCTCCCCTCTCTTCCTTCTCTTGCCTTCCCTTCTCTTTTTCCTTTCCTTTCGTCTCACTCTGTTGACCAGGCAGGAAGGCAGTCGCACAATCACAGTTTACTGAAGCCTTGATCTCCCAGGCTCAGTTCATCTTCCCACCTCAGCCTGCCGAGTAGCTGGGACTACAGGTGCACGCCACCATGCCTGGCTAATTTTCTTATTTTTTGTAGAGATGGGGTTTCACCATGTTACCCAGGCTGGTGTTGAACTCCTGGCCTCAAGCAGTCCTTTTGCCTGAACTTCCCAAAGCACTGGGATTACAGCCGTGAGTCACCTCACTGGCCAAATGATACACTCTTTATTTTTGTTCCTAAAGTGTCTTTTCAATTAACAATACTTGCAGTTGAATTTTTAAATATTTATATTTTATAATTGGATTAAAAAAAAAAAACTCTTGTCAGCTGGGTGCAGTTGGCTCACACCTGTAATTGGGAGGCTGAGGTGGGTTATCACTTGTGCCCAGGAATTTGAGACCAGTCTAGGCAACATAGTGAGACCTTGTCTCTACTAAAAATTAAAAAAACATAAAAATGAATTAGCCAGGTGTGATGATGCATGCCTGTAGTCCCAGCTGCTTGGGAGGTTGAGGTGGGAGCATTACTTGAGCCCAGGAGGTCGAGGCTGCAGTGAGCTGTGTTTTTGCCATTGTACTCCAGCCTGGGTAACGGAACAAACTCCAGCCTGGGTAATGGAACAAGATCCCGTCTCAAAAACAAAAGCAAAAACCCCTTGTCTTTTGAAAAATTTCTTTTACAAACTGGAAAAAAGAGTTAATGCATGCTATTTGAATTATATAGAAAGAAGGGTGCCTGGTACATCATAGGTAGTTAAGGAAGATACATGGAATGAACACACAGTTGTTGAAAATATGGGGGAAAAAGCTATAAAAAAGGAGGGTGGGAGGTGGATGTGGTTATAAAAGGGTAATTGGGAGGAATTTTTGTGGTGATAAAATTGTTTTATATTTTGACTGGGTGGTGGATACATATATCTTCATGTGTGATAAAATTGCATAGAACTAAATACACACATACAACCACAAATGAGTATAGGTAAAACTGAGGAAATGTGAATGAGATTGGTGGATTGTATGATATCCTGGTGGTGATTTTGTAATTTAATTTTGCAAGACGTCACCAGTGGAGGGAACTGGGTAAAGGGTATATGGTTTCTGTATTAATTCTTACAATTGTGTGTAAATCTGCAACTATCTCAAAATTAAAAGTTTAATTTAAAAAGCTATAAGGAAGATAGAAAGATACCCTTACTATCTTTTTAAAAGCTATTAATGACATAAGTTATTTTATAAAATTTTAGAAAAACATAATGTCCAGTGGCTGTATTATTATATCATTTGAGTGTTTCATTTTAACTTAGTCACTTTACTATTGGACCTTGTTTCCAGTTTTGTGTTCTTATAGTGCTGTTATGCTGAGGAGAACATAGCTTGAAAACCACTGATTTTTATGATAGTTTGATTTTGATAATTTGAAATTAAGACTTTATTTTTCTGACTTTGCCTGTGAACTATGGCAGAATAATTAAGAAATATCATTAGCTTCTAATATGTGAAGTTATTTAGCCAACTATATTTTTCTTATTGTTTTTACTTTCTTTTACTGAGATTTGTCCAGAAAAATTGATAATGACTACCTGTGTTAATTTTATATGCCTTTACTTTTTTTTATTTCTTCTGTCCATTAATACATTTATAATTCATGTATCTTGGTGGTATTTCATCTGGAGTCAATTATGTTAATTATTTGAAGTTCTTGTTTTTTTTCATATCAGTCTGTTTAAGTATGTTAGAGAACATTCGACATGTTTCTTAGGCATTTAATCAGTTTTATTTAAGCACTATGAGAGAGACAAGCTAGAATGTAAATTTATGTATAACACCTGAAATACCACATTTTGAGACATTGTAAAAATTGATAATTGATTATTGTTAAACCATTGTAATACATAGCCTGAGTTTTCTCCCCTGAAGTAGTTGGTATTTTCTAGTTGCTGTTTGTTGCCACCTGTCAAGAACCATTTGGGATTCACTGATTTGACAGTTATTTATTGCTTTCCAGGCATTGTGCTAAGTGCTAGGCTAGATACAAATGAGTAAAGATTAAAACTCTATCCCTAACCTAGTCATTAGTGGATAAGGTCTTGAAATAAGTAATGATAAATTGCTTATTTCAAGAGGATGGATCCATTTTACTGAGGGAAAAAGAGAAGACTTCTTATGAGAGGTGATATTTAAACCAATTTGTATGGTATGCATAAACATTTGCTATGTGAAAAAGAGGATAGAGGAGATTATAGGCATAGAGGAAAAATGTGTGTATGTGAATGTCTTGTTACAGGAATGGAGAGAAGTGAAAGTAGATGGAAACTGAGGTAGGCTTTGATGCTTGAGTGGGTTGACAATTGTGAAAAGCTCTGTATATCAGGCTATAGAATTTAGCCTTGACTCTATAGATGGTGAGCCTTGACTCTATAGATGGTGGGGTCTGTTGAAAAATGGTAGCTCTTAAAAAGCAAGAAACAACATAGAAATGTGACTCAAATGGCAATGAACTGAAGGGAGAAAGACCAGTATGAGAAAGCTCAAACGTTTTTATGGTGGAAATGGCAAGGAAGGTATGGATGCTAGAGAAATTTGAAAGTTCAGATTAGTAAAATTTAGTAATGAATGAATGTGAGGGGTAAAGTAGAAAGAGTGGATGAGAGGTAATATGTGTCATGATGCTATGGATACAAATAGGGAATTCAGGAGAAGAAATGAATTTGGATGAGGGAAGGAAATGCTGAGTGAAAGGTGATGGTCTATAATCAAGGTAGAGATGTCATTTAGGTGTTTAGACATGTGAGTCAGGAGGTAAGGAGAAAAGTGAGATTTAACTTGGCAATTGTCAGTAGCCAGCTGATTGTCAAATATGAAGAAAAATGTGAGATTGCCTAGGAAATGTGCAAGAGTGAAAAAAAGAGTGGCCTCAGAATTGTACTCAGAGAAAAATCAATATTCAAAAGGTAGATAAAGCAGTGGCAGCCTGGAAACTAAATAGGAGTAGTCAGAGGTATTGCAAAAGAACCAAGATAGCATGATATGGTATCATGGAAAACCCTGGGTATATAGAATTTCAAGGAGGAGGAAATAACAAATGTCAAATGTGCTGAAAATGTCATGTATAATAAGGACTAAAAATAGGCTTATGGATTTAATAATTAGGATAACTTTCGAACATTATAGTAGAGTTGTGGGGGCCATAGTCATTTTGATGAATACATGCCCCAAGTCATATGCTGTATAAACCTCATGTAGTCTAGTTTGTTTCATTTCTTTTTAGAAGTTCAATATGACCTGCAACTCATGGCTTGTTGAAAATGGAAAGAGGAGTCAGAGGCAACTTCAAAATTGCAGACCTGGAGGTCTGGGGGTACTTGTGATGTTATGACTTAAATTGGAAGATTGAGAATGTTTTTCTTTTAAAGTTACTCATTTGTGTTTGTGGGATTGACATAGAATGGTGTTTATTTTGCAGCTATCCAAGTGGAGACTTCAAAAGATGGGACAGGTAGGGACTGGGTACAAAGACTTGAGAGTCATTAGAGTATATAGAGTTGTGAAATTGTGTAGGTGTTCCCAAGAAGTTGGCATAGAGACAGAAGAATAAAGTACCGAGAACCAAGCTTTGGGGAACACTATTGGTAAGAGGATGTAAAAGAAAAGGAACCACAGAAGGGTTTGGAGAGTTTGGAAGAGACATTTGGTTCTCCTCCATGGCGATTCTTCTCCTTGATGGTTTTGAATAATCATGTGGACATGCATAAGAGAGACTGTTTCAAGTTTCTGACAGCTATAAACATGTGAATAAGTTCTGGTCAGTTGGATGTAAGTGGAAATGATGAATGCAGTATCCTATAAGTGTTCTTAAAGGATGAGGGTATGCCTTCCTAGCTTTTCTTTTTCCTAAGACTGGCATTCTGATATGAAGGCTGCAGCCCCAGCAGCCATCTTGGGCCAAGTAGGTAAGGCCCAAACCCTAGGTATATCAGAGCAAAAAGCTAGAAAGAACCTGAGTCCCTAATGACTTATAGTGGGATTGTCATAGCAGACCTGGATAGCTACCCTCTGGATTTATTTTATTATTTTAATATGAATTTTTAAATTATTTATTTATTTTGACATGAAAGGCTATAATCTTACATGTTTAAACCATTATAAATCTGAGTTTATTGCTTCATGTGGGTAATCTGAATCCAGATACACAGAAGAAGGCGAGATCAGAAAAGTCATAGAAAGTGAAGGAATATTTCTTAGTGTCAGGTGTGGCAGATAGCGATCAGTGAGATAAGGAGTTAATGAAAAGCTTTGCATTTCATAAAACTTTAGGGCCGAAAGTTAACTGTACACATAATCTATATCTGTCCAATTTTTGGGTAAGGAGAAACCAGTGAAGGCTGCCCGCCTCCCCCACCCCCAATCCCCAGTTGTTACCTGTGAGTAGTTACACAGCTATTGAGTGGCAAATCTTGTAATAGAAGTTTTCTCATGCCCATACTGCAGTACACCATGCTGTATCAAGGGTAGTTTTAGCCCAGATTGTTTCAGCTGGAATGTTGTATTGTAAACCATATTGCAGAATTTTAGTAGGATAAAGAATAAGAAGTAGAGGCAGCATATTAAGATGATTTGTTTCAGTAATCTGATTTTGAGAGGTAAGAGTATCTGGTTGGAAAACTTTGAATGCCTATTCTTCAGGGTAAAAAGACTATTTTTTGTATCCCAGAGTTGCCTGGCTTATTATTGCTCTCAGTAACATGTTTGTTGAATTAAATTGCAGACTTAGTAAGATCCAGTGAGAGTTTTTAAAAATGTATGGAATAGATGTGACCATTTTAAAGGTAGAAGAGTGGAAATCAATGGAATGAGAACAGTTGATGCTGGAGAAAGTGGGGATAGTATGTATAGGAATAAAGTTCCTTATGTTGTGGGGGTCTCAAGCACATGTATTTGGGATACAAATATATCAGTCCAGCTCTTAGTCATCCCTTCTAAAGAGTATGTACTTTGGAAACTAAAATTGTCATTTCGTTAATCTTGGAGATACAGGTTGAGTATCCCTAATCTGAAAATCTGAAATACTCTGAAATCTGAAACTTTTTGAGCACTGATATGACATTCAAAGGAAATGCTCATTAGAGCATTTTGGATTTCGGATTTTTGAATTAGGGATGCTCAACCAGTAAGTATAATGCAAATACTTAAAAATCCAAAAGAATCCTGAAACAATTCTGATGCCAAACATTTCAGATAAACGATACTGAAAACTGTGTTCTATAATGATGCACATTAAAACATCACTGATCGGCCAGGCGTGGTGGCTCACGCCTGTAATCCCAGCACTTTGGGAGGCCGAGGTGGGCGGATCATGAGGTCAGAAGTTCGAGACCAGCCTGACAAACATGGTGAAACCCCTGTCTCTACTAACAATACCAAAATTAGCCAGGCGTGGTGGTGCGTGCCTGTAATTCCAGCTACTCAGGAGGCTGAGGCAGTAGAATCACTTGAACCCGGGAGGTGGAGCTTGCAGTGAGCTGAGATTGTGCCATTGCACCCCAGCCTGGGTGACAGAGGGAGACTCTGTCTCAAAAACAAACACAAAAAAACATATCACTGATCAGGTGTAAGGACACTGTGGGAGGTGACAGGTCACGTAGGCATATAATAGAACTGGAAATCTACAGGTAAACTTAGCACTAACAGACAGGGAGGTATTAGGAAAAGATAGTGGTGATATGTGCCAAGAAGTTTCAGGGTAAGCTTTTAAATTTTAGGTACTAGTATCTAAATAATGAATTCCAAGAGACCTAACCTCTTGAAATAACTTTTTTTTTTTTTTTTGAGATGGAGTCTCGCTCTTGTTGCCCAGGCTGGAGTGCAATGGTGCGACCTCAGCTCACTACAACCTCCGTCTCCCGGGTTCAAGCAATTCTCCTGCCTCAGTCTCCCTAGTAGCTGGGATTACAGGCACCTGCCACCATGCCCGGCTAAGTTTTTGTATTTTTAGTAGAGATGGGGTTTCACCATGTTGGCCAGGTTGGTCTTAAACTCCTGACATCAGGTGATCCACCCACTTCAGCCTCCCAAAGTGCTGAGATTACAGGCATGAGCCACCACGCCTGGCTTTTTTTTTTTTTTTTTTTTTTTTAATACAAGACCGGGTCTTGTTCTGTTGCCCAGGCTGGAATGCCTGCAGAAGTGCGATCATAGCTCACTGCAGCCTCAAACTCATGGCCTCAGCCATTCTTTCACCTCGGCCACCCAAAGCGCTGAGATTAAGCCATTGCGCCCAGCCTTGAAATAACTTTTTGAATAGTTTTATTTCCTAATTGTAGGTTAATTTGTATATTATAGGTTGTTATGCCCAATATGATAAAGATCATTTTTATTAAAAACTGTTAGGAAAGTGAAGGCATTGATTAAATCATTGTGTTGCTGGAATTGTATTTCTTTTTTTTTTTTTTTTATTGAGATGGAGTTTCGTTCTTGTTGCCCAGGCTGGAGTGCAATGGGGCTCGGTCTCAGCTCACTGCAACCTCTGCCTCCCCGATTCAAGCTATTCTCCTGCCTCAACCTCCCAAGTAGCTGGGATTACAGGCGCCTGCCACCATGCCCGGCTAATATTTTTGTATTTTTAGTAGAGACAGGGTTTCACCATGTTGGCCGGACTGATCTCAAACTCCTGACCTCAGGTAATCCACCCGCCTTGGCCTCCCAAAGTGCTGGGATTACAGACATGAGCCTCTGCGCCCTGCCAGTATTTCTTAATTTTAAAACATTATTATGGTCAGAACTGAGATCATTAAATATTATAAGATTTAATATCCTATTATTGCTGAGCTCTCGAAATTTTTGGGGTTGGTTATGCAGTTGTTTATTGAGTAAAAGTTATTTATTTAAAATTGTTATTACCATAATTTACATTGCGAAGGCAAATATAACTTTTATAAGTTGATAATTTTATTTTCCCATATACTTATCAATGTCTTCATCATAAAATTTTTCATAAGTTTTTAGTTATAGCTGTAGGTTTCATTGTTTACTTGAAAGAAAATTAAAAACTAATTTTGCCTAGGGAAATATTTCACATAACTGCTTAAGTTTAAATGAATTTCAAACAGTATAGATTGATCTAGAGTATAGGAACAAAAAGATTGTTAACTAAGAAGATAAAAAAGTTTGGGTCTTTTGGGAAAATTAATACTATTGCAGGGAAGTACAGAGAATTCTCACTTTAAAATGTTTAAACAATAGTGCTTAGTTAAGCTCCAACACTCTGCTAGTTTCTTGGGGTTGCCATAACAAATTACTACAAACTCGTGATTTAAAACAAACACCATTCTCTCACAATTCTGGAGACTAGAAGTCTGAAGTTAAGGTGACAGGAGGGCCTCAGTCTCTCTGAAGGATTTAGGGAAGGATCCTTCCTTTCCCTCTTCCAGCATCTGGTGGCCCCAGGGGCTCCTTGATTGGTGGTAGCATAACTCTGATCTCTTTCTCTGTCATCACATGGCCGCATTCTCTGTTACTGTGTCCAAATCTCCCTTTCTTTTCTTTTATAAAGATGCTAATCATTGGATTTAGGGCTCACCCTAAATCCATGATAATTTTCATCAGAAGATCCTTAACTATATCTGCAAAGACCCTGTTTCCAAATAAAGTCACATTATGAGATTCTGATGGACGTGAATTTTTGGACAACGCTATTCAACTCACCACAAACACAATGGTTCATGCAGTTATTATAATAATAGTAGTTTGTAAATATTAGGAAATCTATCTGGATAGAACAGTGCTAAATAGGCTTAATTTTTTAAAAACAATTTTGCAACAAACAAAATTATTCAAAAAGCCAAACATATGAAATAGGAATCACTCCCACAACATTACAAGTTAAATCAGCATCCACTCTAAATACTTCATTGAAAAATAAGCTGTAGAAAATTCAGAATTCCTTGGAAGACAGATACATAGCTTTGCATGATTTTTTGTTTGTTTGTTTAGAGACAGAGTCTTTGTGATGCCTAGGCTGGTCTCAAACTCCCGGGCTCAAGCGATCTGCCCGCCTTGGCCTCCCAAAGTGCTGAGATTACAGGCCTTTTTTTTTTTTTTTTTTTTTTTTGAGATGGGGTCTCGCTCTGTTGCCCAGGCAGGAGTGCAGTGGCACTATCTTTTTAAAGTTTTTTGTAGAGATGGGGTCTCCCTATGTTCACCAGGCTGGCCTGGAACCCCTGGCCTCAAGGAATCCTCCTGCCTTGGCCTCCCAAAGTGCTGATATTACAGGCATGAGCCATTGTACCGAGCCTGTTTTACACAGTTTTAAGAAAGGCTTAAATTTGTGTTGTGTTCCTTGTTCTAACTTTAAATTACTAGTGCCACCTGTTTTCTCCATATTATTATATTGATAACAACCAGTAGATACTTTCTTGGGATCTAGTGTCACAGCCTACATTTCTCTATACACTTGTTTTACAAGCAGAGACTATCAGATTGAATCTTCATTCATTTAAAAAAATTGAGTGTGTTCACATTATTGCATTGACTCTTCATGGTTACACTGAGTTATCCTTGAAGGTGCATAAAGGTAAAATAATTTGTCCATGTTCATACTGATCATGAATGGAATTAAAAGGGATTAAATGAAACTTGAACCCAGTTTTCTGGCTTTAAATCAAAACTTTTGTCTATAAATACATTGTGGGGACTGGGAGGTGGAGATGAGTAGTGGCAAAGGCACTGAATTGATAAACAGTGAGTAGATTCTCAATTTGGCTGGAATATTGGGACCATAAGAAGAGAACTAATGAGTAATAAATGAAGATTATATTAGAGCAGCCAAAACAGTTTTTTTTCCAACTATTTTACTAGGCCAACCACTTTACATTGTGTTTCTTCTGTCCTCCTTCTCTGGAGTTGAAATTCTTGATATTTTGGCAGCCACAGGTGAGAAAATTGATACAAATAAATAAAAGAAAATTTAAAACTTGTTACACAGGAAGGTTTAAAAGTGTTTTCACTTTTGGTAGTGGAAACTTTGGTAGTCAGGAAGATTGAAAATGCTTTTGAAAATTTTTTTTGTTGCAAAGTATGGTTGCTGTTTTTGGCATAACAGGTTAAGTCCAGATTCCTAATTATGGTAGAAAATAATTTTTCCCCTCATCAGTAAAGTATTTTGTAGAAAGTAAAAAACTATGCAAATTGACCACTGTTAAAAGATCATTCTCAGAAAACATTGCTTTTTTTCAAGCTTCTTGAATTTAATGCTTTGCTTTTAACTATGATTACAACTCCAGAGAATTTTCAAATGTTGAAACCTGTATAGCATGTTGTAATCTGTAGTGTTATGAATACCACATAAATTTAGAGACAGCAATGAAACATCACATTTTTTTCCCCACTCTTAAATGTTGACTTAAGAAGTCACCTAGTAGACTCTCACTGGTAGGTATGATTAAAAATGGATAGAGCCTATAGAATTTTTTGTTAAAATATTTATTTTGAAACAATGAATTGTTCCCCAAGAAGCAGTTTTTGTTTTACTCCTTCTAGTGTATTGGTTTTTTTGTTTTGTTTTAAGATTCTGTTGCAGCCTTGGAAATGAGGAGGATTGGGATACTTTTTTTTTTTTTTTTAAATTAATGAAAGAATGTTAAACCGTAGAATACAAGTTAATGAAAAGTCATGTAAGTAAAAAGCAATTTTAGTTTTGTAAGGTATACATGTATTTTACTGTAGAAACTAAGAACACGAATAGTAAAACAGTATTCAGTACATCCTACAAATAACTTAAAATATTTTAGTTTTATCTTGTGTAAGTAGGAAGTCATGCGGAGATGGGTGTCATACCCGTCAAGATGCTCCAACAGAGAATCAAATATACTTTGGTCTTAGAATTTAGAGTTTTGCCACTAAAGACTTTTAAAGCCATATTGTGCTTTTATAGTTACAAGCACAAATGGGGGTAACACCTTGGGAAAAGTTCTGGCTCTCAAAGGAACCAGGTTAATTGCCTTTGCTTTCAGATTGATTGTCTGGTGTTCTCTCTTTCTTTTTTTTCTCTTCTCTCTCTTTTCTCGGTCTCCTTTCTCTATAAACTGTGTTTTGTTTTACTCACATTTGACTTTACCTCCTTATGGACTTAGTTTCTGGACTGATCCTTTCTCCCTGGCTATTGAGTTCAGGTGTCCATGTGATTTGGAAACTCTGCTCATCTATTTTTCTACCCAGTTTTTACTTTTAATTCATAACCAGGATGGTGGTGGTTCTGCTGCATATTTCTGGTGCATGCTTCTGCATATTCATTTGCATATTGCTTCCACTGACGTGCCTGTGCTAAACTGTTTTACTTACAGTAGTAATACATACTTGTTAAAAATTTTAAGCATTACAGAAACTTGCAGACTCTTGAATGTAGTACATAGCTCTACAGATCTTATCACAATGAATTTGTTTCTAGGTACTTGAACAGAAACTTTCTAATTCTTTCTTTTTTTTTTTTTTTTTTGAGATGGAGTCTTGCTCTGTCACCCAGGCTGGAGTGCAGTGGCACAATCTCGGCTCACTGCAATCTCCACCTCCTAGGTTCAAGCGATTCTCCTGCCTCAGCCTCCTGAGTAGCTGGGATTACAGGTGCCCACCACCACTCCCAGCTCATTTTTGTATTATTAGTAGAGACAGTGTTTCACTATGTTGGCCAGGCTGGTCTTGAACTCCTGACCTCAGGTGATCCGTCTGCCTCGGCCTCCCAAAGTGATGGGATTATAGGCGTGAGCGACTACTCTGGCTGAAACTTTATAATTCTCTTAATAAAATGAAACTTTCTAATTCTCTTAATAAAATGAAACCCTTAATAAAACAAAACCCTGTAATTTTAAACACTACAGAAACCTGCTGACTCTTGAATGTAGTACATATCTCTTCAGATTTTGTCACGATGAATTTAGTTCTAGGTACCTGAACAGAAACTTTAAAATTCTCTTAATAAAATGAAACCCTAGTCCTCCAAGGTTGACAGCGGAAGGAGCGCCTGCCTCTGTATGGGAAGGATTGGCTTGAACTCAAAGCTCCAGTTCTTCTATTTCTCCAGTGATCTCATGGAGTGCCACTTTTTCTTAACATTCTGGCCTAACTCCCACTGCCAAATCATTCATACTTTTATTTGCTGAGGCAAAGCTGCAGCAGTGAAATAAAACTTTTCTAAAGGTTAAAAATAAAAAGATAATGAAACCAGAGAATAACTTTTAAGTCAGTAGTCTGGTTTGCAAGGTATAGTTTCCTCCTTTTCAGTCTGTAGTCTCCTAAAGGGATTCCACCCTGCCTAGTTTGTGGTCTGCCATCATATGATGAAGGTCATCTTGCCTTTCAGCATGTTTCCTTAAGTCTAGGCCCTAGATGGTGGCAAGACAGACAACCTATTCCTGTCAGGTCTATCTAATGAGGTCCATTTTCCTGGTTCCAGTTTTCCATCCAAATGTCTGTTTCTTTTCTGTATGATTGATATCAGGGCTATGCTTCAGGAGATATTCCATTTCTTATCCAAGGCCTTAAACTACAGCACTAACTGGTCTGCTACATTATAATTTAGCACAAGAAGAAGAGATACACACATACAGCAGTGTGGGAAGGGACATCTTTGTTTTTGTACCTGTTTGCCACCCATGGTCCTAGCATTGACAAAACTTTGATGTTACCTAGAAACATGGTCATAACATTCATACACAAATCAAAGCACAGCTAAATAAGCTTTATATTTTCTGTTTCTTCTAAAAGAAAAATAAGTTCTTTAGAAGCATGTGCTCATATTTATTTTTAATTGATTCATTGTAGTCTTTTCTGTTTGATTTTAATCTGAACAAATAATGATACAATTTTTATTACTTAGTAAGCATGAATGTTGAAGCAATTTTTTAAAAAACAGTAATTCGAGTTCAAAAACATCTAGATCCTGGGCTGATTTAACTTGTGCAATTAAGTTGAAGTAATGATTTCTGAAAGCTTGTCCTATCCCTTTCATTTGACTCCCTTTTGTACAATGGGTCTGTTCTTTCTACTAATAATTAAACAGAATAATTAGTTATCAAATAATTCAAAAACTAAAAACGGTCTTCTATTTACATGTTACAAAAAGGCTCACTCCAGGGATTTATTTATTCATTTATTTATTTATTTATTTATTTTTTTTTTCGGAGACGGAGTCTCACTCTGTCACCCAGGCTGGAGTGCAGTGGCGCGATCTTGGCTCACTGCAACCTCTGTCTCCCAGGTTCAAGTAATTGTCCTGCCTCAGCCTCCACAGTAGCTAGGATTACAGGCATGTGCCACCATGCCTGGCTAATTTTTGTATTATTAGTAGAGATGAGGTTTTACCATGTTGGCCAGGCTCTCTCGAACTCTTGACCTCAGGTGATCTGTCCACCTGGGCCTCCCAAAGTGCTGGGATTACAGGCGGGAGCCACCGCGCCCGGCATGTTATTATTATTATTATTATTTTAAGACAAGGTCTGGCTCTGTTGCCCAGGCTGGAGTGCAGTGGTATCATCACAGCCCACTGCAGCCTCTGCTTCCCAGGCTCAAGCCAATCTCAGCCTTCCAAGTAGCTGGGACTACAGGCACATGCCACCATGCCTGGCTAATTTTTGTATTTTTAGTAGAGACGGGGTTTTGCCGTGTTGCCCTGGCTGGTCTTGAACTGGTGAGTTCGCACTTTGGTAGTGCTGGGATTACAGGCGTAAGCCAGTGTGCCTGGCCTGGTATTTTTTATTTTTAATGAATAATTTTAAAGAAATGGTATGGTGAAATCACCGTGTTTGCCCAGGGTTGTTTGTACTTGTGGCTCATGAGGTTTGAAGTTATTGAAGAAATTGTTGCAAGACTTAAGGAAATTGTGTGAGTAACTGGTAACTAGCAAGTAAGTAAGCCTTAGTTACAGTGAACGACTTGTCATTCTCCTAAAGAATCAAGATTGCTGCAGCCCCTAGGAGCCCAGCGCCGCCGCCATGTCCTCCGGGGCTAGCGCGAGCGCCCTGCAGCTCTTGGTAGAGCAGCTCAAGTTGGAGGCTGGCGTGGAGAGGATCAAGGTCTCTCAGGCAGCTGCAGAGCTTCAACAGTACTGTATGCAGAATGCCTGCAAGGATGCCCTGCTGGTGGGTGTTCCAGCTGGAAGTAACCCCTTCCGGGAGCCTAGATCCTGTGCTTTACTCTGAAGACTCGAGAGAAGTTTGCTGAGGAATGCCTTCAAGCACAAAGTGATGAATGACTGCCTTCAAGTCTCAAGAAAACACTTTTACCTAACTTTTAGAGATATTTCAGCCCTTTCCTGTGGCCTGGTCCTATAGCCAAAATCACAGATATTCATGAGTTTCTACTTGAGTGAGAAAACTGGGTGAAGGAATAGAATTTTAAATAGTAATAACTGCTTGTTTTTTTGTGCAAGTACTTTTATACATAAGATAAACAAAAACCTTACCACCAAACATACCAAAATGCACCTCTTTCATAAGTGAGTTACTAAGATTTCTATACCTGGAATATCATGTATGTTTCATTTACTGGATGTTTACATTTTAGGAAGGAAAATAGTTTTGTTTATTTAAACAACTGAATACTTATAAACTGTTGTTCCTGGAAGTTATTTATTCCATAAAAAATTTGTTCTTTTCTCATGAATTTATAATTCCTAAATGAAGACCAGAAAGTACAAATTGCTGGGAGGAAGAATAGGCTTTATTAATCAACTGATGTCTTGATTTTTCTAAATGGGAAGATTGCTTTATTTTTAACACTAATTATGGGAGCAGATTCTTAGCAAACTTCTTTGGAAAAGTTAATGTTATGATGTGCATTAGGCTGCCCCATCGTGTATATAAATGAAGCAGATTTGATTTTTGTATTCTTACGTTTCTCTGCTTTGTAGTTGTGGCTGTACTTAAAGAAATACAGAATTTCATATATTTAAAAATGTTTAAAATGTGACCCACAGAACATTGTAAATGATTAAAAACTAACATGAAAATATTACAACCTAAAAGAATTCTTAACTTCAAAAAAAAAAAAAAAAAAGAATCAAGATTGCTGTCCTTGGTTTTGCAATTGCTACTCCCTTGTTATTCTGTCTTTTTGATCATAACCACTCCAGTGGGTAAGAAGTGGCATACTGCTGACATTTTAACATATGTATTTCCAGAGATTTTTGTGTGCATCCATATACGTATATATGTATAATTAATTTTACTACTTTTTTTTTTTTTTTTTTTTTTTTTTTGAGACAGAGTCTTGCTCTGTCGCCCAGGCTGGAGTGCAGTGGCACAATCTTGGCTCACTGCAAGGTCCGCCTCCCGGGTTCACGCCATTCTCCTGCCTCAGCCTCCCCAGTAGCTGGGACTACAGGCCCCCGCCACCAGGCTTGGCTAACTTTTTTCCGTTTTTTAGTAGAGACGGGGTTTCAGCGTGTTAGCCACAATGGTCTCAATCTCCTGATCTTGTGATCCGCCTACCTCGGCCTCCCAAAGTGCTGGGATTACAGGCGTGAGCCACCGCGCCCGTCCTCATTTTACTTCTTAAAAACATGTTTATAGCATCTATCCATTTATATAAGCTGTGTTTTTAAAACTTATCTGCATGTTATTGGAAGCTTTCCATGTTCTATATACAGTTGACTCTTCAACAACATGGATTTGAACTGCGTTGGTCCACTTATACACATTTTTTTCTGCCTCTGCTACCCTTGAGACAGCAAGAATAACCCTTCCTCTTCCTCCTCCTCAGCCTACTCAACATGAGGACAATAAGGATGAAGACCTTTGTGATGATCTGCTTCCACTTAATAGTAACTGTGTTTTCTTATGATTTTATTAATAACATTTTCTTTTCTCTAGTCTGCTTTATTGTAGAATACATTATATAATACATATAAACATTAACAATATGTATTAATCTACCATTTATGTTATCTGTAAGGCTTCTGGTCAAGAGTAGGCTATTAGTAGTAAAGTTTTTTGGGGAGTCATAAGTTATATGTAGATTTTTGACTGCACAGGGGTTGGTGCATCTAACCCTTGAGTTATTCCAGGGACAACTTTGTATATATAAAACATAACATCAATTTTTATTAACTACAAAATGTTTTTATCATTTTAATATATAATTTAAAGTAAATAAATTTATCAGTTAATCTCATGGTTAGATAATTTTGTTATTTCCAAATTTTTGCTGTTATAAATAGTGCTGTGATGAATTGTTCTAGCCAGATTTTTGCATTGATTTTTAATTTCTCAGGATCAAATAGAGAGGCAGTAAATTTTAGTAGTAGAAAAGTTAGAAGTGTGGGATGAGCTAGATGTGGTGGCTCACTCCTGTAATCCCAGCAAGTTGGGAGGCTGAGGTGGGAGGATCATTTCAAACCAGGAATTTGAGGTTCCAGTGAGCTATGATTGCACTACTGTACTCTAGCCTAGGTGACAGAGTGGGACCCCATTTCTACAAAAATAGATAAAGTGTGGGATGGAGCCACATAGTCTGAGCTTGATTCTTGGTTTTGCCTCCTAGTAGTTCTGGCTTTAGACAAGTTACTTAATTTTTCTGTCTCAGTTTCTGCATTCATAAAATTGGATAATAGTAAATAGTAGTATCTACCTCATAGAGATGTTGTGAAGATTAAATGAGTTATTTCATGTAAAGTAAAACAGTGTCTGGTACACAATAATAGTGCCACATTTTCATCATAGAAATGGAACTGCCGGGTCAAGGATATGTATGTTTATATGGACATATGTGAATTTTCTTCCTGGCATCCCTTCCTTTGGGAACCATGCCTTCTTTTCTCTACGGTTCCAGGGAAAGTTTCAGTCCTAGTTACCCTACCCTCTACTTTAAGCTGGACCGGTTAGAGCTTGGGTGTTTTCTTTTGGAACAAACTGGCACGCCTATCTTTTCCCACTAGGATGACTAAGGTAAGATACTGTGATTAAGTTGAGGCTGCCAGTGTGTGTTTTCCTTACTGTGTTTAGAGAGTCTCTGAGTATTGAACACAAGCTGAGGCAAGGATAGTCAAAAAATGAAAAGACAGACATAGCTCTGGAAACATTATCTAAACTTCTGGTTCCAGCTGTTTCTGAAAGCCAAAAGAACATTTTGAATAGTTTTGAGGTATATTGCTAAAATGCCTTGCAGAAAGATGTGTCAGTTTATACTCTCAGTAGTAGTATGGGAGTATACCTACTTCCTTCAGGGAGATTTTAATTAGGAAAAAAAAATCACTTAATGAGGTATTGCTTAAGAAACAACAGAGGAAACTGCATAGCTTCATGAAGACGAAGATGCTAAGGGGCTGGTTCAGAGAGATCAGACCTTCAGATTACATCTCTGAAACATTTTGCTGCTTGTCTTTGGTCTTTACTGTGTCCTAGAAATGTTTGAAACAAGGAATTGGAGTTCTGAAAATTTCAAGGTCTTTCCGTTTACATTTGTCTAATTTTTTTAGACTGAAAAAGAGTTCCTTGAGAGCATGGCCCAAATATATCACAGTATGCTATCCGTAGAGAAACTTTTGAAACTGGAAAAAATGTCCTTTCAACAGAGAGACTACTACTTTTTTAGCAGAATGCTTTACACACTGGGAAGTAAACAATTATTTACTGATTGTTTATTGAGTAGACAGTTGAAGGGCTTTTGGTGATTTTCCTAACAGACTGAGTTAGGAGAAAGAATTTGTGTTGTTTCTGGAAAGGGCTATTTTCCACTGATGACACCATTCTATAAATGTCATCTTTTTCGTTGATCCATTGTAGCTTTTTGTGTACTGTATTAATAATTTACAAGGTTCACTAATACCATGATTTGAAGAAAACAAATTGTTTGGGAACTTGACATCTCTCTATTTTTTTTCTTCAAGCAAACATTCTGTCCTTATAGTAATTTAAAATATAGGTTTAAGAACTTAAAATGGAAGATTCTTGTTTAAAGAAAATAAGTGGTTTTGTGGCAAGTTTTTAAGTGGAAAAAAAAATCTGTATAGTTAATGACATCTGCTTGTAGGTAAAACTATGTCCTTTGTTTTTCCTAGCTTAAGTTAATTCTAGTAACATTTACAGAGAGAAATCAAGTGTCAGAACAAACTTGGACAATAATAGTATGAAAATTAATTCACAGTGGAAAGTAGCAGTTGGGACTGGAGTGAATTTTATAAATGCTTCATATACTTGTCCTACGCGGTCTTCTAGGGAATTTGAAAAGAATGTTACTTGTTTTTCTTTGGAGACAGATGTTTTACCAAATCTTAGCGTGAGTAAACCCAAATCCACATGAGATTGGAGTTAATAAAAGTCATTTTTTTAACAGGAGGAAAGAAATGAGAGGAACAACAGAATAAATATTCATTTAAGATAGTGAAACACTGAAGATTTTTGAAAATGTAAATTACTATATTACTAAAAAACCATATTACTCCCTTCTCCCTCACCCCCACCTTAAACTCCCTTTCACTGCTACTGTTCAGATTGTGTGTTTGAGGAATTTGGTTGTAGAAGAATAAAGTCTGGGTGTAGACAGTTTCGGGTTTGTATAGCCATCTGGACCAGGCTGCTTCTAGCTTTGTACTTAGCCACTCAGCTCCATCCCATCTATATTCCAAGTAGGAGTAAGACCCTGTCTCAAAAAAAAAGAAAGAAAAGAAAATGCAGCATGTTCAAGCATATCTGGCTCATTCAAACCTCTTCCCCTTGGCCATTCGCTCAAGTCAGAAACTTGCCACACTCCTTTCTCTCTCACCTTCACTTCAAAGTGTTGTTTTTTTTTCCCTCAAAATTTTCTCACATCTTTTTTTTCCTCTGTTTTCACAGTCACTGCCATAGTTTAGGCCCTTATCAGTTCTTACTCGGATTACTATAAAGTGCACTCTGTTAGGATAGAGGTTTGGCTTCCAGTAATAGGGACTTAAGTGTCTCAAACAATATAGAAACTTATTTCTTTAAAAGTTAAAGTCTGGGTGTAGACAGTTTCGGGTTTGTATAGCCATCTGGACCAGGCTGCTTCTAGCTTTGTACTTAGCATCTCAGCTCCATCCCATCTATATTCCAAGTAGGAGGATGGAGGAAGTAGGGAAGAAGAGATAGCCCCCTTCCCTTTTTAATTTAATTTAATGTAATTTAATTTAATTTAATTTATTTTTGAGATGGAGTCTCACTGTCACCCAGGCTGGAGTGCAGTGGCACGATCTCGGCCCATTGCAACTTCATCCTCCCAGGTTCAAGCGATTCTCCTGCCTCAGCCTTCTAAGTAGCTGGGATTAAAGGCATGTGCCACTACACTTGGCTAATTTTTGTATTATATTTTCGGTAGAGACGGGGTTTTACTGTGGTGGCCAGGCTGGTCTCGAACTCCTGACCTCAAACCATCTGCCAGCCTCGGCTTCCCAAAGTGTTGGGATTACAGGCGTGAGCAACCACGCCCGGACCCTCTTCCGTTTAAAGGCCAAAATCAACTACGTTTCCTTTGGCCAAAACTTATCCTGGGAAATGTGGTCCATATCCCTCATGTTAAAATTGGAGCTTCTGTTATCACCATCATCATCACTGTCATCATCATCATAGCTGTTAGGAAATAACTAATCAAGTGTAGACATCTCTTTATTTCCTTGCTTTCAGTTAAATTCTTCTCTAGCTAGTTCCATATTGCCACCAGAGTAATTTTTTTTTAAAAGGAATGTTTATGTCACTTTGTATTTAATCTTTGAGTAGTTTGCTACTAGCTTCAACTTCATACTCAGAATGTCTCACGGTATCTAAACAGTGTCAGTAGCAGAGGAAATCTGCATTTACCCGTATCTAGCCTGGGTCCTGTTGTCCTGCATGCAGGGATATCCCCTCCCCATAGTGATCAGTGTCTCCTAGTCCTTTACAGTCTCAGTGCTCTGTCCTTGGCCGAGAGGTCTTTAATTGCACAAATAGTGTCCTCTCCTCTGTAATTCTGCAGTGAGGGTCTGTATGAGGTAGCATGGCGATTGACTGGTCACAAGTAGCATTAAGTTCTAGCGTCAAACAACCTGAGTTTGTGCTTAGCCACCTATTGGAATGTGGCTGTGGACAAATCATTTAACTACAGAGCTGAGTTTATCCTCTGTAAATCTGGGATAAAAGTATGAGTAGTAGCTGCCTCATGTGATTGTTATGAGGATTAAATGAACTGATAAGCAAGGTCTTCTGCCTAGCCGAAAAAGTACTAAAAAAAATGGCAGGTTGGGCTGCCAGGCATGATGGCTCATGCCTGTAATCCCAGCACTTTGGGAGACCAAGGTGAGAGGATCACTTGAGGCTAGAAGTTCAAAACCAGCCTGGGCAACAAAATGAGACCCCCATCTCTAAAACACACACACACATGCGCGCGCGCACACACACACACACACAATTAGCCTGGCCTGGTGGTGTGCACCTGTGATCCCATCTACTTGAGAGGCTGAGGCAGGAGGGAGGAGTGCTTGAGCCTGGGAGGTTGAGGCTGTGGTGAGCCATGATTGCACCACTTGTACTCCAACCTGGGTAACAGAGCGAGACCCTGTCTCAAAAAGAAGGCAGCTATTATTATTTACATAGGTGCATATATGTTCTTCACATAAGTCCATAATATTTAGGCGTGTTTCACAGAATTTAAGCTGCATGTGGTTTTCATTGAGTTCTCTAGATTTTTTATATTGACTGTATGTTTGTATATTCATTGACATATTTTAAAAAGATACCCTGTGTTGATACCCCCCCACCTCTCCCCCCCCCCGATTTCTGCACTTGACTGTGAGCTTTTAAAGATAGAAACTGTTAAATTTACAAGAAAAAAACAACCCCATCAAAAAGTGGGCAAAGGATATGAACAGACACTTCTCAAAAGAAGACATTTATGCAGCCAACATGCATATGAAAAAAATGCTCATCATCACTGGTCATTAGAGAAATGCAAATCAAAACCACAGTGAAATAACCATCTCACACCAGTTAGAATGGCAGTCATTAAAAAGTCAAGAAACAACAGAATGCTGGAGAGGATGCGGAGAAATAGGAATGCTTTTACATTGTTGGTGGGAGGGTGAATTAGTTCAACCATTGTGGAAGACAGAGTGGCAATTCCTCAAGGATCTAGAACTAGAAATACCATTTGACCTAGCAATCCTGTTACTGAGTATGTACCCAAAGGATTATAAATCATTCTGCTGTAAAGACACATGCACACGTATGTTTACTGCGACACTACTCACAATAGCAAAGAATTGGAACCCACCCAGATGTCCATCAATAATAGACTGGATAAAGAAAATGTGGCACATAGACACCATGGAATACTATGCAGCCTTAAAAAAGGTTGGGTTCATGTCCTTTGCAGGGACATGGATGAAGCTGGAAACCATTCTCAGCAAACTATCCTAAGAACAGAAAACCAAACACCACATGTTCTCACTCATAAGTGGAAGTTGAACAATGAGAACACATGGACATAGGGAGGGGAGCATCACACACCAGGGCCTGTCGGGGGGTGGGGGGCTAGGGGAGGGATAGTATTAGGAGAAATACCTAATGTAGGTGACGAGTTGATAGGTGCAGCAAACCATCGTAGCATGTATATAACTATGTAACAAAACTGCACGTTCTGCACATGTACCTCAGAACTTAAAGTATAATAAAAATTTTAAAAATTAACAAAAATAAAAAAATAAATAAAGTAGGAACTGTTTTCTGCTCATTTTTTTTGTAGTACCTGGCAAAATACCTGGCACATGGAAGACCCTTGGTAAATACATATTGAATTAATATTGAATGAGCAATTATACTAAGATGGGATGGCAGCCTAGATGCTATCCTTCTGCTCCCATTTTCTTTTCAAGCATGCATCTCCCTATATAATCTTCCCTAAAAGAATTTTTAGTATACATAGGTGAGATCTTTATTATAACTCTGTCAGTTATTCTCAACATTTTTTCTAATGAGAAGCTGAGCTTTATTTCCCTGAAGTATTGTGAGTATTTGGATTAGAGAAGAAGGTGACCAAGTATCACTGTACCAGTTACTGATAGGAGTGGGAGGAAGATTATGGTTGCTGAGCATTCCTTCCCCATTATAAGGAATACTCAAGAGCTATAAAGAGGGCAGTTTGGCAGTAAAACCATCTTGGAATTTGATGATGTAAAGCTTGAAGATCTCCAAGCTGCCTGCTGTTGACAAATATTCCTTAGTAAGCTTTACCTAAGGCAGAAGCACATTCACATAAGCACCTTGGATTATCTTGTAGTTCTTATTTTTTAATATTAACTTTATAAATCATGAATATTTTTGTAGTTATCAGGTTATTGTTAAGACCTGTTTGGATAATTTTCCTCAGATAATGCTTGAATGATGGGATTTTTGGATATTGTTGTTTTTTCGTTTTTAAGTGGATAATTTGGACTGTTCAAGTGTTTCCTCACCTTTTCCGTAAGGATGTTCAAATGTGTTTAATATATTCCAGAGAGTTTAATTTCAGCCAGGATAAAGTTTTCATTTGATATGGTATATTCTTCTATGTCATTTTTCCGGGTGAATGGAGTTGAGTATTCTCTAATGTAGCCAAAGGCTTCTATTCTTAAGTACAGCAGAGATTTTATACAAACCCTTCACTTTATAAATAAGGAACCTAATGTTTAATTAGGTACTTATTAGTAGTAAGAGTCTCTGACTTATTTAAAGGTCAGAGTTTATTCTAGTAGAAGTTACTGCATGTCTCTTGATACTAGTAATTAACCTATTGTAGCTTGAATTAACCATAGTTATCATTAAGGTTTTAAGAAGACTGTAATTCATTCTCTTGATCATTCATACATGGAAGTCAGGGCAACCCCTCTAAACAGAAAGTAAAGTGTGGTTTCTTCCAGCATTATGTCATTATAATTCACACAAATTAAAAAAAAACTTGAATTTTTACTATATCTGATACTTCCAGCTTCATAATTTTTCTTTGGGGGATAAAAATGTGTAATTATTATTAAAACCATATAAAATATGAATAATGTGCTTATTTTCTTTTGTCTGAAATGTTGATTTATTGTGCTGATTTTTTTTATTTAAAAGGATAACAGAAGATTCTTGAATGATTTATCAATTGGCCTTCAATAGGTATAGAAAGAAGGTATCTATAAGGAGGAGATTTTAAGATTCTAAATGTATATTGTATATAATTTTTTAAAACAGGGAAGTAGTACAATTTCTTTAGGATTAAATGTTGTATTGAACACTGATAAAATATTTATTAATTTTAAAGAATGTCATTACTTGTTAATGCAAGTTTTTTTTTCGTCTTATATGGTAGTAAAATTATAGACTCCCTGAGGATCCTTTTATCCTCAGGTAAAGAATCTGAGACCTCTGGTGTCATAGCTCTTTGCAGAACATTTAGAGAAAGCATCAACCAATTATTTTTGCATAGATGAACTATTAAGTTGAATTCAGCAGGTATAGGATATTTCATTAATCAAGGACTCAAAAAAATCAAGGATACTTGGTTAAAAGTTTTTAGCTTTCAATGTGTGTGTGTAGTGTATGCATATACATCTATGTATTTACATTTTAGTTGACTGACAGTTGTCTTTTGGAAGTTACGGTTTATAAAATAAAATAATTTATACATACATAGAAAGCATAATAAACAGATCACTAAACTCTTTTCTACCCTCGCATCAGAGAGCAGCCCCTAAGAGGCTTATAGTCTATTTTATAAGGATGAGATGTCTGTGGAAAGATAATTATCATATTGCCAGGTGAGTGCTCTAGACAGTAAGACTAGGTTCAGAAGGCTGAGGGTGACAGGAAAGGGCTCATGGAAGTAGTTTATTTTGAGTTGCACTTTGAAGGATTGGATGAGGCTTTTTTTCCTCTACAACATTTGATTATGAAAAATTTCAAATACAACGAAGTTGAAAGAATTTATACCAAACGCCTGTATAGTACTACCTACACTTTGTACAATTAACATTTTATTATACCTGTTTTATCATATATTACTCCATCTGTTGATTCCTATATCATCCACTAATCTATCTTTTTTTGGATGTATTTCACAGTAAATTATTGATACCAGTATCTTCCCCCAAACTAGTTTGGCATGCATATAATTAACCATAATGCAATTTTGGGGACTTTTTTTTTCTTTTGATGCAATGTTCACATATAATGAAATAAATCTTAAATTTACATTCCTGGAATTTTACACATCTTTGTAATTTAAACATGTATTAAGATACAGTATATTATGCCCCTTCTGAGTCACTTCCTGCCCTGTCCTCCCAGAGGCAGTCACTGTTCTGATTTTTTTGTCTGCCATAGATTAATTTTTCCTATTCTAGAACATCATAGAAATGGAATCATATAGCACATATTTCTTTATGTAAGGCTTCTTTCACTCAGCATGTTTTTGAAGTATATCCACATTATTATGTTTGTTAGAAGTTTGTTCCCTTTTTTGCTGAATGATATTCCATTATGTGAATCAACAAGTTTGCATATCCATTCTATTGATGAATACCCGGACTGTTTCCAGTGTTTGGCAATAATGAATAAACTGCTATGAATATTCTTATAAGTGTTTTTGTGAGTGTAGTTTTTAATTTCTTTTGGGTAAATACCTAGCAGTTGAATTTTTGGGTTATAGGTGGGTGTATGCTTAGTTTTATAAGAAACGACCACATCTTTTCCCAAAGTGGTATACCATCTTATGTCTCCACCGACAATGTATGAGAATTGCAGTTGGCTGGGCACAGTGGCTCACGCCTGTAATCCCAGCACTTTGGGGGGCCAAGGTGGGCAGATCACCTGAGCCTAGGAGTTTCAGACCAGCTTGGGCAACATGGCAAAACCCGCTCTCCACAAAAAATATAAAAATAAGTTGGGTATGGTGGCATGTGCTTGTAGTCCCCACTACCCGGTAAGTTGAGACGGGAGGATTGCTTGAGCCCAGGAGGTGGAGGTTGCAGTGAGCAAAGATGGTACCACTGCACTCCAGCCTGGGTGACAGAGTGAGATACTGTTTCAAAATCAAAACAACTACAACAAAAAGAGAATTTCAGTTACTCTATAATCTCATCAGTATTTGGCATCGTCAGTCTTTTTGATTTTAGCCATTTTGAGGTATATGTACTAGTATCTCATTGTGATTTTAATTTCTAGTTTTCTCTGCTGATTAATGATGTTGATCAGTTTTTTTCTTCTGCTCTTTGGTGAAGGGTCTGTTCAGATCATTTGCCTATTTTATAATTGGATTGCCATTTTATTACAGAGTTGTTACTACTTACGTAGTGGTGCTTAAATATTGGCTATTTTTTTTTCTTTTCTCCCTCTCTCCCTCCCTCCCTCCCCTTCTTTCTTTTCTTTTTTGAGGCAGGGTCTCTCTGTTGCCTAAGCTGGAGTGCAGTGGCACAATCACAGCTACTGCAATGTCAGACTCCTGGGCTCAAGCAATCCTCCTGTCTTAACCTCCTGAGTAGATGGGACTACGGGTGCACACCACCTCGCCCATCTAATTTTTAAAATCTTTTTTTTTTTTTTTTTTGAGATGGAATCTCGCTCTGTTGCCCAGGCTGGAGTGCAGTGGCGCAATCTCGGCTCACTGCAAGCTCTGCCTCCTGGGTTCACACCATTCTCCTGAGTAGCTGGGACTACAGGTGCCCGCCACCACGCCCAGCTAATTTTTTGTATTTTTAGTAGAGAGGGGGTTTCATCCTGTTAGCCAGGATGGTCTCCATCTCCTGACCTCGTGATCTGCCCGCCTTGGCCTCCCAAAGTGCTAGGATTACAGGCGTGAGCCACCGTGCCCGACCTGTAAATTTTTTTTGTAGAGATGGGGTCTTACTATGTTGCCCAGGCTGGTCTTGAACTCCTGGCCTCAAGTGATCCTCCTGCCTTGGCCTCCCAAAGTGCTGGGATTACAGGTGTGTGGCATTGTGCTCTGCAGATATTGGCTCTTCTTTGCATATGCCAAAATGTGCCCTTAGTGGACATAATTACTTATGAAAGATGAGTAATAGTCTTATTGAAATACAAATAATGCAGACTTCTAATTTTATTAACACATTATGGGTTGGGGGCAAATTAAAAACTATTGTGGCCTTTTAAAATTTTTTATATTATTTCTAAAGCTGATCTGAATAACTATTTTGCTGTCAGGCAGGAGAACCCAAACTATCCAAATCAGAGAATGATGTAGATAAATTTCTTAAGTATAAATTGTTCCTAGTAAGCAAATAACTATTCGAATATATGGAGTGAAATTAATATGATTCAGGCATTAGTTGGGTTAAAATCAGCTAATAAATGGTAGTGAGATCACTTGTTTTTGGATTTGAAATTGTGTGTTATTAAAAGTCCTCAAGAGAAGCTACTATTTTTTCTTTTAAATTTTTTGTTATTATAGTAGGTCTGCATGTTTATTCCAAATATAATAATCTCAAAATAAAAAATTATTTTTTATTTTATAAAGTAGGCTTATTTTGTTGCCCTTTAAAATATGTTATGTTTCGGAATCTCTAAAAATGTTGATGCTTTAGATAAGGTATATCTGGTGTTGATGTAACATTTTTATCCTGTTTTGGAAGAATTATTTTGTTAAGATCAAACATATTTTCAGAGTATTTAATATTATTAGTTCTATAAAAAGTACAAAGGGTGAGGGATTCCCTGTGGCTAAGGCCTTGTGGCTACAGTGTACTAATACATTTTTTGAAAAGCAATATTTATCAGATGTTTACATCTAGAAATAGGATTTTTCTTTTTTCTTAGTTAGGTTCTAAGGACAAGGTTTTCCTGTTGAGTGAGAGAAAAGAAATGCATGCAAATTAGTAGTAATAATAGCTAACATTTATTCAGTGCTTTCTATGTACAGAGCACTTTACAGACAGCTCATTTAATCCTTGCAGCCTTACTGAGGTGGAGATACTTTCATTTCCATTTTATACATGGGAATTGGAGGCTTTAGTTAACTTTCCCCAAATTTTGCATCTTAACAATAAAAGATGTGGGCTTAATTACAAGTATTCTAACTCTACAACCTGTGCTCTTAACACCTGACTTGTACTACTTCATTTCACACAAGGAAATTAAACTCTCCTTGTGTGAATTTAAATAGTGTTGGTTGCAAGGAAAAGACAACTTCTCAAGCTAGTTAAATCCAAAGGGGTACAATATTATAAGGGTACAATAAAGATCTCATAGAAGTCCAAGGACTAGGTTCCCAGGAGCTACAACTAGCTCCAAATGTGAACAGAGTCCATCTCTTACTTTTCTCTATGCCTTCTCTGTTCCCTGCCCCTCATTTTTTCTGTTGGCCTTTGCTCTGTTCCTTTGCTTATTAGTAGTTTCTTACTCCTTTGTGATTTCCATCTGCTGCCCTATTGTCACTATATGGCTCTTCTGGACCCTCTGCTTTATTGTTTGTTTCCCATTTTTAAAGATATATCTTATTTGCCCAACTAATCTTTTTGAGGCAGACTATGTAGTGAATGGGCTATATTCCTTTGGTGCCTATTCTGTCCAGTTATCTCAGAATGGGAGTAAAGTTACATGATCCAAAACATGGTCACTGGCCCTCAGCGTGGCCATGACATTTTCACCTAGAAGTGGTGTATGGATGAGCAGTAATCATAAGATTTACTGATTAGTAACTGTCCTAGTTTAGTTGAAATTATCAAAGAAAAAGATGGTCATGTGAAATTTTTTTTTTACTAGATAAGCATTTTCTAAGGTGCATTCCACAAAACATGAGTTCCAGGCAATGGCCTGTGAAGAGTGGTAACTTCAGCTAAATAATTATGAGAAACTCTGCTTAATATCTTTACTTATTTACCTCTTGGCTGGGCACAATGGCTTATGCCTGTAAATCCCAGCACTTTGGGAAGCCACAGTGGGAGGTTTGTTTGAGGCTGGGAGCTTCAGACCTGTCTGGGCAACATAGAGAGACCCTACCTTTAAAAAATAAAAATAAAAAATTAGCTAGATGTGGTAGTGCATACCTATAGTCCTAGCTACTCTGGGGGCTGGGGCATGAGGATTGCTTAAGCCCAGGAGTTTGAGGATGCAATGAGGTTTGATCGCACCACTCATTCTAGCCCAGGTGACAGAGGGAGATCCTGTCTCAAAAAAAAAAAAAAGTGTGTGTGTGTGTGTGTGTGTGTGTGTATGTGTGTGTATTTATACCTCTTAGAGATTCATAGTTTGGATTGGCATGTTAAAAATTCTGATATGTCCTACAATATAGAAGTTTGAGCTCTGTTTTAAATTTATTTTTACTTATTTTTATTTTTTTGAGACAGTCTTGCTCTATCACCCAGGCTGGAGTGCACTGGCGCGATCTCGTTTCACTGCAACCTCTGCCTCCTGGGCTCAAGCAGTCCTCCTGCCTCTCCTGGCTAATTTTTCTAGTTTTTATAGAGACAGAGTTTCACCATGTTGCCCAGGTTGGTCTCGTATTCCTGGGCTCAAGTGATCCACCCACCTCGGCCTCCCAAAGTGCTGGGATTATAGGCGTGAGCCACTGTGCCTGACCAAGCTCTTTTTAGTACAGCATTTCTTTTTTTTTTTTTTTTTTTTTTTTTTGAGGCAAGGCCTCACTCTGTCACCCAGGCTGGAGTGCAGTGATGCTATCGTATTTCACTGCAGCCTCTACTTCCTGGGCTCAGGTGATCTTCTCACCTTAGCCTTCTGAGTAGCTGAGAGTGGAGGCACACACAACCATGCCTATTTTTTTAATTTTAATTTTTAGTAGATACAAGGTTTCTACTGATAATAGGTGATCCTGAACTTCTGAGCTCAAGTGGTCCTCCCACTTAGGCCTCTCAAAGTGTTGGGATTGCAGGCGTGAGCCACTGAGCCTGGCCTGTAACATTTCTTATGCCTATTTGGTCATAGAACTTTCTTACTGTATGATATCTCACTGCATAGTGTTTTGGGAATCATTGCATTAGAGCACATTGGAAGATTTTTTTGTGGGGAAAGAGGTAGGATTAGTCAATGCTATAAAATCCTGTTGATGATTGTACTTTGCAGTCATTGACAGTATGGGATAATTGTTAAAAACATGAACTTTGGCATCACAGAGATAGAGTTTGAATTTCAGTTGTGCTATTTATTAGATGTGATCTTGGATAAGAACTTAACCTTTCTGGGCCTGAGTTTGCTAATGCGTGATGTTTCCTGTCAAGTGCTTAGCTCAGTGCCTGACGTGGTGAATAATTAATAAATGGTGATCAGTAAAATTTACCTGTATTTTTACTAGGAAGTGTTTGGATGTACCAGTTAGTACAATCATTCTTCTATAATAAATAATTATCTTTCATCTGAATAGTTTCGTCTAGCATAATTCTTGTGTCAGACTTCGTTATAGGATAAATATGGGATAAATACTGGGTCAAAGGAAAATTTCAATTTAGAGAAAAGATTTTGATGAGAGAGATGCTATTACGTTTTCCAGGTCAGGAGTAGAAATTATGGGGGCTGGTGTGAGATGAGATTGCTGTTTTGGATCTGCTGTGAAAGGAGTATTGTGTATAGGGGTGACAGTATGAGACTATACCCTGGAGAGGGTAGGCCAGATTTTTAAGTCTGAATTTATCTAATGAGGATTTTGGTTTATAATCCAAATGTATATGGGCAAACAGTGCTCTTAGTGGAAGCTACAACCATAGCTCATTTCTGACTAATGCGGCTTCAAGGGCTTGTATCAGTTGTTATGCTTTGTTATGAAGCCATTCTTCTTTGCCACAATTACCTGGACCAGGAACTGGCATCAGTGATATATAGGTAGGCCAGTGGCTTATAGCTTGGCCTGGCCCAGGAACTCTGTCCAATAGCTCTGTAAATGATGAATTAAATCAATCTTATCTTTCTTAGGGAATTTCAATGTGAGATATCAGAGAATGTAGTAAGCAGAAGCTGCAGGACAGTAGAAATCATGTAGTAGAAAGAGAGTAGTTATTGTGGAGAGTAAAATAAAACTACAGTCATAATAGGGGCAGAGTTGGGAAGCTAAATTTTGACAATAATCAACCAGAATTCCTTCCTATTGGGAACCAATTTTATTTTATCCTGGCCAGTGCTGCAGTTGTCAGTGAAGCCTGATTGTGGAGATTTTTCTTATATTTTCATATTCCCCCACATTTTCTTATACTAAATTTTCTTTATGAAGTAGCTCAAATGAGTCTGCATATAGTTTGGCAATTGGAAAGAGCCCATCTCGTGTAATACACCCTGTAAGTAAAGCACAATAATTTACTTAGTTGATGTGAATGGTGTTGACTGATTTGACAGGTGGGAGCAACAGGGACTTTGCTTGTGGCGCTGTTGACCAGGGAAACATGACTAAAGTTGTGCTTCTTTCCTGTTTTGACATAGTTTCCTCAGTAATGGGGTAAAGAGACCTGGTTTTATATCTTTGCCATTCATTAGCTATGTATGATCTTAGGTAACTCTTAATTTTATGGATGACCATTTTCTTTCTATAATTTGAATTAGTCACACTGACTTTTTGATTCAGCAAAAATGCTTTTTTAGGTCATTGTTCATAGTATTTAGAAATGGTCAGAGATAATAAATGTGAAAAAGTTAGAAAAAGAGGAACTATTATGGTCAATCTAAGTAAACATTAAAATATTGATGCAGCTGCACTAGGAAAGCCTAATAGTGTTCAGTGTTGCTCTACCACTTTTGTTTATGTAAAACGAATATCTGGAGGATAATGTATCTTCACAGAACTGACAGTAACTTATTTACTTTTGCTACCATGTGTTTCTGTTTTTTCTCCTTTATTTATATTTCAAATATTTATAACCATTTCCCCCAAAGAACTTGACAAACCAGTAGATTTGTTTTTCTTTTGTTTAAAGATTTTTATTTTTAATTGACAAATAAAATTTATGTGTGTTTATCATGTACAACATAATGTTTTGAAATATGTATACATTGAGAAATAGCTAATCTAGCTGAATAACATATACATTAACTTACTGATTTTGTATACTGAGAACACTTAAAATCTACTCTTTTAGTGCTTTTCAAGAATACAGTATATTATTTTTAACTATAGTCCCCATGACATACAATAGTTCTCTTGAACTTTTTCTTTTGGCTAACTGAAGTTTTATGTCCTTTGACCATCTCCTCAATCCTTCTCACCTGCTAGTCCCTGATAACCACCATTCACCCTCTGCTTCTGTGAGTTTCAGTTTTTTAAGATTCCATGTATAAGTGAGATCATTCTCTTCTTGGCTTATTTAATTTAATATCATGTCTTCCAGGTTCATTGATGTTTTTGAAAATAATAGGATTTTTTTTTTTTTTTTTTTTTTTTTTTTTTTTTTTTTTTGAGACAGAGTCTCACTCTGTCACCCAGGCTGGAGTGCAATGGCACAATCTCAGCTCACTGCAACCTCCACCTCTTGGGTTCAAGCTGTTCTGCCTCAGCCTCCTGAGTAGCTGGGACTACAGGCATGCACCACCATGCCCAGCTAACTTTTTTAATATATTTAATAGGGATTTCATCATGCTGGTTAGGCTGGTCTTGAACTCCTGACCTCAAGTGACCCACCCGCCTCAGCCTCCTATAATGCTGGGATTACAGGCGTGAGCCTCGGTGCCCATCCTCTTTTTTTTTTTTTAAAGGCTGAATAGTATTCAATTGTGTATGTATACCACATTTTCTTTATTCATTCATCTGTTGATAGACACTTAAGTTGATTCCATATCTTTGACTACTGTGAATAATGCTGCAATGAACATGTGAGCACATATATCGCTTTGAGATATTGATTCCCTTTTCTTTGGATATATACCTAGTAGTGGGATAGTTGGATCATATAGGTAGTTCTTTTTTTTTTTTTTCTTTTGAGACAGGGTCTCGCTCTGTTGCCCAGGCTGGAGTGCACTGTCACTGCAGTCTCGACCTCCTGAGCTCAAGCAGTCCTACTACCTCAGCCTCTTGAGTAGCTGGGACCACAGTCACACAGCACCATGCCCAGCTAATTTTTAAAATATTGTTATTTTTTGTAGAGCTAGGAGTCTTACTATGTTGCTCAGGCTGGTCTCAAACTCCTGGGCTCAAGTGATCCTCCCTCCTGGGCCTCCCAAAGTGTGGGGATTACAGGCATGAGCCACCATACCTGAGTATTTTTAATTGTTTGAGCAACCTCCGTACTGTTTTCCATAATAACTGTACTAATTTACACTCCTTCCAACAGTGTGTAAGGGTTCCCTTTTCTCTATATCCTCACCAACACTTGCTATTTTTTATCTTTTTGATAATAACTATTTAACAGATGTGAGGTAATATTTCACTGTGGTTTTAATTTGCATTTCCCATACTATTATCGATGTTGAATATTTTTTCATGTATCTTGTGGCCAGATTTATTTTTCACTCAGTGCTTACCTAGGCTTTTTATCTGGGATCAGCGTGATAAGGGGGCAGAAGAACAAAGAAGGCCTTTTTGTTTTTTTTTGGAGATTTGGAGATTCCTAATGTGTGAATTATGGTATTAATAACTGACAAACTAAATTATACTGTGATTCATTATAGTAATATCTCAGGGCAATTGAGATATTAAATTGAAAAATCAGGGCGGTGATTTTTCCTTTATGAGAAAAAGTGCCCCTTTTAGCAAAAAGTAATGCAGACTTCCCAAAAGTAATCATTGTAGTTTTGTATTGGTAGAGTCTGTGATTTAGAGATTCTTTGCCATAATATTCTGTTTCTCCACAGAATCAGGGATATATCCAGGAACAAAAAGAAATTAAGAAAAGCGTTTCCAAGCAGTTAAAATCACTGTCTTAAAGAGTACTAATGTGCAGACAGGGTTTACTTTTGATTTTATATAGTTCTTACGTCTATCTCTTGCATCTCCTCCCAAAAAGAAAAAGACAGGCTTTCAGAAACAAGTTGTGGCTCATTTCTGCTTTCCTTTCTCTCATAACTCTTTTTATTTTCATTATATTATATATGCACATAGTTTAAAAAGTCAGATCTGTAGAAGCATATTATAGAAACTAGTATTCCTTAACACTACGCTCTAATTCCTGCTATCATTTTTCTTTTCTCTAGAGGCAAATTCTGAAACTTCTAAAGCTGATTTTTTTTTTTTTTTTTTTTTTTTGGTATTTACCTCTTGTGTGGAGGTTGCTAGTTGTCTGTCAATATGTTTTTCCCATGTTAAAACTTAAGCTGAATTAAATCTAAAGGAGTTTAATTGAGCAATGAACAGTTTGCTAACTGGGCAGATCCCAGAATCACAGCAGATTCACAGAGACTCCAGTGCAGCCACGTGGTGGAAGAAGATTTATAGACAAAAAATGGGAAATGACATAGAGAAATCGGAAGTGAGGTACAGAACTGCTGGATTGGTTACAGCTCAGTGTTTGCCTTATTTTCTTTTTTTTGATTTTTTTTTTTTTGAGACAGAGTC
Organism: Homo sapiens; assembly: GCF_000001405.40. Taxonomy (NCBI): domain Eukaryota; kingdom Metazoa; phylum Chordata; class Mammalia; order Primates; family Hominidae; genus Homo; species Homo sapiens. The sequence goes on along the minus strand of NC_000011.10, from coordinate 10,252,809 downwards.
TCGCATTTTTGCCCAGGCTGGAGTGCAGTGGCGCGATCTCAGCTCGCTGCAAGCTCGCTGCAAGCTCCGCCTCCCAGGTGCACGCCATTCTCCTGCCTCAGCCTCCCAAGTAGCTGGGACTACAGGCGCCTGCCACCATGCCCGGCTAATTTTTTGTATTTTTAGTAGAAACGGGGTTTCACCGTGTTAGTCAGGATGGTCTCGATCTCTTGACCTCGTGATCCGTGATCTGCCCGCCTTGGCCTCCCAAAGTGCTGGGATTACAGGCGTGAGCCACCGCGCCCGGCCAGCGTTTGCCTTATTTGAACACAGTTTTAACACTCAGCAGTCTATGAATGGTTGAAGTATGGCCGATGGGATTGGCCAAGATTTAGCTATTATTACAGACACATACTCCTAAGTTAGGTTTTCAGTCTTGTCTGCATATTAAGCTAGGTTGCAGTTCGTCCACAAGGACTCAAATATAGAAGTACAGAGTCCTTCTCAGGCCATATTTGGTTTGCTTTAACAATTTCCCACTTTTGGTCATTTTCTCAATTTTGAGAGATTGACCAAAACTTTAGTTATTGATGTCACTATCACCATTGTAAATGTACTTATTTGGTCTTGAAACCCACTGGGAAATAGTAGAACAGTGAGTTTTGCAAAAGCAAGAACAAGGACTGAGTAGAGGGTACCTCCTTATGCTGGAACATCCTGTTTACAGGAGGCAAACAGAACCTGGTCTGTTCTAGGATCTAGGTGTTTCCTTGAAGTCTTAAGTTTGATTATGTCACATTTAGCATGATGACTCCATTTTAGTTTGGTTTGGCCTGTTGGGGCCTCGTGCATGAGCTTAGTCCAAACTTTAGCCTCCCATAATTTTGTTTAAAAAAATTTCCCCATTTTGGTCAGCTTCTCCCTTAGGTGAGAGAGTGACCAAAACCTAGGACCTTAGTGCCACTCTCTGTTTCTATCATTTTGGGTTTCTGGTCTCTGCACATCATTCATAGGTTACTGTGTCCTCACAGTCGCATATTTCTTTCAACTTTTGTCATTCCAGTTGAAGAGAGACCATTTGACATTCTAGGTATGGCTGCATGCAAACATTTAAAACCTTTGAGAGAATACAGCGCACCAGGGAGACTATTATCATGACTATTGGGAGGATAATGCCAGGAGTTTGGAGTGTGCTCCTTATCCAGAGTCCCCATAAACCAAACCACCTAAGATTAAATAGATTAAAGAAGGAGCTAGATGAGGAGTCTACTCGCTTGAATAAGTAGTCTTTTCATTAATCCCCTACAACTGAAATTTTATAATCTACATTTGATGGATTTGTCCATAGGCCACAAGTGTCAGTAGCTGCACAGGTACTTTTCTGTTTAGCCAATTCTATTATTTAGCATGTCTTTCACAAGAAAATGTAAAGTCTGTTGTGTAACCATAGCCTTTACAGTAGAATCTGCTATAGAGTCTATTATGAGGGATACATTTTTTATTATTGCCTCTTTTATTCTAAATCATGGAAAAAGGATCTAACAAATGATGTCCTTCTAGAAGAGTGAAGGCTTCCTGACAATATTCTTTCTGGCCCATGATGTGGGTTAAGAGAGTTTTGACTGATTATGAGGCAACATATGTACCATTAAGGTTTCGCATCTACATCGGGCCTTCATCTTTTATCTACCAAAGTATAAGGTTATTCATGTATAAGGCTGGCTGCAAAATCCTCTACAAATAAAAGTATACCCTATAAGTGCACGTAATAGACCCCCTTTACATTTCTATTGTTCATGGAGGCATAAATAAGGAAAAAATATTCGAAGATAAGAGTCTAATGATAGTAGAAGTCTTGATCCATGATCCTAGGAAAAGCTGTTCACATTAAGGATGCCATTTTCTTCTGGGGAGAAACTTGCCTGGTTAGTTTTACCTTAAGGGTTCCAGTGGGTGTACAGTTTCCAAGAGTGTGGAGGGACCCTTCTCAGTTGTGAGATTATTAACCCAAGGTTCAAGCTTCCCAAGTTTTGTTGCAGTGTGAATGGCAAGGGCAGTCTTTCTCTGATGTTCTCAGAACATCCAGTCTTCAAGTTCTATATTGTGAAGGAGTTGATTGTCCTTAGTGAACCATAAAAACTTTCTTTACCTGGTGAAAATATACTGTGGCGTAATAATTAACTATTATAACATAAAACATGCATTGAAAATGACAATTGAATGAAATCCCTTTATAAATGTTTAAATGACCCATCAGGTAGCCAAATGTATCTGAAGGTTTGATTGTCTTCCCAGAAATATGGAACCAAACATTGGTTTTAAACTAATTTTCACAATTTATAAGTCACCACATCTGTATATTCAATTTGGATCATTTTATCCTTCCCATGATGAGTCATGGAATGCAGACCCTTTAATAACAAGAGCCTTAAGGACTCAAGAAGGACAAGGCAGCTGTCCTGGTTCTGAGTCCATGCTTAGCGTTGGACTTACATCCTCTTGAATACCACTTGTTTCTACAATTTAGGTGCATAGCGCAGATAACTAATGGGTTATCATAGGTAGTTTAACTTAGACCATGGAGTTCAAATTGTATATCTAAACAATTTTAGTATCAGCTAGTTTAACATGAAAATCTGGCAAAGTATTTTCTTGGTATTTAATTAACTTTTTGGTTCTGCTTGGGTTAGCAGTTTTACCCAAGGATATTTGGTTGTTTCTATGGTGTATAAAACTTAACCATAATTATGATTGGTAGCATATACTCAGACGTATTAGAATTTTAGAAATCCCATACAATTTTGGAGCATATATTAATATTCACTAAAATATAACCTGAAGATTAAACATTATTTTGACAATGCTTCCCATGTAACTTAACATGTTAAATAATTCTCTTTACGTCTCTTTTAGATGCTTCAGGGATTCCATATGCATTCCAATGCTATGGACTCCCCCATAGCATTCCAATGCTATGGACTCCCCCATAGCATTCCAATGCTATGGACTCCCCCATAGCATTCCAATGCTATGGACTCCCCCATAGCATTCCAATGCTATGGACTCCCCCATAGCATTCCAATGCTATGGACTCCCCCATAGCATTCCAATGCTATGGACTCCCCCATAGCATTCCAAAGTTAGAAGTCAGAAGAGACTATTTGGAAGCTGAAATTTGATTTGGGGAAGCTTATTAAATATGTTAAAGGTATAAAACACTTGATATTATGAACTGGAATTCCACATTACTGTAAGTCATTCATTTAGCCAAAATAATGAGACAAAAATTTTTAAAAAGGCAACAATGTTTACTCATTGATAGAGGGAAGACTTAGCTTTTCAAACAATCTTTTGTCTTTCCCTTCTTTTTTTTCTTTGATAGTGTATTTAAAAGGCAAATACATTTTTCATTATCTTTTAATATTACATGAAAATCTTGTTCGAGAAAGCCATATTTCACTCTTACATTAGTAGATTATTAATGTCAACCCCAATTTTTAATAAAGCCTCATTAGACAAATCTGTCCAATCTTAATCAGTTTGACCATAAGGAGAGATTTTTATAAACCTTTTATAACCCTTTACAATTTTTTTTGTTAAAGAGCAGATTCGTGCTTTAAGAAAACCCTGTTGTGCTTTTATTTTGATGTTCAATTTACAGAAAAACAAGATAATACCCCTTTAAATTTAGTCAATATTTTCACACATAGAATTTCTTTCTTTTTTTTTTTTGTTGAGACGGAGTCTTGCTCTGTCACCCAGGCTGGAGTGCAGTGACACGATCTCGGCTCACTACAAGCTCTGCCTGCCAGGTTCATGCCATTCTCCTGCCTCAGCCTCCTGAGTAGCTGGGACTACAGGCTCCCGCCACCACCCCCAGCTAATTTTTTTGTATTTTTAGTAGTGACGGGGTTTCACTGTGTTAGCCTGGATGGTCTCAATCTCCTGACCTTGTGATCCGCCCACCTCGGCCTCCCAAAGCCCTAGGATTACAGGCGTAAGCCTCCGCGCCCGGCCTAGAATTTGTTTTACAGGGTTAATTTTTACAGAATTTCCACAAGTTGTTTAAACCTTTAGATTTTTCCTATTTCACTTAAAACAATCCTTTAACTAAAGTTAGGCAAAAAATTCACATTCCCATGACTTTTAATAATCTTTTACCAAAAACACATTTAACTTTCTTTACACACCTTGCATGTAAAACTGTTTTTTCAGTAGTTTCAAATATACATTACACTGTTAACCCTTAGCATTTTTACTTTTGGTGAAAAACCTTGGTAAGTTCAGCATTTTAATTATGTACTAGGCATGGAGCCTAGGACCCAGACAGAAATGAAGATAAGGTCTGACTCTTTCCAGCATCTCACTCCACAAGTCCCAAGCCTTACCTAACTGTAAAGCAGGCAAGTAGTACAGTTAAGAGTCATAGTGGCATTTTATGAAGCATTTAAGAGGCCTAATCACCTTTAAATTGTACTGCATTTCTTGCATAAATTCCCTTTCACCAATTCTTTCATGACTTAACACAGACCACCTACAACATGCTTAGACTTTTTGACTTGTCCTAAACATCCCTCTTTTTAAATGACCAGTCATTTTACTTTAGCTTTAGGACAAACATTTATTATACAAGATCCTTTCATATATAAAATCTCTTTTCTTTAATACCTTCTTTGCCTAGCTAGGGGGCATGGGTAATTTCACAGGTCGCCAGGCCTTATCTAGAATGTAATGCTCCAAAATAAATTGAACAATTTTTAAAAGTCAAAGAAGCAGCTTATGACCTTAGACCATTTAACAAACTTAATATCTGACCTGCATAATTTAGACCAAATGTTTACACTTTTGAAGACATTTTTATTTTACCAATAATCTTTAAAACTGGGAAGGGGTGGTGTCAGCAATTCAAGACTGTTCATTCTACCCTCTTCAGTGCCTCTTTGAACAATATGAAGTTAAAATCAGGTACTGTAAGGGCTCACCTGATTTTTGTTTTTTATGATGGTGTTTTCTTCTGTGGATAGTTGTTCAATTTGGTGTTCCTGTGAGGAGGATGATTGTTGTAGGCTTCTATGTAGCCATCTTGCTTTGCCTCCTATTTTGATTGTTATTTTATTTTATTCATTTGTTTTTTTGCAATGGAGTCTTGCTCTTTCACCCAGGCCTGGAGTACAGTGGCACGATCTTGGCTCACTGCAATCTCTGCCTCCTGGGTTCAAGCAATTCTCCTGCCTCAGCCTCCTTGAGTAGCTGGGATTTCAGGTGACTGCCACCACGCCTGGCTAATTTTTTTTTTTTTTTTTTGTATTTTTAGTAGAGATGGGGTTTCACCATGTTGGCCAGGCTGGTCTCGAACTCCTGACCTCAAGTGATCTTCCCACCTCGGCCTCCCAAAATGCTGGCATTACAGGTATGAGCCACTATGCCCAGCCTGATTGTTGTTTTAAATTCCTAAATTGTGGTGAATGACAGAGACTGATTTTCAAATGTTAAGCCTATTTTACATTTTTAGTAAATGCAACTTGCTTTGCTATATTATCCTTTGTGTAGTTTGCTTGATTTCGTTTGCTAATGTTTTTAGGAGTTTTGCATGTGTGTTTATGAGTCACATTGGCTTGTAACTTTTCTTGTGTTTTCCATGTCATTTTTTGGTAATAATGTGCTGGCTGGGAAAGTGTTACATTCCACCCAATGTTTCTTTCACTGAAAGTTTATGTAAGATTGGTGTGATTTCTGTCTTCCCTTTTTTAAAGACAGGGTCTTATTTATGTCACCTAGCACAGTGGTATAATCATAGCACACTTTTACTTCGAACATCTGGGCTCAAGTGATCTTCCTGCCTCAGCCTCCCAAGTAACTGAGACTATAGGTGTATGCCCCATGCCCAGCACCATGCTGGGCTACTTTTGTAAATTTTTTGTAGAGACAAGGTCTCACTATGGTGCCCAGGCTGGTCCTGAACTCCTGGACTCAAGCAATTCTCCTGCTTCGACCTCCCAAAGTGGTGAGATTACAGGCATGACCCACCATGCAAGGCCAGTGTTATTTCTTTCTTAAATGTTTGTTATAATTAAGTGGTGAAGCCATCTGGATTTGGAGTTTTGTTTGTGGAAAGATTTTAGATTCATTGTTTTTAATGGTTATAGTATTTTTCAGAGTTTTAATTTCTTTATTGACATATGCTTGTCTTTTTATCATATATCAATTGACATATGATTGTCTTTTATTGACAGAAACCTGTGCATATCAACTGGGTGTGGTGGCTCTTGCCTGTAATCCCAACACTTTGGGAGGCTGAGGCAGGCAGATCACCTGAGGTTGGAGTTCAAGACCAGCCTGGCCAACATGGTGAAACCCCGTGTCTACTAAAAATACCAAAATTAGCTGGGCATGGTGGCAAACGCTTGTAACCCCAGCTACTCGGGAGGCTGAGGCAGGAGAATTGCTTGAACCCGGGAGGCGGAGGTTGCAGTGAGCCGAAATTGCGCCATTGCACTCCACCTCGGTGACAAGAGTGAAACTCAGTCTCAAAAACACAAAAAAGAAAGAAAGAAAAGAAACCTGTGCATATTTAATGTATACAAATTGAGGAGTTTGGCAATAAGTATACACCTTTTAAAGCGTCACTACAGTGTATGCCATAAACATATCCAGGACCTTCAAAAGCTTCCCCCCACTCTTTCTTTTTTTGTGTGTGATAAGAACACAACGTAAGATCTAGTGTCTTTGTATAATTTTAAGTATACCATAATGTTAACTATAGGCAGTATGTCGGACAATAGATCTCTAGGATTTATTCACGTGTATAACTGTAACTTTATACCCTTTGACTAATACCTCCCCAGTTCTCCACCCTCAACTCATGGTAACCACCATTCTACTGTTCTTTTGTGAGTTTGGCTATTATAGATTCCCCCTATAAATGGTATTTGTCCTTCTGGGTCTGACTTATTTCACTTAGCGTAGTGTCCTTCAGATTTACCCATGTTGTCACAAATGGCAAGATACCTTTCTGAAGGCCAAATAACACTTCATTGTATTTATATCCCACATTTTTCTTATCCATTTATCTGTCAATGGACATTTAGCTTGTTTCCATGTCTTGAGTATTGTGATTAATGCTGCAGTGAGCATGGGAGTGCAGATATCTTTTTGATATCTTGATTTCAGTTCTTTTGGGTATATATCTGGAAGTGAGATTGCTAGCTCATATGGTTGTTCTATTTTTAATTTTTTGAGGTGCCTCCATAATTTCTTATAGTGGCTGCACCAATTTATAGTCCCACCAACAGTATACAAAGGGTCACTTTTCTCCACATCCTTGCCAACATTACTTATCTTTTTTTTTGTTTAATAATAGCCATTCTTACATAAGGTGATATCTCATTTTGTTTGTTTTAAAATTGTTATAGATAGGGTCCCGCTGTGTTGCCCAGGCTGGAGTGCAGTGGCTATTCAATGGCAAGGTCATTGTGCACTATAGTCTGGAACTCCTGGAATCAAGCAGCATTCTCCTGACTCGGGTTCTTGAGTAGATGGGATTGCAGGCATGCACTCCCACACCAGGCCTCCATGTGGTTTTGATTTTTATGAGTAATGTTTTCCACTTTTTCATATACCTGTTGGTTATTTGTATTTCTTTTTTGGATAAATATCTAATTAGTTTGCCCATTTTAATTTTTTTTTTTTTTTTTTTTGAGACAGGGTCTCACTCCGTTGCCCATGCTGGAGTACAGTGGTGTGATCTCGGCTCACTGTGGCCTTGACCTCCTGGTTGTAAGCAATCCTCCCACCTCAGTCTCCTGAGTGGCCAGGACTACCTGCGTGTGCCACCACACCCAGCTAATTTTTTTGTGTTTGTAGAGACAGAGTTTCACTGTGTTGTCCAGGCTGTCGTGAACTTCTGAGCTCAAGTGATCCACCCCCCTTGGCCTCCCAAAGTGCTGGGATTACAGGCATGCACCACCGCCCCTGGCCTGCCCATTTTAAATTATGTTATTGTTTGCTATTGAGTTGTAGGGATTCCTTGTATATTTTAGATATTAATCTTTTATCAGTTGTATAGTTTGCAGGTATTTTCTCTCTTCCATAGGTTGCCTTTGTGTTTTGTTTATTGTTTCCTTGGATGTTCAGAAGCTTTTTAGTTTTGGTGTAGTTCCTGTCAAAATCCCATTGGCATTTTTTACAGAAACAGGATAACACATGCCTAAAATTCGTATGGTACCAAAAAAGATTCAAATACCCAAAGCAGTTTTGAGCAAGAACAACAAAGCTAGAGGCATCACACTTCCTGATTTTAAAATATATTACAAAGCTGCAGCAATCAAAACAGTGCAGGACTGGTATCAAACAGACTTGTAGACTGTTGGAGCAGAATAGAGTACCTAGAAACAAATCCATGCATATACTCAACTGATCTTTTACAAGGGTGCCAAGAATACACAATGAGGAAAGAACAGTCTGTTCACAGATGGTGTTGTGAAAACTGGATATCCATATGCAAAACAATGAAATTGGACCCTTACCTTACACCATAAACAAAAATCAACTCAAAGACTTAAATGTAAGACCTGAAACGATGAAACTCATAGAAGAAAATATAAGGAAGAAGCTGTTTGATATTAGCCTTGGCAATGATTTCTTGGATATGACACTAAAATCACAGGCAAGAAAGACAAAAAATCACTTGTCTTGAGTTATGTATATTGGCCTATGTTTACGTCCCAGGAGGGAAGTACCACTTGGTCATGGTTTATGATCTTAACATGCTGTTGAATTTGGTTTGCTAATATTTTGTTGAAGATTTTTGCATCTATTTTCAGGGATTTTGGCCTGTAGTTTTCTTGTGTCTTTGTCTGTCTTTGATATCAGGTTGATGCTGTCCTTATAAAAGAAGATTACAAATTTCCTTGTTTTCATTTTTTTGAAATAATTTAAGAAGAATTGGTGATAATTCTTTAAATGTTTGGTAGAATTTATCCCTGAAGTCATCTGGTCTTGACCTTTTCTTTGTTGTTTGGTTTTTGATTATAGATTCAATCTCCGTATTTGTTATTGGTCTTTTTGGCCTTTTCATTTCTTCTTAATTCAGCCTTGGTAGATTATACATTTCTAGGAATTTATCTGTTTAGGTTGTCCAATTTGTTGGCATATAATTGTACACAATCGTCTTTTATGATGTTTTTTATTTTTGTGGCATCAATTGTAATGTCTCTTCTTCCATTTCTGATTTTGAGTCTTCTTTTGTTTTTTTTCTCTTAGTCTAGCTAAGGGTTTTCCAATTTAATTTTTTCAAAAAACTCTTTATTTTGTCATTAAAAAATTTTTTTTCTCGTCTCTTTCTCATTTATTTTGACTCTAATTTTTATTATTTGATTCATTTTTTTAACTTTAGGTTTGGTGTGTTCTTTTTTTTCTAGACCCTTAAGGTATAATGTTAGGTTTTGATTTGAGATCTTCTTTTTTTAATGTAGGCATTTATCATTATAAACTTCAATCTTAGTACGGCTTTTGCTGCATCCCATAAGTTTTGAGATAGATTTTTGTTTTAATTTGTCTCAAGATATTTTCTAATTTCCCTTTTTGGTTTCTTCTTTGACCCATTAGTTGTTCCAGAATATATTGTTTAATTTCCACATATTTTTGAATTTTTTTCTTTTTGTTTTTGATTTAGTTTCATTCCATTGTGGCTGGAAAAGATACTTGGAATTATTTCAAACTTCTTATATTTGTTAGGACTTGTTTTCTGACCTAGCATGTGATCAACCCTGTAGAATGTTCTGTTTGCACTTGAGGACACTGTGTGTTCTGCTACTTTTGGGTGGAATGTTTTATATCTGTCTGTTAGGTTTATTTGATCTATAGTGTTGTTCAAGTTTGATATTTTCTTTTGATCTTCTGTCTGGATGATTTGTTCATTATTTTAAGTGGTGATTGAAGTATCCTAGTATTTTTCTATTGCTATCTATTTCTCCTGCAGATCTGTCAATCTTTATGTATTTAGCAGCTTTTATGTTGCATGCATATATAATTGTTTTATTTTCCTGTATTCAGTTTTCCCTTTTATTATTATGTAATGACCTTCTTTGTCTCTTATTAACAGTTTTTGACATAAAGTCTATTTTGTCTGATGTAACTACAGTCACCCTTGCTCTCTTTTGGCTACCATTTGTATGAAATACCCTTTTTCATCTCTTCTGTTTCAGCTTGTGTGTGTTCTTAAATTTAAGGTGTATTTGTTGCAGACAGCATACAGTTGGATCTTGTTTTTTAACTCCTTTCATTACTTTACCTCCTTTGATTGGTGAATTTTACATTTAACGTGATTGATAGATAAGAACTATTGCCATTGTTAATTTTTTTCTGTCCGTTTTATAGTTATTTTTGTTTTGTATTGCTGTTTTCACTTTGATATGATGATTTTTTTTGTAATAATATACTTTTTTTTCTTTTTATCTTTTTTTGTACCTACTATGGGTGTTTTCCTCATGGTTATCCTGAGGCTTGCATAAAATTTCTTAATAGTTATGACAGTCTGTTTGAAGCTGATACAGTCTTAACTTCAATTGCATATAAAAACTATACACTTATAATGCCTTTGCCACACACTCTATGTTATTTATGTCAGAACGACTCTTTATGTTGTGTATCTTATCAGCACATTTTTGTGGGTAGTTTTTATTTTTTAAATACTTTGGTGCTAGGACCAGTCCTTGGACATACCACTGCCCATAGACACCAGTGGACCTAACTTGCCCATAGACCCTAGGACCTAACACACCTGCCTTTGTGTCTGTGGGCAGGCATGTTAGGTCCTAGGGTCTGTGGGCAAGTGGGTCTGCAGGGAGTAGGGTCAGTCTGGTGGTGTGGTCTGTAGGTGGACAGGCCTGGTGCTAGGATTTGTGGCAAAGGTAGACACTCACCTTACTCTTTCTTTCTCCCATTGGAGAACTTGTGGGCCAAGGGAATCTGCTGAAGGCTGATTTCTGGAGTTCTCTTGAAGGTAATTTTTTATTTAGATGGTTGTTAATTTTGTGTTTCCATGGAGAAATGAATTTTGGAACCTCCTATTGTGGCATTTTATAGATATCTGCTTCTCGGATTTTCAGTTTCTTGAGCCAGTTTCGAAAAGTTGTTTTCTAGGAATTTGTCCGTTTCATCTAGATTTTCATATTTATTACCATAACATTGTTCATAATATACTTTTTTATCTTTTTGAAGTCAGTAGGATCTGTAATGTTTCCTGATTTTGATTATTATTGCCGCCTTTTTTTGTTTTGTGTTGCTGGGAGCTTATCAAATTAACAACCAACTTTTAGCTTTGTCATTCTTCTCTATTGTATATTTTTTTGTATTAAAAATTCTGTTCTCATCTTTATTTACTTCCTTCATTGGATTTAATCTGCTGTCCATTTTCAAAGTTCCTTGGATGAATTTTTACATCATTGATTTTTAGCATTACTTACTTTCTCTTTTTTTTGAGACAGTCTCGCTCTGTTACCCAGGCCAGAGTGCAGTGGTATGATCTCAGCTCACTGCAACCTCTTGCCTCCCAGGTTCAAGTGATTCTCCTGCCTCAGCCCCCCAAGTAGCTGGGAGTACAGGCGTGTGCCACCACACCTGGCTAATTTTTTTGTATTTTTAGTAGAGATGGAGTTTCACCGTGTTGGCCAGGGTGGTTTCAAACTTCTGACCTCAAGTGATCCCCCTTCCTCTGCATCCCAAAATGCTGGGATTACAGGCATGAGCTACCGCTCCTGGCCACTTTCTCTCTTGTATATGCATTTCAAGCTATAAATTTTTTTAAGCACTCTAATCTGTGACACAAATTTGTTTAATCTATTAATATTAATTTGTCAAACAATTGGTATATCTTTAGATATTAAACACTAATATTCCTCTAAGTATTCTTATATTCCTTATGCAAATAATCAAACTTACTGATAATGCAATAAAAATTCCCAGATATTTAAACACGTATTGCGAACTTTAATACTTTTATTGATTGGAGTCATAAAATTTAATAATAAGTGTTTTTCAAATGATCTAAACACATTAAGAAGCAGAAAAAAATGCACCATATATCTAAATTATTACCCCAAACCAGTTACATCATTAAATACCATGAATTTTACTGTTTCATATCCTGATGATAATATAATTCTACTGCTCCAATTTTTCTGTTTTTGTAGGTATAGGTAATTCAACCAGTTGCAATTATATTTTGCTTTTTACTTCTCTGGGTTTTAGTCATACCACCAAACTCAAAGGTAAAGAGCATGCGTTCTCAGATCAGCAAAGATACTGATTCTGTGTCACTCACCATTTGATTTTTGTGTTGGACATGAAAACTGATTTCTTAGTCCATGATGATTCGTATTTCAGCTATTGTTCTCTAGACCAAGTCTCCATTTAATCTGAGTTTTATGTGTTATATCATGGTACTTTTAAGTTCCCATCTTTCCTATAAATTTATTTTGAAAATTGGTTACCTTTCTCAGAAATAAGGAAGTCTTTAAATTTTGTTTGGCCAGACAGCCTTAACAGGTTATCCTGTTTTTTTTTTTTTTTTGTTCTTTTAATTGTATGCATATCTCCTAAAATGATCAGCAACTTATGCCTGCACTTCATTAAAATTATCATGTTCATCTAGGGTTTCATCTCCTGAGATAAGGTTTTAAGTCTGTATAGTTAGCTTACTTTTGGGGACTTTTGTCTCATGTATTATTGGGACACATTGCAGAATCTTTCTTCTAATTGGTTTTTGGATATAACTACCAATACTAATCAGCTGTGGGACTCACCTTATACTTAGTTACTAAAGGGCACCTCCAGTGCTGATTGGGTCTTCTTGTTTGTAGCATAATTCCTTCTTTTGGCTAGTGCTGTTTGGCTCACTACTAATTTTATTCATGCTGTTCTTCTTACAAAGATAAAAACAGACACATTTATGTGCTCTATAAATGAACACATAAAACATAATCAAAATTTTAAAACCCAAAATATACATGTATATCAATACTTTTCTATACATTATAAAAACAAGCTACTATATTTACCATTAGGTTTATATAGTGCATTTTGCGTTTTCTCTTGACCATTGTTGTGACGTCACGGTCTTTTGTAAAATAAAAAACATTAATGATCATTAGTTGGTATTTTTATTTTATGTGCAGTTTTTCAAAATGTAATTAGTATAATTCCCCTATTTACCTTTTCCTCCTTTTTTAGTGATGTCTATGATCTTGAAAGTAAAATTTACAGCAGGATGTTACAGACACATCCAATTTTTTCTCCTACTCCATTATATTGTGGTTCACTTACTAGTAGAGTATTAGGCACCAAAATATGAATGCTAAGGAAGCATCTCACAAGTTTTGATATTGTATTTTTAATCATTTTGTTTAACATATTTTCCAGTTTTTATTGAAATTTAGTTTTTAACCCATGGATTATTTAGGAGCATATTTTAAAATTTCCAAGTATATGGCAATTTTCTATTTATCTTAGTCTTATTGGTTTTAGGTTAATTGCAGTTGGTTAGGGAAGAAGCTGTGTATGATTTCAGTCCTTTTAAATCTGCTGAAACTTGCTTTATGTTGCAAACAAATTGAATTTTGGTAAAAATTTTGTATGAGCTTGAAAAGGATTTTATTCTGTAGTTTGTGCAGTGGTTTATATATATTCACATACATGCAGATATACATATACACACATATACACACGTTTATGTTAATATACATATATTATACATGTATATACACATAAACATATATGTGTGTATATATGTATAATTCAGGTCAGTTTTGTTACTTCTGTATTCCTGTTTTGTTTGTTCACATGTTCTCATCAGTTGCTGCAAGAGTTACGTTAACATCGTCCACTATTATTTTACTTATTTATTTTTTGTTTGTTTTTTGAGATGAAGTCACACTCTTTTGCCCAAGCTAGAGTGCAGTGGGGCAATCTCGGCTCACCGCAACCTCTGCCTCCCAGGTTCAAGTGATTCTTTTGCCTCAGCCTCCTGTGTAGCTGTGATTACAGGTGTGTGCCAGCACACCTGGCTAATTTTTGTATTTTTTGTAGAGACAGAGTTTCACCATGTTGGCTAGGCTGGTCTCAAACTCCTGACCTCAGGTGATCCACCCACCTCAGCCTCCCAAAGTGCTGGGATTACAGGTGTGAACCACTGCGCCCAGCCATGTTATTTTGGATTTGTCTTTTTCTCTTTGTGTCTCTCAATTTTGCTTCATATCTTTCAAGGTTATACCATTAGGTACATAAGAAAATGTTAATCTTCTTGTGGAATTCAAGCTTTTTTCAATATGAAGTATTCCTGAAAGTCCACTTTGAAGTTAATAGAGCTACACCAGCCTTCTTTTGGTTAGTGTTTTCATGTTATTTTTATTTGTTTTCATTTTTGAGACAGGGCCTTACTCTGTTGCCCAGGCCGGAGTGCAGTGGTACAATCATGGCTCACCACAGCCTCAACCACCCCAGGCTCAGGCAGTCCTCCCACCTCAGCCTCCCGAGTAGCTGGGATTGCCGGTGTGCGCCACCACACCCAGCTGGTTTTCCTGTTCTTTGTAGAGATAGGGTTTCACCATGTTGCCCAGGCTGATCTCGAGCTCCTGGACTCAAGCAGTCTTCCTGCTTCCATCCCCCAAAGTGCTGAGATAACAGGTATGAGCCACCGTGCACCAGCCTCCATGTTATATTTTTGAATCCTTTTATTCTTTCTATATTCTTGTACTTTAGAATCTGATAGGAGTGTTATCAGAAACAGGCTTCAAAATATTCATACCTTATGCCCATACATAGACTTATATAAGGATGTTCGTAGTAGCTTTATTTGTAATAGCCAAAACCCAGAAACAGCCCAAATGTCTTTCAGTGGATTAATGGATCAACAACTTCAGGTCTACTTATACAATAGAAGTGACCCCCTCCCAAAGTACATACCATTTATTTACATGCAATTCTAAACTAATTATACAAACCAATCTATAGTGACAGAAGGCCGATCAGTGGTGGTTTAGGAATGTGGAGTACTAGGGTAGGAACAGGTAGAAGGCAAGGATTACAAAGGTGCCTAAAGAATCTTTGGGGGGTTATGGCTGTGTTAATTATGTTGACTGTGATGATGGTTTCACCAGTGTATATACACGTCAAACCTCATTTAATTGTACGCTTTAAATATGTGCAGTTTATTTGACATTATAGCACAATAAACCTGAAGAAAATAATCCTGCTCAATATTTTCAAAGAAGTAAAAGACAAGATAGGGGTATTAGTAATTCTGTATCACCTTAATCCAGTTTTAAGTACTGAGATGATTTGAGGCTGGGCAGTATTCCCAGGGATAGTCAGTTTATTTTAGGTTCCCTAGGGTAGCCTTCAGTGTATGGTCTCCAAGCATCAGGTATTTAACAACACTCCCTTATTTGGCTCCAGTTTTGTTGTTGTTGTTGTTTTTGTGTTTTTTGAGACAGAGTCTCGCTGTGTTGCTCAGGCTGGAGTGCAGTGGCACGCTCTCAGCTCACTGCAACCTCTGCCTCCCAGGCTCAAGTGATTCTCATGCCACAGGCTCCCAAATAGCTGGGATAACAGGTATATACCACCACACCCAGCTAATTTTTGTGTTTTTAGTAGAGATGGGGTTTTGTCATGTTGGCCAGGCTGGTCTCAAACTCCTGGCCTCAGGTGATCTGCCCGCCTCAGCCTCCCAAAATGTGGCTCCAGTTTTTGTTCCACATTCCTTTGTGCCTGTCAGTAGCCCTGCTTATCTTCTAAACCTTCATCTGGATTTCAGATTGGCAAATACCCTGGGGGAAAAGTACTCCCAAATGCTGACTTTATCTTTTGGTTTTCTTTTTTTCTTTCCAGATCTGTGTCCTGTAATTTATTTTCTGTTTTCTTGACTCATTAATGCCTTTAATCAGATTTATCCAGCTTTTCTATTTGTTTCCATCAGAGAAGTTAGTCCAAATTACTGAATATACATTACTAGAAATGAAAGTAATTTGTTTACATTGAACACTCTTTAAACTTTTTTAAGAGACAGACTCGAGTCTGGGCGTGGTGACTCACGCCTGTAATCCCAGCACTTTGGGAGGCCGAGGCGGGTGGATTAAGAGGTCAAGAGCTCGAGACCATCCTGGCCAACCAACAGGGTGAAATCCCATCTCTAGTAAAAATACAAAAATTAGCTGGGTATAGTGGTGCACACCTGTAGTCCCAGCTACTCGGGAGGCTGAGGCAGGAGAATTGCTTGAACCCAGGAGGCGGAGGTTGCAGCGAGCTGAGATCGCGCCACTGCACTCCAGCCTGGGTAACAGAGTGAGACTCCGTCTCAAAAAAACAAAAAAAAAGAGACGGACTCGCTCTGTTGTCTAGGCTGGAGTACAGTGGTGTAATCATAGCTCACAGTAGGCTTGAACTCCTGCAGCCAAGTGGTTCTCCCACCGTCAATCTCTTGAGTAGCTGGGACTGCATATGCATACTACTATACCCAAATAATTTTTTTATTATAAAAAATTGTTAATAGAGATGGGATCTTACTATGTTGCCCAGGCTAGTCTCAAAATCTTGGCCTCAAGCAATCCTCCTGCTTGGGCCTCCCAATTTGATGGGATTACAGGCATGAGCCACCAAGCTGGACCTAAATCGAACGTTATTTCAGATATTCTTTGTTCGTTTTTATTTGTTCATTTGTACTTTCTGGTTATATGAGGACTCCTATTTTTGTTTTGTTTTGTTTTGAGACAAGATCTCGCTCTGTTGCCCAGGCTGGAGTGTGGTGGTAGAATTGCGGCTCACTGCAGCCTTGACTTTCTGGACTCAAATGATTGTCCTATCTCAGCCTCCTGAGTAGCTGGGACCACAGGCACAAATCACCACACCTGGCTAATTGTTTCTATTATTTGTGGAGATGGGGGGTCTCACTATGTTGCTTAGGCTGGTATTGAACTCTTGGGCTCAGGTGATCCTCCTGCCTCATCCTGGACTACATTTTTAAAAAGCAAATTTGCTACCTATCTTGAATGATGGATATCTAGATGCAGCAATGATTCAATTTTCCTGTTATGGATTAATGAAGTTCTAGGACATTGTCAATGATAGTCCTAGGATCTGGTCAGTGATAGTCATTGAGAAATTACAATATGAACTATAGAAACGTTTGAAGGATTGTTGATTTGAAAGTATCTTCTAATTTTTCCAAAAAGGGAAGTTTATGTAAATAGTTTTGCTGTTAGTGTTGGTCAAGGTTCTCAATTGAGTTTTTTGGTTTTTTTTTTTTTTTTGAGATGGAGTCTTGCTCTTGTTGCCCAGGCTGGAGTGCAGTGGCACAATCTCGGCTCACCGCAACCTCTCCCTCCCGGGTTCAAGCGATTCTCCTGCCTCAGCCTCTTCAGTAGCTAGGATTGCAGGCGTGCATCACGGCTAATTTTGTATTTTTAGTAGAGACGGGGTTTCTCCACGTTGGTGAGGCTGGTCCCAAACTCTTCACCTCAGGTGATCCACCTGCCTTGGCCTCCCAAAGTGTTGGGATTACAATCGTGAGCCACCGTGCCTGGCCTCAATTAATTGACTTTTAAAAAATGCTTCAATTCACTTAAAAAAGGAAGTATAATTAGATGTATACTTGAAAAACAATAAAGTGTAAATTAGTTATTTATTCAATACTCAAAAATGTTGGCAATGAGCTATGAACTTGATATTATCTCATTTCAATCTTTATAAGTACCGTAAGGAAGGTATTTGTATTTGAGGCTACCAGTGCTTACTCACACCTGTTTCTCCTTCCTTGGCAGAAAGAAACCCTGTGTAGTTCTCTTTGTACGTAGGAAGTGCCATGTAACTAATTTTAGGCAATGAAATTTTAACAAATTGATGTGCCATGTCTGGGCTGAGGCATATAAGAGATACTGTACCACCTGGCCACCCGTATCCCTTTTTCTACCAAGCTATAACCACACTGATTTTCTTTTTGTCCAGCCAGCACACTAAGCTTGTTCCCTTTGTTCTTTCTGTTTTGGATGCATGCATTCTTTTCATCATAGAGATGGAGGATTATTCCTTTGAGAAGACGACATTTAAGTTGTGACCTGAATTTGAAGATAATTTTGAAGTAGAGAATTTAAATCCGAATAATCTTTGATCCCACCATTTGATAGGGTAGATGTAACACAAATAAAAGCTGTTATAGCTGCACATGGAAAATTTTGTTGTCAATTAAAATCTGATAGGAACACTATCATCTTGACAAAATTTAGATCTGTAAAATTTGACTTTGGAAAAATAGACTTGGTTAGGAAAAGGTACAAATTGGGCCACTCACCCAAATTTTACTGTGATACAAGCTAACATTAAAAAAATTGATATGGTTATAAAACAAATTAAAATTGTTATCACAAAATGTACATGAATTGCTCCAGCAATTCAGTGAAATGAACACTTTTTAATAAAATAAATGGTCTAACTATGCTATAGAAAATCAAGATAGGATATTGGCTCAGTGAAACTGGCTCAGGAAAAAAAGATACATCCTTGATGCCAGGGTAAAAGCATTTACAAGATCAAAATGAGGGGTAAAAACAACTACCTCAACCAACATCTCAAATCCTCTGCATACCTGTTTTTAATAGCTTATCCATATTTTTAAAATTTTATCTGATAGGTATGGCAGAATGTAAGGGGACATATAAATGAGAGAAATAGATATTTGTATTAGAATTATAATTTTAAATCTGGATCTTTGATGAATAATACTGATGTGTCAGTATTAAATCATTATATCTGTTAGGTCCTTTGGGAAGAAGATGCTGAGGTGGAGTTAGGAGTGCAAGAGGTTGATTGAGGAACAATGACTGTGAAGGATTAATGAAAACAACATAGGGCCAGGGGAGTCTCCTCACCATGATGCAGAGCTGACAGTCTCAGCCAGCCCAGTAGGGAGACCAAGAGTAAGATTGTATATCGAAGGAGTCCCATGTTAGGCAGAAATGACCAGGCCTTAGTATTACAGCTGTGCTTAGTCATTGGTTGGGAGATAACTTGGGAAGATAATAGTTTTAACCGGAATGCTGATGCAGAACCTGAAGGCTCTAATAGCTAATTACCCTCCCTGCAGCTGAGTCATAAATTCTTTCTTGAAAGGAGATCTGAGTGGCTCATATCTTTGGCTGACTTACTAATCAATACCTTTTTTTTTTTTTTGGAGAATTATCACAGGTTGTTTAAAATGATACAGAATCTTTGAGAGAGAGAGATATATATATATATTTGGTTAGGATATACACCAAGAGGTTAAGAAAAAAAATGAATACTTTTAAGCTTAGAGATCTTAAAAATCAGTGGTATAAGATTAAGATTATGAAATATGGATTATTCATAATAGGAGCACCCGGCAGTACAAAGATTTTGGTGGGGAGGGTAGGGGAGAGGATTGACTACACAGTTCTTGTACTTTAAGACAGGAATAGAATTCTTCCTATTCAGTTTTGATGATGATTAGAACATAATACTTATGATACATGTGAAGAAATCTTGTCAAAATATGATAAAAATGGAAAGAATTGATAGAAATGACAAGATAACTACTTTGTAAGGAAAAATTAAAGAGTTCAATTTGTATATAAATATGAAACTTTCAAAGGGAAGACATGATAGAGTAAATGAAAAGATATGAAAATTAGTACTAAAAATCTAAAAATAGGTCTTCGTATGTGGCTAATTAGCTTCTTTGGCTGAAAATATTTCCTTAAAAGGGAGGTGTAGACCATTTATGTTTTCAGCATTTTCTATTATAGACTGGATTCATGACCTCTGGCAACTGGGGTTATGCAGATGGCAAATTTGTACTCTTGGTTTTCCTGAATGAAACAGCACAAATTTATCACTCCCTATCAGAGATAACAACTTCTAATTCTAAGTACAAAGTAAATGACTTGTCTGAAGGACTCCTTGCTGTTATAGAAGTAACAGAATTTAGTTTGGGGAAGCTTGAAAATAGGCTTCATATTTAGGAAATAAACTTTTCCCAAATGAAAGCATCTTTTCTCTTGTCATAGAAGTAGAAGATACTCATTTTAAAAGTTCTAAACTGGTCACAATTGTGTGTACCTGTAGTCCCAGCTGCTCAGGAGGCTGAGACAGGCGGATTGGTTGAGCCCAGGAGTTCAAGACTGCAGTGAGCTATGATCTCACCAATGTACTCCAGCCTCGGTGACAGAGCAAGACCTTGTCCCTTACAAAAAAAAAAAAAAAATTAAGACAAAATAAAAATGTAAAAAAGAAACCCTACTACTTTCATGTAATTCTGCTAACATTTTGGTCTATGTATTTCCTGACTTCTTAAAAATACATGTGTACTGAGGGGTGGAGCCAAGATGGCCGAATAGGAACAGCTCCAGTCTACAGCTCCCAGCGTGAGCGACGCAGAAGATGGGTGATTTATGCATTTCCAACTGAGGTACCGCGTTCATCTCACTGGGGAGTGCCGGACAGTGGGTGCAGGATAGTGGGTGCAGCGCACCGAGCGTGAGCTGAAGCAGCACGAGGCATCCCCTCACCTGGGAAGTACAAGGGGTCGGGAATTCCCTTTCCTAGTCAAAGAAAGGGGTGACAGACGGCACCTGGAAAATCGGGTCACTCCCACCCTAATACTGTGCTTTTCCAATGGGCTTAACAAACGGCACACCAGGAGATTATATCCCGCACCTGGCTCGGAGGGTCCTATGCCCATGGAGCCCTGCTCATTGCTAGCACAGCAGTCTGAGATCAAACTGCAAGGCGGCAGTGAGGCTGGGGGAGGGGCGTCCGCCATTGCCAAGGCTTGAGTAGGTAAACAAAGCGGCCGGGAAGCTCGAACTGGGTGGAGCCCACCACAGCTCAAGGACGCCTGCCTGCCTCTGTAGGCTCCACCTCTGGGGGCAAGGCACAGACAAACAAAAGGCAGCAGTAACCTCTGCAGACCTAAATGTCCCTGTCTGACAGCTTTGAAGAGAGTAGTGGTTCTCCCAGCACGCAGCTTGAGATCTGAGAACTGGCAGACTGCCTCCTCAAGTGGGTCCCTGACCCCTGAGTAGCCTAACTGGGAGGCACCCCCCAGTAGGGGTGGACTGACACCTCACACAGCTGGATACTCCTCTGAGACAAAACTTCCAGAGAAACGATCAGGCAGCAGCATTTGCAGTTCACCAATATCCGCTGTTCTGCAGCCACCGCTGCTGATACCGAGGCAAACAGGGTCTGGAGTGGACCTCCAGCAAACTCCAACAGACCTGAAGCTGAGGGTCCTGACTGTTAGAAGGAAAAGTAACAAACAGAAAGGACATCCACACCAAAAACCCATCTGTACATCACCATTGTCAAAGACCAAAGGTAGATAAAGCCACAAAGATGGGGAAAAAACAGAGCAGAAAAACCAGAGACTCTAAAAATCAGAGCGCTTCTCCTCCTCCAAAGGAACGCAGCTCCTCACCAGCAACGGAACACAGCTGGACGGAGAATGACTTTGACGAGTTGAGAGAAGGCTTCAGAAGATCAAACTGCTCCGAGGTAGAGGAGAAAGTTCGAACCAATGGCAAAGAAGTTAAAAACCTTGAGAAAAACATTAGATGAATGGCTAACTAGAATAACCAATACTGAGAAGTCCTTAAAGGACCTGATGGAGCTGAAATCCACGGCATGAGAATTAAGTGACGAATGCACAAGCCTCAGTAGCCGATTCGATCAACTGGAAGAAAGGGTATCAGCGATGGAAGATGAAATGAATGAAATGAAGCAAGAAGAGAAGTTTAGAGAAAAAAGAATGAAAAGAAATGAACAAAGCCTCCAAGAAATAAGGGACTATGTGAAAAGACCAAATCTATGTCTGATTGGTGTACCTGAAAGTGACGGGGAGAATGGAACCAAGTTGGAAAACACTCTGCAGGATATTATCCAGGAGAACTTCCCCAATCTAGCAAGGCAGGCCAACATTCAAATTCAGGAAATACAGAGAACGCCACAAAGATACTCCTTGAGAAGAGCAACTCCAAGATACATAACTGTCAGATTCACCAAAGTTGAAATGAAGGAAAAAATGTTAAGGCAGCCAGAGAGAAAGGTCGGGTTACCCACAAAGGGAAGCCCATCAGACTAACAGCGGATCTCTCAGCAGAAACTCTACAAGCCAAAAGAAACTGAGGGCCAACATTCAACATTCTTAAAGAAAAGAATTTTCAACCCAGAATTTCATATCCAGCCAAACTAAGCTTCATAAGTGAAGGAGAAATAAAATCCTTTACAGACAAGCAAATGCTGAGAGATTTTGTCGCCACCAGGCCTGCCCTAAAAGAGCTCCTGAGGGAAGCACTAAACATGGAAAGGAACAACCGGTACCAGCCACTGCAAAAACATGCCAAATTGTAAAGACCATCAAGGCTAGGAAGAAACTGCATCAACTAACAAGCAAAATAACCAGCCAGCATCATAATGACAGGATCAAATTCACACATAACAATATTAACCTTAAATGTAAATGGTCTAAATGCTCCAATTAAAAGACACAGACTGGCAAATTGGATAAAGAGTCAAGACCCATCAGTGTTCTGTATTCAGGAAACCCATCTCACATGCAGCGACACACATAGGCTCAAAATAAAGGGATGGAAGATCTACCAAGCAAACGGAAAACAAAAAAAGGCAGGGATTGCAATCCTAGTCTCTGATAAAACAGACTTTAAACCAACAAAGATCAAAAGAGACAAAGAAGGCCATTACATAATGGTAAAGGGATCAATTCAACAAGAAGAGCTAACTATCCTAAATATATATGCACCCAATACAGGAGCACCCAGATTCATAAAGCAAGTCCTTAGTGACCTACAAAGAGACTTAGACTCCCACACAATAATAATGGGAGACTTTAACATCCCACTGTCAACATTAGACAGATCAACCAGACAGAAAGTTAACAAGGATATCCAGGACTTGAACTCAGCTCTGCACCAAGCGGACCTAATAGACATCTACAGAACTCTCCACCCCAAATCAACAGAATATACATTTTTTTCAGCACCACACCACACCTGTTCCAAAATTGACCACATAGTTGGAAGTAAAGCACTGCTCAGCAAATGTAAAAGAACAGAAATTATCAGAAACTATCTCTCAGACCACAGTGCAATCAAACTAGAACTCAGGATTAAGAAACTCACTCAAAACCACTCAACTACATGGAAACTGAACAACCTGCTCCTGAATGACTACTGGGTACGTAACGAAATGAAGGCAGAAATAAAGAGTTCTTTGAAACCAACAAGAACGAAGACACAACGTACCAGAATCTCTGGAACACATTCAAAGCAGTGTGTAGAGGGAAAGTTATAGCACTAAATGCCCATAAGAGAAAGGAGGAAAGATCTAAAATTGACACCCTAACATCACAATTAAAAGAACTAGAAAAGCAAGAGCAAACACATTCAAAAGCTAGCAGAAGGCAAGAAATAACTAAGAGAGCAGAACTGAAGGAAATAGAGACACAAAAAACCCTTCAAAAAATCAATGAATCCAGGAGCTGGTTTTTTGAAAAGATCAACAAAATTGATAGACTGCTAGCAAGAGTAATAAAGAAGAAAAGAGAGAAGAATCAAATAGATGCAATAAAAAATGACAAAGGGGATATCACCACCTATCCCACAGAAATACAAACTACCATCAGAGAATACTATAAACACCTCTACACAAATAAACTAGAAAATCTAGAAGAAATGGATAAATTCCTCGACACACCCTCCCAAGACTAAACCAGGAAGAAGTTGAATCTCTGAATAGACCAATAACAGGAGCTGAAACTGTGGCAATAATTAATAGCTTACCAACCAAAAAAAAAAGTCCAGGACCAGATGGATTCACAGCCGAATTCTACCAGAGGTACAAGGAGGAGCTGGTACCATTCCTTCTGAAACTATTCCAATCAATGGAAAAAGAGGGAATCCTCCCTAACTCATTTTATGAGGCCAGCATCATCCTGATACCAAAGCCTGGCAGAGACACAACAAAAAAGAATTTTAGACCAATATCCTTGATGAACATTGATGCAAAAATCCTCAATAAAATACTGGCAAACCGAATCCAGCAGCACATCAAAAAGCTTATCCACCACGATCAAGTGGGCTACATCCCTGGGATACAAGGCTGGTTCAACATGCCAAAATCAATAAATGTAATCCAGCATATAAACAGAACCAAAGACAAAAACCACATGATTATCTCAATAGATGCAGAAAAGGCCTTTGAAAATTCAACAATGCTTCATGCTAAAAACTCTCAATAAATTAGGTATTGATGGGACGTATCTCAAAATAATAAGAGCTATCTATGACAAACCTACAGCCAATATCATACTGAATGGGCAAAAACTGGAAGCATTCCTTTTGAAAACTGGCACAAGACAGGGATGCCCTCTCTCACCACTCCTATTGAACATAGTGTTGGAAGTTCTGGCCAGGGCAATCAGGCAGGAGAAGGAAATAAAGGGCATTCAATTAGGAAAAGAGGAAGTCAAACTGTCCCTGTTTGCAGATGACATGATTGTATATCTAGAAAACCCCATCGTCTCAGCCCAAAATCTCCCTAAGTTGATAAGCAACTTCAGCAAAGTCTCAGGATACAAAATCAATGTGCAAAAATCACAAACATTCTTATACACCAATAACAGACAAACAGAGAGCCAAATCATGAGTGAACTCCCATTCACAATTGCTTCAAAGAGAATAAAGTACCTAGGAATCCAAGTTACAAGGGATGTGAAGGACCTCTTCAAGGAGAACTACAAACCACTGCTCAAGGAAATAAAAGAGGATACAAACAAATGGAAGAACATTCCATGCTCATGGGTAGGAAGAATCAATATCGTGAAAATGGCCATACTGCCCAAGGTAATTTACAGATTCAATGCCATCCCCATCAAGCTACCAATGACTTTCTTCACAGAATTGGAAAAAACTACTTTAAAGTTCATATGGAACCAAAAAAGAGCCTGCATCGCCAAGTCAATCCTAAGCCAAAAGAACAAAGCTGGAGGCATCACACTACCTGAGTTCAGACTATATACAAGGCTACAGTAACCAAAACAGCATGGTACTGGTACCAAAACAGATATATAGACCAATGGAACAGAACAGAGCCCTCAGAAATAATGCCGCATATCTACAACTATCTGATCTTTGTCAAACCTGACAAAAACAAGCAATGGGGAACAGATTCCCTATTTAATAAATGGTGCTGGGAAAACTGGCTAGTCATATGTAGAAAGCTGAAACTGGATCCCTTCCTTACACCTTATACAAAAATTAATTCAAGATGGATTAAAGACTTAAACGTTAGACCTAAAACCATAAAAACCCTAGAAGAAAACCTAGGCAATACCATTCAGGACATAGGCATGGGCAAGGACTTCATGTCTAAAACACCAAAAGCAATGGCAACAAAAGCCAAAATAGACAAATGGAATCTAATTAAACTAAAGAGCTTCTGCACAGCAAAAGAAACTACCATCAGAGTGAACAGGCAACCTACAGAATGGGAGAAAATTTTTGCAACCTACTCATCTGACAAAGGTCTAATATCCAGAATCTACAATGAACTCAAACAAATTTACAAGAAAAAAACAACCCCATCAAAAAGCGGGCAAAGGATATGAACAGACACTTCTCAAAAGAAGACATTTATGCAGCCAAAAAACACATGAAAAAATGCTCATCATCACTGGCCATCAGAGAAATGCAAATCAAAACCACCATGAAATACCATCTCACACCAGTTAGAATGGCAATCATTAAAAAATCAGGAAACAACAGGTGCTGGAGAGGATGTGGAGAAATAGGAACACTTTTATACTGTTGGTGGGACTGTAAACTAGTTCAACCATTGTGGAAGTCAGCGATTCCTCAGGGATCTAGAACTAGAAATACCATTTGACCCAGCCATCCCATTACTGGGTATATACCCAAAGGATTATAAATCATGCTGCTATAAAGACACATGCACATGTATGTTTATTGTGGCACTATTCACAATAGCAAAGACTTGGAACCAAGCCAAATGTCCAACAATGATAGACTGGATTAAGAAAATGTGACACATATACACCATGGAATACTATGCAGCCATAAAAAATGATGAGTTAATGTCCTTTGTAGGGACATGGATGAAGCTAGAAACCATCATTCTCAGCAAACTATCACAAGGACAAAAAACCAAACACCTCATGTTCTCACTCATAGGTGGGAATTGAACAATGAGAACACATGGACACAGAAAGGGGTACATCACACACCCGGGCCTGTTGTGGGGTTGGGGAGGGGGGAGGGATAGTATTAGGAGATACACCTAATGCTAAATGACGAGTTGATGGGTGCAGCACACCAGCATGGCACATGTATACATATGTTACAAACCTGCACGTTGTGCACATGTACCCTAAAACTTAAACTATAATAATAATAAAATTAAGAAAAAAATACATGTGTACCACATGCAAAAAACATGTTTTGTTTCTTAAATGTTACTTCATAGTATAATGCTGTTTTGTGACTCGTTTATTTTCTTGGTTTTTTGGGACATCTTTCTATGCTAATAAAGATAAATGCTACTTTTAGTAGCTGTACACTGTCTTTTAAAAAAATGAATAGCCTTTATTGTGACCGGGTCGTGACCATGAATATGCCATAATTTATTTTAAAAATTGCCAGTGTTAAATATCCAAATGACACATAGGTCATTTAAATTTTTTCAGTGTTTTCAGTTTTATAGTAAACAGGCTTATATGTGTCTTCTGGCTGCTTATTTCTGTTGGATAAAATTTGGTAATGAAAATCCTGGTTTAAAAGGCATGAATATTTTTTAAGACTTTGAAAAACATACTGCTAATCGACTCCTTTACATTTTATTTCAAACTGTGGGGTATATGAGTGCTTTTTTCTTTTTAAAAAAGATCTCATCAGCTGTGGGCATTGTCAGTCAATTTAACTTTTGCCAACCTTATTACAAATGGTTGAGTCTAAAATGATGAAATGTTCTTGGGAAGAAGTCAGAATAATTTCCCGTGAGATAGTTAGAAGTAAACTGCACAAAATGTTATTTTAAGAACTTTCATGACAGAATGGATGAATGCTTTTGATAGAATTAAATAAATGAAGGCAAAAAACCCAGCACTTTTTTCTTTTTGAAAATGGTGTGTCATCTAGAATTTCTGTAAAGATAATACAAGACACAAAAATGGATCACTTATTAGGAAATAAATTTCTATTTATAATAGCACAAATACAACCTCTATGACTAGTCTTTAGGGACAGCCCTTGTCTAGGATTTAGATGTTTACTATTTTCTTAAGAACATTGTTATACCACTTAGACGACGGGTTTTTTTTTTTAATAGGAAATTGGGTTTTCAAAATGCTGCCTCTATTAAAAAGATCTTTTTCATTTATCTGGCATAATTTCATGTTCCACTTGTGTCTTTTTTTTTAAAGAAGAAGTGTTTTTATTTTTGTTTGTTGAAACAGTTAAATACCAATAATATTCTCAAATTGGTATATTTTAAGATATGAGTTCATTTGGAAGATTGCCAGTGATTTGTTGAGTTTCTTAATTTATATAAGTTCAGTTGTTTTTCATCCTAATTCTGAGGTAACATAGATTATCAGGGACAACGAAGGGAATGTTTTTATGTTCACTTTATTTTTAATAAAAATACACTATGAGCTTTTATTTGTTAAATTAGTCTCCTCATACCCCTCTATCTCCAAGATGGCAAACCTATTTAAAATGAAACACTATTTGAAATGTGTGAAAATTTGAGTTTATCTTGAGCTTTCAGTTAATAAAATTTATAAGCACCATCACTTACTCTTATTGTATTAGCCATTGGGCATCCTGGTAAATCATGCAGGTGTGGTCCCTGTTCTCATGGAGCTGTAGGCCTGTAGGGGTCTTAGGCAATAAAAGCAAAACAAAACAACAACACCATAATTAAGCAATTTGTGACAAGTACTATAAAGGGAAAATATAGTGTTAGATAATGGAAAATCTATTTTCAACAAGGTGGTCAGGGTAGGTACTCTGAAGAGGTGACATACAAACTAACATGTGAAGAATTCGAAGGAACCAGCCATGTATGCAGAAAGGGGAGTAAACCAGTTTGAGGGGACAGCCTATTAAAAAAACTTTAGGTATGAAAGAACTTGGTATGTTCAAGGAATTGAAAGGATGCTTCTGTGGCTGGAATATAGTGGGTGACATTGAGGCTAGAATTGGATGAATGACGTTGTGGAGGTAGGGGCCAGATCATACAGATCTTGTAAGCTTAGTAAGGAGCTTAGATTTTATTAAAAGTGCAATGGGAAGCAAATGAAGTAAAGTGACATGATCTAATTTATTTTGGCTGTTGTGAGAATTATGGATGGGGAGTGGGGAGACTAATAAGAAGTGATGGTGGCTGGATCTAGTGTAAAAGCAATAGAGATTGAGGGAAATGTATGCATTCAAAATATAGTTGACCATTTAACAACATGAGCTTAGACAACATGGGTCTACTTATACATGGATCTTTTTTCAATAACTATATTGGAAAATTATTTGGTGATGTGTGACAATTTGAAAAAACTTGCAGACAAACTGCATAGCCTAGAAATATTGGGAAAATTAAGAAAAAGGTGTTGCATGAATACATAAAATATAAGTAGATACTAGTCTATCTTACCATAAAATATACACAAATCTATTATAAAAAGTTAAAATTTATGAAAACTTACGCCACAAACACTGTAGACTATACATGACACCATTCAGTTGAGAAATGTAAACAAATGTAAAGATACAGTATTAAAACTGCATAAAATATACTGAAGTATATACTGTAGTATTGTTAATAATTTTGTAGCTGCCTCCTGTTGCTATTGTGGTGAGCTCAAGTCTTGCGAGTATCTGCTTAAAATACCTTAAAATACCATATGATGCCAGTCATCTCCAAGTGAACAGTTT
Source organism: Homo sapiens (assembly GCF_000001405.40). Lineage (NCBI taxonomy): Eukaryota > Metazoa > Chordata > Mammalia > Primates > Hominidae > Homo > Homo sapiens. Next base: position 10,223,800 of record NC_000011.10, on the reverse strand, counting down.
ATCTCTCCAGTAAGTTGGATACGATAGTTAAAAATTCTCACTCTTGATTATTTTTCATCATGTTTAGTTGAATAACACTATGGGACTCATACACAGTGCCACTAGCGATGCTGGAAGTGTTCCTGAGAAACAGACAAAAGTCATGCCATTACAAGAAAAAGTTTAATTGCTTGATATGTAGTGTAGATTGAAGTCTGCAGCTTTAGTTGCCAACCATTTCAGACAGAGATTCATTTATAAACAGATGACATAAACTTTCAGTATTGATAAATACAGTACAATACTATAAATGCATTTTCTCTCCCTTATGATTTTAAAACGTTTTCTTTTCTGTAGCTTACTTTATTGTAAGAATACTATATATATATATATATATATATATATATATATATATATATATAATGTGCAAAATATGTGTTGTTTATTGGTAAGGCTTCTGGTCAGCAGTAGGCTCTCAGTAGCTAAGTTGTTGAAGAGTTAAAAGTTATGTGCAGATTTTTGACGGCTCTAGGGGTTGGGGTTCCTAACTCCCAAGTTGTTCAAGGGTCATCTGTATATTTAGAAGATAAAAATGACAGGACTCATTAAGGAATTGAATATCGGACAGGAGGGAAACATAATTGATGTTGGTACTTCTAGCTTGTTAGATTTTATGTAATCAGTGAGTGCGTTAAAGTATTTACTTAACAAATAATTTGTTTCTACTGAGTTACTTTTTATTTGTATTCTTGGTTTTATAAAATGAATACAACTTGTAAATACAGTTTGAGAGGTAAACAGACTGATGGCCTAAATATAGAGATCTACCGATAAAACGTCTCTGAAGATGTAGCATAAATTAATAAAAATGATATATATATATAAGGTTATTGAAACTCATTTATTGCCTAAAGGACATTATCTGTCCTGGGTAATTAATCCATTTATGCCTAGTGTTCCATTATTGGAATGCTAAGCTTGTGGAAGTTATTTATATCCTGCTGCTCAGGGTCATCGCCAAGGTCTGATTTTTTCACAAAAGAAATTTGCAACCTCCAATATAAATGGGTTAATAAATATTTGTTGAATTAATGAGTGTATTTTAAGACATATCCGATGCTCTCTTTCCTTCTGAAGACTTGAGTTTCCATCTAGCAACCTTCAGAAATCTTTTAGCATTGTATGTGCAGACCAGTCATGAGGCTCTGTTCCTTTTTCCCCCCAATTTGCTTTTTCTCAGTTCTTCAAATTCGGTAATTTATTGATCTGTTTTCAAGTGTACCTTTTTCTCTGTCGTCTTCATTCTGCTGTTAAGCCATCAGTGAATGTTTTTATTTTAGATACTGTATTTTTCAGATCTAGAATTTCTACTTTGTTATTTTTTAGGTTTCTATTGCTTTGTTAATTTTTCAAACTTGTTGTGTTGTATTTTTCTCTGCATCATTAAGCAGAATCATAATAGTTGCTTGAAAATCTATGCTGATTCCAACATCTGGATCATCCTGGAGTTAGTTTCTATTGGTTTCCTTTTGTCTTGCAACTTGGCCACTTTTTCCTGATTTTTTTGTTAGTCAAGGAATTTTAGATTGTGTTTTGGATATTGTGAATATGAAGTTGTGGAGCCTCTGAATTCCATTATATTCCTCCAAAGAGTGTTGATGCTTGTTAGCAGGCAGTTAACATGATGGGACAAAAACTGCAAGCTCTGTCTCTTGAGCAGTAGTTCTTAGTTCAGTTCTTTTATCTCTACCTGGACTGCTTGCAGTCTGTCCTTTGCGTGTTTGGTTCAGGGGTCAGCCAGAAATTTGTACAGAGTTTGTAACTAGATTTTGTGTCTCTACCTTTCTGGGTCTCTTCTTCCTAGGATGTGTTTCTCACTTTTCAGCAACTGTGGTCTTCCTGAACTCTGTCCTTTGATTCTTCAAGATAGTAAAACAGTGGGGTTTATCTTAGAGTTTTAGGTACTTGCTATGGTGCTGACTGGATCTGCCCTCAGGCCAAAAGTTGTAGATGGGAAATTCACCTAATACCATACTCTTCCAAGTACTGACTGCCCTCTAATATTTGTCTGCTTTTGGTCACTCTTCAGTGCCTGATTTTTATATTTTGGTATATACCTATTTATATATAGGTAGCTGATTTTTATATTTTGTTCAGAATTTATAGTTGTTACCTGTGGGAACGTTAATCTAGTAGGTGCTTACTCAGCCATAGCATAAGCAGAATTCTCTCTTGTTACTTTTTGTGTGGGGAAATTCCCTCCATGATTGTGCCCCCTAATGTAGATACTAGCTTTGTAGCTGTATGATGCATAAATTAGTTGAGAAATTGTCATTTTGAATATCACTATTGTAAAGTGCTTGACTTGTGAGAAAAGCCACAGCTCTTAGGAAGTAACAGTCTTGGCTGGGCACAGTGGCTCATGCCTGTAATCCCAGCACTTTAGGAGGCTGAGGCGGGCAGATCACTTAAGGTCAGGAGTTTGAGACTAGCCTGGCCAACATGGTGAAACACTATCTCTACTAAAAATACAAAAATTAGCTGGGCGTGACGGCTCATGCCTGTAATCCCAGCTACTTGGGAGGCTGAGACAGGAGAATCACTTGAACCCGGGAGACAGAGGCTGCAATGAGCTGATATTGCGGCATTGTACTCCAGCCTGGGCAACAGAGCGAGTCTCAATTAAAAAAAAAAAAAAAAGGAAGTAACAGTCTAGTAGGGAAGACAAATAGGTAAATAGAAAATAGTAATATAAGTGAAAGGAGCCATGATAAGAGGTATAAACAGGATACTATGAAGAACACAGAGGAATAGAAGCTTAGCCCAGTCTGACAGGAAAGAGAGGAGATGAAAGAAGGCTTTCTAGAAGAGGTGATTCCTGTGTTTTATCTATGAGAAATAGGATGTGCCAAGTGAGGAATTAAATAAAGGGCTTTCTAGGAAGAAGAGAGAAGAACACAAATATGTATGTGGGGGCCTAACAATGAATGACAGGTTGGAAGAATTGCAAGTAGTTTTGGTGGGGCCACAGTATAGGGTATATATGGGGAAAGGGGGAAGTGTCAAAATATGAGGCCAGAGAAGTTAAACTGGAGCCAGATGATTCAAGGCCTTGAATCTCATGTCAAGAACTTTGAACTTTAAATCATAGATAGTGGGAAGCCATTGGTGCATTTTAAATGTGAGTATGATTTCAAATTTGCATGTTAGAATGATTATTTTGGTAGCAATGTATAGGGTAAGAAACAGGAGGTAGGGATACCAAGTCAGGCAAGAAATTATGAAGGCCTAAGGGAGTGGTGGTAGAAAGGAGGGATGAACTCACATGAGAATTTAGCAATAGAAGCTATAGGTCTTGGTAACAGATTTGTTGTATGTGCTGTAAATGTTAATGAACAAGAATCTAGAACGATTGGAGGTATCATTTGGCTGTGTCCCCACCTAAATCTCATCTTGAATTGTAGCTCTCATAATTCTCGTGTGTCATCAGAGGGTCCCGGTGGGAGATAATTGAATCATGGGCTGGTGGGGCGAGGGTGGGTCTTTCCCATGCTGTTCTCGTGATAGTGAATAAGTCTTATGAGATCTGATGGTTTTAGAAAGGGCAGTACCCCTACACAAGCTCTCTTGCCTGCCACCATGTAAATGTTCCTTTGCATCTCCTTTGCCTTGCGCCATGATTGTGAGGCCTCCTGAGCCATGTGGAACTGTGAGTCCATTAAACTTCTTTCCTTTTTAAATTACGCAGTCTCTGGTGTGTCTTTATTAGCAGCATCAGAACAGATTAAAACAGTAAATTGATACTGAGGTAGGGGGGCACTCTGTAAAGATACTTAAAAATGTGGGAGCATCTTTGGAACTGGGTAATAGGCAGAGGTTGGAATAGTTTAGAGGGCTCAGAAGAAGACAAGAAGATGTGAGAAAATCTGGAACTTCCTAGAGACTTGTTGAATGGCTTTGACCAAAATGCTGATAGTGATATGGACAATGAAGTCCAGGCTGAGGTGGTCTCAGATGGAGATGAGAAACTTGTTGGGAACTGGAGTAAAGGTCACTCTTGCTATGCAAAGAGACTGGCAGCATTTTGCCCGTGCCCTAGAGGTCTGTGGAACTTTGAACCAGAAAGAGATGATTTAGGGTATCCGGTGGAAGACATTTCTAAGCGGCAGAGCATTCAAGAAAAAGCAGAGCATAGAAGTTTGGAAATTTTGCAGCCTGACAATGCAATAGAAAAGAAAACCCTATTTTCTGGAGAGAAATTCAAGCTGGCTGCAGAAATTTGCGTAAGTAACGAGGAGCCAAATGTTAATCACCAAGACAATGGGGAAAATGTCTCCAGGGCATGTCAGAGACCTTTAAGGCAGTCCCTCCCATCACAGATCCAGAGGCCTAGGAGAAGAAAAATGGTTTCCTGGGCCAGGCCCAGGGCCCCCCTGCTGTGTGCAGTCTAGGGACTTGGTGCCCTGCGTCCAGCCACTCCAGCCATGGCTAAAAGGGGCCAAGTTACAGCTCAGGCCATGGCTTCAGAGGGTGCAAGCCTCAAGCCTTGGCAGCTTCCACATGGTGTTGAGCCTGTGGGTACACAAAAGTCAAGAATTGAGGTTTGTTGAACCTCTACCTAGATTTCAGAGGATGTATGGAAACTCCTGAATGTCCAGGCAGAAGTTTGCTACAGGGGTGGAGTCTTCATGGAGAACCTCTGTTAGGGCAGTGCACAAGGGAAATGTGGAGTCAGAGCCGCCACACAGAGTCCCCACTGGAACACTGCCTAGTGGAGCTACGAGAAGAGGGCCACCATCCTCCAGACCCCAGAATGGTAGATCCACTGACAGCTTGCACTATGCACCTGGAAAAGCCACAGACACTCAATAGCAGCCCATGAAAACAGCCAGGAGCAGGGCTATACCCTGCAAAGCCACAGGAATCAAGCTGCACAGGGCTGTGGGAGCCCACCTCTGGCATCAGCATGGCCTGGATGTGAGACATGGAGTCAAAGGGGATCATTTTGGAAATTTAAGGTTTAATGACTGCCCTATTGGATGTCAGACTTGCATGGGGCCTGTAACCCTTTCGTTTTGGCCAGTTTCTCACATTTAGAATGGTGTATTAACCAAATGCCTGTACCTCCGTTGTATCTAGATGAGATCAGGTGCATTCAGGGTGGTATGGCTGTAGACCCTCCGTTGTATCTGGGAAGTAACTAACTTGCTTTTGATTTTACAGGCTCGTAGGTGGAACAGACTTGTCTTGTCTTGGATGAGACTTCAGACTGTGGACTTTTGAGTTAATGCTGAAATGAGTTAAGACTTTGGTGGACTGCTGGGAAGGCATGATTGGTTGAGAAATGTGAGGACATGAGATTTGGGAGGGGCCGGGGTGGAATTGTATTGTTTGGCTGTGTCCCCACCCAAATCTTAGCTTGAATTTTAGCTCCCATAATTCCCACGTGTCATGGGAGGGATCTGGTGGGAGGTAATTGAATCATTGGGTGGGGGGGGGGGTGGGTCTTTCCTGTGCTATTCATGTGATAGTGGATAAGTCTGTCGAGATCTGATGCTTTTATAAAGGGGAGTTCCCCTGCACACACTCACTTGCCTGCTGTCATGTAAGATGTGACTTTGCGGCTGGGCACTGTGGCTCACACCTGTAATCTCAGCACTTTGGGAGGCCGAGGCAGGTGGATCATTTGAGGTCAGTAGTTCGAGACTAGCCTGGCCAATATGGTGAATCCCTGTCTCTACTAAAAATACAAAAATCAACTGGGTGCAGTGGTACACAGCTGTAATCCCAGCTAGAGATTTGCTTGAGGCAGGAGAATTGCTTGAACCTGGGAGGCGGGGGTTGCAGTGAGCTGAGATCGCGCCACTGCACTCCAGCCTGGGCGACAGAGCGAGACTCCATCTCAAAGAAGAAAAAAAGATGTGACTTTGCTCCTCATTTGCCTTCCACCATGATTGTGAGGCCTCCCCAGCCATGTGGAATTGTTAGTCTATTAAACTTCTTTTTTTTAAATAAATTAACCAGTCTCGGTCATGTTTTTATTAGCAGGGTGAGAACAGACTAGTACAGAGGTTATCCTTTCCTTCACAGATTATTATAAAATAGAGTAATACCTCTCTAAGGCTTAGAGTTTTTTCTCTCATAAAAATTATGAGGAAGTAGCAGCACAGTTTGGCCTCTGATAGAGGCATCTCATCATCTCTGACTTGTAGCAGTGAACATTTTGTGATTTTATAGCAATGATACTTTAGAACTAATAAATAGAAGAAACTACGTAAAGTTGTCAGGGGTTATTTGCCTTTTATTGTCTTAAGTATGTAATCACAGATTTGCCACTTATTTTCTACCATGTTATATAGCATTAGTAACTGTTTTATTAAGCTACTTGAGTGTGTGTGTTTTGTTTTTGTTTTTTGTAAACAAAATAGTCATTAAACAGAAGAATATAAAGTAAAAAGTCTCCTTTCCAAGAAAAAAGAAATAATCTTGCACACTCAGTCCTACTTCCTCAAAATAAGACCTCTTTTCTGTCAGTTTTTGTTCTGTTGGTGGATGCTTTATGAGCAATGAATATATTGGACAACTTTAGACAGCATCTATTAGTTCTCCAATATGAAGGATGGGGAATTTTGTATTTTTAATAATTATCTTCTCCTTCTACCTCCTGATATCTGTTTGCTATGTTAATATTTAATATTGTCAGTCTAGAGGATACTTTATTACATTAAACCTCTATTTCTTGAATTATCAAATGTATAGTGTCCATTGATTACCTACTATGAAAGGCAAGGAAAGTGGTATACTTATACTTTCTATTTTTAGCTCCTGTATTATTTATGATTTTTTAAAAGATTCATTTAGGCATTTATTTATATCATTTAAATATTTGCATTTTCTTAAGATGAGTTCCACTTTTTATCCCTTTCTACTTTTTTTTAAAAATTACTATTTTGAGACAGATTCTCCTTTTGCCACCTAGGCTAGAGTACAGTGGTGCAATCTTGGCTCACTGCAACCTCCGCCTCCCGGTTTCAAGCGATTCTCCTGCCTCAGCCTCACGAGTAGCTGGGATTACAGGGGCCCGCCACCACACCCGGCTAGTTTTTGTATTTTTATTAGAGACAGGGTTTCATCATGTTGGCCAGGCTGGTCTCGAACTCTTGACCTCAAGTGATCCACCCGCCTTGGCCTCCCACAGTGCTGGGATTACAGGCGTGAGCCACCACACCCAGCCCTCTTTTTACTTTTTAATCCTTTTAGAAGTTCTTACTCTGAACTAATTCTTCTACGTTCCTTAAAGTGTTTCACTTTAGTTGAACACTATTAAGGATTAGAGCAGTCTAAGATGGGAAAACTAGTTACATTAGAGAGGAATGGAGAATCATGATTATGGCTTTCAAACAGCTGAGAAGCTATCGCTATCATCTTAAAGAAGGAATAGACGCATTTTTTCTTATTCTAGGTAACATCAGTTGGTGAGAGTACTTCAAAAAGATTTTGACTCAGTGTAAGGAAAAAGAAAGTTTCTAAATGATTTAGATCTTTCAACAACAGAATGAAATAATCTCTCAGCCTTCTCTTATAATCATTTTTATTTTTTTCTTTTATGTCTTAGACTTAAGTCCTACTGGAGAAGATTACATAACTGTTTGCATTTCCTCCCTTAAGGATTTTGAGTAAGATATTATGGAAGCATCGGGAAGGACCACTCTTAGCCTAGGGGAACAAGGTGTCAGGAAACATTCCTAAAAAGAGATGACACTTTAAAATGTGTAAATGTTAACCTGGTAATGGGAGAAATGGAGGTAAGATTAAAGAGGAGAATGTCCACAGAAGGGACAGTATACTTAAAAGCAGATAAATGAGTTTGAATGGACCTGACTTACTTGGGGAGCTGTAAACAGGTTGTTGAAACTAGAGCACTCTTAAAGACATAGATGAGCATTTGGTAAGTCAGATGGAAATTCAGTCATTATCCTGAATGTGATGAGAAGTCAGTTAAGTGGAGTAACATGTTATATAAATTCTGGTACTTTGGGGAAAATGATTTGAAGTGCACAACAAGTAAAGTCAGGGAGAGCAGTTATGAAGGTATTGCAGTAGTCTATGCAAGAAATGATATGGATTCATTGTAGTAAGTGTGGGAGAATGTTGCAGTTCAGAATCATAAGAGGTACATGGTTTTTTGTTTGTTTTTTTGAGCCAAGGTCTTGCTCTATCACCCAGGCTGGAGTGCAGTGGTACGGTCACGGCTCACAGCAGCCTTGACCTCCTGGGCTCAAGCGATCCTCCCACCTTGGTTGTTATTGATGCAGAGGATTTTCCTTTATGGAAGTCCAGATGGTTACACAAAGAGGTTCCTACAAGATGACATTAACCTTGGTTTGGAATCTATATTCTAGTAATTCATGCTCAGGGAACTGCATTATTGATAGGTTAAAAATGCAACAATGCAATAATTGATAGGTTACATCTCTTGGAGAATACCAATTTTTAAGATGACAGTGAAAAACATAGCTTTCAGAATGAGAGTGCCTAATAGTCTTCTTGGCTAGTAAAATTTTTTTTTCCCTATAGGCTGCTTTGTTTTCTGGACATGATTTAGGTTCCACCCTTCAGATGCACTTTGATTTGGAAGTGAACCACCTGGGGAGAGAGGAAGGATATGGGTTTAGATTATGAGAAAAGTAGAATGGCTCTGAGCTAGTAGTTTGTGGGGCAGCCTTGTCATTTAGCAGTGGGTTTCTAATTCTGTAGCTTCTACAGGAGCTTCCTTGCTTGCCAGCTTCCTACACTGATGGTACCAGCTTTTGTGATTGTGGCTGAGGCAGAGTGGTTCTGTGGGCTAGGAGTTGTTTCTAGGAGCTCAGTCACTCTGGACCCTGCCTCTCTACTTTTTCCAAAGATTTTGTGAGCATCTGATTCTTATCTTAAGCCCCCTTTTTGCTTAAACTACCTGGAGTGGATTCTGATCCTGGACCATTAAATAGATGTAAAACTGTTTTGGGCAACAGATCCTCAGGGAATCTAGAAGGGTCACTGGTAACCAGTTTGTGGCATCTAGTGTTTTTCATCTGTGGTTACCTGGGATGAAGTACCTGTTGAAGGCAAAGCTTTGCTAAACTGATTGATGATCCATTTAGGAAAGTAAAGATATGAGAGGACTGGCTGTTTTTGTTTGTTTGTTTTTTGTATTTTTTAGACAGAGTCTTTCTCTGTCGCCCAGGCTGGAGTGCAGTGGTGCCATCTTGGCTCACTGCAACCTCCGCCTCCTAGGTTCAAGCGATTATCCTGCCTTAGCCTCCCGAGTAGCTGGGACTACAGGCGCGTGCCACCACGCTTGGCTAATTTTTTGTATTTTTAGTAGAGATGGGGTTTCACCGTGTTAGCCAGGATGGTCTGGATCTCCTGACCTTGTGATCCGCCCGCCTCGGACTCCAAAAGTGTTGGGATTATAGGCGTGAGCCACCGCGCCCGGCCAATTGGCTGTTTTTAACTCCACTGTAGAGTTTAAAGCAGTGGTTCTCAACCTGGGGTGATTTTGCTCTCCAAGGCGTATTTAGAAATGTCTGGTGACATTTTTTAGTTATCAGAACTGGGGGAGCAGGGTGCTACTGGTATCTAGTGAGTAGAGACCAAGAATGCTGCTGCACAGGATTGTCCCCTCCCCACCACCACAACAAAGAGTTACCTGGCCCAAAATGTCAATAGTGTTTAGTTTGAGAAATTCTGGTTTAAAGAAAATTTAAACTGCAGGGCTAAATTTTTAAATCTTGGCTGAAGTTATGGTTAGAACACTTAGGAATTTGGTGATTGGCTTAAAAGAGTCTTTTGTCTTATAACTCTAGGACTGTCATAGTCTAAATCGGGTTCAGAGTCTGATCCAACAAGTTATTAAACTGTGTTCAGTGCAGAGTGAACTCAGAGCTTCATCAGATTTCATAGGTGTAAGTTGAGTTATTGATTGGGAAAGAGTAAGATTTCAGGAATTGGAATCATGACATGGAACCATTTGAATGACTCCAGGTATTCTTAACCTGTGGTTTGTACTGAGCCTCCCTTGCCAGCAGAAGTAACCCTTCTTCCTTTGAGTGATGCTTAAAGATGCTGTAATGACTTCAGCTTGTTGAGTGATAGCTGTTTTTATTCCCATTCCCACCACCTTTTGGCCTCTAGACCAATAGCGAGAGTCAGATCCCAGGAAGTTCAAGGGGCTAACTTCATGATGAAAGACAAGTTTTGTGCATCAAAAGAATTGCAAGAATTTTACTAGTTTATGTTAGCAAAAACCTATGCAATTGATATGAAATCAAATTCAGAGAGGTGCTGGACCAGGAAAGGAGGAATCTAATTTTAGTTTGGGCTGAATCTATTAATGTAGATTCATCTATGAGAGATTTTAGATTTGGTTCTTGCTGAAGCAGCTAGGAGTGGTTCTGATTGTCTGCTTGTTTGACTGAAATGTGGATTCAGTAGTGACCTCCATTGAGTAAAGTTGAGATGCCAAACTTGGGGAGTTAGGAAAGTTGGGGTGGATTTATTTTGTGCAGCTGGCTTCCTTACTCTCTAAAAACATCCTCCAAGATGGGTGTTCTCTACTACCTTTAAGAAAATACAACAGTGAGAGAAATGCTGGCATCCTTAAAAAGTACTGTACTGGCTGTCTTCTCTGGCCTTGGTATGAATGTAAGAGATGCTGCTACAAAATGAGCTTTCTGAATTTAGTGGAATCCTGGAATGGCAGAGGCAAGTAACAGAACTTTTTTTTTTTTTTGAGACAGAGTCTTGCTCTGTCGCCAAACTGAAGTGCAGTGGTGAGATCTTAGCTCACTGCAACCTCCGCCTCCCGGGTTCAAGCGATTCTCCTGCTTCAGCCTCCTGAATAGCTGGGACTACAGGCGTGCACCACCATGCCCAGCTAATTTTTGTATTTTTAGTAGAGACGGGGTTCCCCATGTTAGCCAGGATGGTCTTGATCTCTTGACCTCGTGATCTGCCTGCCTCGGCATCCCAAAGTGCTGGGGTTACAGGCGTGAGCCAGCGCGCCCTGCCGCGAGTAACAGAACTTAACCATCAGACTCAAGATAGGCATGCTTAATATAGTATGCAAATTGATTAAGGGGTTCCTAGAACTGTCATGGAAGGGTAGCTCACTAAGGTCTTGATCTTGATACTGGAACTAAACAAACAAATGAAAAGAGAACACTTAAGGTCCAATGAATGTAGGATTGATTTTAGGTCTCCATAATGTCTAATACCTATAGATTTATCACTTTACAAATCTAGAACTCCTTGAAGAAAAAAGAGGCAGCATATCTTCCTTTAAGGAAGGACCTTGTGATAATATCACAAGTAGGCACAATTAATTTTCTTCATAGCCTTCCCTAAAGAAAGGGGTCTTTTATTATTTACAAGCCTAACTGTTCATCAGAAGACAAATACTGAAACCTTTCAGGAGTTATTGGAAGCTGAGCTAATGATAATTCCCAGCGACTCAGGACACCGTTGTGTTCCATGAGGCAGATGGGAGCTTGTGGAAATCAGGCATGGAATGGAGCTTTGACTTGAAATTATTTCACAGTCCATGAATTCGTACCGTGGTTGTATCTTGTTTCTTACTGCATGTCTGGAATAAATATGTTCAACAAGTGGAAGAATCCCCAAATTAGTTCCCATATCCATGGGTTAATGGACTTTATGGTAGGAAGAGCCAAGTGTAACCTCCCAAAGTTCTTTTTACCAAAGCAGTCTCACATCCTGAATCTCAGAGATTAGTGCCATATTAAAGACTTGAAAGGTTCAGCCTGCTAACTCTGGTTTTACCTATGCAGAAGATAGATACATTTTGGAGAATGATGGTGTATTATCATAAGCTGCTTCTACCACTCCAGTTGTATATTTGGTTCCACATGTGGTCTCTTTGCTAGAAACAGAACTTGGTAGAAACAGGCACTTGCTAGAAACAGAACTTTGCTAGAAACAGGCACTTGGTAGTTAACTATTTGATCTATCAAATGCCTTACTGAATCTAATTAACCGAGAACATCAGAAATACCCAGCAGTATAGTACACCGTCATCATATTGCCTCCATGGTTAGGTCAGTATTTTGGCTCTGTGCCATCATTTAGTCTGTAGGGATTTTGTTCATCTCACTATCCCACAGTACGTTATCCTGGTCCCCTACAGTGATGACATCATGCTAATTGATAGGACATTGTGATAGAGAACTAGCAGACACCTTAGATCCTTTGTAAAGACACTAAAGACACAGCTGATGATGGGACATGAAGTCCATAAAAAATTGGAGGACCTGACACCTTAGTGAAATTTCTGAGGTAACAGTATTTTGGGATATATTGGGATGTCCTTTCTGAAGTAGAAGATAAGCTACTGCATCTTGTATTCACTGCTACCAAAAAGAAGTACAGTAACTGGTGGGTCTCTCTGGGTTTGAAGTCAGGATATACTAAATTTTAAGTGTACTGTTCCAACCTCTTGACTCAACAATCTATAAAAACTGCCATTTGGTTGCTATGTGGAATTTGTGGCAGGCTCTGACAGGAGAATCACAGTGAAGCCTCCTTCATTTTAGAGCTAACTGTATCTTCTCTGAGAAGGCTACTGGCTTTGTTGTTAGATGTGATAGAGAACAAATTTCTAAATACTGGATACCAGTGACATGAGCATGCATAGCAGTGTTACATTGTCAAATAAAAGCAGTATACCTGGGATTGGGCAAAATGGAAGTACTGAAAACACATGTACATTGAGCAAGCAAGAGGCTCTTTTTTTTTTTTTTTTTTTTTGAGTCAAGAGTCTTGCTCTTGTCGCCCAGGCTGGAGTGCAGTGGCGCAATTTCAGCTCACTGAAACCTCCGCCTCCTGGGTTCAAACGATTCTCCTGCCTTAGCCTCCCAAGTAGCTGGGTTTACAGGCACTTGCCACCACATCCAGCTAATTTTTGTACTTTCAGCAGAGACGGGGTTTCACCACGTTGGCCAGGCTGGTCTCTAACTCCTGATCTCAGGTGATCCACCTCCCTCGGCCTCCCAAAGTGCTGGGATTACAGGTGTGAGCCACCGCGCCTGGCCACAAGAGGCCCTTTCCATACTGTGATTCCTTTCACAACCCCACACCCATGGTTTTATTCCTGGGGAGTCTGCTGTGTTCTTGGTTAACAGATGGTTCTACATGATGTGTTGGCACCTGTCAGACTAAGAGCTGACTCTGGTAGAAACGGCCAGTTGTCTCCTAATACTATTTTTTTCTCCTTTAGAAATAAAACTCTTGTGTTTTAGCAGGGCAATTGTCTAAGAGACTAAGAGACTCCCTTGCTATTGGGTGTAATCATGTGACAAGGCTTTGGCAAGTGATATGTAAGTGAAATTGTTCTTCCAGAAATTCTCCTTAAAATATTCTATACCTTCCTCCTTCTCTTCCTCCTCCTCCTCTCCCTCCTCCTCCTTTCTTCCTCTTCTCTTCTTCTTTCTTTTCTTTTTTTCTTTGTGCAAGGGAGCATGGGGTCTTGCTCTGTTTCCCAGGCTGGAGTGCAGTGGAGCAATCTTGGCTCACTGCAGCCTTGACCTTGTAGGCTCAAGCAATTCTGCCACCTCAGCCTCCTGTGTAGCTGGGACCACAGGTGTGCAACACCACACTCAGCTAATTTTTGTGTTCTTTTTGTAGAGATGGAGTTTTGCCATGTTGCCCGGGCTGAACTGGAACTCCTGGGCTCAAGTGATCCTCCTGCCTCAGCCTCCCAAAGTGCTTGGGATTACAGGCATGAGCCACTGTGCCCAGCTTCCTTCCTTCCTTCTTGATTTCTACTTGAAACATGGATGTGATGTTTGCAGCTCTAGCAGACATATTAAACCATGAGAACAAGGGTCTAAACCTGTAGATAGTGGAGTGATGAACCTGAAGAAGCTGGATCTTTGAGCCCATAGATCTGACATTGATCCTGAGTGTTGTCTTCGAGACATCTTTTATATGAAAGGAAATATACTTTTATCTTGTTTAAGCTATTAATGTTTTAGGTTTTCTGTCATATGCAGTGGAACATAATCCTAGTGGAGACACTGAATGCTTAGATGGATAACGTGCCATTCTCTGAGATAGAGAATGGAGGGAGAGAAGATACAGATTTTATAGAAATAATAGAAAATCCCAATTTGGTCATGATTAATTTGCTGTGTTTATGGAAATGCTTAATAGGGGGTACAAACAGCATTGGGAGCTTGAGAAATACTCTATCTGTTACAAGAAGGAAATGATTGTCTTCAGGAGAGTGAAACGTTAAGGAAAACAGCTGGTAGTAAAGTATATTATAACCAGCCTCATAACTTGTTTGGACAGATAAACAATCTGTAATGCTTTTTGCAGGATAGGAAGTTTGCGTTTGAGAGAAGAGTTGAGCAGAAAACACACGGCTTGGATTATCTGTGCTGTAGATGCGATGCTCCAGGGTGAACTTTGAGTTGCAGATAGGAAGTTAGAGATGGGAAAAAAAAAAAAACAAATTTGTGGAGAGGAGAGCATTGTAGGCAGGGGACATGTTTAAACTGTATTTGGGAAGAAGAAATTTGTCACCTGTATTTGTGTAATGAGAAAGGCCTACTTGATTTTGAAGGCACAGGTTGCTGGAGAACTAAGGATTTTTGTAACTTCTCCTTTATTGACTTAGGGTTAGGGAATACATTGATAGGGACACATTGAATGAGTTTTAATGAGAAATTTATGTGTATCATGTCCAGTTGCATTATGCAACAGATACGAATTTCTTGTTTAAGGAAGATTAACATAATAGCCTTTGCTGTTTTTTAATCAATAACTTTCCTCCCTAGTTTAAAAATGTTGTATTTAAAAAATCTATGCTGAAACTAAGCACTTGCTATGTACTAGTCTTATCTGCAATTGGAAGAAAACGTAAATATAACTTAAACATAGTGAAAGTGGTACAGTTAAGTCATAGAGAATTGTGTTTTAAATTTTCAGTTGTATTTTTTTTCTGAAAGGATCAATGTTTTATAGATACTACCAATATATTAATGTTTTTAAAGCTGGTTCCAAGAAATTTGTCTGAAATTTTAATGTGGCAGTGTTTTCTCTGCTGAATTATCAAGGGAGGCTAAATATTCTGTGGTATAGTGGTAATAATTTTCGTAATACCTTGATAGGCATAGATAATACTGCAGAAATTGCCAAAAAACAGCTTCTTTTTTTTTCTCCATTCTGTCCCTCCACCTGTGTTCTTTCCTGCCACACGTCTTCACCGCCTCCTTCACCCCCTCCTTTGCTGTAAACTTAGTTTCTCAGAATTCTGTAATCATGTCTTTGTAAATTTTCAGTTTGGTTCATGATAACTGTAACAAGTTCAGAAAGAGGTTTCTCATTCTACATCATACAAAATGAAGGTGTTTATGAAGTAGCCGGGAGTTCTTTGCCAGCAGACAAGTTATTGAGGCTTAGTTTAAATTGGTATAATTTAAACTGGTATAGTTTTCCTAACAACATAATCTATCTGGAGGAGATTTTGGTCTGCTTTTCAGATCAGCAATCATAGTGTTATGCCATCTAGTGGTAGATGTATGTATTTCACATTTTTTGTTGGTTTACCGTGCCTGAAGTTTAGAGCCAGGAGGGACCTAAGATCACTTTACAGGTGGGAGACCAAGGCTTAGAGAAGTTAGAGGATTTGCTTAAGGTCACCAGTTAGTGACAGAGCTAAGATAAGCCTCAGATCTCCTGATTACCAATGTAGTATTCTTTTCAAAACATGGCAGTGTTTTTCTTGAGGACTTTCTTAGATTAGTTTATCAACCATGGGAAGGTATTTATATTTTAGATGATTTCTGTGTATTCATAATTACTGTTGATAGCTTTAATGTACTGGTGTTTTAATAGGCCCTTGTACTCAGAAGTTAAGGGAAATGGATATCATATTTACCTTTGATAAGACATAGTAGTTTTCTTTAAGTAGTTAAATAAGTGCTTGTGAGAGAGGGTTGAGCTTGTTTTCCATTTGTTACAGTGAGAAAAAATATTAATTATTGTGCCTTTGGGCTTGCCCTTGTATGATCTAGTTTTTTTTTCCCATAGAAAAGGAAGTATTAGGAGAGAGGGCCCTAGGACTAAACTTATCTGTTAGGGTCATACTCAGATTAAGTTTTGTGTTGAAAAAAGAATCAATTCTGACAGTGCCTTCTGGTCCCTCCTCACCCTACCCTGGCAACTAAAGGTTGCAAATCAGGCAAGCAGTAAGCTTCAAGGACAGAGAAGTTTTAAGCAATCTTAAAGGTTGTTGGAATAAGCATGAAGAATATTGCCCTGGGAAGAGGTTTAGAGCCAGCTGATATCAGAACACCAGCTATTGGACTGGAGAAGTATTTAAGTACTAGATTGAGGATGACTTGGATTTGTATTTTTGTTTTGCCACTGATGCTCCGGTATTGCTTCTTTTGTAATTTCCTTTCTGTTTAAACACCTTCCTTCAGCCAATCTTCAATGTTAGTGTAGTTTTTTTTGCTTTGTTTTTTTTGGTCCAAGAATGTCTGGATTTTCCTCTCATTCCTTAAGGGTAGTTTCGTGGGAAATAGAATTCATAGTTGATAGTTCTTTCTTTCAGCACTTGAAAAATGTTGTGCTGCTTTCTTCTGTCCTTCATGGTTTCTGATGAGAAATTTGCTGTCATTTGAATTGGTGTTATCCTGTAGGTAAAATGTTTCTCTCTGGCTTCTTTCAAGACTTCTTTGTTTTTAATTTTCAGATGTTTAATTATGATGTATCTTAGTGTAGATTTCTTTTGAGTTTATCCAGTATGAGAGTCACGCAACTTCTTGAATATGTTTGGTGCTTCACCAAATTTGGGAGTGTTTTAGCCATTATTTCTTTGAATATTCTTTTAGTTCCCCTCTTCCTCTCCTCTTTTCTGGGACTCCAGTGATATGAATAGTGGATCTTTTGTTATGGTCTGTGGACCTCCCATGGGTTCCCAATGTTCTTTATATTTTAATTTGTTTTCTCTCCGTTGTTCAGACTGGGTAAATTCTACTGATTTCACCTCAAGTTCACTGATTCTATGCTATGCCATTTTCACTCTACTATTGAAACCATCCAGTGAGATTTTAATTTTGGATATTTTATTTTTTAGTTTTATAATTTCTGTTTGATTTATAACGTATTTCTGTGCTGATATTTCTATTTTTCATTTGTTTCAAGAGAGTTTATGATTTGATGTATTTTTAAGGTAGCTGCTTTAAAATCTTTGCAGATAATTCTTCCATCTGATTCATGTCTGTGTTGGCATCAGTTAATTGTCTTTTTGTCATTCAAGTTGTGATCTTTTCTGGTTCTTGGTGTAATGGGTGCTTTTTTACTATATCCTGGACATTTTGGCTGTTATGTTAGTTTTTGTGTTTAGAGTTAGCATGTAGACCATAGTCTAATTTTGTAGGCTGTTGTTCCAGTGGCAGTTTAATTTTCAGAGCCTTTTCAGTGTTATTTTGATTTTCTTGGTTATTTGGTTTTCTTTGTTTATTTAATGCTGGGGCCATTAAATATAGCCCTTCTGTCACCTCAGGCAGCACTAGAGCTCCCACTGGTGCTGCCTGAGGTGGCAGAAATCATTCCCCAGGCTGAGCTGTTTGATGTCTCTTGGTGGGGGAGGGGACTCTCAGGCTACAGGGACAAAGAGGTTTTGCTGGACCAGGCTACTTTGTGTGGCACGATGTTCATTATTGGTGCTATTTCACTGCCCTGATGTCACTGGGGAGTACATGAGAGATTCTGACTCATGAGGACAAAGAGACTACCTGGGCCAGACTGCTTGTTACAGTGGAGTCTCTCTTACTGGTGTCCTCTGACTACCCCAGTGTTTCTGGATTGGGGAGGGAATTCTTAAGCCCATAGAAACAAAATGTCTGCCGAGGTTACTTGATACAGCGAGATACCTCTTGCTGGTGCTAGCTGGACACCTCAGTTTCTCTTGGTTGTGTAGGAGAGCCTTAGGCCTGTGATGACAAAGGCTTCCCAGGCCATCCTGCTTATTGTGATGGGGTCTCTCTTGCTGGTGATGCCTACTCACATGGTATCTGCCTTTGGGGAAAGGGAGTCAGGGCCAGGAGTGAAGGAAAGTGCTTTCCCTGGCTGCTTATTATCACTGTGGCTGTCTATCCCCTGCTCATGGTTCTGGGCTTTCCCTGTGTTGTTAGTGGAACTTCTGTTTGATCTGGGAGATGAGTGAGCCTACCTTGGCTGCCTTCTGTTGTTAACCTGGGGATTGGGACATGCTAGGCCTGGGTTGCCTTCTTCTGTTTGGTAGAGATAGGTAAGATGTCCTGCCATTGTGTTGTTCCTCCATTCCGAGGGTTACAAAACAGTTTACTTTCCTCTTACCACCTTTCAGAGTTCTCCTTTGGTTGCCTCCTGTGTTATTTATAGGCTTATACTTAGTGGGGAAGAGCAAGAAAAAATGAGTCTATACCATTGTGTCTGATCAGAGATTCATTAAAGAAAATCCTTTATTGACATATAATTTACATACCGTAAAGTTCATCCTTTTAAAATGTAAAATGCAGTGGTTTTAGTATATTCAAAGAGTTGTGCGACCATTACCACTATTTATTTATTTGTTTATTTATTTTAAACTCAATTTTATTTTAAGTTCTGGGATACATGTGCAGGACGTGTAGGTTTGTTAAATAGGTAAACATGTGCCGTGGTGGTTTGCTGCACCTATCATCCCGTCACCTACATATTAAACCCCACAAGCATTAGCTATTTTACCCTGATACTCTGCCTCCCCCCTCCCACCTCCCCCCAACAGGCCGCGGTGTGTATTGTTCCCCTCCCTATGTCCATGTGTTGTCATTGTTCAGCTTCCACATACAAGTGGGAACATGCGACATCACCACTATTTACTTAAAATGTTTCATCACCCCAAAGAAACCCTATATCCGTTAGCAATCACTCCCTTTACCCCCTTAAGCCCTTGTCAACCATGAATTTACTTCCTGTCTCTTTGAATTTGACTTTTCTGGGCATTTCATATAAATGGACTCATACAATATGTAGCCTTTTGCGTTTGGTTTCTTTCAATTAGCATATGGTTTTCAAGGATTATCCATGATACGTAGCATGTATCAGTACTCCATTCCTTTTTTTTTTTTTGAGATGGAGTGTTGCTCTGTCACCCAGGCTGGAGTGTAGTGGCATGATCTTGGCTCACTGCAACCTCCGCCTCCTGGGTTCACGCCATTCTCCTGCCTCCACGCCATTCTCCTGCCTCAGCCTCCTGAGTAGCTGGGACTACAGGAGCCTGCCACCACACCCAGCTAGTTTTTGTGTTTTTAGTAGAGACGAGGTTTCACCATGTTGGCCAGGATGGTCTCGATCTCTTGACCTCGTGATCTGCCTGCCTTGGCCTCCCAAAGTGCTGGGTAATATTACAGGCGTGAGTCACCACACCCAGCTTTCATTCCTTTTTAAGTTCAAATAATATTCGATTATATAGATATACTCAGCTTTTTTTTTGAAGGATATTTTCTCTGGGTATAAAACGTTTGGTTGATTTTTTTTTTTTTTTTTGCTTTCAGTATTTTAAAGATGTAGCTCCACTGTCTTCTAGCTTGTACTGTTTATAATGAGAAGTCTGCTGTCATTCTTATATTTGTTACTCTGCACAATGTATCTTTTTTCTCCAGCTGTTTTTAGATATTTATCTTTATATCTAAGTAATTTATTATGATATGCCTTTGTGAGTTCTGTGTGTTCTTCGTGTTTGGGATTTGATGAGCTTCTATGATCAGTGTGTTTATAGTTTTCATCAAATTTGGAAAAGTCAAATTTCATTAAATTTGGCCATTATTACTTCAGATATATCTCCATTCCCTCCATTCCATGCTGGGACTCCTGACTCCTGTTACATGCATATTAGGCCACTAGAAGTTGTTGCACAGCTCTGTTTTTGTTTTTTTGTCTTTTTCCCAGTCTGTTTCTCTGTTTCATTTTGGAAGTTTCTATCATATAACAACCATTAACCTTTTTTTCCTTGTAGTGTCTAATTCATTAGCTATATCCAATATATTTTTTACATTTATATTACTGAAAATATGCAACATAATGATAATTTAGAATATCTTTATCTACTAATTAATACCTACATCATTTTGGAGTCTATTTCAGTTGATTGATTTTTGTCCTCCTTGTGGCCCATACTTTTCTGCTTCTTTTCATGCCTAGTGATTTTTGTTTGCATGTTAGAGTTGTGAATTTTACTCTCTTGATTGCTGGATATTTCTGTGTTCCTGTAAATATTCTTGAACTTCGTTCTGAGATGTAATTAAGTCACTTGGAAATAGTTTGATCTTTTTGAGGCTCGTTTCCCAGCTTTGTTAGGTAGATCTACAGCAACATTTTATCTAGGGTTAATTTTTCACACTGAGGCAATAATACCCTCTGGGTTCTCTGCCTGATGCCTAGTGAATTATGCAAGTTTTTTCGTTTTTTCCTCTTGGCTGTTGGGAACAAAAACAGTCCCTGGCCTTGTGTGATTTCTAGGGATTGTCCTTTCTGTTCCTTTCGTGTGCTTCATTCAGCCTTCTGCAGGTCTCTGAACTTCTTTCTCCCTGTTAATCTCTCTTCTCTTTGATACTCTGTGAACCCTAACCTCTTTGGGTTCCCTAGATTCCCACCTCAATTGCTTCAGTTTTACCAGGACTTCTGGATTTTCCTTGATTGAACTGCAGTCTAGAAACTGCACCCCCCTCTCACCCCCCCACCCCAGCTAAACATCTAGATCCTGCATGGAAACTCTTACCAAGAAGTAAGCTGGGGCAATTATAGGGCTCACATAATTTGTTTTCTTTCTCTCTGGGTTCACTGTCCTCTATTGCCTGATGTCAGGTGTCTGAAAACCATTGTTTTGTAGATTTTGTTTTTTTAGTTGTTGTAGGTTGGAGGGTAAATTCAGACCTTGTTACTTCACCTTGGATGAGGTAGAAGTCCCTAAGGTAATGATTTTTGGACCTTTTGTTTTTTTGAGACGGAGTCTCGCTCTGTCACCCAGGCTGGAGTGCAGTGGCGCAATCTCAGCTCACTGCAAGCTCCGCCTCCCGGGTTCACGCCATTCTCCTGCCTCAGACTCCGGAGTAGCTGGGACTGCAGGCACCCGCCACCACGCCCAGCTAATTTTTTTTGTTATTTTTAGTAGAGACGGGATTTCACCGTGTTAGCTAGGATGGTCTCGATCTCCTGACCTCGTGATCCACCCGCCTCGGCCTCCCAAAGTGCTGGGATTACAGGCCTGAGCCCCCTCGCTCGGCCAGTTTTGGACTATTTTATTATATAGCTAGTGGGAGAATTACTGAATTATTTTGATCAGAGAAATTAGTGTGAAGAACTTTGATTTTGCAGAGCTTATTTCTAGACTGCCGGAAACTTGAACATGACTCGGAGTGAAGTGAAACAGGAAGCAGGGAGATGATGAGGCTGCTGCTGTTACCCAGATGAAGATGATGAGAGTTTGAACTACTAGAGTGATTGTGAATGATGCTGGGGGTGGGAACACATTCAATGCATATTTGGAGAAGGGACTTGATAAGACTTTCTTTTCTTAAATGTTGATGTACAACCATATAGTTTTCACAGCATTCCAGACTGCCAATCATTCTTTCTTCATTGCTGTTAAAGAAGACATTTTAATTCAGTAAAATGATGCATTCTGAAGAATTTCATGAAAGTGCTAGATCATATGTTTAGTTTTAATTTCAGTTTGTATTCATTTCTCAGTTTTTCTTAATCTTGACATTCTCTAAATTGCTGGATTTATACATTCTCAGTGAACTGTGAGTTTATAAGGATTAAAGCTGTGTAGCTGCTGTTTATTTATTATTTTTAATGACATACCTTGTTCGTTATGTATTCTCTTCAACTTAAAAATGCATTTTTTTATTTGAGATGAAGTCTCGTTCTGTCACCCAGTGATTGTATTTTTAGTAGAGATGGGGTTTCACCATGTTGGCCAGGCTGGTCTCGAACTCCTGACCTCAAGTGATCTGCCCGCCTTGGCCTCCCAAAGTGCTGGGATTACAGGCGTGAGTCAGTAAAAATGCATTCTTTTTCACTTCTGTAAAAGCCTATGGACTCTTTCCTAAGTTTAACTCTGGGAAAAATAGCTTGTATGTTCCAAATAAACCTTTTGAATAATAGGAGATTGTACTGGAAAATCAGAAAATCACATTACATTCCTACCTAAATTTTTAAATAACCACAAAAAAGGCTTATGTCAGTTGAAACAAACAGACTTCTCTCATTAAATGCTAAATGGATCAAATATGAAAGCCTTTTGTAGAATGATTTCCTGCATGCTTTCTTTTCAGTGAATGAGCAGCTTTTATTTTCCTTATCTTTTGAAAGTTGGTCTATACTGGCACAATTAGATCTACTTATTCTGGTGAACTTTGATTTTCTGGCTGTCTTGGCATTATAACACAGGTCTTCTAGAGAACATGAAAATAACATTTTAAAAAAATCATTTGCTCAAAAGCAGATTTTCCAAATCACAAATGGGATACTTGGAACTTGCAAGTTGAATATGGCCTTCATCTTAGTTCTGTCTTTGGACAGATATCTTTAGATCAGCTTCTATTCTATTAAAATGAGTAAATCAATACATGTACCCAAAAGTCTGATTTTCTAGTGCTGTGCGTTTGCTTTAGCCATTTCTTCTGAGATGATATTCTTAATGAAGAAGAGAGAAGAACAGGTGCTAGGTACAATGCTGAAGTTCCAAGCAGATTGTTTTGGGAGAGAATGGAATAGAAGCACTGGTGCCAGTGTCAGTAATGTGTATATAGCATGTTTTGACCAAGACTTTTATCCTCAGGAAATTTTGATTATTATCGGGAAATTATAATTGGACTTATGCCAATATTGATGAATTTTTTTTCGGGAAATATTTTCTGGAGGAACTCCTTAAGCAATATTTTAATATAACATAATTAATTTCCATGTTCTCCATTTTTGTTTTTATTCTACTGCAATTGTTTTTATTGAGAGTTTGTCAATATATATCAGACTGTTAATTTAAAATGGTTGCATTTTGTAGTATATATCTGTAACTAAAAAAAGTAAGTTAATTAAATAAAAAATGGATATAAATACACTGGGTAACTGACATAGGATCCAAAAAATGCATGTACTGAGCTGACTAAAGAAATTTAACAGGGATAAAACTTGAGTCTGAAAAATCTTTTGTACAGGTACAGAACAGCATTAAACATGTTTTAAAAAGGGATTTACATGTTTCATTCAAAAGTAACTCCAGTAAATCAAGAGTCTTGTGGCCACCAAGAGACCTTAAATAACACCATTCTTCATTGTTAATAACATAATTGTCTAGAACAATAATAGTTTTCTTCTCTACACTATGTTATTCAGACCGGCTCAGTAATCTCAACTATTATGTTCAGGTTGGAGTGCTGTTCTGAGAAACATGCACCTACTCATACTGGTATATATTTTACATGCACATTAACTTAAATTCTTCCTCACAAGAGCTCTAAGAGTTAGGTAATAGTATCTTCATTTTTTATATGGGGGAAAATGAAGCACAGAGAAGTAATGTAATTTTCCCAGGATGGAATGGTGGAACTGGACTAGAGTATAGGTAACCTGGATCCTGAGTCCATATTCTTAACCCTGTTTCATATGTATATAAAACCTCCCATGATAGGTCACAATCAAAACGCAGATAAATGTTAATTTTTCAGCTCAAGCAGTCTTCCTGCCTTAGCCTCCCAAATTGCTGGGATTACAATAGCATGCCCCTATGCCTGACCAACATCCTGCTTTTAATTCCTTTGGAAATATACCCAGAAGTGGGATTGTTGGAACATATGATAGTTCTATTTTTAATTTTTTGAGAAGCCTTCATACTCCATACCTCCATATTCCATATTTTCCATAGTAGGTACACCATTTGACATTGCCATCAACATGCACAAGGGTTCCAGTTGAGTCTTGAGTAGCTGGGACTACAGGTTTGTACCACCATTCCCAGCTAATTTTTGTAGAGATGGGGTCTCCATATGTTGCCCAGGCTGGTCTCAAACTTCTGGCCTCCTCACTCCTGGGCCTCCTAAATCCCTGGGATTACAGGTGTGAGCCAGTGCACCTGGCTTTACTTTTTGCTTCAAATTTTCTGACTAAATCTCCTTTTTATAGACAGACATACTTTGGTTTATTGTTCTTTGCTTATTATTTATTATTTGTTTATTGTGCCTTACAGATATTATGGGTGGGTTTGTTTGTTTGTTTTAACAAATTGAAGATTTGTGGCAACCCAATGTTGAACAAGTCTGTCAGCTCCATTTTGCCAACAGCTTGGGCTCATTTTGTGTCTCTGTGTCGCATTTTGGTAATCTCACAAGTTTTCAAGCTTTTCCATTATATGTATTTTGGTGATATGTGATCAGTGATCTTTGATATTACTGTTTTGTTTTGGCATGCCACAGACTACACCCATGAAAGGTGGCAAATTTAATCCATAAATGATTTATGTATTCTGACTGCACCACTGACCAGCCATTCCATCATCTCTCTCCCTCTCCTCAGGCCTCTCTATTCCTTGAGGCACGCCAGTATTGAAATTGGGTTAGTTGATGACTTTACAATGGCCTTTAAGTGGTCAAGTGAAAGGAAGAATTGCATGTCTCTCACTTCAAATCAAAATCTAGAAATGATTATGTTTAGTAAGGAAGACATGTCAAAGGCCAAGATAAGTCAAAAGCTGGGCCTCTTGTACCAAACAGCCAAGTTGTGAATGCAGATAATAAGAAAATGAGACAGCATTATTACTGATATGGAGTCTGAGTGGTTTGGATAGATGAAATTAGCCACAACATTTTCTTAAGACAAAGCCTAATCCTCAGCACAAGGCCCTAACTCTCTTCAAATCTGTGTAGGCTGAGAAAGTTGCAAAAGAAGTTTGAAGCTGGAGGTTGGTTCATGAGGTTTAAGAAAAGAAGCTGTCTCTATAACATGAAAGTGCAAGGTGAAGCAGCAAGTGCTTATGTAGAAGCTGCTGCAAGTTATGCAGAAGATCTAGCTAAGATGATGAGGGCAGCCACACTACAGTAACAGTGTAGACGAAACAGGCTGTATTGGAAGAAGATGCCATCTAGGATTTTCATAGCTGGAGAGCAGAAGTAAATGCTTGGCTTCAAAGAACAGGCTTACTGTCTTTTTAGCAGCTAATGTTGCTGGTGATTTCAAATTAAAGCTGTTTCTCATTTACCATTCTGAAAATTCCAGTGCCTTTAAGAATTATGCTAAATCTACTCTGTCTGTGCTCTGTAAATGGGACAACAATGCCTGGATGACAGCACATCTATTTATAGCATGGTTTACTGAATATTTTAAGCCCACTGTTGAGAACTACTGCTCATAAAAATATTCCTCTCAAAATATTACTGCTCATTGACAGTGCACCTGGTAACATAAGAGCTCTGATGGACATGTATAAGGAGATTAATGTTGTTTTCATGCCTGCTAACACAACATCTATTCTGCAGCCCATGGATCAAGAGTCATTTTGACTTTCAAGTTTTACTATTTAAGAAATACATTCCATAAGCCTGTAGCTGCCATAGGTAGTGATTCCTCTGATTGAATCTGGGCAAAGTAAATTGAAAGCCTTGTGGAAATGATTCACCATTCTAGATGCCATTATAACTTCATAATTCATGGGAGGAGGTAAAAATATGAACCTATTAACCGGGAGCTTAGAAGAAGTTGATTCCAACCCTTATGGATGACCTTGAGGGGTTCAAGACTTTAGTGGGGAAAGGAACTGTAGATGTGGTGGAAATAGCAAAATAACTAGTGTTAGAAGTGGAGCCTGAAGATGTGACTGAATTGCTACAATCTCACGATAAAACCTTTAACAGATGAAGCTTTGCTTCTTATGGATAAACAAAGAAAATGGTTTCTTGAAATGGAATCTACTTCTGGAGAAGATGCTGTGAATTTCATTGAAATGACAAAGGATTTAGGATATTACATCAATTTAGTTGATAAAGCAGCAGCAGGGTTTGAGAGGAATGATTTCAATTTTTGAGAGAAGTTGTGCTGTGGGTAAAATAACATCAAACAGCATTGCATGCTATGGATAAATTTTTTGTGAAAGAAAGTGTCAATCGATATGGCAAACTTCACTGTTGTCTCGTTTTCAATAATTGCCGCAGCCACCACCCTGATCAGTTAGCAGCCATCAGCATCGAAGCAAGACATTCTACCAGCAAAAAGATTACAACTTGCTAAAGCCTCAGATGATTGATAGCATTTTTTAGCAATAAAGCATTTTTAAATTAAAGCATGTACATCTTTTAGGCGTAACGCTGTTGCACACTTAATAGACTACAGTATAGTGTAAACATAACTTTTACATGCACTGAGAAACCAAAAAATTTGTGTGACTCACATTATTGCAATATTCACTTTATTGCTGTGGGCTGGAACCAAACCTGCAGTATCTCCCAAGTATGACTGTAATTGTTTCCAGATCCTCTACCAGTTTGAAAGAACTCAATCTATCTATCAAAGTGCCTCTTAGAGTAGTGTGGTCCCATTTAGGTTCTTTTCTTATAAGGGATACACACCAATTCTAGCTTCAGTAAAAGGAAGAAATGTTGTCAGAATGCCTCAGACATTTGCTGACAGATGCTACAGTGCTGCCACAGTTTACTAGAGGTAGAATCTGGAAAAGAGTATTTTTTCAGGAGAAGTGAGATGAGGTTAAAGATTTGTAAATAAAGACGTTTATTGTAGTATTATTTATAATAGTGAGAAACTAGAAAATGTATGTTCAACAACATTTAAGGCCCTTTGTAAAATATTAAGTAATAAGCCAGTGTATAAAGTTAGGTTCAGTGTGGTATTCATTTTGTAGGAAAAAAAAAATATATATATATATATATATATATATATATTTATGCAAGAAACCTAGGAATAAATGGATAGTCCAAAATGTTAATAATAATTGTCTCCAGGTGTGGGATTATGGGTGCTTTCTTCTTTATATTTTTATGTATTTAAAATCCTTTCTGCACTTAACATTACTTTTATAATTAGTAAAAGATAATATGATTGGGCTGGGTACGGTGGCTTACGCTATAATCCTAGCACTTTGGGAGGCTGAGGCGGGTGGATTGCTTGAGTCCAGAAGTTCAAGACCAACTTGGGCAATGTGGCGAAACCCGGTCTCTACAAAAAATATGAAAATTAGCTGGTTGTGGTGGTCTGCACCTGCAGTCCCAGCTACTTGGAGGCTGAGGTAGGAGGATCGCTTGAGTCTGGGAGGTCAAGGCTGCGGTGAGCGATGATTGTGCCACTGAACTCCAGTCTGGGCAACAGAGTGAGACCCTGTCCAAAAAATAATTAATATGATAAATATTTCTTGAACGTAAAATACATTAGTATGGCTTTCAGAACTGAAAAAACAATGTAGGGATGTGATTAAACATGATAGAATAAGTACATTAATTTATCTCTTTAAAAAGAAGGGAGGAATAAACTTAAAACAATTTCAGTCAGTACCAATGAATTTATTAAAGTAAACATTTTACTCAGTATAGACTATATGCCAGGAATTCAGTATGCCAGGTGCTTGGGGAAACAAGTTGGTTACTGAAAGGAAGTAAGCTTGCTGTCATTTCTTCCAGAAAGTTTTGTATGGTCTTTCTATCATTGAGCTTACGATAACATAACTGAAATTATCAGTTCATTTGTTTGTTTCCCCGAATTGATTATGAGTTCCTTTAGGATAGGGACTATGTCTTTTTCATTTGTGTACCTCCAACACCTAGCAATTTGTTTCATTAACCCTGCTTGGGATGTCGTAAGTGATGATGCTTGAGGTGGATTTTGAAGAATGAGTGCCTATGATAAAAAGTTGGTTTACTCTTAACAAAATCCTTCATTCCCCTATAACAAGAGATAGATAAGTTACTGTACTGCAGCAATTATTCATTTTAATTGAGAATATTTTTATTTTGTCTTTTTCAAATGGATTTTGGTTTGACCTCGTTTCAGAATACAGTTCTGAGTTGGTCAGTAAAGTGAATGTCACTTTCCATTTATATTTTAAACATAAAAATTTGGCCGTAAATTGATTGCAGTTTAGGTGAGGGGCAAGGGAGAAGTTGCATTCATAGAGATGAGGTTGAGAAATCATAGTGGATGATTTTTACAGTATATTAACAAAATGAATTCGTTGTGAAGACTTCCTCAAGTTAGGTATACAAAACAAATAATCAGAATATTGTTGCCTTCATTTCATATGAACTAGGACAACATGTAGAATATGCAAGGAACATGAAGATCTTAAAAAACTATAGCAAGAATTAGTTTAGATTTAACATGTACCTTCCATCCCCAGTTTACTCACAAATTACATCCCCAAAGTTCAATGGGAAGTTGATTCCTTCTTCGGTGTCACAGGATAATTTTATAACAACAGTGATAGAGATCTGTGGTCTTCAACCCAGGGAACGTTTGTCAACATCTGGGGACATTTTTCATTGTAACATCTTGCTGGTGGTAGAGGGTGCTACTGGAATCTAGGAATTGAGACTAGGAATACTGCTAAACATCCTACAATGCACAGGACAATCCCCATTCCCCCAAAGAAGTATCCATCTGCAAATGTCAGTAGTGCTGATGTTGGGAAACCCTGCCTAAACAATGGTCAAGTTCCCAGGCCAGCCTCAGAAACTTTAACCAGTAACAGTATTTATAGCCCATAACTGAAACTTAGTGCTAGCAGTGCCATTTCATTTGTTACTTGAAATTATTTCATCTCCATAGAAAAGTTCTTCTTAAATTTCAATTTGGGATTAATTTCCTTATTGGGGCACAAAGGGCAGTTACTCCCATAACGTGGTAGAGACTAGATTTCAATGCCTCTGGCTAGTGTTTTTTAGCTTTTCATACGTATCAGTCAGTCTTACAGAATAATGGCCAGGTGCAGTGGCTCACACCTGTAATCCCAGCACTTTGGGAGGCCAGGGCAGGTGGACCACTTGAGGTCAGGAGTTCAAGACCAGTCTGGCCAACATAGTGAAACCCCATCTCTACTAAAAGTACAAAAATTACCTGGGCATGGTGGTGGGTGCCTGTAATCCCAGCTACTCGGGAGGCTGAGCCAGGAGAATCGCTTGAACTCGGGAAGCGGAGGTTTCAGTGAACCAAGATCATACAACTGCACTCCAGCCTAGACAACAGAGCAAGACTCTGCCTCAAAAAAAAGTGTTTATAGAATAGAGATTGCCTGTTATTTCTGTATAGTCATCCCTGGGTATTTGCAGGGGATTTGTTCCAGAACCCTCACGGATACTAAAATCCATGGATGCTCAAGTTCCTTATATAAAATGGTGTAGTATTTGCATATAACCTATGCATATTTTCCTATATACTCTAAATAATTTCTTAATTACTTATAATACCTAATACAATGAAAATGGTATGGAAATATTTGTTATACTGTATTTTTAAGATTTGCATTTTTAAATTGTTGCATTGTTAATTTTATTGTTTTTTTCATCCCAAATATTTTCAATTCATGGTTGGGTGTCTCCTGCAGATGCAAAACCCATGGATATGGAGGTCCTACTGCATAATGTTTAGATGATGCATACTCACATGTTTTTTAAAACTTGAAAATGTTTAATCAGTTTATTAACTTATTTACCAAATATTCATTTAGAAATAAGTAAGAGTAGAATGAGTATTTGTAGTTTTTAGTGTCCTATAATAATGATTCACTTTGATTTTATTAACAGGATCAGGAGAAGGTCTGGGGAAAATAATCCAGAGATTTCCACAGAAGGACTGGGATGATACACCTTTTCCACAGGGAATTGAGTTGGTAAGTGGTTGTTGTATTATTGCATATTTATAATGTTACTTTTCTTTTTTGTCACATTGATTTTTACATTTATGTTACATTTGCTGTTAAATAATTTGATAATTTAATTGTAAGATATTACAGTACTAGAAATAGTTATCTTCCCTCCTAGTCCCTCAAGTACGGTCATCTTTGAATATATTAATTCTAGAATGCCTATTTTGCTCTTCTTTTTCTCATTTAAATTTCTAATATTAAAGCTGAAATTGAGGGCCAGGCGCGGTGGCTCATGCCTGTAATCCCAGCACTTTGGGAGGCCAAGGCGGGCGGATTACGAGGTAAGGAGATTGATACCATCCTGGTAACACGGTGAAACGCTGTCTCTACTAAAAATACAAAAATTAGCCGGGCGTGGTGGCGGGCGTCTGTAGTCCCAGCTACTCAGGAGGCTGAGGCAGGAGAATGGCATGAACCCGGGAGGCGGAGCTTGCAGTGAGCCAAGATCGTGCCACTGCGCTCTAGCCTGGGCGACAGAGCAAGACTCCCTCTCAAAAAAAAAAAAAAAAAAAAAGATGAAATTGATGATTTTCATATACTCAAAAGCAGAAAAATTCCACTGCTTCTTTAGTAAAAGTCTTAGCCTAGTAACTTCAGGGATACACATATATATATTTTTTTTTTCCTGAAAATGTCCAGGTTATTGTCTTAGTAAAAACAAAACAAAAAACACAGATAAATAAAAAACCAAAAGTTCATTTAATGTTGACCAGTCATGGCTTGAATTTGATCTTAAAATCACAAATTAGATTTCTTTTGTTTTTAGCTACAAGGTCTGAAGGTTATTTTATAATAGTGCAGTTCAACTCCTTTTGTTGTTGTTGTTACCCGTTTTAAAGGAATTTATTGGTTGAACATAATTTATGCTACCCAAGATATTCTATCTGGTGGTGGATCCATGGTGGTAAACTGAGGGACTAGAAAGGTGATTACTAAAGTACTTTGTAATATGTCTACGAAGTTTGGTTCTCCAGATTTACTGGGGGTGTGTGTGTGTACTTATTTATATTGTGTTTATGGATATGCACACACATAAACACATAGAAGCAGTGTCTTCAAAGCAGTCCTGTTGAGAGGACATTTGGTATAACATGATACTTAAGAGTGCAGGCTCTGGAGCAGAGTGCCTAGGTTAAAATCTCAGCTGCGTGGTATGACTTTTGACAAGTTGCTCAACTACTTTGAGCCAGCAGAATACTTATCTATAAAATGAGGATAATGATTATATTAATCTCATAGGTTGTTGTAAAGATAAAGTGGAAAAAATACACATAAAATGATTAGAACAATGTCTTCCATAAATGAGTTGTCCCATTGTTTAATTAGTATTGTTGCTGTTTGTTCAACATATCTCAGCACCTTACCCACAGGAACAATTGTTCATTCTCTTGTTGGCATGGATCAGAAATATCTGTTAGATATTTTGTATTGAAAATTGTAAATTTTCTCGTCGTAGCTAATAACTGTCCAGTTTTGCTTCACTGAAAATTAAAGATACATTGCTAGGTGCTTAGTTTTGATTGTTATAACTCAGCCATGTAAAGAAAGCTGAGGGTTCTGTAGGCCTACAGAGGGGGTAAATCTTGAATTTTGGCATTAAAAATGGGGAAGGAATGTGAGGATCCAAGGAAAATGGCTTTTTGGAAAGCCCTTTGCATTCCTTTCTCTTTTTCCCCATATGCCTGCAAATACCAGTAATTGGCCTTACAGTGTGAATAAGCAGGCATTTGTTCTATAAAAGCTTTTAAACCCTGTTTCAATGTCCCTTTTAGTGTGATTGAGGGGAAATTTTTGGTGCTAGGGACCTGTTAGAACTTATTGTGGGTTCCTACCTCCATTCACATCAAAGTGTGGAGAGATATAAACTATACCAATTTAACAGTATGAGCAGTGACTCACCTTCATAAGTTTCAGGAACCAACAGACATCATAGAGGGAGAAGGGAAATCATGGATTGGCATAGCTATTTAGCTAGGACAGAGAAAGGATAGTGTTGTTTTGAAAACCAAGAGAATAGATACCTATGATACCTCTCTTATTTCTCCAGTAGCAAGGGAGAGAAACATACTGATTTTACTACTTAGTAAATAGATATTTTCTCTTTGTATGACAGACACTGCCATGTTCAAGTGCTATAAATGTTTCTCCAATAAGTGGAGTCATGTGCTGTTAGAATAGTGAAATGGAGGTGCTAAGAGTTAGACAGAACTTTTCCTCCCTAAGATTTTCCTAGATGACTTCTTGGCATATTCTTAGCATAGCATTTCAAGATTTGTTGGGCTAGATTAATATTTAAAGAGTAATCTGTTGGATTACGTCAGAAATTTTCTTTTTCCTTTTCCTTTTTCCATAATGGATCGCAATTTCAATTCTTTAATGTCTATGGTGTTGTCAAGTACAAAATAAATTTATCTTACATCTATCAAAGTCCATTTTAAAAACAGAATAAATCACTATTAATTTTTTATTGTCCAGTCTTTATTGCCTTATTTTTGCATATCTTTAGAGAGTGTGAATATTCTGTATATGAACAACAATAGCTTGAATAATTGTGATGCCTTATGTGATCTTGAGTAACCCTGCGGCTTCAAGACCAAAGATAGATATAATAAAATTTTAGTCTAATTGAAGGTGATCTGGCTTAATCCTTAAGTGGTTTGTTGTTTCCAGTGTAGTCGTGACCCTTTTCTGATGATTTATGGGAAAAATTCTTACCCCTTCCATAATGGTGGAACAACATTAGCATGTAACATTCATGTTAATATGTAGCAGTTGTATAGGATTAATAGATTGTGATGAACTCACGTACATAATGGTGGTAGTATATTAATTCACAAATAAGTAAACAGAGGCTTAGGAAATTTAAATAACTTTACTGAGATCTAACAGCAAGGATACAGCAGAGCTAGGATTCAAACCCTGATCTTTTGACTCTTAGTGTCAGCCAAGATCTGAGAGATTTCTAGGAGTGACACTTTTAGCTGTGGTTAGCATTTTAGTGTAAATGGTTAGTCTTTTAGTGTAAATGTAGAATTCTGTGATTTGGAAGAACTAAGGTTGAGAAATGTTAAGAGAAGGCTGTGTTATTGAATAGGGACCAACTTTATTATTTATTTTATCTGAGAACACACATGGGCTCACAATATAATATTATATTCAAATTATTTTCTGTTGCCACTTCTCCTTCCCAGGGAACACATAATTGATGTATGTAAGTTCTAAATGAAAAATAGATATGTGTTCAGCCTTACAACTGGTGGAAAAGGATTTTAGGCATTCATTCACTAATCAAATTCCAAATTTAATTTAGAGGATGCTGAATTTCTTTTTCCATTTTTACATAAAGAAATTGCCTTCTATTTTTCTATTGAAAAATGGTAAACTTTAATTCGGATGGATTTTAAAAATAAAAATATGAAAGTAAGCTAAACCAAACATAATGACTACTTTTCCAATTCTGGGATATTTTTATCTTTCTCTTGTGCTTTTTAGGCATACACGAAAACCACAGACAGTCATATAAATAAAGTTGCAGTTAATTTTAGTGACAGCATTTCAAAGAAAATTGTTTTTCAGAGGCATTCTATGGTTAACAATCTATTCCTGATTATATGAACAATATTTTTATTGGCTAGATCAGAGACATCTAAACAGCTTAAAGAATTAAAGCAAAATTGTATTGTTTTGACCTTAGCTCCTGTTTTTTTTTTTTTTTAGACGGAGTTTCACTCTTGTTGCCCAGGCTGGAGTGCAGTGGCGCAATCTTGGCTCACTGCAGCCTCTGCCTCCCAGATTCAAGCAGTCCTCCTGCCTCAGCCTCCCAAGTAGCTGGGATTACAGGCATGTGCCACCACACCTGGCTAATTTTGTATTTTTAGTAGAGACAGGGTTTCACCATGTTGGTCAGGCTGGTCTCGAACTCCTGACCTCAGGTGATCCCCCTGCCTTGGCCTCCCAAAGTGCTGCGATTACAGATGTGAGCCACCACACCCAGCCGACCTTAGCTCCTTTTTAAGATGCCCTGTTTTAGGAGTGAATTTTTTTATATCATTATTCAGAAAATATGCCACAA
This sequence comes from Homo sapiens, assembly GCF_000001405.40. Classification (NCBI taxonomy): domain Eukaryota; kingdom Metazoa; phylum Chordata; class Mammalia; order Primates; family Hominidae; genus Homo; species Homo sapiens. Next base: position 10,189,793 of record NC_000011.10, on the reverse strand, counting down.
TCTCAGTAGGGCATGCCTGTACTAAGGTTTTTGTTAGATGTACCTGATTTTTTTAGAAGACTAAAGTACTGTAGTAAATAAATTTTGTGGCTTGAAAAAGAGAAGCATTCAGTTAGAATTTCTAACTTTAATGTTCTTACGAAATTGGTTCTGTTATTTAAATTATACACTAGCAATTTGACTACCTGCCCTATGAATTCAGTCTTCTGTAAATGTAGATTGAGGAGAAGAGAGGAAAAAGAGCTTGTATTCCACATTGTGCAGGTGTAACATAGGAAAAGTAGCTTTAATATGGGATGTTATTTGAGGACAGAGAGGTAAATATAAGTACCATGTAATGCTTTAATTCTTTAAGCTGTTTAGAATGCAATACATACAATAAATGGGTAGCAATCATCCATCTGACATAGATGTAAATACTGTTTGGTTAGAAGAGACTTTTCTCTTCCTTTTTGTAGAAGAATATGCTTGAAAGGAGAATGAGATGACAGAATCAGGGTTCACAAACATTTTAAAAGGCAGGAGTTATGGGATGTTTAAGAAAATGAAATATAATAAGTAAAAATTTAAGTTCTTGCATGTGAGTATATAAAGCTAGATTTATAAGTAATTATTTAGAATAAAGATAGGCAGATACTATCCAGCTAGAGAGGTTTGAGAAATAGAAGAAGACAGATTTTAAAAAGTTTATAAAAGGTATGTATGGTAGATACTGTAGATGGAATCTAAAGCCTCTGTCCTGAGGTAAGGTGCGAGGTAAAATACACAGTTTTAAAGATGGTCCAAAGCTTGGTATAAACCGTGTGTGGAAGGACTCTTGATTTGGCATAGAGTTGAGGCTGAAAACTTAAGAAAACTGCTACGAAGTATGAAGACCTGGCTTTTAAAACATACTAAGAACTATAAAAAGGATTTTAAAAGTTATGTTCACAACAAAGCAAGTGGATATAAATGGAGTTTAAGCTAGAAAATGGTGGTTTGAGCTCATATTTTTGGTACCCACTCCCAGACTGTTGTCTCTTTGAAGTAATAAAACCACAGGGCAGGGAACCTCATGAAGTCTGGAAAGTGCATGTGAGGTAGTAGATTATTTTATCATCTCTGAGGAAGAGATTAATTAATCTTGGTGTTATGATTCTAATACACTCCTCCATACTCACTACAATGGTTTGTTTATCCTGTACTAGAACTAGTGTCTCTCAATTCTGCTTATTTTGTCAGTGCATCGATACCCTCAGTTATGCTAGAAAATCTTTCCCCTACAGTCACGTACTTCACTTCTGCTCTCAGAACCACTTTAGACAAAGTTTTCTTGTCATGCTAGGGTTCTGCTCTACCTGATGCTTTAAGACCAAAGAGAACTTCCTGAGGAAGATGTAGAGCTACACAGGCCTGACCCACTACATCTGTGTATTGTTTGCGGACAGCCTGGACTTCGTTACATGGTATCATACTGCTACTCATCTCTCATGTGCTTGTCTGTCATATCACCCTTATGGCTTATCCTGTACTTCTTAAGTTCCAGTTCCTTTTTGCTACTATTCTATTTCTATTCATCCCATTTCCATTGTATCTATAATTTTAGCAAAAAAAAATTTCTTGACTTTATGTTTTAGCTACTATCCTATTTCTTCTTTATTATAAAATGTTTTCAGTGAGTCTTCATTTGCTGTCCCAATTTCTCTAAGAGACTAATGTGGTTCAGTAGAAAGAATACGGGATTTGAAATTTAAAAGCCTTGAGCGAAGTTAATTTACTCTCTCTGATAATAATAATTTTCCTACAGGGATGTTATTAGATGATCATCTGTTAATATTTTAATATTTGTAATGTTACAATTTGTTGTTATTTACTCTCATTTCATACCTCTATCTCACGCACATTGCAGGGATTTATTCTGAAGTATAGTTTATGTCCTGTCTGTTCTGAAATCACAAAGTTGAAGTTAATTTTTTCTGAATTGGTTAAGGTAATGCTAGCTTTTGTAATAGATATACCTGGAAATCTTAGTAACTTAACATAATAGAAGGTTTTTTTTCCCCTTATTTACATAATGGCTAATTAGTGGCAGTAGGGTAGATGGGAGTGGGGTTTGCCATTTTCAAAATGTGGTCTTGTAACGAAAAAGCAAGTTAGATGCCCACTAAATGTAGAGTTCAATTAACAAGAGTGATGTCTGATTAAAAAAAAAAAAAGTGAGTTTATTCCAAAGCTCATTGGGGGGAAGAGGCACAAAGCATTCTTCTTTTAAATGTCCCACTTCACCTTTGGAGCAGAAAGCAGGCATTTTTATAAGGCAGGGGAGGAGATGAGCGAAGGCAGGGGTCCCCCTGCTACCAGGCAGTTATCTACTAGGCAGTTGGGTTGGCACCTTCCTGGGAAAAGTTGTAAAAGGTGCCAAGTGGACATGCTTTCAGCAAGCCCTCCAAGTAGGTGTAAGTTCTGAGGCAGGTGGAGAGGGGACGCAGGGAGAGAGAGAGAGAGAGGAGAGAAAAAGGAGAGAGAGAGAGAGAGGAGAGAGAGGAAAAAGAGAATAATTAAATCACCTACAGAAAAATGGGGGTACTTGGTTACAGTCCTCAGGGTCTTCTTAGGCAGCAGTAGTTGGTCGTCAGAGTAGTAAGAGAAAGCATGGAGGATAGTAAAAGTTAGTTTTATGGGATATGTCTGGAGGCAGTATATATTATCCATATTCTATTAATCAGAAGTCAATCACAAAGCCAGTTAGCTGTAATAGGAGATTGGTAAATAAACCCTAGATGTGTGCTTAGGAGAAGAAGGAAACAGATTTACTGAACAAATAGCTTTCCTCTGCCACACTGTTCATGCTGAATCCAAAGATTGTTTCCCTTATCTTAATTTTCCTTGACCATTTTATTTTTTGACCTCATTAATTTGGTCTTTGTGGTATAATGAAAAAATAAATGTTTGGTCTTTGCCCCCAGTTTCTGGCACAGAGCTCCTGAAACCTTTGTGATTTACTGTGTTTTATATGCCAGTGAGATGGCTCTTGGGTTGAGAGGCCCTAAATAGTTTCAGGATAGGGGCTGGTCACCAGAGGAAGCAATTATGCATTTAGTGGGTTGGAACTTTCACCCCCAGTGGGGAGAGAGAAGGGCTGGAGATTGAGTTTAGTCACCAATGGCAATGATTTAACCAGTTATGCCTACTTAGTGAAACCTCCATTAAAACCCCTAGATAACAGGGCTCAGAGAGCTTTTGGGTTGATGAACACATTTTTTTTGATTGTTTTAAAGAGACACAGGATCTTACATACTCTGTCATCCAGGCTGGAGTGCAGTGGTGTGATCTTAGTTCATTGTAACCACGAACTCCTGGACTCAAGCGATCTCCTGCCTCAGTGTCCAGAATAGCTAGGACTACAGGTGTGTGCCACCATGCCCAGCTATTTTCTTATTTTTCTTAGAGACAGAGTCTGTCTTTCCCAGGCTGGTCTCAAACTCCTGGCCTCAAGTAATCTCCTCACCTCGCCCTCCCAAAGCACTGAGATTACAGGCATGAGCCGCTGTGCTTGCCCAATGAACACACTAATGTCTTGTGAAAGTGGTACACCTGAGAGAGGGCATGGTCCCTGCCATACCTCACTCTGTATATCTCTCCCACTTGTCTGTTTCTTAGTTGTATCCTTTATAATCAAGTGGTAAATATAAATATCTTTTTCTAATACTAAATTTCTAATATGAGGTAAGTTCTGGGTAACAAATAGCCTGGAAGATTAAATCACAGCTCGTTCATGCCTAATTTCAGTTTCAGCAATTTATCTTATCCTTAATCTGAAACTAGGGTAACTGTGTCTTATTCAAACCAGAATGTTTTTGAGAGTGAAAAGGATTGAATCAAAAATATGCATAAACTGGAGCTATCTAGAACCAACTGATTTGTATGGTTACTTATATATATGTGTATGTATGAATTACCTGTATGCAAAAGGTTGGAAACTATCTAAATGACCATTAGTATGGGGACTCGTTGAATTAGCGGTACCACAGCCACTCATCAGAACATAGTACAGCTGTTAAAAAGTACGAGATAAGGAGATCTACAAGCACACGAAAAGATGCTAACATCACCAATTATTAAGGAAATGCATATTAAAGCCACCATAAGATACTATTGCATGCCCATTATTATTGCTATTAAAAAAAAAAAAAAAAGCCAAGCACAGTGGCTCACATTTGCAGTCCCAGCAACTGGGGAGGCTGAGATGGAAGGGTCACCTGAGCCTAGTAGTTGGAGGCAGCAGTGAGCTATGATTTGCACCACTGCAACTCCAGCTTGGGTGATAGATGAGATTCCAACTCTAAAAAAAGCCCCAAAACAAAACAAAAATCCCAGAAAATAACAAATGTTAGCAAGATTAGGGAGAAACTGGAACTCTTGTGCACTGTTGGTGGGAACGTAAAATGGTGCAGCCACTATGGAAAATGGTATGGAGAGTCTTCAAAAAAAATTGAAAATAAAATTACCATATGACCTAACAATTTCACTTCTGGGTATATCCTAAAAGAACTGAAAGCTGGGATTCAAACAGATATTCATACACATGTTTATAGTAGCATTGTTCACAGTAGTCAAATGGTGGAAGCAACCTGAATGTCCATAGACAGATGAATAGACAAGTGAGATGTGATACACGTGTGCACGCACACACACACCCCCCCCCAGAATATTATTCAGCCTTAAAAAGGAAGAAAATTCTGACACATGTTACAACATGTGCCAACATTTGTTGTGTTATGCAAGGTTCAACCTGAAGGATGAACCTTGGGGACACTATGTTAAGGGAAATAAGCCAATCACAAAAAAACACAAATACTAGGAGATCGAGACCATCCTGGCTAACACGGTGAAACCCCGTCTCTACTAAAAATACAAAAAATTAGCCGGGCGTGGTGGTGGGCGCCTGTAGTCCCAGCTACTTGGGAGGTTGAGGTGAGAGAATGGCATGAGCCCAGGAGGCAGAGCTTGCAGTGAGCGGAGATCACGCCATTGCACTCCAGCCTGGGCGACAGAGTGAGACTCCGTCTCAAGCAACAACAACAACAATAAAAAACAAAACAAAATACTGTGTGATTTCACTAATATGAGAGACATAGAGTAATCAAATTCATACAGGCAGGAAGTAGAATGGTGGTTGCCAGGGGCTGGGGAAAGGGAGGAATGGCAAGTTGTTTAGTGGGTATAGATTGTGAATTTTGCAAGATGGAAAGAGTTTTGGAGTTTAGTTGCACAACAGTGTGAATGTACTTAACACTATCTGAACTGTCCACTTAAGATTGTTAAGATGATAAATTTTGTGTTATATATATTTTACTGTAGTTAACTTTTTAAAACAGTATGAAATAAAGCTTTATGTACTGAAATGAATAAATCTCTAAGGCATATTTTATAGCAAGTAGCCAAAAACTATCTGGGAAAAAAAGAACAAAGTTTGGAAGACTTATACTACCTGGTTTCAAGACATCCCATAAGGCTCAATAATCAAGACAGTATGGTATTAGCTTAAGGAATAGACATGTAGATCCATGGTACAGTCTAGAAGCAAACTCACATATATATCATGAATTTATTTCTTTTTTCTGAAATGTTCCACTTTATTGAAAGAAAAGCATGTGTTATCTTTTTTGTTTTTTCCTTTTATTTTTAGTTGATATGTAATAATTCTACATGTTTATGGGAAACAGGGTGATATTTCAGTACATGTATGCAATGTATAATGGTGGAATCAAATTAGTGTATCCATCACCTCAAATACCTATCATTTCTCTGTGTTGTGAACGTTCAGAATCTTCTAAGTTTTTGAAAATATACACTAAATTATTGTTAACCATATTCACCTTAACGGTGCTACAGAACACGAGAACTTATATTTCCCATTTAGCTATGACTCTGTGTCTGTTAACCAATCTCTTCCTTTCCTTCCCTCCCCACATCCTTCCCAGCCTCTAATAACCACAATTCTACTCTCTGCTTCTATGAGCTCAAATTTTTGTTTTTTGTGTTTTTAGCTTCTACATATGGATGAGAACACACAGTAGTTATCATTCTGTGCCTGACTTCATAAATTGGTTTTTGGACCGAGTTGCTAATGTAATTCAGTTGTGGAAGTGATAAGCCCAAATGGTGCTAGAACAACTGGATATCCATTTAGGAAAAAAATGAGCCTTGACCCTTAAACCATACACAAAAAGTAACTTGAAATGGATCATAGTCTAAATGTAAAAGCTAACACTATAAAGTTTTTAAAAGAAAACTTAGGATTTTGAGACCTTTAGTTAAGCCAAGATTTTTTAGAGAGAATGTCAAAACCGTGACTGATTAAAGTTTCTCTGGATTTCCTGAAAAACCTTGAAAAATAGTATATAACCATGCAGAAAAGGTGGATAATACAATAGCAATAAGCCCCATTTTTTTTAGAAGTTTCCCTTGGATCTACAGAATCTTTGGATGCTACTTGGGCCTTCTAGTTTTTACTATTTACCATTGGAAAGGAGGAGGACGCTGGAAGAAATGAGAGGATGTGGGACGCTTTAAGCAGCGCTTTCACCTAGAAAGGGAGAGCAAAGTTTACTCAGGTGTTATTTTTGCCAGATGCCAGGTTTTCTTCTTCAAGCCAGAATTTTGGGTATATTAGAAAATGTGGGGTGATGATCACCCTGGGCAACATGGTGAAACCCTGTCTCCACAAAGCATAGAAAAACTGGCCAGGCACAGTGGCTCACGCCTGTAATCCCAGCACTTTGGGAGGCCGAGGCGGGCGGATCACAAAGTCAAGAGATCAAGACCATCCTGGCCAACATGGTGAAACCCTGTCTCTACTAAAAATACAAAAATTAGCTGGGCGTGGTGGCGCGTGCTATAGTCCCAGCTACTCGGGAGGCTGAGGCGGGAGAATCACTTGAACCCAGGACACGGAGGTTGCAGTGAGACGAGACATCGCCACTGCACTCCAGCCTGGCGACAGAGCAAGACTCCGTCTCAAAAAAAAAAATTAAAAAACAACAAACAAACAATAACAACAACAACAACAACAACAAAAAGACATAGAAAAATTAGCTGGACATGGTGGTGCTTGCCTGTAGTTCCACATACTTGGGAGGCTGAGGTGGGAGGGTCGCTTGAGCCCAGGAGGCAGAGATTGCAGTGAGCCGAGATTGCACCACTGCATTCCAGCCTGGGTGACAGAGTAAGACCCTGTCTTAAAATAAACAGACAAAAAAAAAGTCAGGTGATTTTGACAATAAGACTTCTTTCTTGAAGTTTTGATTGCTGTAAATGGTAGCCAACTTGAGATATTAAAATCATTATGTGAAAGACTTTGTGATATGCAAGAAAGAATACTGAACTCTAGGATTTTATGTATCTGTATGTTTATATTTATGTATATATAGAGAGGTGTATATTTAAATACATAATTTGCTTATAAAGGACAACAGCAATTTGAGAGAACACCATCTCTCTAGGTCATTCCTGTAGGTCATCTCTCTAGGTCTACTTTCAAAGGTACGTAAGGAATGAATTTTTATATTACCTACCCCCCCATTTTGATCTCATAAAGCTTTTTGTCGAATTATACATCTATACATCCATACATCCTAATTACTGTACGAAATATGTTTACATCTTTTTGCTTGACTTTGAATAATTCTTTGAGAGTTTCCAGTTACGGATATTACCATGTATGGTCATCTCCTTGTAACTTAGCTTAATTTAAAGTACCTTTAAGCTAGCCAGAATAACTTGCAAATCTGTTGATTTAATAAGATGAAGTATTTGGTGGCCTCTAGTGGTACTTATGTGTCTATAAAAAGTCACCAATGTACAAAATTTTAGGGTGAGAGTTACTAAGGTGACAAAGTAAACACATATGTGTATTTATTGAAGAAAAGTTTTTTAGTCTTTGAGAACTAAAAGCTCATTAATCAAATATAAATTTATCAATGATATGGCTGTATCTACTTTTATAGCAAATTATTATCACCACTAAACTTTCCTCACTTTCAAGAAATGCCTTGGAATTATACTCATATCTCTTAATTGGGAGAATTTTTATGTAACTTGTATTTAACATTCAGAAATAGTTTACTATTGCATTGAATTGAGATGTGTCCAGGAAGGAGGATGGTGGGAATATTTCTGACCTCTTTTGAAATGTAATGAAAGCTAAAAAGGGAGTCACAATTTCATAGATTAATTATAAAGATAAAAGTCCTTAGTAAAATGTACTTTTTTAAACAGTTAATTCTGGCTAACTCTTAAAGATACTTTAAGTCTGGCCAAAAATTATCTAGAATCTGAACTGCATGTAGAAATTTAGAAAAATCACTTCAAAAATTGGGAAAATTTGTATAAAGTTAAGATTTAGAAAACCAAAGAGAAAAGTGACAGTTTTAGGTAAGTTATATTTATTTCTTAAATGCTAAAATTCATTCATTAAAAAAATTAGAAATTGAAATCTCAGATTTCATAGCTTGCTCAGTGTTATGTAGCTACTTAGTAATTGCTGAGATGATAATAAAACCCTGGTCTTTTGATTCTCTGCTAAAGCTTTTCTAAAACTATTCTGCTAGTAGTATTATATGAGAAAGCTGATTTTTAAAAAAGTTTTCTTTATTTCTGATACTTAAAAAATTAATAGACTAAGCCCTAGATTCCAATTAGGATGGTTTAAGTGGCGTTAGAAAGACACTTAGAGAAAAAGCATTTTAACATTAAAATCAGAAGAGTGTAATGACATGAGTACTCGGTGCTTAGAGAGTTGGCAGCTTTTATTTTTTCCAAAGATAGACCATATTTACCAGAAAAACCTCTAATATCTGTGAAATTAGGAATAGCTTTGATTATGACAGCCACAGTGTTCTAATGAAAAAGTTAGATTTTACTATTGGATTCAAAACCAAGTGAAAGATTTCAATAAAGCTAAGGAATGCATCAGAGTCTCTTAACAGCAGCAGAATTGATCAAGTGGAAGAAAGAATTTGTGAGCTTGAAGACAGGCAGAACACCAAAGAAAAAAGAATGAAGCATACCTACAAGATCTAGAAAATAGCCCCAATGGGGCAAATCTAAGAGTTATTGGCCTTAAAGAGGAGGTAGAGAGAGATAGGGGTAGAAAGTTTACTCAAAGTGATAATAACAGAAAATTACCCCAAACTAGAGAAAGATATTAATATTGAAGTACAAGAAGGTTATAGAACAGCTAGCAGATTTAATCCAAAGAAGAATATATCAAGACATGTAATATCAAACTCCCAAAGGTCAAGGATAAAGAAAGGATCTTGAAAGCAACCAGAGAAAAGAAAGAAATAACATACAATAGAGCTCTAGTATGTCTGACAGCAGATTATTTCATGGAAACTTGACAGGCCAGAGAGAGTGGCCTGATATACTTAAAGTGCTGAAGGAAAGAGGCTTTTATCCTAGCATAGTATATCTAGCAAAAATATTCTTCAAACACGTGGGAGAAATACTTTCCCAAACAAAAGTAGAGGGATTTCATCAACACCAGACCTGTCTTACAAGAAATGATAAAGGGAATAGCTCCATCAGAAAGAAAAAAACATTAATAAGAAATAAGACATCATCTGAAGGTACAAAACTCACTGGCAATACTTATAACACTGTAACTGTCATGTGTAAACTCCTCTTAAATAGAAAGACTAAAAGATGAACCAATAAAAAATAAAAACCACAAGGACTTTTCAAGACATATACAGAGCAATGAGGTAGAAATAGAAACAACAAAAAGTTAAAAAGTGGGGGAACAAAGTTAAAGTATAGAGTTTTTATTTTTCTTTTTGCTTGCTTTTATGCAATTAGTGTTAACTTGTCATTAAAGTAATTGGTTATAGGATATTATTTGCAAGCCTCATGGTAACCTTGAATTGAAAAACATACAACAAATACACACAAAACAAAAGGGGGTAAAAATAAAAATAAATGAAAACATACCACCAGAGAAAATTACCTTCACTAAAAGGAAGACAGGAAGGAAACAAGGAAGAGAAGACTGCAAAACAACCAGAAAACAAATAACAAAATGGCAGGAGTAAGTCCTGCCACATGCATCCAACACTGGAGCACCCAGATATATAAAGCAAATATTATTAGAGCTAAAGAATAGACACCAGTACAATAATAGCTGGAGACTTCAATACCCCACTTTCAGCATTGGACAGATCGAGACAGAAAGTTCAATAAAGAAACATCACACTTAATCTGCACTATAAAACAAATGTACCTAATAGATATCTATAGAACATTTCATCCAGCAGCTACAGAATATATGTTCTCCTCAGCACATGGATCATTCTCAAGGATAGGCCATACATTAGGTGACAAAAATAAGTTTTTTTTGTTTGTTTGTTTTGTTTTTGTTTTTTTTTGTTTTTTTGTTTTTGTTTTTTGTTTGTTTTTTAATTTATTATTATTATACTTTAAGTTTTAGGGTACATGTGCACAATGTGCAGGTTAGTTACATATGTATACATGTGCCATGCTGGTGTGCTGCACCCACTAACTCCTCATCTAGCATTAGATATATCTCCCAATGCTATCCCTCCCGCCTCCCCCCACCATACAACAGTCCCCAGAGTGTGATGTTCCCCTTCCTGTGTCCAGCTGTTCTCATTGTTCAATTCCCACCTATGAGTGAGAATATGTGGTGTTTCGTTTTTTGTTCTTGCGATAGTTTACTGAGAATGATGATTTCCAATTTCATCCATGTCCCTACAAAGGACATGAACTCATCATTTTTTATGGCTGCATAGTATTCCATGGTGTATACATGCCACATTTTCTTAATCCAGTCTATCATTGTTGGACATTTGGGTTGGTTCCAAGTCTTTGCTATTGTGAATAATGCCACAATAAACATACGTGTGCATGTGTCTTTATAGCAGCATGATTTATAGTCCTTTGGGTATATACCCAGTAATGGGATGGCTGAGTCAAATGGTATTTCTAGTTCTAGATCCCTGAGGAATCGCCACACTGACTTCCACAATGGTTGAACTAGTTTACAGTCCCACCAACAGTGTAAAAGTGTTCCTATTTCTCCACATCCTCTCTAGCACCTGTTGTTTCCTGACTTTTTAATGATCGCCATTCTAACTGGTGTGAGATGGTATCTCATTGTGGTTTTGATTTGCATTTCTCTGATGGCCAGTGATGGTGAGCATTTTTTCATGTGTTTTTTGGCTGCATAAATGTCTTCTTTTGAGAAGTGTCTGTTCATGTCCTTCGCCCACTTTTTGATGGGATTGTTTGTTTTTTTCTTGTAAATTTGTTTGAGTTCATTGTAGATTCTGGATATTAGCCCTTTGTCAGATGAGTAGGTTGTGAAAATTTTCTCCCATTTTGTAGGTTGCCTGTTCACTCTGATGGTAGTTTCTTTTGCTGTGCAGAAGCTCTTTAGTGTAATGAGGTCCCATTTGTCAATTTTGGCTTTTGTTGCCATTGCTTTTGGTGTTTTAGACATGAAGTCCTTGCCCATGCTTATGTCCTGAATGGTATTGCCTAGGTTTTCTTCTAGGGTTTTTATGGTTTTAGGTCTAACGTTTAAGTCTTTAATCCATCTTGAATTGATTTTTGTATAAGGTGTAAGGAAGGGATCCAGTTTCAGCTTTCTACATATGGCTAGCCAGTTTTCCCAGCACCATTTATTAAATAGAGAATCCTTTCCCCATTGCTTGTTTTTCTCAGGTTTGTCAAAGATCAGATAGTTGTAGATATGTGGTGTTATTTCTGAGGGCTCTGTTCTGTTCCATTGATCTATATCTCTGTTTTGGTACCAGTACCATGCTGTTTTGGTTACTGTAGCCTTGTAGTATAGTTTGAAGTCAGGTAGTGTGATGCCTCCAGCTTTGTTCTTTTGGCTTAGGATTGTCTTGGCAATGCAGGCTCTTTTTTGGTTCCATATGAACTTTAAAGTAGTTTTTTCCAGTTCTGTGAAGAAAGTCATTGGTAGCTTGATGGGGATGGCATTGAATCTGTAAATTACCTTGGGCAGTATGGCCATTTTCACAATATTGATTCTTCCTACCCATGAGCATGGAATGTTCTTCCATTTATTTGTATCCTCTTTTATTTCCTTGAGCAGTGGTTTGTAGTTCTCCTTGGAGAGGTCCTTCACATCCCTTGTAAGTTGGATTCCTAGGTATTTTATTCTCTTTGAAGCAATTGTGAATGGGAGTTCACTCATGATTTGGCTCTCTGTTTGTCTGTTGTTGGTGTATAAGAATGCTTGTGATTTTTGTACATTGATTTTGTATGCTGAGACTTTGCTGAAGTTGCTTATCAGCTTAAGGAGATTTTGGACTGAGACAATGGGGTTTTCTAGATATACAATCATGTCGTCTGCAAACAGGGACAATTTGACTTCCTCTTTTCCTAATTGAATAGCCTTTATTTCCTTCTCCTGCCTAATTGCCCTGGCCAGAACTTCCAACACTATGTTGAATAGGAGTGGTGAGAGAGGGCATCCCTGTCTTGTGCCTGTTTTCAAAGGGAATGCTTCCAGTTTTTGCCCATTCAGTATGATATTGGCTGTGTGTTTGTCATAGATAGCTCTTATTATTTTGAGATACGTCCCATCAATACCTAATTTATTGAGAGTTTTTAGCATGAAGAGTTGTTGAATTTTGTCAAAGGCCTTTTGTGCATCTATTGAGATAATCATGTGGTTTTTGTCTTTGGTTCTGTTTATATGCTGGATTACATTTATTGATTTGCGTATATTGAACCAGCCTTGCATCCCAGGGATGAAGCCCACTTGATCATGGTGGATAAGCTTTTTGATGTGCTGCTGGATTCGGTTTGCCAGTATTTTATTGAGGATTTTTGCATCAATGTTCACCAAGGGTATTGGTCTAAAATTTTCTTTTTTGGTTGTGTCTCTGCCAGGCTTTGGTATCAGGATGATGCTGGCCTCATAAAATGAGTTAGGGAGGATTCCTTCTTTTTCTATTGATTGGAATAGTTTCAGAGGGATTGGTACCAGTTCCTTCTTGTACCTCTGGTACAATTCGGCTGTGAATCCATCTGGTCCTGGACTCTTTTTGGTTGGTAAGCTATTGATTATTGCCACAGTTTCAGCTCCTGTTATTGGTCTATTCAGAGATTCAACTTCTTCCTGGTTTAGTCTTGGGAGGGTGTATATGTCGAGGAATTTATCCATTTCTTCTAGATTTTCTAGTTTATTTGCATAGAGGTGTTTGTAGTATTCTCTGATGGTAGTTTGTATTTCTGTGGGATCGGTGGTGATATCCCCTTTATCATTTTTTATTGCATCTATTTGATTCTTCTCTCTTTTTTTCTTTATTAGTCTTGCTAGTGGTCTATCAATTTTGTTGATCCTTTCAAAAAACCAGCTCCTGGATGCATTAATTTTTTGAAGGGTTTTTTGTGTCTCTATTTCCTTCAGTTCTGCTCTGATCTTAGTTATTTCTTGCCTTCTGCTAGCTTTTGAATGTGTTTGCTCTTGCTTTTCTAGTTCTTTTAATTGTGATGTTAGGGTGTCAATTTTGGATCTTTCCTGCTTTCTCTTGTGGGCATTTAGTGCTATAAATTTCCCTCTACACAATGCTTTGAATGTGTCCCAGAGATTCTGGTATGTTGTGTCTTTGTTCTCGTTGGTTTCAAAGAACATCTTTATTTCTGCCTTCATTTCGTTATGCACCCAGTAGTCATTCAGGAGCCGGTTTGGATCTTTCCTGCTTTCTCTTGTGGGCATTTAGTGCTATAAATTTCCCTCTACACAATGCTTTGAATGTGTCCCAGAGATTCTGGTATGTTGTGTCTTTGTTCTCGTTGGTTTCAAAGAACATCTTTATTTCTGCCTTCATTTCGTTATGCACCCAGTAGTCATTCAGGAGCCGGTTGTTCAGTTTCCATGTAGTTGAGCGGTTTTGAGTGAGATTCTTAATCCTGAGTTCTAGTTTGATTGCACTGTGGTCTGAGAGATAGTTTGTTATAATTTCTGTTCTTTTACATTTGCTGAGGAGTGCTTTACTTCCAAGTATGTGGTCAGTTTTGGAATAGGTGTGGTGTGGTGCTGAAAAAAATGTCTATTCTGTTGATTTGGGGTGGAGAGTTCTGTAGATGTCTGTTAGGTCCGCTTGGTGCAGAGCTGAGTTCCATTCCTGGGTATCCTTGTTGACTTTCTGTCTCGTTGATCTGTCTAATGTTGACAGTGGGGTGTTAAAGTCTCCCATTATTATTGTGTGGGAGTCTAAGTCTCTTTGTAGGTCGCTCAGGACTTGCTTTATGAATCTGGGTGCTCCTGTATTGGGTGCATATATATTTAGGATAGTTAGCTCTTCTTGTTGAATTGATCCCTTTACCATTATGTAATGGCCTTCTTTGTCTCTTTTGATCTTTGTTGGTTTAAAGTCTGTTTTATCAGAGACTAGGATTGCAACCCCTACCTTTTTTTGTTTTCCATTTGCTTGGTAGATCTTCCTCCATCCTTTTATTTTGAGCCTATGTGTGTCTCTGCACGTGAGATGGGTTTCCTGAATACAGAACACTGATGGGTCTTGACTCTTTATCCAATTTGCCAGTCTGTGTCTTTTAATTGGAGCATTTAGTCCATTTACATTTAAAGTTAATATTGTTATGTGTGAATTTGATCCTGTCATTATGATGTTAGCTGGTTATTTTGCTCATTAGTTGATGCAGTTTCTTCCTAGTCTCGATGGTCTTTACATTTTGGCATGATTTTGCAGCGGCTGGTATCGGTCGTTCCTTTCCATGTTTAGCGCTTCCTTCAGGAGCTCTTTTAGGGCAGGCCTGGTGGTGACAAAATCTCTCAGCATTTGCTTGTCTGTAAAGTATTTTATTTCTCCTTCACTTATGAAGTTTAGTTTGGCTGGATATGAAATTCTGGGTTGAAAATTCTTTTCTTTAAGAATGTTGAATATTGGCCCCCACTGTCTTCTGGCTTGTAGAGTTTCTGCCGAGAGATCCGCTGTTAGTCTGATGGGCTTCCCTTTGTGGGTAACCGGACCTTTCTCTCTGGCTGCCCTTCACATTTTTTCCTTCATTTCAACTTTGGTGAATCTGACAATTATGTGTCTTGGAGTTGCTCTTCTCGAGGAGTATCTTTGTGGCGTTCTCTGTATTTCCTGAATTTGAATGTTGGCCTGCCTTGCTACATTGGGGAAGTTCTCCTGGATGATATCCTGCAGAGTGTTTTCCAACTTGGTTCCATTCTCCCCATCACTTTCAGGTACACCAGTCAGACGTAGATTTGGTCTTTTCCCATAGTCCCATATTTCTTGGAGGGTTTGCTCATTTCTTTTTATTCTTTTTTCTCTAAACTTCCCTTCTTGCTTCATTTCATTCACTTCATCTTCCATCGCTGATACCCTTTCTTCCAGTTGATCGCGTCAGCTCCTGAGGCTTCTGCATTCTTCACGTAGTTCTCGAGCCTTGGTTTTCAGCTCCATCAGCTCCTTTAAGCACTTCTCTGTATTGGTTATTCTAGTTATACATTCTTCTAAACTTTTTTCACAGTTTTCAACTTCTTTGCCTTTGGTTTGAATTTCCTCCCGTAGCTCAGAGTACTTTGATCGTCTGAAGCCTTCTTGTCTCAGCTCGTCAAAGTCATTCTCCGTCCAGCTTTGTTCCGTTGCTGGTGAGGAACTGTGTTGCTTTGGAGGAGGAGAGGCGCTCTGCTTTTTAGAGTTTCCAGTTTTTCTGCTCTGTTTTTTCCCCATCTTTGTGGTTTTTTCTACTTTTGGTCTTTGATGATGGTGATGTACAGATGGGTTTTTGGCGTGGATGTCCTTTCTGTTTGTTAGTTTTCCTTCTAACAGACAGGACCCTCAGCTGCAGGTCTGTTGGAGTACCCGGCCCTGTGAGGTGTCAGTCTGCCCCTGCTGGGGGGTGCCTCCCAGTTAGGCTGCTCGGGGGTCAGGGGTCAGGGACCCACTTGAGGAGGCAGTCTGCCTGTTCTCAGATCTCCAGCTGCGTGCTGGGAGAACCACTGCTCTCTTCAAAGCTGTCAGACAGGGACATTGAAGTCTGCAGAGGTTCCTGCTGTCTTTTTGTTTGTCTGTGCCCTGCCCCCAGAGGTGGAGCCTACAGAGGCAGGCAGGCCTCCTTGAGTTGTGGTGGGCTCCACCCAGTTCGAGCTTCCCTGCTGCTTTGTTTACCTAAGCAAGCCTGGGCAATGGTGGGCGCCCCTCCCCCAGCCTCGCTGCCGCCTTGCAGTTTGATCTCAGACTGCTGTGCTAGCAATCAGCGAGACTCCGTGGGCGTAGGACCCTCCCAGCCAGGTGGGGGATATAATCTCCTGGTGCGGCGTTTTTTAAGCCTGTCGGAAAAGCGCAGTATTCGGGTGGGAGTGAACTGATTTTCCAGGTGCCATCTGTCACCCCTTTCTTTGACTAGGAAAGGGAACTCCCTGACCCCTTGCGCTTCCCGAGTGAGGCAATGCCTTGCCCTGCTTCGGCTTGCGCACGGTGCACGCACCCACTGACCTGTGCCCACTGTCTGGCACTCCCTAGTGAGATGAACCCGGTACCTCAGATGGAAATGCAGAAATCACCCGTCTTCTGCGTCGCTCACGCTGGGAGCTGTAGACCAGAGCTGTTCCTATTCGGCCATCTTGGCTCCTCTCCTGACTAAGTTTTTAAAAATTCGAAAACATTGAAATAATATCAAGTATCTTCTCTGACCACAATAGAATAGAACTAGACATCAATAAAGAGGAATTTTGGAAACTATACAAACACATGGAAATTAAACAATATGCTGCTGAATGACCTGTGGGTCCATGAAGAGTTTAAGAAGGAAATTAAGGCCAGGCACGCTGGCTCATGCCTGTAGTCCCAGCACTTTGGGAGGCCAAGGTGGGCGGGTCAGTGGAGATCGGTAGTTCAAGACCAGCCTGGCCAGCATGGCAAAACCCTGTCTCTACTAAAAAATATAAAAATTAGCCAAGCATGATGGCACATGCATGTAATCCCAGCTACTCGGGAGGCTGAGGCATGAGAATCGCTTGAACCCAGGAGGCAGAGGTTACAGTGAGCCAAGATGGCGCCACTGCACTCCAGCCTGGGCGACAGAGTGAGACGCCATCTCAAAAAAAAAGAAAAGAAATTTAAAATTGTATTGGCCAGGCGTGGTGGCTCACACCTGTAATCCCAGCACTTCGGGAGGCCGAGGCCGGTGGATCACCTGAGGTCAGGAGTTTGAGACCAGCTTGGCCAACATGGTGAAACCCCGTCTCTACTAAAAAATAAAAAAATTAGCCGGGCGCGGTGGCAGGTGCCTGTAATCCCAGCTACTTGGGAGGCTGAGGCAGGAGAATCCCTTGAACCTGGGAGGTGGAGGTTGCAGTGAGCTGAGATGCGCCATTGTGCTTCATCCTGGGAGACAGAGCAAGACTCCTTCTCAAAAAAAAAAATTTTTTTTTGAAACAAACAATAATGAAAACAGAGCATACCAAAACCTATGGAATATAGTGAAAACAGTATTAAGAGGGAAGTTTGTAGCTATAAGTGCCTACATCAAAAAAGAAGAAAAACTTCACATAAACAACCTAATGATGCATCTTAAAGAACTAGAAAGGCAAGAGCAAACCAAACCCAAGATTAGGAGAAGAAAAGAAACTAATAAAGATCGGAGCAGAAATAAATTGAAATTAAGAAAACAATACAAAAGATCAACAAAACAAAAAGTTGGTTTTTTTGTAATGATAAAATTGACAAACCTTTAGCCTGAGTAAGAAAAAAATAAAGACCCAAATAAATAAAACCAGAGATTAAAAAGAAGACGTTACAACTGATACTGCAGATATTCAAAGGACCATTAGTGGCTACTGTGACCAACTATATGTCAATAAATTGGAAAACCTGGAAGAAATGGATAAATTCCCAGAGATTTACAACGTACCAAGATTGAACAATGAAGAAATCCAAAACCTGAACAGACCAATAACAAGTAACAAGATCAAAGCCGTAATAAAAAGTCTCCCAGCAAAAGAAAGCCCAGGATCCAGTGGCTTGACTGCTGAATTCTATTAATATCAAGCTTTTAAAGAAGAACTAATGCAATTTCGACTCAAACTATTCCAAAAAATTGAGGAGGAGGGAATACTTCCAAACCTTATTCTATGAGACTAGTATTACTATGATGCCAAAACCAGGCAAAGACACAGCAAAAAAGAAAACCATAGGCCAATTTCCCTGATGAACATTGATGCAAAAAATCCTCAATAAAATCTTAGCAAACCAAATTTAACAAAATGTTTAAAAGATCCTTCATCATGACCAAGTAGGATTTATCCCAGGGATACAAGGATGGTTCAAGACACACACACCAATCAACGTGATACATTTTATCAACAGAATGTACAAAAACCGTGTGATCATTTTAATTGATGCTGAAAAAGCATCTGATAAAATTCAACATCCCTTTATGATACAAACTGTTTAAAAACTGGGTATAGAAGGAACATACCTTAACACAATAAAAGCTATATACAACAGATTCACAGCTAATATCATTATGAATGGGGGGAAAACTGAAAGCCTTTCCTCTAATATCTAGAAGGTGACAAGGATGCCCACTTTCACCACTGTTATTCAACATAGTACTGGAAGTTCTAGCTAGGGCAACCAGATAAGAGAAGGAAGTCTAGGGCATCCAAATTGGAAAGGAGGGAGTCAAATTATCCTTCTTTGCAGATGATGGATCTTATATCTGGAAAAATGTAAACACTTCACCAAAAAACTATTAAAACTGATGAACAAATTGAATAAATCTGCAGGATACAAAGTTAGCATACAAAAATCATTAGCATTTCTATATGCCAACAGTGAACTATCTGAAAAAAATCAAGAAAGTAATCTCATTTACAGTAGCTACAGATAAAATACCAAGGAATTAACCAAAGAAGTGAAAGATCTCTACAATGAAAATTATAAATCACTGATGAAAAAAAAACTGAGGAGGACACACAAAAAAAGGAAAGATATTCCATGTTCATGGATTGGAAGAATCAGTATTGTTAAAATGTTTATACTACCTAAAGCAATCTATAGATTCAGTGCAGTCCTTGTCAAAATATCAATAACATTCTTTACAGAAATAGAATAAACAGTTCTAAAGTTTATATGGAGGCAAAAAAAGACCCAGAATAGCCAAAGCTATCCTGAGCAAAAAAATAAAAATAAAAATAAAATTAAAAAAACTGGAAGAATTACATTATCTGACTTCAAATTAAACTACAGAGCTATAGTAACCAAAATAGCATGTTACTGGCATGAAACCAGACACACAAACCAATGGAACAGAATAGAGAATCCAGAGACAAATCTGTATATCTACAGGGAACTCATTTCTGAAAAAGGTGCCAAGAACATACACTGGAGAAAAGACAGTCTCTTCAGTAAATGGTGCTGAAGAAACTGGATGTCCATAGCAGAGGAAAGAAACTAGACCCCTCTTTCTCGCCATAAAAAAAATCACATCAAAATTGATTAAAGACTTAAATGTAAGACTTCAAGCTATGACATTACTACATGAAAACATGGGAGAAACTCTAGGGCACTGAACTGGGCAAAGACTTCGAGTAATACCCCATAAGCACAGACAACCAAAGCAGAAATGGACAAATAGGATCACATTAACTTAAAAAGCTTCTGTACAGCAAAGGAAACAATCAACAAAGTGAAGAGACAACCCACAGAATATATAAGGAGCTCAAACAACTGTGTAGTGAAAAAAAATCTAATAATCTGATTAAAAGCTGGGCAAAAGATCTGAATAGACATTTCTCAAAGGAAGACATATGAATGGCAAACAGTTATATGAAAAGGTGCTCAGCATCACTGATCATCAGAGAAATGCAGATCAAAACTACAACGAGATACCATCTCACCCCAGTTAAAATGGCTTATATCCAAAAGACAGGTAACAACAAATGCTGGCAAGGATGTGGAGAAAAGAGAACCCTCACACAGTGTTAGTGGGAATGTAAATTGCTAAAGCCACTATGGAGAAGAGTTTGGAAGTTCCTCAAAAAACTGAAAATAGAGCTACCATATGATCTAGCAATTCCACTGCTAGGCATATACCCAAAAGAAAGGAAATCAGTTTATCGAAGAGATAATCTGCACTCCCATGTTTACTGCAACACTATTCACAATGGCCAAGATTTGGAAGCAACCTAAGTGTCCATCAACAGACAAACGGATAAAGAAAATGTGACAATATACACAATGGAGTATTCTTTGACCATAAGAAGAACGAGATTCTGTCATTTGCAACAACATGAAACTGGAAGTCATGTTGAATGAAATAAGCTAGGCACAGAAAGACAAACTTTGCACATTCTCACTTATTTGTGGGAGTTAAAAATTAAAACAATTGATCTCATAGAGAGAGAGAGAAGAAGGATGGTTACCAGATGCTGGGAAGGGTAGTGTGGCGGGGGAGAGGAGGTAATGGAGAAGATTAATGGGCACAAAAATATAGTTGGGTAGAATGAATAAGATTTAGTGTTTTATAGCACAACAGGGTGACTACAGTCAACAATAATTTTTGTACATTTAAAAATAGCTAAAGGAGTATAATTGCATTTTTGTAACACAAAGGATAAATGCTTGAGGTGATGGATACCCCATTTACTGATTATTATGCATTATATGCATATCAGAATATTTCATGTACCTGATAAATGTATATACCTGTGTACCCATAAAAATTAAAAATTCAAAAAAGATTTCATTGAGAGTACTAACAGCTTCAGTATTTTTCTCCAATTAAATGCTCTTCAAAAGAAAGAAAAACAGTACAATATTATGTACTTACTTTGGAAAGAGTATTAAACTGCTTTAAAACTTGTGTGAAAAATGTGCTCAATTGGTTAATTTATTGTGGTTTCCATTGCTTGAAGTTCACTTTCTTTTTCCTTATGCAGTATAACTGTTTTTCCTGAGACTTCTGAGCTTTGATAAAAAGATGAGGTGGAACCCTGCGTTGTTTTAAATATTTTACTTTCTGACAAGCCAAAGAAGCAGAAGAAGAGACATGTCCTTAGTTGAGAAGCAGCACAGGAAAGCCACCTGCTCATAAATAATATCTTCCACTCATTCTATTAACTACAGATTCTTTTAGACTGATTCTGGCCTCTTTAAAATTTCCGGAAGGTACATTTCAAATTCATATAAATATTTACCTGGATTAATATTGTTCTACCTGGGTATTATCTGTAATTTCATCTCGCATAGCAGCCTGTTTCCTATTGGTGACAGTGACAAATTTGAGTAGAATGACCATGTGATGCTGATATTAGTAAAAGGGAAGAATTGGTTCTTGAACATGAAACAGGGGTAAGGGTGGAGTCTAGAAACTAATAAGTTAGTTAAAGATCACCAACAGCTGGCTTGCAGGTACTTAGAGAAAAACAACCTTTTTTGGTCGTTGCTCATTTATGCAGAATATTACTTTAAAATTTATAGCCTTTTTGAATATTTAGCAATGATAGATTCTAGTCTATTCATTTAACAGATATCTATTTGGTACTTATTATGTGCCAGGAACTGAGATCAGGGTTGAAGATATAGCTGTAAACCAGATAAAAGCTGTCTTCTCAGAACTTAAATTTCTAGTGGAGAGAGACCAGTACTAACCATAATGTTAGTAAATTATGTAGTATGTGATAATTGATAAGTACTGTAAAAAAACAGTAAAACAGTGATGGGTGGAATGTGGTCTGTTACTTTGTTTTTGTTTTTTGTTTTGAGACAGAGTCTCACTCTGTTGCAGAGGCTGGAGTGCAGTGGCACGATCTCTACTCACCACAACCTCCACCTCCGGGACTCAAGTGATTCTCCTGCCTCAGCCTCCCAAGTAGCTGGGATTACAGGCACGTGCCACCACACCCAGCTGATACTTGTAGTTTTAGTAGAGATGGGGTTTCACCATGTTGGTCAGGCTGGTCTTGAACTCCTGACCTCAGGTGATCCGCCTTCCTCAGCCTCCCAAAGTGCTGGGATTACAGGCATGAGCCACCGTGCTTGGCCGTGGCCTATTACTTCATCAAGGCAACCAGTTTCCTGCTGCTTTTTGCCAAACAGAGTCTAAGAAAAGCAAATGATCTAGGTAAAATAGCTTTTAGCATTTTTCATATTTCCTATATTACCAAGCAAATTGCAACTAGATTTTATTTATTTATTTATTTATTCATTTAGAAGACACAGTGTTGCTCTGTTGCCCAGGCTGGAGTACAGTCTGTGGTCAGGGCTCACTGCAACCTGGACCTCCTGAGCTCAAGTGATCCTCCCACCTCAGCCTTCCAAGTTGTTGGGCCTATAGGCATGAGCCACCTTGCCCAGCTAATTTTTTAATTTTTATTTTTGTAGAGACCAGGGTTCAGTATGTTACTGAGGCTGGTCTAGAATTCCTGGGATTACAGACGTGAGCCACCACGCCTGGCCTGTAACTAGACTTTTAATCTTAACAAATTACTGAAGAAAATATCTTTAATGTGAAGTATATTATGGGAAGTTATGTGAAGTTCATTAACGGTGGACATTAGTTTCTTGCGTTAAATTAACCATTATTTAATGTGTGACCTATTTGTATATAATTCAAAAATTTCAAAAATATTTGTATTTTATAGAAGGACAGAGAAAAGAGTAGGGAAATATAGTCAGATATTTGCAGCTTATCATTAAGTACAAGTATAAAAATCCTGTGTATTTCTAAACTAATTCTGTAACTGAGCAGTTGCTTAACTGGTACTGAACTTTTCAATTAGTAGCCTTTTTGTGTGTGTGTGTGTGTGTGTGTGTGTGGAGACAGAGTCTTGCTCTGTTGCCCAGGCTGGAGTACAGTGGCATGATCTCGGCTCACTGCAACCTCTGACTTCCGGGCTCAAGTGATTCTCCCGCCTCAGTCTCCTGAGTGGCTGGGACTACAGGCATGCGCCACTATACCTGGCTTATTTTTGTATTTTTAGTAGAGATGGGTTTTGTGATGTTGGCCAAGCTGGTCTTGAACTGCTGGCCTCAAGTGGTCTCCCCACCTCGGTCTCCCAAAGTGCTAGGATTACAGGAATGAGCCACCATGCCCAGCTAATTTGCAGCTTTTAAGGAAAAAATAATTCTATTACTTTCGATACCAGGGATTTTCCCCCTAATTATTAATACATCATTTTTGGATTTGTTCTTTTAACACAATTCATAGACCTAGTCATTTTTAGATTAACATTTTTTTGTGTATAAATATAGAAGTATATAAACAAGATTAATTTATCCTTTAAGATTACTAATGTTTTATGGTTTCTCTTGTGGTCCCTTCCCCTGCCCACCCCCGCTTGACAGTTATTTGTATAAAAAGGCTGACTGGTAGATTATAATGCATCCTGTGGTTATTGATAGACATGTTTCTAGTAGTCCTTTCTATAATAGAGTATGACCTTCATTTAATACTTTCACTGGCATAGTGATGAAAATGTTATGAAGTCTTGAGGTTTGGAAAGCACCTTAAAGATTTCCTGGTCAAATTCTAACCTTCCTTTTACTGATTAAATAAGTTTGTATACAATACCCTTGTCAAGTGATCATCTAATTTTAGTTTATATTAAATATTTGCTATGATTCATTCAGCCTTATGTATTTTCTTAGTGCCTATTATGTGCTAGTCAAGGTATTGGGTGCTGGGAATATAGTGGTAAATAAAACCAATGTGGCAATGCCCTTATGGACTCGGTATTGTATGGTTTTTAAAGTGATTGTGAACTTCCTCTTGTATGTATACTCGCCTTCATTGATACATATTATCTTTAAGAGTCTTATTCTTTTCTGTGAGTTTATAGGACCATTAACTTGACATATGCTAAAAGTACAGTTACTATAATTGAAAATACTGTGAGATCTTTTTCTTCTCAGAAGCCTATTTGCTAAATTTGTATTAAAATACATACATATTCAAATTCCTTTTTCAAGAGTTGAAGGTCCTAATATGTATGGATGTGTCATTAAGTTATAAATATAGAACCCTTAACCTAATAAAAATTTCTAGAACTTAGGCAGGGCAGAATGTGGAGTATTTCCATCTCATTTAAGTACATTATACTAAGGGTGAGATTTTAGATACTATCTAGTTGAAGTGACTGGGATGGAGATTTGGTTCTGTTTAGTGCTGGTACAGTGTACAATGCTACAGTGTACTAGTAGAATCTTAATGAAGTTGTCCTCTGCATTTCAAAAAGAAATTCAACTTCGGCAAATCTTTGGACATCATTTTTGGCTAATTTTGCAACAGATCATATTGGAAACTGGAAACTAGTGCCAACTATTGCTAATGGGGCCATGAGCTCTTGCTATTATTCTGGCAGTCATTTTTAGGGATGTTAGCTGTATTGCTATTAGGGCATGAAAGCATGGGCAAGGCATTGGATAATGTAAAGTTGATCTAATCCATATCACACTGGATTAATATCTGTGGCAAGCTTCAAATACCAATAGCAATGCATTATATCTTACAATCTCACATCACCTTAGCGCTTTGGATCAGGTAGCTGTCCCTTGTCTGTGGAGGCAAGAGCTCACCTAAAGACCAAAATCATTTATATAGTAAGTTACCCAAGCTGCTAGAATAGGTATTTCTCCAGATTAAAAATAGAAAATAGGAGGGCCCGAGGTATAGGTCAGAATTAGCCATTGTTTATTTCTTTCTGCCTCTCAAGAGAAAGTACAGAAGACAGCACCTTTCACATCCAGTTGTAAAGGGAGCTGGGAAGCAAGGAATCCATATGAGGGACCTTCAGAGTTGTTCCAAGGTTTTGGATGACTATCTGGTTTGGAATAGATGAGGATTTATTAATGCTGAGAGCAAATAAATTGTGGTAGTTTAGTGTGAAACTTGCTAAGAGATGCCCTGAGGCACTTGGCTTAGCCCTAAGTGTGTTGAGATATTGAGATCTCTGACTGTGAGCAGTCTTGTGATTAGCTGTGGTATGGGTGTATAGATAACATCCTCTATGTTGCATGAAGTGAAAAAGGTTGGAGAGCACTGTGATTTATTGTATGCTGTGGACTGTTTTTAGCTGTTTGGTTGTTTCCATTTGGTAGTCTTTTTAGTCTTCAAACTGTCTCAGTGATACTCAGTGGAACCAAGATAGATTAAAGGAAGCACCGTGCTCCCGTAACAGTTATATAAATTAGGATTTTGGTAACTGAACTAAGAGCGCCCCACTCCAAAGTGTAACTTATGTGTTAAAAGGTCACTTGATTCAGCTACTGTCTTTGACTATCGATTCTATTAAATATTTCCAGTGCTAAAATCTTAAAGGCTGTGTGTTTCTTTTGAATAGGAAATGTGATTGATTTCTTTTAGTTTAAAGTTTTGCCTATCCAATTTGTGTTTGGTATATATCTGGAAGGAAGAGTTAATATATAGGCTGGAATAATGGACTGAAATTAATAAAGTGAATTTTTTTGAGGAAATGTAAAATATTTTATTATAATTATGTCCTACAAAATTATGATGTAAGACCTGCAGTTCATGTGAAAAAGACCTAGATGTTTTATTAATAAGGCTGGCATGAGCTATTAGCTTATAGAAAAGCTGATGCAGTTTTTGACTGTGGAATATCCAAGATGGTGACAATATGAGTGGGAATGGAGTATTTAATTGACAGGGTTTGGTTGGATGACTAATTGAATATGGAATGCACTGAGGCACCAAAAGTTATCTCACTGATTCAAATTTGGATAACTGGGAGAGAAGCACTACCTTGATAGAGTAGTGAGAAGCCAGAAATAATTTCAGCTTTGTCCAGCTTGACTCTCTAAATGAACTTAAGGTATAACACTTACAAAGTAATTTGGTACAGTGGTCAATATCATGGACTCTAGAACAGTCTTGTTGAGTTTTAGTTCTGGCTTCTCCACTTGGTAACACTGTGACCTTGGGCAAATTATTTAAAGGCTCTATACCTCTTTTTATCAGTCTAATGGGGATAAACTTCATATACTATATACCAGGAACCATTTTAAGCACTCTATGTATATTAAGTCATTTGATCCTTATGTATCTATTAAATGTTTCCAGTACTAAAATCTTAAAGGCTCTGCATTTCATTTGAATAGGAAATGTGATTGATTTCTTTTAGTTTACTTTAAAGTGTTGCTTATCCAATTTGTGTTTGGTATATGTCTGGAAGGGAGAGATATATGGATCAAATTACTTAATACACATCAAGTGCTTAAAATGGTTCCTGGTATATAGTAAGCATAAAAGTAAAATCTGTTGCTACTCTTATTGTCATTATTAGGGTATGTTTTCAAAAATAATGCTGTGGTTTCAGTATAAAACCTAATGTTATCAAAAGGATTTCTTTCATTAGGAGCAGTTCTAGGAGACTTCATTTTCTTTCCTTACTTGGCCACCTTTGCCCTCTGAAACTTGTAGATCCAAGGTGTGGAAAATTAGTTGTGCAATTTTAATTATTAAATCTTGTCATTATTGTGTATTTTAGGGATGTGAGAGAGTCTTTGAAAATTTTTTTTTGCTGTAATTACAATTCTTTTTGAATTTTAAAGAACCATATTGAAAATGTTTATTGCCCACTTTCTGTCATTCTCATCTGGACACTGTGTTTAGCTTAAGTTCAGAGTTGTGATTTCAGCTTTTATTTTTCTCCTACTAGACCTCACTTAATGACATTAGCTTTGTCCCTCAGTGAATTTATCTAGTCCTTTGGACTTCATGTTTTATGCTGTCTTCGACCCTCATACATTCCCTGATATTTTCATGAAACATATAGGAAGCAATTTGCATGCTTAGAGGAGCTAAAACTAGTCTAAAGACTCAGCTGAAAAAGCTGGGTTTTTTGGGAAATTTCCAGATGAAAGGGACAGTCTGAGGAATGCTGTCAGACTGGAGGAAGCCCCACATATAAACAGAACTGTTCCTAGTTATTCTTGGATCTGTAAAGGTCATATAGTTTTGGATGTTTCTTCTCTTTGATTTCCTTCCATCTATCACTATTTAAATAAATTATGCATATCCATTTCTGTTCATTCAATGTTTTAAATAGAGCCTGTCTGTTTAACTGCATGCCAGATAAGGATGCTAGAATACGGAGGGTGACGGAGTACTGGTAATTTGGTTCTGATAATTTGACTGCCAAAACTTGTGACTGTTTTATTAAAAATTTTTAAAAGAGTGCATTTAAGGGTATCTGTAAGATAAGGTTATTCTCACTTATCTGCATTCTGATATCTTTTTAAATGGAAGAGAAACCAATGCTATTTTAGTTGCTGCTCTGGCCTGCAATGAAGCTCAGACAACATGAAACCCTGCGTTCTTATTTCAAAGACATAACAGAAACTCTTTGGGTGCTCAGCATTAGAGTTTGTCTTTTCACTCTTGGTTATATTTGTCATTCTCAATTATATTACTCCTTTGCCCCAAGGATAGAGATTTCGGTTAGTTCCACTAGTTATCCTCAGCCTCCACTGAGGCTTATATTCAACTAAATGCCTGTAACAGAATGCTCAAACTATAATGGAATAAATGAGGTAGGGATGTATTTTTCTGCCCTGTTGGAAAAAAAAAAAAAAAGACAAGGTAGGTGATTTGGGGCTGTTAACAGTAACTTTGTGATGTTGTCAAAGACTCATGCTCTGTCCAGCTTTCTATTCCTTCCTATATAGGATATCACTCTTATCTTCATGTTCTCGTCCTACACAGAAGGAAGAGGAAAGGGGAACAGTGCTAAAAATGCAACCGAGTCTTCCTACTATTTTTATTTATTTATTTTTTAGACAGGGTCTCACTGTGTTGCCCAGCCAAGAATGTAGTGGTGCAATCACAGGACACCACAGGCTTGCACTTTTGGGCTCAAGCACTCTTGCTGCTTCAGCCTCCTGAGTAGCTAGGACTAGAGATATGTGCCACCAGGCCTGGCTAATCCTTATTTTTTAATTATTATTTTTTTTTTTTGTAGAGAAGGAGGTCTTGCTATGTTGCCTGGGCTGGTCTTGAGCTCTTAGCCTCAAGCAATCCTTGTTGGGATTACTGGCGTGAGCCACCACGCCCACCCTCTTCCTCCTTTTAAAAAGAATTTTCCTGAAAGTGTACCAATCACTCCTACTGGTATCTCTTTGGCCAGAACTGATGTGTAACCATGTCTGACTACAAAGGAGGCAGAGAAATTTAGTGTGTATTTGTTTGAGTTAGGCATATTGCCATATATAATATGGAAAATGGATACTGGTGAACAGCCAGCCGTCTCTCCCATATTATCCAATATGGAGAGTTCTTAACAGTGCAGGCTTCAGCTAGTCATTCCTGTGCTAATCATTTGTGGTTAGGAAATTAAAATTGGTTTCTCTTGTCATTCTTGGCTTTGTAAATTAGACTGCTTTGGCTTGCTTTTAAAGAAGAGGCAGTATAACTGGCAAACACTGTGAGGCTTCATACCCTATTAGGAGTAGAGTTATTTAGCTTGTTGTGGGAAGAATGCATAACTTTGGGTGTGTCCATGTTTGTGGCAGCCAGAAAAAAACGATTGAAAACTGCTATTTTCTTATGACCTATTTTTTTTTTTTTTTTTTTTTTTGAGACAGAGTCTTGCTTTGTTGCCCAGGCTGGAGTGCAATGGTGCAATTTAGGCTCACTGCAAACTCTGTCTCCCAGGCTCAAGCAATTCTCCTGCCTTACTCCTGAGTAGCTGGGATTACAGGCGTGTGCCACCAAGCCTAGCTAATTTTTGTATTTTTAGTAGAGATGGGGTTTCACCATGTTGGCCAGGCGTGTCTCGAACTCCTGGCCTCAAGTGATCTGCCCATCTTGGCCTCCCAAAGTGCTGGGATTAGAGGCATGAACCTGTAATGAGGTTTGTGGTACAAGAAGATTTTATGGAGGAAGTGGTACACGTGTAGTTTTGAAGGATGAATAGGAATTAGCCAGGTGCAGGTAAATGGGGATAATGTTCTAGGAAGAGATAGCTGCTTGTGCAGAGGTACAGATATGAAAAGATACAAGGGTATGGGGTGTGGCAGGAGGTGTATGAACCACATAATGAAGGGCTTAGAGTTCTTTCAGAATATCATTAAAGACATTTTCAAAACAACTTTTTTTCTCTCTCTCATGAAAAAGGAAGCACAGTTTTTAAGGACAATCTCCAAAATACAGAAAGGTGTATAAAGAAAAATATGAAGATGACTCATAATCTCTTCAACCAGAGATAACCACTGTTAACATTGTGGTGTATGTACTGCCGTAATTCCTCTATTTTTCCGCCTCTCTTTTTCCTCCTGTCTTTCCTTTTTTCCTTCTTCCTTTTTTCCTCTCTTTGCCTCTTCTCTGGCCAGATCTTTTTGGCCCATATAGCAAAAACTTGAAGCACTCACTGAAAATAGAGATTAGGGATGGAAAGAGGCAAGGTTTTTGTCTTAGAATAATTTTCTGAAATAAATATTATAGAAAAAGGTATAGTTTGGGGAATGGAGAGTTTGAATTTGGTCATTAGACATGCTTTTATTTCACCAACACTTTTTTTTACCAACACATGTTTTTATTTCACGACTTTACTGAACTTGTTTATTACTTCTAACAGATTTTTGGTGGAGTATTCAGGGTTTTCTATGTATACATAAGATTATGTCATCTGCAAAGATATTTTTTACTTCTTCTTTTACATTTTGAGTGTCTTTTATTTCTTTTTCGTGTCTAATTGTAACTGCCCAAGGGGTTCACCTTGCCTGCTGCCTAGCCAGAGCTGATTCATCAAGACAGGGGAATTGCAATAGAGAAAGTGCAATTCACACACAGCCAGGTGTGCAGGAGACCAGAGTTTTATCATTACTCAAATCAGTCTCCCCAAGCATTTAGGGGGCAGAGGTTTTTTTTTTTGAGACGGAGTCTTGCTCTGTTGCCCAGGCTGGAGTGCAGTGGCGTGATCTCAGCTCACTGTAAGCTCTGCCTCCCGGGTTCATGCCATTCTCCTGCCTCAGCCCCCTGAGTAGCTGGGACTATAGGCACCCGCCACTGCGCCCGGCTAATTTTTTGTATTTTTAGTAGAGACGGGGTTTCACTGTGGTCTCGATCTCCTGACCTCGTGATCCACCTGCCTTGGCCTCCCAAAGTGCTAGGGTTACAAGCATGAGCCACCATGCCCGGCCAAGGGGGCAGAGTTTTTAAGGATAACTTAGGGGGAAGCCAGTGAGCCAAGAGTGCTGATTGGTCAGGAATGAAATCATAGGGAGTCGAAGCTGTCTTCTTGTGCTGAGTCAGTTCCTGGGTGGGGGCCACAAGATCAGATGAGCCAGTTTATTGATCTGAGTGGTGCCAGCTGATCTGTCAAGTGCAGGGTCTGCAAAACATCTCAAACTCTGATCTTAGGAGCAATTCAGGGAGGGTCAGAATCTTGTAGCTTCCAGCTGTATGACTCCTAAACCATAATTTCTAATCTTGTGGCTAATGTTAGTCCCACAAATGTAATCTAGTCCCCAGGCCAGAAGGAGGTCTGCTTTGGGAAAGGGCTGTTACCATCTTTTTTTAAACTATAAACTACATTTCTCCCAAAGTTAGTTCAGCCTACGCCAAGGAACAAACAAGGACAGCTTGGAGGTTAGAAGCAAGATGGAGTCGGTTAAGTTAGATCTCTTTCACTGTCTCAGTCATAATTTTGCAAAGGTGGTTTCATAATTGCTTGTCTCTGATGTTAGAGGAAAAACTTTCAGAGGAAAAGCTTTTTGTCATTGAATATGATGTTACTGGTGGACTTGACATATATAGACTTTATTATTTGGGGGGTACATCCTTCTTACCTAATTTGTTGAGAGTTTTTATCATTAAAATATATTGGATTTTATCAAATGTTGTTTGTGATTTAATGAGATGATCATGTGATACTGATTCTGTTAATGTGGTATACTAAATTTATGGATTTGCATATATTGAACCATTCTTGCCCTCCAGGGATAAATCCTACTGGGGATGATGGTATAGGATGTTTGCAGTGTGCTGTTGAATTCCATTTGTTGAATATTTTTGAGTCTGTATTCACCAGGGATGTTAGCTTGTAATTTTCTTTTTCTGTAGTCTTTATATGGCTTTTTATGATCTGTATGATTCAGTCTCCTTGCTTATTATTCATCTACTCAGATTTCCTATTTCTTCATGATTCAGTGTTAGTAGGTTTTATGTTTCTAGGAATTGATACATTTCTTCTAGGTTATTCAATTTGTTTGCATATGATTGTTCATAGTAATCTCTTATGATTCTATTTCTATGATATCAATTGTAGTGTTGGCTGTTTTATTTCTGATTTTATTTATTTGAGTCTTCTCTTTTCCTAGTCTGGCTAAAGGCTTGTCAATTTTGCTTGTCTTTTCAAAAAACCACCTCTTAGTTTTGTTGATTTTTTTCTTTTGCTTTCCTTGTTTATATTTCATTTATTTCTACTCTAATCTTTATTATTTTCTTTTCTTCCGCTGATTTAGTTTGCTCTTCTTTTTCTAGTTCTTGAGGTATAAAGTGAAGTTGTTTGTTTGAGATCTTTGTTTTTTTCTTAATGTAGGCATTTATTACTATAAACTTTCCTCTTAGAACTGCTTTTGCTGCATCCCATAAGGTTTGATACGTTATTTTTTTCATTTTCACTTTCTCAAGATATTTTTTTACTTCTCTTTTAGTTTATTCTTCGATACATTGGTTGCTTAAGAGTGTGTTAATTTCCACAGATTTGTGAATTTTCCAGTTTTTCCTCCCATTATTGATTTCTAATTTCATACCAATTTATTTAGAAAATATTCTTGCTATGATTTCAGTTTTCATAAATTTGTTACGACTTGTTTTGTGGCCTAACTTGATCTATCCTGGAGAATGTTTAATGTGTGCTTAGGAAAATGTTTATCCTTCTGTTGTTGGGTGGAATGTTCTGTATAGGTCTGTTAGGTCCATTTGTTCCAGAGCAGTGGTCCCCAACCTTTTTGGCATCAGGGACCAGTTTCATGGAAGACAGTTTTTTCATGGACTGTGGGCAGGGGGATATGATTTCAGGATGATTTAAGTGCATTACATTTATTGTGTACTTTATTTCTATTATTATTACATTGTAATATATAATGAAACAATTATAAAACTCACCATAAGGTAGAATCAGTGGGAGCCCTAAGCTTATTTTCTTGCAACTAGAAGGTCCCATCTTATTATGGGGTTGTTTGTTTTGTTCTTGTGAATTTAAGTTCCTTATAGATGCTGAATATTAGACCTTGTTGGATGCATAGTTTGCAAAAATTTCCTCCCATTCGGTAGGTTTTCTGTTTACTTTGTTGATAGTTACCTTTGCTATGCAGAAGCTCTTTAGTTTAATTAGATTCCATTTGTCAATTTTTGCTTTTGTTGCAATTGCTTTTGGCATCTTCATCATGAATTCTTTGCCAGTTCCTATGTTTAGAATGGTATTGCCTAGGTTGTCTTTCAGAGTTTTTATGGTTTGGAGTTTTGTATTTAACTCTTTAATCCATCTTGAGTTAATTTTTGTATATGGTGTAAGGAAGGGGTTCAGTTTTAATAATCTGCGTAAGGCTAGCCAGTTATTCCAGCGCCATTTATTGAATAGGGAATCCTTTCCCCAGGGCTTGTTTTTGTCACGTTTGTTGAAGATCAGATAGTTGTAGGTGTGCAGTCTTATTTCTGGGTTCCTTGTTCTGTTCCATTGATCCGTGTGTCTGATTTTGTGGCAATCCCATGCTGTTTTGGTTACTGTAGCCCCGTAGTGTAGTTTGAAGTTGAGTAGCATGATGTCTCAGCCTTGTTCTTTTTGCTTAGGATTGCCTTAGCTATTTGGGCTGTTTTTTGGTTCCATATGAATTATAAAATAGTTTTTTTCTAGTTCTGTGGAGAATATCAGTGGTAGTTTAATAGGCATAGCATTGAATCTGTAAATTACTTTGGGCAGTATGGCCATTTTAACAATATTGATTGTTCCTCTGATAAGCATGGAATGTTTTTCCAGTTGTTTGTGTCATCTCTGATTTCTCTGGGCAGTGGTTTGTAGTTCTTCTTGTAGCGCTCCTTTACCTCTCTGGTTAGCTGTATTCTTAGGTATTTTATTCTTTTTGTGGCCATTGTGAATGGAAGTTCATTCCTGATTTGGCTCTGTGTGCTGATTGGTCCATGTGTGGCCACAGGCAGGCCTGGAAAAAGCACCATCTGGCTGGCTGAACAGCCATCAATGAAGTTCTCACTCTGAGCCCCAGACTTCACCCAGAACTGACGTGCCAACTTCACCCAGGACTGGATGGCCTGGACCCCAGGCTTCAGGCTATCCTTGGCCTGAAGGTGGGGGTTTCACCGAGGACCGGCCCCTTCATGCCTGGTAACCTTTCTGTCTTCCACTGCCATCGACATGCTGTCCACGATGCCCAGGCTGTTCGCGCCGAGGGGCAGCTGCAAGCCTGCACCCATCTGTCTTCACCCCAGGCCACCCTCCCATGCTCGCTGGTTACCATGGTTACCAAAGTCCAGAGGTGGGTGAGTCAGCAAAGGGCTGTCATGTCAGCACCACCCTGAGTGCACACACCTGGCCAGGTGGCGACAGCATCCAGGCTCAGCCACAGCTTTTCTCTGAAATCAGAGTGGGCACTGGGAGCGAGGAGAGGCCAGGGAACAGGAGCAGGCACTTCCAAGCCTGTGGGGATAGGGGGGGCTTCCTGGGCTTCCGAGAGTGCAGGGATGCCCGGGTCCAGAGCTGCAGCTGGGCGGCTGCAGCTGTGCCTGGTAGCACGGGACTTGGTAGGGGGCGGGGCTCCCACCTGTCCCACCCCCGTGGGCTCTGTGGAATGCACAGCCCCAGCCACACGTCCCTGACTGCAGCTGGCATCCCCACAGGGGCTCCTCCAAACTGGCCACTGCCACCATCAATTTGTATTCATTCTTTCAGTAAAGTAAATGATCTGATAGCTTGATAAGTTGTATCCTTGAAAAGATACAAATAGTATAAAGTACATGGTAATTTTCCCCATTTGTAACTGTTTCAATAATGTGAAAATACCAGTAGGCTTGGAAAAATAAAATTATGAAGACATTTAAAATGTTACTTTATTTTAGAATAAGGTAGAGTTGAAAATTGTCAGAAATACAAACATTATTTAACTATTTAATCCTTTATATATGTGAAGTTTTAAAATATGTATGACCTTCCCCTCTGAAATGAGAATAAAATTGGTGGGAAATTTTAACAAAAGAACACATAAAGTTCTAGACTATAAACATAAATATTATTGTTTGGCATTACCCCAAAGTTCCCCTTTAAAAAAACAAATAAATGGAAATAATATATATTTGAATGTTCTGTCTCTACTTTCTTTGAACCAGGGAGGCCTCATACTTATGAGTTTGTTCCACCCTCTTCTAATATAACTGTCAACAGAGCATGGCAACAGTGTTACAAAATTTAATGTTTTAAAATTTTGAACAAATTAAAAACATGAAATTTATATTTCTCTTACATTTTACTATTCTCTAATGCGGGAAAATGATTTAAATTGTGGACTAAATGCAACCAGTGTATAAAATAATTCTCTTCTGAGTGATAGTGAAACAATTACTGAATTACAACTATATGCAGAAAGTAGTTTTGCCTAACGTGTTTTCCATGTGACTAGCATTATAGCTCATTGCAAATGGTTTATTTGTTTTATAATTAATAAAGAAGTCCAGGTGGAGTTTAACACAAAAACAGAAGATAGAGAGCATTTAATTTTGGAGAGAGCTTTCAGTACTAAAATAGATAGTCAGAATTTTCTGACTTTAATGGAGTCAGAAACTGGGTAACTTTCATTCTTTTAACTTAAATCAGTTTCTGAATTTAGTTTGTCAAAATAGACTACATTGTATGTGTATTGGTGAACTAGAAATAGATCAGCTGTCACTGAGACTGAATCCTAGCCTTGAATAATTTTAACCTCTGATTGGATTAAGGTGATTTGTTATTTCTAAGGCCATTAGGCTAGCTGCCTGCTAAAAGAAAACATAAGTTTAATTTGGATGAAGGTAGCACCATTGAGAATCTCAAGTTATGGCCACATAAAAAACATACAGCATTTAGCATTCAATCAAAAATAGTCAGACATTCAAGGAGGTAAGACAATGTGATTAAGAAACTAAGAGAAATATTACTAGAAACAGACTCACAGGGGATTTAGCTAATGGGACTATCATACATGGCTGTGCTTAATACGTTTAAGGGGGAAGAAGACTTAGTATGTGGCAGAGAACTAGAAACTAGGAATTACATCAAATACGAGAACTGAAAAAGTATGATAACTGAAATTAGCAACTCAGAGGATTGACTTAGCAACACATTGAGTATTGTTGAAGAAAATTCGTGAACTAAAATATAGGCCAGAAGAAAATACCGAAACTATTTCATAGGGATTTTCTTAAAAAAATAAAAAATACAGAAAAGAGTTGATAAAATGATCCTGTATGTGGAATACTTTCCAGAATCTCCAAACACTACTAAAACTAATTAAGGATTTCTTAGAAGTTGCAAGATAAAAGATCAATTTACAAAAATTATTTTTGTATAGGATAGCAATAATCTATTGGAATTCAAATTTATATGTAAATGCAAAAGACCTACACTAGGCAAAACAACTTTGAAAAGTAAGAGCAAAGTTTGAAGACTTCCACTAATTAACTTGAAGACACATTGTAATGATTAAAATAGTTTAATACTGTAGACAAGATAGACGATAAACAATATTAATTTAATCAATAGAACTAAATAGAGAATACAAACATAGACCCATACATATATGGACAACCGATTTTTAAAAAAAATGTATAAAGATTATTCAGTGGAGAAAGGATAGTCTTTTCAACAAATGGTGCAGAATAACTGAATAAGCATATTAACAAATGATCTTCAATCCATCTCTCAGTGTATTAAAAATGATCCAAATAAATCATAGACCTAAATGTAAACTCTAAAATTATAAAACTTCCTTCTTTCTTTTTTCCCTGATCAATCTATAAATTTTGTTGATCTTTTCAAGACCAGCTTTCATTTATTTTTTTCTGTTACTTTTGTTACCACTTTCATTGATTTCCATTCTCAACTTTATTATTTTCCTCCTTCTGCTTACTTTTGGGTTAATTTGCATTACATTTTCAAGTTTTTAGGATAGAAGCTGAAGTCATTGATTGGAGACCTTTATTCCTTTCTGGTAAAACTGTTTAGTGCTATAAATTAATCTTTAAGCGCTGCTTTAACTGCATCTCACAAACTTTATTAAATTGTGTTTTATTTTATTCAGTTAAAATATTTTTAAATTTTTCTTTTGAATTATTCTTGACCCGTGAGTTATTTAGAATTGTGTTCCTAATATTGTGAGATTTTGTAGATAAATTGGTTTTGAATTTAACTGCATGGTGGTCAGAAGATGTAGATTTGTATAATTCAAATTATTTTAAATTTTATGAATGCTAGTTTTGTGGCCCCAAATATGGTCCACCTTGGCCTCTACTGCTTAAATTTAAGGCTCTCATTATCTTTCTTCTTGGTAATTATAAAAATTTCTTATCCAGTCTTCCTCTAGTTTATCATTGCTTACATTTCACTATCACCAGAGTTACTATTCCTAAACACCAATTTGATCTTGTCACTTTTACCTTACTCCAGAAGTGTCAGGGACATCCCACTATCTACAGAATGAAATGAATCCTCTTTATCATTGTAGAAAATGCTTTCATTATTTGCCTATAAGTTATTTTTCTATGAAAGCCTCGTATAGTACTGTCACCCTTTGCTGCTTCTTCCCAAACATTCTGTATTTCAGCCATGTTTTATTGGCTTTTTTTCCCCCAGAAAATGTATTACGGATTTTCAGGCCTCTGTGCCTTTGATCAAGCTATTCCTTTCTCTTTGAATTCCCCTTCTCTCACCTTCTTGCTTTTCATTTAATACCCATGGTTGATTCTGCAGCACATGTGGAACATTTTTAATTCCCTTAGTCAGAATCCTGCTTTATCTTTGGTTCACCATTTATATGTTTCTTATGGTATACTTTGACTTTGGGTGACACTTTTTGTGTCATTGTTCTCACCTTTGAGTAGATGTCATTTTTTCTACTAATCTTTTAATACCTGAAATACAGTAGGCATTCACTGTATCTCAGTTGTGAGGAAATTAGGACAATATATGGGGTACTTTCTTTTCTTTTCTTCTTCTTTTTTTTTTTGAGATGGAGTTTCACTCTTGTTGCCCAGGCTGGTGTGCAATGGCACAATCTCAGCTCACTGCAACCTCCGCCCCCCAGGTTCAAGCGATTCTCCTGCCTCAGCCTCCCGACCAGCTGGGATTACAGGCATGCACCACCACGCCCGGCTAATTTTGTATTTTTAGTAGAGAGGGGTTTCTCCATGTTGGTCAGGCTGGTCTCGAACTCCCGACCTCAGGTGATCTGCCCACCTTGGCCTCCCAAAGTGCTTGAATTACAGGTGTGAGCCACCGCTCCCGGCCTATATGGGGTGTTTTCTAATTAATAAATATGCCTTCCTTAATTCAGCATATGGATCAAGGGGTTCTGGCATGACGAAAATTTTTAAGTTATGTTTTAAGATAAATTGGATTCAAAATCATAGATTCTATAAGGATGTCTTTTACAAGTCATCTGCATTATGGATAGTTTTTACAAATAGAACAGAATTCCCAGTTCAGTTCCACAGGTAAAGCAGAATTCCCAGCCTAATTTTTAGTAAATCTTAGAGAAAAACAAGAACTAACTTTGACAATGCTACAGAAAATAATGAATCACAAAAAGAACTAAAAATATAGTTTATTGGCTGATAGCTATAAAAGTATGTGTTCCTGAACGTTTAGTGAAGATGACAGTAATAGTTGATTAATGTTGACTATTCATTGGAAAATGAAATTATGGGTGATATAGGAATCATATGCATAGTGACAGCAATAGACCTATTTAAATATAAAGAGGAAGATGGGCAAAAATTACCTGCAAAGCTAGAAATTTCTTCTGTGGTAGCCAAAGTCCCCCAGTCCATAATTTTATGTTATACTCAATAATTTAATTTATGAAAAACAGTAGAAAGGTTATTCAGGAAATCATCACATTTCTTCTAAATCTAAAAGTTTCTTATTGTAGTAAAAGTTGTACATTTATGTTTTAAGTTAAAATGAACAGAGATGTTTATCATTTTTTCTGATTTCCTACATTTGTCAACTAGTTGGAGTAATCAGATTAACCTGCTGTATACTTTGCGATCTATAAGGAATTATGTGAATGGGAGTTATTATAACCAAGAAAATAAGCTCTATGCAGTAGTAACATTTGAATACCACTTTTACCATTTTCAAAGATATTTTGGGTGTGCTGTTTCTTTGACTTTCAACAACATGGGGAGGAAAGGAATCCTAATTAAAGATATCAATGGATATATGGAACCTTGTGCTCTTCCTCCCTAATCAGCGAAAAAAGATGGATCCAGATGGCTGAGCGAGCAAAGAGATGCCAAGGGATTTTCTGGTTAGCATTATAGAACCTCTTTAGAACTAGATTACTGGATATTTTTAGAGGTATAAAGTATTGTGTATGTATGCATAGATGTTTTCAAATGTTATTGCGTCCCTGAAGGCAAGAGACTGTGTATTTTGGAATATAAGATTTGATAACATATAGACATGTTCTCCAAGGGAAATACATGTCAACCTTTAGCATAGAAAGTTGGGAAGAACCTTCTACTTTTTTAGGAGTCTTACAAGAAATGCTGACTGGTGTTTCTATAATGATTTCATGCCAATTCCAGAAGGTTTAAGTCATATGTGATTAATAATTTAATATATTAGATAATTGCTCCAGTTCTACGTTTATCCTTATTTGGTAAAAGATTTATCCTCCCATTTCATTCCTATTCTTGTTTTTACTTAGCAGTTGACCTTTTTATATAGACTTGAGGGAAAAAAAAATAACTAAATGCCTCCATTTATATTTAAAGTATGTTTTCCTTTGAAGTGTTTAAGTCTTTACTGTTTTATCCAGGTACAATATGTGGGACATTTATGTTAAGGTAGAACTAAAACAGATGATCAGTTATTTGTCGATAAAGAGTTTTCAACTAAACAGCTTAAAAACTAGCTTTTGGGGTTGATTTCTAGTCAATAAAATATTGTTACTTATTTAAACAAGACAGATTATTGTAACAAAACAATTTTTTTCTTTGAAATAGATTTTAAAACATTTCAAAGTAAATTTAAATATTAAATTATTATATTTCCATTTAAGTACCCCCTCTTCCATCAGTAATCCCATTCTCCAGAAATAATAGATCTTGATTTGTTCATCTTAATCTTTTATGTTGACATTTGGTCAGGAATGAAAATAGTGTTTCGCCCCTGAAAAAGTAATGAGTTTTCTGTCATAAATTTTATCCAATCATGACTAAGATAATTTATCTTTAAAAGAATGACAACGAAATATTTGATTTGGATTAAGTTCATATGGTTATATCAGAATTATACTTTATATACTAGAGTAACTAAATGAACCTATGGACTTCATTTATTTAGTATTCTCCATCTGTGGGCTGAGAAGGGTCTGCTTGAAATGATAGATAGTTTTGGATTTTGGCATAGATAAGAGTATGCAATTTTTGTTCAAGGATACAGATATGGCAGAGACTGGGTGGTTATTCTATTATAACCATTTTCTCTCTTCTGTGGCATACTGTTAGACGTACTTCCTCTTGTATTAGGTGGGGCCATGATACTAGCTCTCGAGAGTAGAATGTGGATGAAAATAATGAGCATGACGTTTAGAACTAACCCTAAAATTTCCTTCAAAACTTTCCATACTCTCCTCATTGAGGAATATTTAGTGGGAGTTTCCAAGGCCCTAGGATAGACACTAGTAGACAAAATGTCATTGAGTCACATAGTGAAAGACCATCTTTCCCTGTCCCAAATTGATTGTGACATAAGAGGGAAAACTTTTGTTGTGTAAGCCACTGAAGCTTTGGAGTTAGTTGTTACAGCAGAGAGAGTTACTTACCCTGATCAACATAGAAATTGACATTTTGAATTGTGTTGCTACTGTAACAAGATCCCAAAGTATATGACATTGGCCTAAGGGTTGGGCAGTGAGGAACACATACAGCATATTGGGATGGCTAGAAATCTATGTCATGTGATGAATGTTTGTAAAACTCTTACCTTTGGCAACTTGGAGGCCATTTCATGTTTCTACCAAGATTGAAGGTTTAAGAAAAGAAGTTGTTAGTAGTGTGTGTTCATTGTAATTGCATTACCTTGCCAAATGTAGTCAAGGAAGAGATGAGTTTAGGAAACTATTGTTTGGTTTACAGGAGTGAAAGAAAATAATAACCAGAAATTCAGAATTGGAAAAAATGACTGTTTTTAAACTCTCAAAAATAAAAGATGGATTTTAAGAAGGCTTTGAGCAAAAAAGACCCCATAAGACTTCTCAGTCTTACGTGTAGCCGAGTGGCTACACATTGATATAATGGTCAGATTAAGATGTGTGGCTTTCTTGAGCCTGAAAAGTCAGAGTAGCCACCAGTAAATTAACAGAGAGATGAGACATTGGGAAAAGAAGCAAAAAAATAAAGCAGATTTGAGAATGATAAAAAGTAATTTTGGAGTTGGTTATTAGCATTTGGATCTGACTGGAAGCTGCTATGATTCTGATGGAATTTTGTTGCTAGAGAAACTTGGAACTTGGCCTTAGAAGGCATGTGACTGTTCATTGAGCCCTAAAAGCTGTCCTCAAGTGGCATACTTCTCAACACCAACTTCATATGTGGCCACGGGAGATAACAGGCAAGGAAAACCCATAGAGGGTGAAGCCAGGAGCCATGGAGAACAACAAAGGACTAGGGAGTTTCTCCTGGAGAACAAAATTAGGGCCTTAACAAGGAATTTCTTCCTTCACAATGTTCATACATCCAGTGGGATTTCATAATGCTACAGATTAGCAACCACTGAATATTTTCCATTTTTTTTTTTGCATTTCTAAATGCGGTGATCCTTTCTCTGTTTCCCCATGGTATGTGTTTTGTACAGAGGGAGACAGGACAGATATCTTCTCTTTAAGGCGTATGTTGTGGGGACATGGAGAGCGACATCTACATCTGATGAAGAAGATTATGTATGAACTGGAGATCCTAGATTTTGTCCTGGCTGGGACCTTTGGTAATCTTCCTAGTGGAGAGCTTGAGTGCATTCTATATCTGGGAGGAAGAATTAAAAAAAAAATAGGTATTTAGTGAGTTAAATAATGGATTGTTCCAGAAACTAATTAGATTCTCTCTTTGCTCTTTTGGGGCATACAGATAGACTCAGATAGCCCCCATGTATGGAGGCTATGTGACTATGCCTTGTCAATGGAATATGAGCAGAAGTCATTTCGAGGCAAATGTAGGGTTTGCTTTCTTTTCCCTTTCAATTATGTCCTCAAAAGTAGATCTCACAGGATTTTTGGAACTTAGTTCCCTAAATGACCATGTACCAAGTATTCTCTCTCTACTGCGATACTCCTGCTCACCGCCACCCCCAAATTATTATTTAATGAATATTAGACTTTCATTGGGTTAAGGCATTGAGATTTGGGTTATAGCAGTAAACTTCGTATTATATAGTAAAGCACAAATATAAAAATCAATATTTTACATTTATACTATTTTGATAACTTTTAGAAAATAACATTTCTTGATTATTTACAGTGTTTTAGGTACCATGCTAAGCATTTAGCACATTGTCATCTTATTTGCTGTTTATAGTTACTTATCAGAAGTGAATGTTATTCCTGTTTTAGAGATTTAGGAATCTGAAGCTGAGAACATTTATAAGTAACTTTTTCTAGTAGCTGCTATTTATTGGGTTTGTATTTTACCATAATTACTTACTTAATTTCATTCTGATGGACAATAGTGTTTTAAGAACCAGACACAAACTCTGCCTTATTCACTGTTATTTATCACTAGTAGATTATAGAATTTGTAGTAGTTGTGGAATAAATATATATATTTTAAACTTTTGTTATAGTTCAGGGGTTCATGTGCAGGTTTTTTATATAGGTAAATTTATGTCACGGGGGTTTGTTTGTACAGATTATTTCATTGCCCAGGTACTAAACCTAGTACCTAGCAGTTATTTTTCCTGATTCTCTCCCTTCTTCCCTCCTCCACCCTTAAGTAGGTCCCAGTGTCTGTAGTTGCCCTCTTTTTGCCCATAGGTTCTCATCGTTTAGCTCCCTCAAAGTGAGAACATGCAGTATTTGGTTTTCAGTTTTTCTGTTAGTTTGCTAAGGATAATGGCCTCCAGCTCCATTCATGTTCCTGCACAGGACATGATCTCATTCTTTTTTATGGCTGCATAGTATTCCATGGTGTATTTGTACCACATTTTCTGTATCCAGTCTACCATTGATGGACATTTAGGTTGACTTCATCTCTTTGCTATTGTGAATAGTACTGCAGTAAACATATGGGTGCATGTGTCTTTATGATAGAACGAGTTATACTCCTTTGGGTATATACCCACTAATGGGATCGCTGGGTCAAATGATAGTTCTGCTTTTAGCTCTTTGAGGAATTTCCACACTGCTTTCCACAATGGTTGAACTAATTTACACTCCTCCCAAGAGTGTATAAGTGTTCCCTTTTCTCCACAACCTTGTCAGCATCTATTTTTTTTTTTTTTTTTACTTTTTAATAATAGCCATTCTGACTGGTGTGAGATGGTATCTCATTGTGGTTTTGGTTTGCATTTCCCTAATGATTAGTGAA
Organism: Homo sapiens; assembly: GCF_000001405.40. Classification (NCBI taxonomy): domain Eukaryota; kingdom Metazoa; phylum Chordata; class Mammalia; order Primates; family Hominidae; genus Homo; species Homo sapiens. Next base: position 10,146,968 of record NC_000011.10, on the reverse strand, counting down.
ATTGAGCTTTTTTCATATGGTCATTGGCCACATGCATGTCTTCTTTTGAAAAATGTCTGTTCATGTCCTTTGCCCACTTTTTAATGGGGTTATTTTTTCTTGCAAATTTAAGTTCCTTAGAGTTGCTGAATATTAGACCTTTGTCAATACATAGCTTGCAAAAATTTTCTCCCATTCTGTAGGTTGTCGTTTACTCTGTTGATAGTTTCTTTTGCTGTGCAGAAGCTCTTTAGTTTAATTAGATCCCATTTGTCAATTTTTCTTTTGTTGCAATTGCTTTTGGCATCTTTGTCATGAACTCTTTGCCAGTTCCTATATTTAGAATGGTATTGCCTAGGTTGTCTTCCAGGGTTTTTATTGTTTTGGGTTTTACATTTAAGTTTTTATTCTATCTTGAGTTAATTTTTGTATGTGATGTAACGAAGGGGTCCAGTTTCAATTTTCTGCATACGGCTAGCCAGTTATTGCAGCACTATTTGTTAAATAGGGAGTCCTTTCCCCAGTGCTTGTTTTTTGTCGGCTTTGTTCAAGATTGGATGATTGTAGTTATGCAGCCTTACTTCTGGGTTCTTTATTCTGTTCCATTGGTCTATGTGTCTGATTTTGTGGCAGCCCCGTGCTGTTTTGGTTACTGTAGCCCTGTAGTATAGTTTGAAATCGGGTAACATGATGCTTCTAGCCTTGTTCTTTTTGCTTAGATTTGCCTTGGTTATTCTGGCCCTTTTTTGGTTCCATATGAATTTTAAAATGTTTTTTCTAGTTTTTGAAGAACGTCATTGATAGTCTGATAGGAATAGCATTAAATCTATAAATTTCTTTGGGCAATATGGCCATTTTAACAATATTGATACTTCTCTGATAAGCATGGAATGTTTTTTCCATTTGTTTGTGTCATCTCTGATTTCTTTGAGCAGTGTTTTGTAATTCTCATTGTAGACCTCTTTCACCTTCCTGGTTAGCTGTATTCCTAGGTATCTCTTTCTTTTTTTGGCAATTGTGAATGGAACTGCATTCCTGATTTGGCTTTCAGCTTGGCTGTTGTTGGTGTATGGGAATGCTAGTGGTGTTTGTATGTTGATATTGTATCCTGAAACTTAGCTGAAGTTGTTTATCAGCTGAAGGAACTTTTGGGCCAAGACCGTGACATTTCCTAGGTGTAGAATCATGTCATCTGCAAACAGGGATAGTTTGACTATAGAATAAATATTGAAAAAATGTATTTGTGACATTAGTATAGAGCACTATACCAGGTGCTGTAATGGGGTATACAAATTATGAAGCCCATCTCTCGAGGAACTCCCAATTAAATGGAAGGTTATATTAAGTCCTGTGATGATAATAACTATAAAATACTAAGAGTATTTTGGGAGAATTTAAGTTTGCCTAGGAAGAGTTTGTAAACATTTTCTTGGAGGTAAAAATTTGTCATGATTATAAAAGCTGTGGTAGTTTTTAAACACAGCCCTAAAGCTCTTTTATACCCCTCCCATCAAGATGTATACCTCTTTCTTCTTTCCTTAAATCTGGGTGGTCTCATAACTGATTGGAACAAAAGAATATGCACTTCTGAGGCTGGGTCATAAATAATGATCCAGATGTATTCCTTTTTCTTGGAATACTTGCACTTAGATCCCTGAGCCTGCAATGTAAGAAGTCTGACTACTCTGAGGTCTTCATTCTTTGAAGAAATCAAGCAATTTGGAAAGGCCAAGGGTTGGTACTCTGTTTGGCAGTCATAGCCTTTGAATCTCCTAGCCCAGGTGCCAGGCGTATGAGTGGACAAGACTTAAGATGATTCCAGCCTCAAACTGTTGCATCATCTTCAGTCTCCAGGTTGTCCTAACTGAGGCCCTGGACGTTGTAAAGCAAAGACAAGCCATCGCCTCTTTGTGCTACGTGAATTCCTAATCCCCATACTCCTTGACCATGATAAGGTGATCCTTAATTTAAGCTATGTTTGGGATTAATTTATTATGTAGCAACAGTAAGTGGAATGTAAGTGGAGCTTGAACACATGCTAAAGAGAAAAGGCATTTGCACTGCTTCAGCAAAAGTCCTGAAGTAGTATGTTAAGTTGCTTGACGCTTAGTATTTATTTTGGATTTGGAAGGATGTTAGGTTGTAACAGAAGAGAAGTCTGGAAAGGCATTAGGGGCCAATTGTTTATGGTTCCTAATATTTCATTAATAGGTCTAAACTTCTTCCCTTGTACCATGAGACCATAAAGATTTTTTGAGCATAGAAGAACATGTAGAAAATGACTATGGAACTTTCTCGCTTTCTTTTACATCATCTCAACTTCCTAGAATGTGTTTAAAGTTTATTTATACTTACATATGTTCACTCAGCAAACATTTCTCAAACATGTACATTCTGCCAGAAGCATAGTTCTTGTAAAGTGAAAATATTTATTTTTTTCTTCATGAAATTGTTTCTAATAAGAAAGCCAGCCTTAATGTTTATTTTATTTTATTTTATTTTGAGATAGGGTCTTGCTCTGTCACTCAGGCTGGAGTGCAGTGGCACAGCCTTGGCTCACTGTAACCTCCACCTTTCGGGCTCAAGCAGTCCTCCCACCTTAACCTCCCAGGTAGCGGGGACTACAGGTGCACACCACCAGCTTGGCTAATTTTTGTGTTTTTTTGTAGAGACAGTGTTTTACCATGTTGCCCAGGCTGGTCTCAAACTCCTGGGCTCAAGCCATCTGCCCACTTCTGCCTCCCAAAGTGCTGGGATTATAGGCATGAGCCATCACACCTGACCTATTATGTAATTTTTATTTCTAAATAGGGCGCTAAAAATTATTTTGGCTACGTGCATATATTAAGTAATGGTATTGAATATGCAAAGCGTAAATGCAATAGAAAAGGCTTGAAGGTTAAATCAAGATCAGGAAATATTATTCAGTGGGGATACATATCTCTATGCATTTGTCAAAACTCAGTTGTTGGGCCGGGCACAGTGGCTCACGCCTGTAATCCCAGCACTTTGGGAGGCCGAGACGGGCGGATCACGAGGTCAGGAGATCGAGACCATCCTGGCTAATGCGGTGAAACCCCGTCTCTACTAAAAATACAAAAAAAATTAGCCGGGCGCGGTAGCGAGTGCCTGTAGTCCCAGCTACTCGGGAGGCTGAGGCAGGAGAATGGCGTGAACCTGGGAGGCGGAGCTTGCAGTGAGCCAAGATAGCGCTACTGCAGTCCGGCCTGGGCGAAAGAGCGAGACTTCGTCTAAAAAAAAAAAACAAAAGCAAAAACCCAGTTGTTAATATCTAAAAAAACTTATGCCACAAATTTGATGAAGATTGCACTGAAATCTATAGATCAATTTAGGGAGACATGACATCTTACTGATATTGATCTACCAATTTATGAACCCAGAATTTTTCTTCATTTACTGTTTTAGTATAGGTATAGTAGTAATTAGTGTTATTTTCTTTCATTGTATGTTGTTTCTCATGGGATTATATCACACAGAGCCAGCTGGTTTCTCCCTGCTGTACCTTTCTTTGATTTCATTTTATAGGTAAAAATTCATGGGAGGCCCATGTGGGCGGATCACCTGAGGTCAGGAGTTCGAGACCAGCCTGACCAACATGGTGAAACCCCGTTTCTACTAAAAATACAAAATTAGCCAGGCGTAGTGGGCGCACACCTGTAGTCCCAGCTATTTGGGAGGCCGAGGTAAGAGAATCGCTTGAACCCAGGAGGCAGAGGTTACGGTGAGCCGAGATTGCGCCATTGCACTCCCGCCTGGGCAACAGGAGCAAAATTCTGTCTCAAAAAAAAAAAATCATAATTGACTAGAGCCTACAATGTCAAATTAATGGGAGGAGTAAGGATGGGGGCCCACCGTATCAATATTTTATAGATTAACCAAAGTGGGTAGAATTGGCAATAATTTAAGAAGAGGAATACTTTCACAAACCTGTTAGCTTTGTAGCAGAGATGTCTACTTAATAGTACCTATACCCTTATAAGTTCAGGGGTTTGCAGAGTGATTCCCTAAGAGTGTGTCAATTACATATGCTATCATTGCATTGCCAAGTGGTACCTTTCTTTAGACCATTCTCTTTGGAGACATCTCAAGTTACAAAGTCTTAAAACAGTCAAAATAAATTCTGAGTTTGAATACTTCCTCAAACAGAAGTGAAATAGTTGTATTGGTTAAAATCAGTCTACGAGTTTATGTGATTTGTAGGGAAGTGCTAAGTATCAGTGGTTTTATAGAATTATAGCCTATCATTTATGATATTCACATATCAGAAGTCATTTCTGTAGAGAATGGTGACTTCACAAGTTTTATGTGGTTTGTGGGGAAGTGCTAAGTATCAGTGTTTTATAGAATTATATCCTATCATTTGTTAAATTCATATATCAGAAGCCATTTCTATAGAGAATGGTGACTTCACGCTGGTTGTATTATAAACTCTTCTTTGAGAAAAGTATAATGGGACTTCAGGAATTTGAGTAGAGAGAAGGAAAAAATGTTTTGCCCCAGTATAACTAATCTTGAAAAGCAAGGTTATTCTTACAACCCGTGGCTTTGATGGAAGAGGCTTTCTACAATGATCCCAATTTTTAAATTAGTTGTGAGAGTCAGACCTTGCAGTCCTTTCACATTGCAGGAGGACCTAACAACATAGTTCCCTTAAATATTGAAAAATACAGAGTAAAAATGTATTCCTTAGTCTCTAGCAATTAAGGAAATTAATTTACCTCTAAATGACAGATGCAAGATAAGAAATTATAAGCTTTTGTGCAGTATTTCAGGTTATAGTACTGGTTATCCGTATCTATACTTCTTTGCTAAGAAAAATGTCTAAAGCATTCAGAAGTGGTACAGTTCATATCTATGACACAGGTTACTCCTCTGCTAATGATGATAACTTTAGTTAATTTGCCTTCTTCTCAGAATTGCAGTATTAGCAGTGAGAAAAATCTAGGCTGAAATATTGGAGGAATGATGTTTCTAAGAAGAGGTGCAGAGCTCTAAGGTTAAGAGCTTAAAGAGGATGGATAGCTTTTACTTCTGTTCTTACTATCCTGAATGTTACATCAAATGCTCTACGAAGTCAGATTTGAACACATTTAAACTCAGAAATTTTCTGGCATAGTTTCTTGATGAATGCAAGTTTTGTAATAAGTTTGATGGTGACTGCTTTTAAGATTATTTTTGAACTAATGTATCAGTTGGGGAGTCTTGTTGGAGAACTGGATAGATGCTTCACTATGATTTGCTTTCTGAAAGGATTTCCAATCCTATACTTACTAGTATTTATGAGAGAGTTATGAAACTAAAATATTTATATGATGACAAAAGATGTGTGGTAGTTTATCAAGCAGCATCACCTTATTAAAAACTTGAGGGAAGCTATAATTTTGATGATTTAGTTTGATGGATAATAAAAGTTGTAATGTCTTTTGAAAGAAATGATTTCTAGCGTTCATACAGACTAGTATGCATATTACATTAGCTAAGGGAATCAAGCCTCTTTCTTGTTCTAAAATAATTAGTTATTTACAGTCTCTTCCAGAGAGAGGGGGAGATGGCCTCTGAAGGAATAGAAGAAGGTCAAAACCAGCAAGCACAGAAAGCACTGTTTGAAATGGAAAAATTATCTAATGACTCCTTCTTTAAATTTGATGTTTCTTTAGCTATTCCCATCAAGAGCACAGTTTACATTCAGCTGGAGATAATAGTGTACATAGTGACTTCTAATAACATAGCTTTCTCTTCTTTCCTGGGTCCCGAGAAACACTGTTATAAACCTTTTCTGAATACAAAACATGACACTGTAGCTATTACATGGGTTCTATGCTTTTATTCACAGGTATAGATTTAAGTCTGTGTTTTTGGTAAGAGGAGATCAAGCATTTTTATATTTGCCACACAGTAAGGATATATGCATCTCTGGACCGAGTCATTTTCATTTACCTGTCTTTATTTTTCTTCCATTTTTCTTTTTTTCTGGGCATATTTTACCTCCAATCATGATTTGCTTGTCTTTAAAGAAAGTTATATGAATAAAAAAGGAAAAATAAACTGTTTTCCTATACTTAAAATATTTATCTTCTGAAAACAGATGTGTGGGAATTTTTCCCACATCAACCAATTTCCAACCTCTGACACCAACTGGGTGTATTACAGTTCAATGCAATTCTGATGGTATATACTTGGGGTTACTACAGACCCCACAAGTTAAGGACTCAGTCCCACAAGACTGCTCCCCACTTCAAATGCCACTCTCAAGTCCAAACTGTCACCTGTGCTTCTGACTGACTAGCTATAAATGGGAGGTTCTCATGGCCCCTCCTTGGGCTTGAAAATTTTCTAGAACAGCTGACAAAACTGAGGGTAACACTTTACTTATGAGTGTCAGTTTATTATATAGAATACAACTCAGGAATAACCAAATGCAAGACACACATAGGACACTTAAGGGGGAGAGACACAGAGCTTCCCTGCCCCAGTTAGGCACACCACCTCTCAGAACCTCCATGTGTTCACCAACCCAGAATCTCTTGAAACCTCGTCCTTTGGGGTTTTGTGGAGGCCTCATTGTGTAGGCATGATTGATTAAAATCATTGGCCAATAGTGATTAACTCAATTGCCAGTCCCTCTTTGTAAGACATCAGGAGAGGAGAGCTGAAACTTCCAGTGCTCTAATCATATTGTTGGTTCCCCTGGAAGCCATTCCCCAACCGGAGGCTCTTCAGGAGACTTTAGCCACCATGTATCTCATTAGCATAAAAAAAGACACTTCTGAGATTCCAGAGGTTTTAGGAGCTGTGTTTCTAGTCACAGACCAAATATTAAAACAAAAGATGGTCCTGGCACTCCTGTCATTCAGGAAATTACAAGGGTTTTAGAAGCACTGTGCCGGGAACTGGTGGCAAAGACCAAATGTATATTTCTTACTACAAATCACAATATCAAAGTGAAATACAAGTTTAATCTCCTATATTTATATGTCCAAAGGCCTTTTATTCATGGAAACCACACCTAAGGATTGCCCTTCTGAGTCTCCGGATAGCATCTGCATCATAGTTGACTTATACTTCTGCTAATCCGCACCCAGTGGGTAGGAGCAGAATGATCTAGCCAGTAGCCACACAGGAATGTAGATGGAAGGAGCTATGTAGAAGGCTGACATTTTCTGTTGATTTTTCCTTGGCAGGGAAACTAATGAGGACAATAACTTACTTGGCCAAGATTAGTCATATTTTTGGAATGAAGGCAGGAAGACAATTACTTAACACCATCCTTTTTATTGAACAAAAATTAAATAAAGCAAATAGCTAAGATTGAACAGGAGCTTATATACGGGAGCAATTTTAGCCCATGTGATAGAAAATGTAAAAGTAAAATCTGAAGCAGTCTAATGTAAAACTGGGTATCTCAGTCACTCCTGTCTTATCTGCTTTAAATTCAGACAAATCTTGCACAGCTTTGAACAAGGAAAGTGTAATAAATGCAAGGGGCCTGTATTATGTTCTGGTGCTACACTTCTAATACGCTAATTTGAAGTGTTCAATAGCCTCATATATCTAGTGACTACAGTCTTTGACATCACAGATGAAGAACAGTTCCATCATTACAGAAAATGCTTTTGGATGGCGGTGATCTAACACAAGGAAAAAACTGCTGGAGACTCTACAATATGCCTGGTTTACGATCCCCTAGAGAGTCTGGACCAACCACAATCCTTTGTATATGATAGAGTGCTTAGAAAATATTTTTTGATGGGCTAAATAAATGAAAATCTTAACATTTTCCCAAAAATAAGTAATTTTTAATACTCATGTAAACTAAAAATAATACACACTCCTTCCCAAATGAAATTTAAATATGTAATTTTCTGGAGTTACTGTAGTAATAGTTTATGATATGAATAATCTCCCCTTCCATTAATACTTTTTTATTATATGAGTTAGTTTCTTACATGGTTTTCCATAGTCACATTTGTTAAAGAGTCCAGTTGATGGGCAAATTAGCAGTCTTATCCTGGGATGCATGAAGACTTTCCAAGGAAAACGCAGACAAGGAACATTCTATCCACAAATAGCAGAATACAGTGTTTTCAAATGTTCATGGTAAATACACCAAGACAGACCATAGTCTGAACCACTAAGAAATCTGAAAAATTTTTTTAAATTTGAAACATATAGAGTATGTTCTCTCACCACCATGGAATCAAACTAGATATCCATAATGGAAAGAAAATAGGAAAATCTCTGGACACTTGAAAAGTGAACAGTATGTTTCTAAATAGTGGTTCAAAGAAATAAAAATACATTGAATGGAAGTACAACATATCAAAATTCTGAGATTCAGCTAAAGTATTACTCAGATGGAAACTTACAGTACTACATGCTTATACTGGAGAAGAGGAAAAGTCTAAAATTGATCATCTAAAATCCTGTCTCAAAAAAAAAAAAATAGGAAAAGAAGCTCAGAATAGTTAAGCCAAGCAGTAAGAAGGAAGCAATAAACATGAAAACAGAAATCAATGAAATTGAAAACTAGAGAAAAATCAATGAAACACACAGTTGGCTCTTTGAGGGGATGATACAATTGTTACACCCCTAGAACAAATAGACAAAATGTTCAATATCAGAAATGAAATGAAATATCACTAGAGACCCTATAGTCAGTCATCAACGAGTTAATGAGAAACTGCTACAAATAACTCTATGCATGTAAATTTGACTCAGTTAGATGAAATGGACAAATGACTTGAAAAGCACAACCTGCTGCAACTCACCCAATATAAAATAGATAATTTGAATAATTCTGTTAAGAAAATTGAATTCATAATTTTAAAATTCTCAAAATAGAAATCTCCAAACCTAGATGATTTTACCAGATAATTATATTAAATGTTTAAAGACTGATTAACATTCATTCTATACAATTGGTTCCAAAAAAATAGAAATTTATTTATTTATTTATTTATTTATTTTTGGAGATGGAGTCTTACTCTGTCTCCCAGGCTGGAGTGCAATGGCACAATCTCGGCTCACTGCAACCTCTGCCTCCTGGGTTCAAGCGATTCTCCTGCCTCAGCCTCCCGAGATTACAGGCGTCCGCCAACCACACCCAGCTAATTTTTATATTTTTAGTAGAGACGGGGTTTCACCATGTTGACTAGACTGGTCTTGAACTCTGGACCACAGGTGATCCACCCACCTCGGCCTCCCAAAGTGCTGGGATTACAGACGTGAACCACCGCGCCCGGCCTCAATTTATTTTTTAAAGCCTGTGTTACTCTGATACCAAAAGCAGACAAAGACAAAAAAGGAAAACTACAAAATGTTTATAAATGTGGAAAAAGCATTTGACAAAATTCAACACCCATTTATAATTTTTAAAAAATCTTAGAAAGCTAGGAATAGAGGGGAACTGCTTCAGCTTGATAAAGAACAGCTACAGAAAGCCGAAGGTAACATTATACTTACTGGTGAAAAATTGAATGCTTTCCCCCTAAGATTGAGAATAAGAAAGGATGTCTGCTCTCACTACTGCTATTCAATATGCTGTTGGAAGTTCTAGCCAGCTCAATACCACAAAACAAGGAAATAAAGGACATGCAGATCAAAATGGAAGGAATAAATCTGTCCCTGTTTGTAGTTGACATCATTATGTGTATAGACAATTCCAAAGAGTACACAAAAACACATCTAGAACTAATAAGTGAGTTATATAGATTCACAGGTTATGAGATCGTACAAAAACTAATTGTATTTTTGTATATCCTGTCAATGAAGATGTGGAAAAATTTTAAAATACAGTGTAATTTACAGTTACTAAAAGAAATGATGTATTTAGGTGTAAATCCAACAAAACACATACAGGACTTATATGCTGAGACTACAAAATGTTGGGGAAAAAATTAAAGATCTAAGTAAATGGAAATACTGTGTACATAGATTGGAAGACTCAATACAGTAAAGATGCTAATTCCACTCAAGTTGATACACAGGTTTAACACAATTCTTATAAAAATCCCCAAAGATTTTTCTAGTACATGGACAAGATTATATATATGGAAAGTTGAAGGAATTAGAATAGCTAAAACAATTTAGAAAAAGAAGAAAAAAGTGGGAAGAATCATCCTATTGTATTGGCAGAAAGATAATAAAAGAAAAACAGTTTCTTTATTCGCAACACTTCTTATATCAAATGCATGGGTGTTCCACACCAAGCAGTTCTTCACTTCTCTGTGGATACCAATAGAGTGTCCTATAGTTTAACTCAGTTTTTGACATTAATTACCTAGAATTCCCACGGATTAAAGGCTCAGTCCCACAAGAGTACCTTACCTCCCATTTCAGGTGCTAGTTGCAAGTATGGAGTATGCATGCTTTTGTCTGACTTGGCCATACAACATCCTCCTCAGGTTTGATAATTTGTTTGTTCTCCAAGCCCTGCAGTTTTGGAGGCTTCAGCAGATAGGCTTTTTGTGGAGGCTTCAGTGTGTACACATAATCAAATACTAACTCAGTCTCCAGCCACTCCCTGGAGAATGCAGATGGGGCTAAAAGTCCCCAGCTTCAAATTATGGCTTGGTCTTTCTGGTGATCAGCTCCCCATCCTGAAGCTATTCAGGAGCCCACCAAGAGTTTCTTCATTAGAGCAAAGATACGCTTGTCACCAAGGAAGCCTGATATGGTTTGGCTGTGTCCCTATCCAAATCTCACCTTGAATTGTAGTTCTCATAATTCCCATGTGTTGTTGGGGGGGACCTTGTGGAGGTAATTGAGTCATGGAGGCAGGTCTTTCCCATGATATTCTCGTGATAGTGAATAAGTCTCATGAGATCTGATGGTGTTATAAAGGGGAATTTCCCTGCACAAGTTGTCTTCTCTTGTTGGCTGCCATGTGAGACATGCCTTTCACCTTCTGCCATGATTGTGAGGCCTCCCCAGCCATGTGGAGCTGTGAGTCTATTAAACGCCTTTCTTTTGTAAATCGCCCAGTATCAGGTATGTCTTTATGTTGCTTATAAAGCAACATAAAAATGGACTAATACAATAAATTGGTACCAGGAGAGTGGGGCGCTGCAGTAAAGATACCCAAAAAATGTGGAAGCAACTTTGGAACTGGGTAGCAGGCCGAGGTTGGAACAGTTTGGAAGGCTTAGGAGAAGATAGGAAAATGTAGGACAGTTTGGAACCTCCTAGACTTGTTGAATGGCTTTGACCAAAATGCTGATAGTGATATGGACAATAAAGTTCAGGCTGATGTGGTCTCAAATGGAAATGAAGAACTTATTGGGAACTGGAGCAAAAGTGACTCTTATTATGTTTTAGCAAAGAGACTGGTGACAGATTGCCCCTGCCCTAGAGATTTGTGGAACTTTGAACTTGAGAGAGTTGATTTAGGGTGTGGGAGAAGAAATTTATAAGCAGCAAAGCATTCAAGATGTGACTTGGGTGCTGTTAAAGGCATTTAATTTTATAACGGAAGCAGAGCATAAACGTTCAGATGATTTGCAGCCTGACAATGCAATAGAAAGGAAAATCCCATTTTCTAAGGAGAAATTCAAGCCAGCTGCAGAAATTTGCATAAGTAACGAGGAGCCAAATGTTAATTGCCAAGGCCATGCGGAAAAGGTCTCTAGGGCGTGTCAGAGACCTCTGTGGCAGCCCCTGCCATCACAGACCCAGAGGCCTAGGAGGAAAAAATGGTTTCCTGGGCCAGGCCCAGGGTCCCACTGCTGTGTGCAGTCTAGGGACTTGGTGCCCTGCCTCCTAGCTGCTCTAGCAGTGACTGAAAGGGGCCAAGGTACAGTGTGGGCTGTGGCTTCAGAGGCTGCAAGCCCTAAGCCTTGGCAACTTCAACGCGGTGTTGAGCCTGCCAGTGCACAGAAGTCAAGAACTGAGGTTTGGGAACCTCCACCTAGGTTTCAGAAGATGTGTGGAAATGCCTGGATGTCCAGGAACAAGTTTGCTGCTGGGGCAGGGTCCTCAGGAAGAACTTCTGCTAGGGCAGTGCAAAAGGGAAACGTGGGGTTGAAGCCCCCATACAGAGTCCCCACTGGGCTGCTGCCTAGTGGAGCTGTGAGAAGAGGGCCACTGTCCTCCAGATCCCAGAATGGTAGATCCACCGACAGCTTGCACTGTGTGCCTGGAAAAGCCACAGACACTCAACAGCAGCCCGTGAAAGCAGCCAGGAGGGAGGCTATACCCTGCAAAGCCACAGGGGCGGAGCTGCCCAAGACCATACAGCTTACCTCTTGCATCCGTGTGACCTGGATATGAGACCTGGAGTCAAAGGAGATCATTTTGGAGCTTTAAGATTTGACTGACCTGCTGGATTTCGGACTTGCACAGTGCCTGTAACCCCTTTGTTTTGGTCAATTTCTCACATTTGAAATGGCTGTATTTACCCAATGCCTGTACCCCCATTGTATCTAGGAAGTAATAAACTTGCTTTTGATTTTACAGGCTCATAGGCAGAAAGGACTTGCCTTGTCTCTGATGAGACTTTGGACTGTGGACTTTCACGTTAATGCTGACATGAGTTAAGACTTTGGGGGACTGTTGGGAAGGCATGACTGGTTTTGAAATGTGAGGACATGAGGTTTGGGGGGGGCCAGGGCAGAATGATATGGTTTGGCTGTGTCCCCACCCTAATTTTATCTTGAATTGTAGCTCCCACAATTGCCATGTGTCATGGGAGGGACCCAGTGGGAGGTAATTGAATCAGGGGGGCAGGTCTTTCCTGTGCTGTTCTAGTGATAGTGAATAAGTCTCATGAGATCTGATGGTTTTGTAAAGGGGAGTTTCCCTGTATATATATGTTCTCTTCTCTTGTCTGCCGCCATGTGAGATATGCCTTTCACCTTCTGCCATGATTGTGAGGCCTCCCCAGCCACATGGAACTGTGAGTCTATTAAACGCCTTTCTTTGTAAATTGCCCGGTCTCAGGTATGTCTTTATCAGCAGCATAAAATCGGACTAATACAAAGTCTAAGGAATTCAGAAGCTTTACGTAAGATGTTCCTATCATTGCTATCACTCAGTGGTTTTAGGAGTTCTGTGTCAGGAACCAAGGTCAAAGACCAAATATTAGAACAAAAGATGCTCTTAGTGAGAGGTGACAGCGTGCTGGCAGTCCTCAGAGCCCTCGCTTGCTCTCGGCACCTCCCCTGCCTGGGCTCCCACTTTGGTGGCATTTGAGGAGCCCTTCAGTCCCCCATTGCACTGTGGGAGCCCCTTTCTGGCCTGGCCAAGGCCGGAGCCCACTCCCTCAGCTTGCAGGGAGGTGTGGAGGGAGAGGCATGAGCGGGAACCGGGGCTGTGTGCGGCACTTGCGGGCCAGCTGGAGTTCCGGGTGGGCGTGGGCTTGGTGGGCCCCGCACTCGGAGCAGCCAGGCAGCCCTGCTGGCCCTGGGCAATGGGGGACTTAGCACCCAGGCCAGTGGCTGCGGAGGGTGTACTGAGTCCCCCAGCAGTGCTGGCCCACCGGCACTGCGTTCGATTTCTCGCTGGGCCTTGGCTGCCCTCCCACGGGGCAGGGCTCGGGACCTGCAGCCCGCCATGCCTAAGCCTCCCACCCACTCCATGGGCTCCTGTGCGGCCCGAGCCTCCCCGACAAGCACCACCCCCTGCTCCACGGCACCCAGTCCCATCGACCACCCAAGGGCTGAGGAATGCGAGCACACGGCGCAGGACTGGCAGGCAGCTCCACCTGCAGCCCCTACGCGGGATCCACTAGGTGAAGCCAGCTGGGCTCCTGAGTCTGATGGGGATGTGGAGAGTCTTTATATCTAGCTCAGGGATTGTAAATACACCAATCAGCACCCTGTGTTTAGCTCAAGGTTTGTGAGTGCACCAATCGACACTCTGTATCTAGCTGCTCTGGTGAGGAAGTGGAGAACCTTTATGTCTAGCTCAAGGATTGTAAATACACCAATCGGCACTCTGTATCTAGCTCAAGGTTTGTAAACACACCAATCAGCACCCTGTGTTTAGCTCAAGGTTTGTGAATGCACCAATCGACACTCTGTACCTAGCTTCTCTGGTGGGGCCTTGGAGAACCTGTGTGTGGAAACTTTGTATCTAACTAATCTGATGGGGACGTGGAGAACCTTTGTATCTAGCTCAGGGATTGTAAACGCACCAATCAGCGCCCTGACAAAACAGGCCACTCGGCCCTACCAATCAGCAGGATGTGGGTGGGGCCAGATAACAGAACAAAAGCAGGCTGCCCGAGCCAGCATTGGCAACCCGCTCGGGTCCCCTTCCACACTGTGGAAGCTTTGTTCTTTCGTTCTTTGCAATAAATCTTGCTACTGCTCACTCTTTGGGTCCACACTGCTTTTATGAGCTGTAACACTCACCGTGAAGATCTGCAGCTTCACTCCTGAGCCCAGCGAGACCACGAGCCCACCGGGAGGAACGAACAACTCCAGACGCGCTGCCTTAAGAGCTGTAACACTCACCGCGAAGGTCTGCAGCTTCACTCCTGAGCCAGCGAGACCACAAACCCACCAGAAGGAAGAAACTCCAAACACATCTGAACATCAGAAGGGACAGACTCCAGACACGCCACCTTAAGAGCTGTAACACTCACCGCGAGGGTCCACGGCTTCATTCTTGAAGTCAGTGAGACCAAGAACCCACCAATTCTGGACACATTAGGACCCCTGTCGTTCACGAAATTACAAGAGTTTTAGGAGCTTTGTGTTAGAACCAGGGGCAGAAACCAAATATATATATTTGGTTTGTTCCATTGACCACTAGGTCAGTGGAACAGAACAGCAAACCCAGAAATAGCCTATCCAATTACAGCCACCTGGCTTTTGACAAAGGTACAAAAACAATTCAAAGGAAAAGAATAGTATTCTTCAGAAGTGGGGCCAGTGCAATTGGATATCCATAGACAAAAAACTTAGACCAAAAAAATAATCTTGACCTAAGACTCACAGTGGTACCAGAGTAACTCAAAATGGATAATAGACTGAAGTTTAAAATGTAAAACTATAAAACTTTTAGGAGAAAACATAGAACATCTTTGGAACTAAAACTTGGTGAAGAGTTCTTAGACATGACACAAGAAACATGATCTATAAAAAATTGCTAAATTGGAATGTATTAAAATTAAGAACTTTTGCTGTGCTAAATACCCTGTAATGAGAATGAAAAGACTAGGATAAAATATTGGCAAACCACCACCTGACAAAAGACTTGTATATAGAATAGATAAAGAACTCTCTTGGCCGGGCGTGGTGGCTCATGCCTGTAATCCCAGCACTTTGGGAGGCCGAGGTGGGCAGATCACTTGAGGTCAGGAGTTTGAGACCAGCCTCCAGCCTGACCAACATGGAGAAATCCTGTCTCTACTAAAAATACAAAAATTAGCCAGATGTGGTGGTGCATACCTGTAGTCCCAGCTACTTGGGAGGCTGAGGCAGGAGAATCGCTTGAACCTGGGAGGCGGAGGTTGCAGTGAGCCAAGGTCACAGCATTGCACTCCAGCCTGGGCAACAAGAGCAAAACAAGAGAATATATAAAGAACTCTCAAATCACAATCTTTTTTAAAAACAACAGTAAACAACAGTTCATTTAGAAAATGTGCAAAAGACACAAAAAGATATTTTGCCAAAAAGGATTTAGGGTAGGAGGATCTACTTAAGCCTGGGAGGTCAAGGCTGCAGTGAGCCGTGATCGTGCCACTGTACTCCAGCCTGGGCAACAGAGCCAGACCCTATCTTTAAAAAAAAAAAAAAAATTAGTGGCAATATTAAATGTGGGCAAGGAACAGCCACTGGAGGTGGCAAGGATATGGTAATACAGTCTCTCACACATTGCTGGTAGGAGTTGTAAAATAGTATAGTTGCTCTGGAAAACGGTTTAGCAATTTCTTAAAATGCTAACTATACACTTAACCATATGACTCAGCAGTTGTACTCTTGGGCGTTTCTCCTAGATAAATTAAAATTTATTTCTGCACAGAATCCCATACATGGTTTTATTTTCAATGGCCCAAAATTGGAAACAACCAAAATGTCCTACAATAGTAGGAGTGATTAAACTGTGGTACATCTATACTATGGTATATCTCGTAGCAATATAAAGTAATGAACTATTGATACCCTCAAAAATTTGGACAGATCTCAGTCAGGAGCATTATGTAAGTGAAAAAAATCAGTCTCAAAAAGACACATACTGTACGATTCAATTTATATAGCATTCTCCAAACAACACAATTGTAGAGGTCACCAGGAAATTAATGGTAGTCATGGGATTTTTGTGGGGGCGGGGTTGGGTGAAACTATAAAAGTGTAGCATGAGGAAGCTCTTTATAGTGAGAATAGTTTTATTTATTGATTGTGATGGTGATTACACAGATCTATGCATGTGATAAAATGACATAGAACTATACACACATTGTATCAATGTGATTTTTCTGGTTTTGATATTGTATTATATAAGAAATAACCATGGGGGGAACTGAGTAAAGAGTACAGGGGACCTCATTGTATTGCCTTGTAACTTGATGAATTTCTATAATTTTAAAATAAAAACTAAAAAAATTGTTTAAGGGTATATTGTTAAGAGTGTTAAGAAATCTACTGAATTTTTTTTTTTTTTCTGAGATGGTGTCTTGCTCTGTCACCCAGGCTGGAGTACAGTGGTGCGATCTCGGCTCACTGCAACCTCCGCCTCCTGCGTTAAAGTGATTCTCCTGTCTCAGCCTCCCAAGTAGCTGGGACTACAGGTGCCCGCCACCACACCCGGCTAATTGTTTGTATTTTTAGTAGAGATGGGGTTTCACTGTGTTAGCCAGGATGGTTTCAATCTCCTGACCTCGTGATCTGCCCACCTCGGCCTCCCAAAGTGCTGGTATTACAGGCATGAGCCACTGCGCCTGGCGAGGTGTATTGAAATTTAAGACTATTTTAAGTTTTCCAGTCCCTTTTTGGTTTTTTCTTTTTTAATATTTTGAGATTGGGGTCTCCTTCTTTCACCCAGGCTGGAGTGCAGTGGCATGATCTTGGCTCACTGCAGTCTTGACCTCCTGGGTTCAAATGAGATTCCCACCTCAGCTTCCCAAGTAGCTGGAATTACAGGTATGCACCACCATACCTCATTAATGTTTGTTTGTTTGTTTGTTTAGAGATGGGGGTCTCGCTATGTTGCCCTGGCTGGTCTTGAACTCGTGGCCTCAAGCAACCCTCCTGTTTTGGCCTCCCAAACTGCTACGATTACTGCCTTTTTATTTGATTAAAGACGCTGTCCGTAGGTAAAAAATTTAGAGACATAATTAATATTCACAAGATAATTTTTGGAAAAACTATTTTGGTTTACTTCCCAGAAGATTAGAAACTGAATAATTCTCATGTCTGTGTACAAACCCTATTAGAAGTTAGATGATTCCCAATTAATTGCTTTCAACAAAATTAAAGGAGGATCTAATTAGGTGTGAGCTGATATAAGAGAGCACCTGCCTTACTTATAATTTATTTTTTAGTTTTCTCACTTCCTAAGCACAGCACATGGCTATGTGTTTGATATATAGCTGTTGATTCCTTTGAAGAAAGGAGAGAAAATTGGCCGGGCGCGGTGGCTCATGCCTGTAATCCCAGCAGTCTGGGAGGCCAAGGCAGCAGATCACTTGAGGTCAGGAGTTCGAGACCAGCCTGGCCAACAGGACGAAACCCCGACTCTGCTAAAAATACAAAAATTAACTGGGTGTGGTGGTGCATGCCTGTAATCCCAGCTACTCAGGAGGTTGAGGCAGGAGAATCGCTTGAACTGGGGAGGTCGAGGTTGCAGTAAGCCAAGATCGTGCCACTGCACTCCAGCCTGATGGAGCGAGACTGTGTCTCAAAAAAAAAAAAAAAAAAAAAAAAAGAGAGAAAATTGCGTGCAAATAACAAAACCATTTTTCTCAATGCTTCTTATCACCAAGAAAATGGTAACAAAGGAGTAAGAAATAGTATTTCATGGGAAACATGACTCTTTTAGCCTGTAGTCTAATTGTTTGGATACTATCTACGTTGGTGCAGGTGGAAAGGAATTCCTGTTTTGATAGCTGAATAGAACTAGGTAAGAAAAGAAGCGGGAAAATAAACATGTATTTATTAGCAAATGTGGTTTGAAAGAAAACAAACTTATTTCCCCTACGTGTTTTAAACAGATGAAATGTTTGCAACTTTCTAAATTCACAACTTTTATTTTGTTGAGCATTCTTTTTTCTACAAGTTGAGTTTATAAATTAATAAAACTGCCAAAGTATACTGTTTCTCATTTTCAGTCTGAACAGCAGTATTTTCTTTAGGACCTTGAGGTTTAGTACTGTAGTTTCATCTATTGCCAGAGTCATCAGAGTTTTTAACCAGTGTGTAATGTACAACTACAGATTATTTTTCTTTATCTAGCATATGTTCTTGGGATTAGAGCATGTTGTAAAATAGGCAGGGACTGAAACAGATTGATATTCTGTGGTTACCTTTGTAAAAAATATAATCTCTGCTTTTACTGTTCAAGGAGGCAGAATCATCTTTTCTTACAGGGAAAAGAGGAAGAGGTGTTATTGTTAGTAATGTAAGCATCTGAGTTTGAATTTTACAAAATATTAGCTTTTTGATTAATTTATTCAGTAGTTATTTGAATGCCAAATTTGTGCGCAGTATACTTCTCCCAACTTCTGTGTTTAGGTGCTCTCTATATGGTAGTAGGTAAAACTGATACAATGCCTGACTTCGTGAAGGTAGTGTAGTTAGGAAGACAGCTAAAGAACTGGCAAACAAACAAGTGTGTGTTTAATCGTATTATTTTCTCAAGTTTGTCACCAGTGCGCTGTAGAGTCACCAAAATCGAGTTTCATTTATAATTCAACTTCTCAGAAATTTGCTCAACATCATTTAGGCTAAATAGTATCAGACACTTCTAATAGTAATACTGAATGCTAACCTTTATTGAGTGCTTATGTTCTTTTAACATTCATTATTTTATTTAATGCTCACATAATGTTATAAAGTATAGATACTTTTATTCTTGCCATTTTGCAAGTGAGAAAGAAGAGACTCAGATTAAGTAACTTGCCTAACCTCGTTACTTGCTTAGCCTCATAATTTGCGTAGCCTACTTAGTGGTAGAAGTGGTTTTTATATTGAGTTAGTAACAGCAGATCTTGAGCTCTTAACCACTTGTGTATTCTGTTCTGTATTATTTAGCACTGTGTTAGGCCATATAGGGATATAAAAGAAGCATGACCAAAATCCCTATCTCTTAAGGTGCTTTCGGTCTTATTCCAGTAGATAAAGACAATATATTTAACTGTTAGGTGATGTTAATAGATAAAATTCTAAAAAGTGTAGTCAAATGACATACTTTGACACAAAAGGATTTTTGGATAGAAAATAGAGATAGAGAACCATCAAGTAGAATTATTGGGAAAGACTCCATGGAGAACTGACCCTTAGAAGATGGTTAAGATAAAGATATAGATGGGGAGGTGGACTGTGGAGGCAATGGAGGGATGTTGATGAGATAACAACAATAGAAAAGGATGCATTGGAGGAATTAGCATGACTCTTTTAGAATATTGTGAGGTTAAGACCAGCCTAAAAGAGGAAACAGTTTTGCCCATTCATTCTTTAAACTTTCTTTTGAGAGAGCCAGACACTTTGTCAGTAAATAGTAAAGCATAATATGTGAAAAACATTTCAAACTAATTATGTAGAATCTTTAATTCCAGGTAGTAAGGAATCTGTATTTATTTAATTTTTTAAATTATGATAAAATATGCATACACATAAAATGTACCATTTTAAGTGTTGTAAGTGTACCATTCAGAGGCATTAAGTACATTCACATTGTTGTGCAACTGTTGTTGCTATTCATCTCCAGAACTTTTCCATCATCCGAAACTGAAACACTGTATTCATTTTTTAAAAAACTCTCAATTTCCCTTTGCCCCTACCTCCTGGTAATCTCTGTTCCCTTGTATGTCTCTATGATTTGCCTATTTTAGGTACCCTTTATAAGTAGAATCATGCAATTATTTGATCTCTTGTGTCTTACTTATTTCACTTAGTGTAATGACTTCAAGGGTCATCCATGGTATAGCAAGTATCAGAATTTCTTTCCTTTTTAAACATGAATAATATCCTGATGTATGATTATAGTACATTTTGTTTAACCTATTCATCCATTGATGGACAGTTGGATTACTTTCACTTTTTGGCTATTGTGACTAGTACTGCCATAAGCATGGATAGACAAATATCTGTTTGAATTTCTGGTGTCAGTTCTTTTGGATATATACCCAGAAGTAAAATTGTTGGATTGTATGAAATTTTGTGTTTAATTTTTCAGTATTTATTTACTAAATATAATATTTTATTCCCACCTGTTTAATGTTGCTTGCTTACATCTATTCTTTTTCATTCCTGCATGTATTATATATTATAGCTAGACCAGATTACAGATCACATGCTCCATATTTTCCAGCCTTCTATTGCTGTAGTCATCTGGCTTGTTCCCTTTGCCTTCCTCTTTCCTTCTTGATCTGTCAACACATTGACCATTTATCAAGATCTAAATACCATTCCTTTGATACATAATAGAGTTCAACGGTGACAGTAAATTAGAAAACCAAAATATAATTGATAATGAAACTCCAAAAATGAACAAATTAGGTATACCCTAAAGAAGCCTAAGAAAAAAGAGAAAGAAAACAATAATATACAGTATTAGGGTTGAGAAAAGCAGTATAACCACAGATTTAGATAGTACCAAAAATGATAAAACATTTTGTGCAGTTTTAAACATACACAGTTATTAAATCTAGATGAGACAATTACATTTTAAAATAAAATATAAAGTATCAGAATGAAACTTGAGAGAGAAAACCTGAACAAACTGATAACGATGGATGAAGTGAAAAGGACTGTTAAAAACTAAGTAACCAAGATTCACATCACCAGTAATAAGTCATGTGGATAGAATGTACCTCCCAATATGATGCAATGAGAAGATCACTTCACCTTTGTGGTATCCTTCCCCTAAATCCGTAACACAGTCTAGGCATGAGAACACAGAAAATAAACCCAAATTTTGGAACATTCTACAAAATTTCTGACTCATACTTTTTAAAATTGCCAAGTTTATGGGAAAAAAAGAAAAGACTGAGAAATTATCACAGAGCAGAGGAGGACAATTAAAGAGTCATGATGCTAAATGCAGTATAGTGTCCTGGAACAGAAAAGGACATTAGTGGAAACACTGGGGAAATCTGGATAGAGTCTGTAGCTTAGTTGATAGTATTATACTAATGCTAACTTCTTAGTTCAAACAACTGTACCCTGTCTCTAAGATGTTAACATAGGAGGATGCTGAGTGAAGGGTATATAAGGACTGTATTCTATATTTACAATTTTCTTTAAATCTAGAGTTGTTAAAGATATGACAGACAGACACACATATAAAAGGCAGGAGGCTATGTAGTTTTATAGACTTACTGCCCTTTCTAGTGTCGTTCATTAACAAGTAACTGAAAATTCTTAAATTACTATTAAAACTATTTCCAAATATTAAAAATATAGAAAGCATCTCACTGTATTATATGAAGGTGGCATTACTTCAGTACAAAAAAAACTTAATGAAGATAGCAAAAAAGGGAAAATATGGTTGCAAAAATCCTAAGCAAAGTATTAGAAAATCGAATCTCGTAGTCTGTTGAGAGAGTAATATGCTATGTAGTTTTCATTTGAGATGTACAGTATGTTTCATTATAATGAAATATATCAATATAATTCATTACATATTGAAAGAGTAAAACTGCATAATCATACTATTCATGGTAAAATTCTAAGTAGAATTTTTTTTTTTTTTTTTTTGAGACACAGTCTCTCTCTTGTCACCCAGGCTGGAGTGCAGTAGCGAGATCTCGGCTCACTGCAACCTCCGCCTCCCGGGTTCAAGCAATTCTCCTCCTGCCTCAGCCTCCTGAGTAGCTGGGATTACAGGCACCTGCCACCACGCCCGGCTAATTTTTGTACTTTTAGTAGAGACGGGGTTTTGCCATGTTGGTCAGGCTGGTCTCCAACTCCTGACCTCAGGTGATCCGCCTGCCTCGGCCTCCCAAAGTGCTGAGATTACAGGCGTGAACCACCACGCCCAGCCAGAAAATTTTTTTAATCTGTGGAAAATAGATGAGTATATATATTTTTTTGTTTTTATTTTTTCACAGTGCAGAGATGGAGATGACCTTCCTCAGTTAATGAGAAAGCCCAGGTGCTTTAAAGGAATAACATTGTGATAGCTCTATCTACAAATAAATTAAATGTCAGGAAATTTTCACACATTAGAAAAATGACTCTCATGAAAATACAGAATGAACATGTGTCAAAAACTCATTCAACATTTTAATTAAAGTAGGAACCAGTAAGATAATAAAACTTGATATTAGAGCATTTGAATAATAGGGACTTATATAGTTCACCTTTCCAGGAAAATTGAAAAATGATGCCTTCAGAATAATATTGATTAGATACAAATTTGGTTAATTTTCTAAAAAGTTATAAAACGGTAACCTTTGGGTTTCTGCTTTCTCTAGGACGGAAATGTACAAGTTACATGGAACTTCACAGTGTCTAGACTCTAATCAGATAGAGTAAGTAGGCAGGTTAACAGTTTTCTAGTATGCCATTGGAAGGATAAATTTTCTTAATGTTAGTGTACTGTGGTAGATACTGTCAACCAAGTTAAAAGATACAAAGGTTGATTACCTTGATCAAAAACACCTTAGAACTTAATAGTAAAACTAAACAACAACCAAAAAAATACAAACTGTCAGTTCACTGAAGAAACACATATTGCCAGAAACCATGAGAAGCTGCCTGCAATCTCAGTCATAATTTTTTAAAGGCAATCTAAAATAAAAGTGAATGAAGATTTTGGCTATCAGGTTGGCCAAACCATAAAATGTTTCTATAACTAACTATTAGTGTTAGGCTGTTCATATTCACACTTTAATAGTGAGATTCTAATTTGTTATAAGCATATTCATTGGTGTTTCTTGGAATAGCAAAATACTGAAAACCGTCTCAGTAGTCTTGTTGTTAGGTAAATACACCATGTTTGAGAAGTGTAGAAAAGAATGACATTGTTAAGTGAGAAAAGCAAGATGTGGACAAATGTACATTTTTATTTTAAAAAGCTATTATTACATGTGTATGTTTATACCTAGGTCTGAATAATGCAGACAATAAAGCTTATTTATGTTAGTGGAAGTAAGGAAAATATTTTTCTTTTTTTTTTTGTAAGGAAGACTTTATAGTCAAGACTAGGGGAGAGAGATTAAACTCGACTCTGAATACAACAGGAACTAGTGGAGATCTATAACCATTAGGCACTGTTAGGAAGTAGATTTCTCTCTCTTTTTTCAAGTAGGGATAAGTGATTTTAATTTTTGTATTTTTAAAAAGAATTTTAAAAATATGAATACAAAAACTTAAATATCACATTCTCTTGGTAGATTTTTTATTGTCGGGATTTATAAAACTACCCAGATAACAGGGAAATCCTTCAGTTTTTCCTAGTAATGTTAAAGACAGATAAAGTAGAACAAGTGATTAGAGTATACAGTACCTCAAAGTGTCTGTCATAAATAAACTACTTAGAGGAATGAATATTTTGTACTCAAATAAATTGCAAGTATTTGTGAGCTGAACCCTATGTTTCCCTTCTTATTCCTGTTTCTGTTTGTCGAACTCTTCCTCCCTGACTTTCTCTTTCAAAGATGAGCATACATGGATTCATTTCGGTTTTGTAGTGTTTTGTGACACTCTAACCCTGATGTTTCCTTCAGTAGGGAAAATCAGAAGGGTTTTCTATAGTTGAGCCAGGTGATTGGAGTGGTGAAACCAAGCAGGGAGAGGTAAAGCCAAAGTAAGAGCTGCCTGTGTGGTGACTCATGAAATGGTTGAGGTTTGAATAGCTTTTGGCAGAAAGCAGAAGAAAAACGGAGACAAGGTATGGGTGTGTATGTGTGTGTGTAACTACATGCTGTACAAGCTATGCATATTTCTGAGAGCACATACTAATATAATTTAACCTTTGATGACTAAGGCTATTCTATAGAGTTTCAATTCTTGTAATCTACTCTAGTAAATGATGCATACAAGTAATGTGTAAGTGTGCAGGTATGAAGGGCTGACCTAGCCTACTGTGCGTGCTGAGACTCCCGTGTCTCCATCTTCACCCCCAGTGTAAATGCATTTGTTATAAATTGGAAAATGACTAGTTGAATTTGCTAGAATTATGTGTAAACTAATAGTATCTAATAACTGAGTGAGTGTCAAATGATTCTCCTATGAGGAAAATCAAGTGCCTTTTAATAAAGATTTGTGATATCTAATTTTAGTTTTTTATAGTTTGCTTGTTTGGCCTACTTTTAGGACCTTGGCTGTGTGCCACATAATTGAGGGTGTTGAACAAGTGAGATGTTGGAAAAGTCTCATAATTCAAATATTAAGCAAGTTTTTAGGGCCTGTTCTGAGTTCTAGCTGTGCACTCTAAAATACATAAATATATATTAGTCCCCACTTAGCTGAGGAGTATATGTTCGAAGACTCCCACCCTGAAACTGTGGACAGTACCCACTTGATTGCCATCAGTTGGAATACATTTTTATTCCTGTCTTCCACCCACAAATTTAATGCCTTTTTCATCTTAACTAAACACTTACTATATACACTGTAGCTGTAACTTTGGCAGTTTGAGGTGTGACAGCAACATTAGCATGAATTTCTTTTTCCTTCTTCACAATGTCATGGGTAGAAGATTTATTCCTACCATAGATCATAGCAGCCTAAGCATATGATTTTTTTCTTTCCTTATTCACTTGAGAATTTTCACTTTTACACTTAAAGGAAGCACTTTATGGCTTCTCTTTGGCATATCTGAATTGCCAGCATCACTACTCTTGTACTTTGGGGACATTACTAAGTAAAATAAGGGTTACTTGAACACAAACCCTGTAATACTTCAGCAGTCATCATAACCAGGATGGTACTAAGTGAGTAACAGGTGGGCAGATAGCATACACATTGTGGATTCACTGGACAAAGGAGTGATTTCTGTCCGAGGCTGGATGGAGTGGTGACAGATTTCATCACACTATGCAGAATGGTATGAAATTTAAAACTTATGAATTATTTATTTCTAGAATTTTCTGTTTAATATTTTCAGATCTGAAGGCACAGAAAATGAAACTGTGGGTAAAAGAGGACAACTGTAATTTATTCTACAGGTTCCCAAGTAAATGCTTGGCTTGTACAAAAGCATATTTTTATATCAATGTTGGTTGTTTTTGTTTCTAAAAATTGTCAGTCTTAGGTGAAATAGGGGATCAGCTGCTAGTCATATGTAAAATTGGTTTCGAGAATACTAGCCCTGCATACCTCTGCCTTGTAGCTAAGTCTTAAGGCTTTATCCCATCCTCCTTACCATGTGGTGGTGGGAGGGGGATATATCTTTCCTTTAACAGTGTTAAGACTTCATACATAAATGTCCCTGGGAGAAATAAAAAATGTTCCTCAAGTCATATTAAATCCTTTCTTAAGAGCAGAATTGGATTGAAAGAATATAGAAAAAGGAGAGATTGGAGAGATTTCAAAGACAGAAGCAGGCTGTCTTAGATGGAAGAAGCAAACCAGTCTTACTTGAAAGTTTTGTCTCTCATCTAATTGTATTTCAACCATTACCTATCTATGCATTATCTTCTGAGTGCTGATCCCGTATTTCTGACTGGATGTTATTATGTGGATGTTTCTTAACATCACTAATCATTAGAGAAATGCAAATTAAAACCACAATGAGATGTCACACCGCACCCATTAGGTTGGATACTATTAAACAAACAAACAAACAAAAAACAGGCGGGGCGTGATGGCTCAAGCCTGTAATCCCAGCACTTTGGGAGGCCGAGGCAGGTAGATAACTTGAGGACAGGAGTTCGAGACCAGCCTTGCCAACGTGGTGGAACCTCGTCTCTACCAAAAATATAAAAAATTAGCCGGGCATGGCTGGGCACGGTAGCTCACGCCTGCTAGCTCCCAGCACTTTGGGAGGCCGAGGCAGGTGGATCACAAGGTCAGGAGTTCGAGACCAGCCTAATCAACATGGTGAAACCCCATCTCTACTAAAAATACAAAAATTAGCTGGGCGTGGTGGCACACGCCTGTAATCCCAGCTACTCAGGAGGCTGAAGCAGGAGAATCGCTTGAACCCGGAGGCGGAGGTTGCAGTGAGCTGAGATCACGCCACTGCACTCCAGCCTGGGTGACAGAGCGAGACTCTGTCTCAAAAAAAACAGAAGAAAAAACAAACAGAAAACAACAAGTGTTACTGAGGATGTGGATTAAATTAGACCCTTTTGCCCTATTAGCAGGAATGTAACATGGTACAGCCATTGTGGGAAACAGTATGAAGGGTCCTTAAAAAATTAAAACTAAAAATTAAAAAAATTATATTTACTGAATGATTCAACAATTCCACTTTTGGGTGTACTTCCAGAAGAACTTCAAGGAGAATTGCAAAGATATTTGCACACCCATATTCATTGCAGCATTATTTACTGCAGCCAAGAAGTAGAAGCAACCCAGATGTCTGTCAGTAGAATAAAGAAAATGTGGTATATACATTCAATAGAATATTATCCAGCCTTAAAAAAGAAGAAAATCCTATTACATGCTATAACATGGATAAACCATGAGAACATTATGCTGTGTGAAACAAGCCAGTCATGAGAAGACACATACTTAATAATTTCATTTATAACAGGTCTCTAAAGTAGTCAAACTCATAGAATCAGGAAGTAGAATGGGATTGCCAGGGGCTAGGGGAAGGGAAAATGGGGAGTTGTTCAGTGGGTATAGAGTTTCAGTTTTGCAGGATGAAAAAGTTCTAGAGATCTGTTGCACAACAGTGTACACATAGTTAACACTACTGAACTATACATTTACCAATGGATGAGATGATAAATTTTATGTTTTTACCATAATTAGAAAATTTAAAATATTGATTCTAAGGCCCGACTGCCAAGATATTCTGATTTATACAATTTGAGATGGAGTCTTGATATTGCAAAATTTAAAAAGCCTCCCAGGTTGATTCCACAGCACAGAGTTGAGAAACACTGAAATAAACATAAAAACATAAGTAATTGTAACCACAAGATATTAGGTAGGTGGTTTTTTTATGACCCTATAAATAATTTTATCCCAGGAGATTAAACATTCTTTGGTTCACATACTGTCGGACTCCAATTTACTAAGCAATTATTTATTAATTTAGCCATCAGAGTTTAAAACAGAGAATCACTTTAATAAATGAAGAAATAATGTGAAAACAGACATGTCAGGTTCTCTTATCAATGACTTTGACCAGTGTATACAAGATAACAGCATATCACTTGGTTAAGAACTTTTGAATCTATTTTTGACCTTGCAGTGGCCTAAGAACAGTTAAATGAACATTTATTTAACTTAAACTTTTGCTTTGGGAGATTAAGTACAGTTCAACTGGAATAGTGTTTGTTGCTTATGCCTTTATTGTTTTTATCTGTATATCTCTTTAATTCTTTTCTGGATTTTTTCAGAAAAATTGTCTCTACTTTATTCTTTATACTAGTATTTACTCATGAGAATCATAAATGGTAAATATAGTCCATGGGAAAAACAAGCGGAACAGGAAGTACTAAGACAAGCTTTGTCATATAAAGTTTTAGAAAACATGGTACAAACTGGAGACTTGGACAAAGTGGCAGACTTAGTAAAATATATTAATTAGTAATGTAACTACCATTTAAATATTCTGAGTATGGAATTTCCACCTTAAATATTTGATCCTATAAAACTGTTTTTTTCAAACATTGTTCTACCCTGAGAATTGCAAAATATCTACTGGCAGGATATGAACTTGGAACAGCAGATTGTTCTTTTTTTAGTAGCCTTTTTCCTGCAGATGTGACTTTAACAGAGGAAGATGCTGAGTGTTTTTTTTTTGTTTGTTTGTTTGTTTAGTTTTGTTTTTTTTTTTTCTTCCAGTACTTCAGGTGATCAGCAGAATAAAGACAATAGTTATTTGCTAAATGAACCTTAGGTAATTTAGAGATAGAGGGTGTATACCATTTAAAAATGTTTGAGATTTTCTAATGTTCTTACTAAATTGCTTATTTTCTTTGAAATTCCTCTAGGGAAATTTTAGAAATTTTAACTCATTCAATTATGTCATCTCTGATTTTGGGGGGAACAGGTACATTACATCTTCTAAAATTGGAGATGGAAAATGGATGGTAGCAATTTTTACATCTGATTATCACATGACATTAGAAAGAGGATATATGGTACAACCAAATATTATTTATTATAGAATTTAAATTCTTTGTAAATATTTTCTGCTTACATATGTTTGAAATGTATACCTCTGACCATATTTTAAAATTTGATACTAAGCCAGAATTAAATTACTTTGGGCAAAATTTGATAAATATTACTTGTAATTTTAAAATAAAGATTAATACCCTGGTGAATTTGACCCAGACTTACATATATGTATGCTTATGGATCTTATTCTGCCTGACACTTGACTTTTTGCGTTTTTTCTTTGTTGTACTTTAGTCCCTGTCGTAATCTGGAATGCAAAAAGAACTTCCAGGAAGGACATAAGTATTACTTTAAAAATGTACAAATAGGAATAGAGTCATCAGTCAGTGACTAAGGATAGCTGAACTCAATTTGCTGATGTTTAAATTGTCTAATGTCCTGTCTTTCAGAGAGAACAACATTTGGCCTTCAAATATCTGGGATTGTGGGTGAGGTGAAAGGAAAGGTGAATTCTAATAATGAATCAAGGCAGGAACTGAAGGAGGCTTTGTTTGTTTCTTTAACTTGTTTTGTAATAAGATCAGTTGTTTCAGTGAATAACCAAGTTGTAGTGACATGAAGAATTGCACGTTGCTTGTGAGATGCAGAATGACATAGAAACTGCCAAGATTCTTTTCATTTATCATGAATTCCAGAGAAAGAACTTTTGACCAAAAGTATCACATTCTTTGTTTTAACAAAAAAACTGAACAGTATTAATTCCTTAGAGAATACAGCATTCCAGCTTTACTTGAAATCCCAAATGGAGTCATATTGCATAAGTATAACCAGAAAAAAAAAAAACCCAACAACATGGAAATAGCACCCAAGAGAGACTCTTAAGGCTGCTTTCCCAAGTTCAAATATATCTTTGTGTCTCTAAGCAAATCCATAATTAATCCTCCCCATCTCCCCTGCTCCCAATAATCACACCTAATTTGTATTTATGTGAACTTACACTTGAAAGTTCATAAACTTTCAGTCTGATCAGGAAAGAGGAATGTCAGTGGATCAACATGCAATAAACAGAAATGTGTAATGGGTCCCATTTGTGATTTTAATTTTTATATTAAGCTAGCTGAAAAGCAAAATAGGACACAGGATTTGATACATATCTTTTTTTTTTTTTTTTTTTTTGAGTTGGATTCTCACTCTGTCGCCCAGGCTGGAGTGCAATGGTGCCATCTTGACTCACTGCAACCCCCACCTCCTGGGTTCAAGCAGTTCTCCTGCCTCAGCCTCCCGAGTAGCTGGGATTGCAGGTGTGCACTACCACACCTGGCTAATTTTTGTATTTTTAGTAGACACGGGGTTTCTCCATGTTGGCCAGGCTGGTCTCGAACTCCTAACCTCAAGTGATTCACCTGCCTCAGCCTCCTGAAGTGCTGGGATTACAGGCGTGAGCCACCACGCCCGGCCTGATACATATCTTTTGTTTTGCTCCTTACTTCATGTATCAGTACTATGAAAGTAAAAGATCACTAACCTGGTTTTTTGACTAGCTTGAAATATTTATCTCTTTGATCTGGGCACTTCACTTAATTACTCTGAGATTTAGTTTTCTATCTTTACAATCTCTTTTCTTTTTAATAGAATTTCCTCTAATGAAAAAGAGAAATGATCAATAATGTTTTCCATATTCAACATAAATTTGGAAAAAGTAATAGTTTTGAAACCAAGAATAGACAAATGCCATGGGTAACTTACATAACAATGTCTCTAGCTATAAATAGGAGCTCAAAATGACGTAGATTAAGACTTGAATGGGCCTGAAGGCTAGGCAGGGTTTTTCCTGCTAGTAAGAGGGTGACACAGGAAGTGAGGACCAAGGCAGAGTTGTAAGCAAGATGGAGACTTACTTAAAGAGACTGATCTGACTAAAGCAGAGAGCTCATGGAGAATTGTGGAGGAAAAAAAAAAGACAATTAAAATTGTATAAACTAATGAAGCCAGGTAATAGAGGGCCTTGCAAGTTGTGTAGGAGTTTATATTTGAATTAGGAAGCAGTGGGAAACCATTATAGATTCTTGAACAGGGAAATAATATGACAAAAGCAATGTTTTAGAAAAATAATATATCAATTATTTTTGAAAAATTTAGAAGAGAGTATCTTGAGTTTTTTCTGATGCATAAATCCTCTCCTGGCATTGTAATTCAGCAACCAGTTCTTAAAGATTTCATGTTTTCCACTGTATTTAATTAAATGCCTTACCTGGTATATGACAGTCAACTTTATATGTATCGTCTTACTTTCTGTTTCAGAACAGTATCACAGTATAATCTTTTTAGAAAACTAGACAACCAGGAATTAAATGAATTAAAATTCAGTCACAATGACATACAAATGCAAATACCTCAACCAAAGTAATATTCAGATAAACAAATATTTTTTTTCCTTTTTTTCTTTTTGAGAGGGAGTCTCGCTCTGTCGCCCAGGCTGGAGTGCAGTGGCGTGATCTCGGCTCACGGCAAGCTCCGCCTCCCAGGTTCACACCATTCTCCTGCCTCAGCCTCCCGAGTAGCTGGGACTACAGGCGCCCATCACCACGCCTGGCTAATTTTTTTGTATTTTTTTAGTAGAGATGGGGTTTCACCGTGTTAGCCAGGATGGTCTCAATCTCCTGACCTCGTGATCTGCCTGCCTCGGCCTCCCAAAGTGCTAGGATTACAGGCATGAGCCACCGCACCTGGCCCAGATAAACAAATATTTTATATGTACAATTGTGTTTGTAGTAGTATTATAACTTACTTTTCTACCTGATCATCAGAAAGTTTCCTTTGACATTAATTGAAAGATACATCCTGATTGTAGAAACATTAAAGTGTGAAAGATATATTTTAGGTTTGAGGTTATATAGTGTTTTCATAATGCCTATAGCATTATGTGTCTCGTAGATTAGGAGTGCCAATTAGTGTTATATGTTAATAATTGAAGAAGTAAAATAGGTGGGAAGAGTTGCAGGATTTAGTATCTAGAATTTAGCAGAAAACAAGGAAGAATAGTTACCAATGTGAGAATATCAAATATGTGTACTCCAAATGAACAGTAAATGGGAATGTAGTATATTTCTGTGTGTGCACATGAGCCAGTAGGTTTGGATCTCAGATCTTCATGTCTCAAATGGGATTAGTAAACCATGCCCTTTCTTCCCAGGGTGGTTGCAAGGAATACATGGAAGACACCATTTTTTGAATTTACTTAAAGGATTATGTAAACTCTTAGCATACAACTTGAATGTATTTAATATTATTTTTATGACAATTACTCTAAAAATACACAGCAATGTATTGCATTCCTTTATTAAAAAGGTGATTTATAGAAAAGGTTAGAACTGCCAGTACTTGGGATAGTAGTATACATATCTGGTATGACTTGAATATATTGTTCAGAGAAAAACATCTAAAGGAATGTTAATTTGTTCACCGAGGCCAGGAATTTCATTAACAATGATGTAGTCATTCCTATCAAAATAAAAAATACTGTAAAATAAGCAAAAAATTATGCATAAATAAACAATTCCTACAAACTTGAGTTGCATATGAACCTCTTTCCCATATCCCTGGTTGGAACTAATGAGAGCTCCTGGAGCCTGGCTGAAGCAAATGTCCAAATGCAACTGCCCTGTAGATGGGTTTCCATAGCTCCAGGCACACCAGGCTCCCACAGGATAAACTGACCTTTGCTGATGGTTACAGGCATTATAAACCACAGGAGAAAACAAACCATCATGTAGAAGAATGTGCAAACATAAGTAAGATAATAAACACAACAAGAACTGAAGATAATAGAAAAACTTCAAAGAGACTGTGAAACAAATTTGTTTGAAATGATTATAGACAAAAAGGACAATGGGATCATAATGGAAAACCTGTGCAATACAAAAGGAACAGGAAGATTTGAAAGCGGTCAGACAATACTTAGAAATGAAAGCATACAATAATTGATATTAAAATGTCATCGGTTTTCATTCAGCAAACTTTTGAGTTCTATGTGCCACTGTGTAGTTCTTACTATAGTATTTTATAATCATGCAAAGGCAGACTTACATAATATGAAGGAAGATTTGAGGATGTCACCTAGAAAACAGCATGTAGATATAAAGAAAGAGGAAAGGAAGAGAAATGTTAAGAACATGGAAGACAGAATGAGAAGCTTCAACTTATGCCTAATAGGAGTTTTAGAACCAGAGAATAAAAAGAATAAGAAATGCCATCTGAAAGAAAGATAAAGCATATATTTTCCAAAATTAAAGAAAAACATGAGATCTCAGATTGAAGATGGATGCTGAGTTCCAAATAAAGTATATACAAATAAATCTACACTTAAAAATAATACATCACATTTATTGAGCACTTATTATGTTATATCTCAGGCATGTTCTAAATACATGCATTATCTAATTTAATTCCTTCAGTAATGCTTTGGGAGAAAGTACTGTTTTTATTCCTTTTTTAAAATTGAGGAAACTGAGGCCCAGAGAAGTAACCTACCTAAAGCCACACAAGTAGTAAATGGTGGAGCCAGTGTTTGAAATTGTGCAATCTTCCTAACATTGATCAATAAATAAGAGAAATACACACTAACAATATTAGGAATGTAAAGGGTACCTGTTGAGATTTTTAAAATTATAATAGCAGCTTTGAACAAGTTTATTCTAAAATTATGAAAATTTTGAACAAAGAATTACAAATTTTCTGGAGAAATGTAAAAGCAAATAGAAAATCTTAAGGAACTCTAACCTTTAAAGACATTGACTCATTAGTTTTTTTTTTTTTTTTAAACTGCATGTAAGAGAAACACCAGTCTCATACATTTTATTTGTGAATTTTCCCAAAACTTCTATTAGTATTTCCAGAAAATATAAAATTGAATAATTTTTCTGAGTGACATTTACCACACATCTCTACCTAATGTATGTTTCACTTTCCCACTAAAAAGTAACCTTTATAAGGGCACGGATCATGTTTTGCTTATTTGCCATCTACATCTTTAGTCTTTATAGTGAAATACCTGGCATGTGTTAGGCTCTCAATAAATATTTCACTGAAAAATAGATATAGTAATATCTTAATGTTTTTAAAATATTTAGAAGTCTTTGATAATTATATTTGCTCTCATTATTTGAACTATCATAATTGCTATAGAAAAATATCAGATGAAACAAGTTTGTTTATATTTTTATATTTTATTATTTATTCTCTGCAGATATTTCAGGTTTAAATACTTAAGATTTTTAATGTGTGTCATTTTTGAACATGTATGTTGTTATTAGAAAATAGTCCCAGCCAGGCGTGGTGGCTCACGCCTGTAATCCCAGCACTTTGGGAGATTGATTTCGGAGGACTGCTTGAGCCCAGGGGTTTGAGATGAGCCTGGGCAACATAGTGAGACCCTGTCTCTATAAAAAATTAAAAAATCAGCCAGATGTGGTGGTGTGCACCTCTGGTCCCAGCTACTTGGGAGGCTGATGTGGGAGGATCGCTTAAGCCCAGGAGGTGGAGGTTGCAGTGAGCTGAGATTGATCCACTGCCCTACAGCCTGGGCAACAGAGTGAGACCCTGTCTCAAAAACAACAACAACAAATAAAATAAGAGAATGATCTCTATGAGATACAAGAGTGTTTTGTATTTTGTTACTTTTTAGAAATAATTCAGGAGAGGAGAAGATAGAAAAATTGTTTTCTGTTCTTCATGATAAGTACACATATGTAATGCACTTCTTTCCTATTTATTTTTCATTCTGTTGTCAGCATACTTCAGTAGGTTTTCCTTTTAATAAGGAACATTCTCATATTATTTTCTTTAATGCACTTATAATTTAAAGAGCTGTGTCAGAGTCAGATTTACATGATTTTGCTTTCCCTGCTCTTACCTCTTCTGTTTATTCATTTTGCTTCTGTCTTCTGTTTCTTGAGCCTTACAAATTTTATTTTCCCCAAAGATGTGTTTGCTAACTGACTTATTAAAGGTTGCATTGTCCTTGTCTGGTAGTGTATTAGTCCATTTCACACTGCTGATAAAGACATACCTGAGACTGGGTAATTTATACCAGAAAGAAGTTTAATGGACTTACAGTTTCACATGGCTGGGGAGGCCTCACAATCATGGCGGAAGGCAAGGAGGAGCAAGTCATATCTTACATGGATGGCGGCAGGCAAAGAGGGAGCTTGTGCAAGGAAACTCCCATTTTAAAAACCATCAGATCTTGTGAGACTCAGTCACTATCACGAGAATGGTGCAGGAAAGACCCACCCCCATAATTCAGTCACCTCCTGCTGGGTTCCTTCCACAACACATGGAAATTGTGGGAGTTACAATTCAAGGTGAGATTTGGGTGGGGACATAGCCAAACCATATCAGGTGGTAAGTGCCCTCTTTACTCTCAGTTCTTGTTCTTTTGCTTTCAAGAGTTTAGATAAAGGAAAGACCAGATGTGTTTTAGAAATCAGGGGTTCAAACTTTATCATGTGTAGAATGTGACATTTAGTTCATGGCTGGTCTTATTCATACTTTGATTCTTGAAATTAGAGACTACATCTTTCTGTGATTCAGAGTAATTTATGTCATTCAAATTTGATGTCTAAATACAGCTTATAACTGCTTTCCTCTGAAATAGGAGATTTTGCCCTTGATAGAATTTTTTAAATAGTGAAACAAAACATCTCTAACAGAACTCTAAGTTAATTTTTTTTGGTTTTTTTGAGACTGAGTCTCACTGTGTCACCCAGGCTGGAGTGAAGTGGTGTGAACTCAGCTCACTGCAATTTCTGTCTCCCGGGTTCAAGCGATTCTCCTGTCTCAGCCTCCTGAGTAGCTGGGATTACAGGCGTGCGCCACCGCGCCCAGCTAATTTTTCATATTTTTAGTAGAGATGCGGTTTTGCCATGTTGGCCAGGCTGGTCTTGAACTCCTGATCTCAAGTGATCTGCCCACCTCCGTCTCCCAAAGTGCTGGGATTACAGGCGTGAGCCACTGCACCCAGCCAAGTAAAATTTTTGTTCTTTATTTGTATTTAAAATCCAACTACAGTTACTTTTTTCTAGAGAGAAATTCTTAAGGCTCTAGTGTTGTTGACACACTCCAAAATTATGCATTAAGTATGTGTTTATGAAAATGATCTACTTCTGGTTCTTTATAGTATTGGAAATGAAATACTGTTGCTATGATTTGAGTGATTGTACAACTTTACTGAAGCCTAAAACATATATTCTTGCCGACTACTTCGCATTTATTTCTGATGCATGTGGGAAACCATCCCTCCTCCATAAATTAAAAAGTAATTATTTATAAAATATTTCTTGGCTGGAAATTTTCTTCTGTTTGTTTAGAATTTTAATTTTTGGAGCAAGCATGAAGTATTTCTGTGAAATCATTTAAAATCATATTTTATTAAATTAAAATGGGTTACTAAATTTAAAATATTCATTTTTATGTCAGCATATAATTTTAACATTCTTATTAAATCCTTGACAACCTAAGCTGTACAAAAGTTAATTCAGTTTAATGTGGTTGTATGTGTATATTTATACTCCTGTAATTTGCATTGATATATGACTAGCTACTGTTTCAGTTTAATGTGGTCGTATGTGTATATCTGTACTGCT
Source organism: Homo sapiens (assembly GCF_000001405.40). Lineage (NCBI taxonomy): Eukaryota > Metazoa > Chordata > Mammalia > Primates > Hominidae > Homo > Homo sapiens. The sequence goes on along the minus strand of NC_000011.10, from coordinate 10,110,973 downwards.
GTAATTTGCATTGATATATGACTAGCTACTGTGTCTCAGTAAATTAAACATTTTCATATAAAATAAGTATCGTTATATCTGTTTACAATTATTATAACTAAATAGTATATGTGTACATTCTTTTCCTGGGTAAAATTAAACATTTCAACTAGATCACCCATTTTCCTGATTTGACTTTCTTTAACATTTAAATAGAGTTGTTAAGCATTTGAAGGATCTCTAGTAGAGGGCAAAGGAAATATATGTGCCAACAGAACCATTTTTGTTTTTTTCTAGTTAGTTGAACTCTTAATATGATGGAGGTTGGTTTTGTGATATTAAATTTATAGCTTTTAAAACTCGTGTCATTGGTATTTTAAAGTAATTTGAAATTTTGAGACCATACAATTAGATCCAGGTGTATTACTAATTTTATGAAATTTTGTTGTGATCATTAATTTGCCATTGTAGATCCATGTTTTCTTTGTGCATAGAAGTTTATTTTAGATCTTGAAGTCATGACATTTTAGTTAAAACTGAAGGAATACTTTTTCTCTTTAATTTGCAAATAATGTGAAAGCAAAAATTGTTTTAAAATTTTCTATTTTAATTAGTATGGCTACTGAATACCGAGAAAAATGGAGGATTATAAAAATGATGTTAAGTTGATTGTGATTTACTAGTAACTTTAATGTGCATTGATAATATGAAAACTACTCGATATGTAGTTTGGTTAATTTAGTAATAATTCAACAAATGATTCCTTCAGAATAGTGGAAGACTCAAGATTCAAGATTTGTAGGATTTCCTTTTTTGCTATTTTTATCTAGTGTATTTTTAAGTGGCCTCAAATAAAGGCAGTGAAGAAATGTTTTATTTTTCCTCATACATGTGAAATACATCTGGACGAATAAATCCACATCTGGTTCATGGATTTCCTCCATGGAGATGATCCAAATTCAGTGTCAAGATTAGAGCTTGTACTCATGGGTTTGCAGAATCTTGTGTGGAATTTGAAATATTTTGTTTGGAAGTAGTTGAGAAACAATTGATTCACATGTTTGTGTTAAGTTCTAATTTTAGATATATTTCTCCCTCATGAAAAATAAAAATGTTTTGTGCTTCATAATATAATCAAGGTATGTGAAAACACTGTTTACATTTAACAAGATGTTTTAGGTGACCATTCTCAAATATTGTTTTATGAAAGAGAGATCAATTAAACTGTTAAACTTACTAGGTAATGATCATTGGTAACCATAATCCTTACTAGAAACATGCTTCTAGTACATAATGTTATGTGGCCTAAATTATACCATCTTACTTCGTTGAGTCCATGTAGAAGCAACAACAGTCATTTTTTAATTATTCTAAGTGTCTACCCAAATGAGATGATAAATTTGGATTCTCAGAATATCATGTTGTGTGCACTGAGTGCCTCCCTCAGCCTCCCAGTTGCTAACAAATGTATTTGTATTTGAATGGAGTCCCTAGGGTAGCATAAAGCAGCAGCATTTGTGGGCTGAGTCCAAGAAGCATGCGAGCTAAAAATAATACTGTCAAACTTTTATGAATTATTTGTCTTATGCATTGAGACTGCCAAATCAAGCTGCTAGTCATGTGAATTAAACTCAATACACTAGAACAAATGGTTGCTGCTTAATAAATCTCCCTCATTAAAGAAGATGTTTGATCTTTCTCAAGGATTATTTTTTGGTCCTTTAACATGTAATATATTTTCCATATAATAACATTATAAGGTTTATTCATAGATAAATCTAGAGCTATTTGCATATATATATATATACACACATACCTTTGAACTTTCTGTGGAATAGAAAAAAATGCCTTTTGCATATGTATTTAATTTGGCGGTTTCTAAATAATATGGCAGGAATTTTTATGTTCAGCATATTTTCCAATGCATCACCAAATTGTAGATATTGTAAGAGGCTTGGAAGGGGCCAGCCTTTGGAGGTTCCTACTCTTTTCCTCTTATTCTTTCTTCTAACTTTTCCTCCTCCTTTAGTCTGCACCATGTAAAATTTTCTTCTTGGCAAATGAGAGTTAAGTGGGAACATTAATTTATTTGGTCTTATGTATGCTAATGTTACTATAGAAATCTGGTTTGTCGTACTGGTACATACAGTCCCCTTAAAAAGTTAACTATTGGCCGGGCGCGGTGGCTCACGCCTGTAATCCCAGCACTTTGGGAGGCAGAGGCGGGCGGATCACGAGGTCAGGAGATCGAGACCATCCTGGCTAACACAGTGAAACCCCGCCTCTACTAAAAATACAAAAAATTAGCCGGGCGTGGTGGCGGGCGCCTGTAGTCCCAGCTACTCGGGAGGCTGAGGCAGGAGAATGGCATGAACCCGGGAGGCGGAGCTTGCAGTGAGCCGAGATCGCGCCACTGCACTCCAGCCTGGGCGACAGAGCGAGACTCCGTCTCAAAAAAAAAAAAAAAAAAAAAAAAAAAGTTAACTATTACTGTTTGTTTTTGCAGCCTTCTTTGAGGTTCTGTGTGCCTTACTTTGTTCCAACAAGCACCCAAACTGCCCTGGATCTATAAATACCACTTCATAGTTAACACAGGGAACTCTGAATTAGTGCTTCATTGAGCCATTGACTCACTCCACCAGTATTTGTTTAGGGTCTATGTAGAAGACAATGCTCAGGGAACTAATTGTAAACTGTCTGATTTACCTGTCTTCCCTTTTGGGGTAGCAGAACTCATTCTTCCTTAGCCTCTGTCATTTATTAATTTATAGCTCAGTGTTCTGCTATCCTTTCTCAATTCCACATCTTTTTAAAACTATTTGTTCTATCGTGTTTGAATTTATGGTTACTTAGGTTATATTTGATGGCTGTATCCGGAGACTCAGGCATGAGAAATTATCATATTCTTGTCACAAAGCGTATACTTTCATAACTTTTAATATACATTTATATCCATGAAGCCAGTACCACAATCATGATAGTGGATATATCTATCACCTTAGAAGTTTTCTCATGCCTCTTTGCAATTCTTTCCTCTAATCCCTCCCCATCTCCAGATAACCACTGATTTGCTTTCTGTCACTAGAGCTTTGTAGTGGGTTGAATGGTGTCCCCACCCCAAAAGATGTCTATCCATAACCTGTGAATGGTACCTTATTTGGAAAAAAACCATCTTTGCAAATGTAATTGAGGGTTTCAGATGAGATCATCCTGTATTAGGACGGGCCGTAAATCCAATGTCAAATATCCTTAGAAGAGAGGGGAGGAGACATAAAGAGGAGGTGATGTGATGGAGGCAGAGATTGGAATAATAAATTTAGAAGGAAAGGAATGCCAAGTATTGCTGGCAGCTACCAGAAGCTAGGCAAGAGACACAGAATACATAATCCTTCAGAGCTTCCAGAATGAACCAATCCTGCCAACACTTTGATTTTGGACCCTGGCCTTTAGAACTGCAACAGAATAAATCTATGTTGTTTAAAACCACCAAGATTCTGGTAATTTGTCACAGCAGCCCTGTGAAACTAATACAAGATCAGTTTGTATTGTATAGAATTTTACCTAAATGGAGTCATACAATATTCTTTTTTATCTAGATTCTTTAACTCAGTATAATTATTTTGAGATCTGTCTTTGTTATTGCATTGATTAATAATTCATCTTTTATTGACGAATAGTATTCCATTTATATGTATATGCCACACTTTATCTGTTCACCTGTTGATGAATGTTCGGTTGTTTTAGTTTTTTGGCTATTATAAATTAAGTTACTATGAATATTTGTGTCAAGTTTTTGTGTGAACACATGATTTCATTTCCCTTGGGTAAATTTGTAGAAGCTGAATGGCCTGGACTTATTTAAGTATGTATATGTATATAGTTAACTTTTGGAATAAACTGCCAAAGTATTTTTCAAATATATTGTACACCATTTCTTCAAGTAGAGTGAGGTCCATTGCCTCCACATCCTACTAACATCTAGGAAGGGACAATTGGTTTAATTTTAACCATTGGACTACAGTGTAGTGGCATCTCGTGGTTTTAATTTCCATTTGTCTAATGAATTAGAATATTGAGCATTTTTATGAGCTCATTTTCCATCTGTATATCTCATTTGGTGAAGTACTTCTTCAATTCTTTGGCCCATTTTTTAAGTTGGATTTTTATTTTAAATTAGATTTTTCTTACTTGGTTTAGAGATTTTAAAAAATCTATCTGGATACAAGTCCTTCAGATACATGATTTGCAAATATTTTTCTTTTAATCTGTGGCTTTTTTATTACTTTATAAGTGTATTTCAAAAAAAACAGGTTTAACAATTTCGTTAGTTTTTTAATTGTGTGGGTTTTTTTTTTTTTTTTTAATTGAGTCGGAGTCTTGCTCTGTCACCCAGGCTGGAGTGCAGTGGTGCGATTTTGGCTCACTGCAACCTCTGCTGCGCGGGTTCAAGCGATTCTCATGCCTCCAGGCATACGCCACCTGGGACTACAGGTGCACGCCACCACGTCCGGCTATTTTTTTTGTATTTTTAGTAGAGATGGGGTTTCGCCATGTTGGCCAGGCTGTTCTCGAACTCCTGACCTCAGGTGAGCCGCCTGCCTCGGCCTCCCAAAGTCCTGGGATTACAGGCATGAGCCACTGTGCCCGGCCAGTTGTGTTTTTTGGTGTGTATCTAAAGGATTATTGCCTTACCCCTGTAGCAAAGGTTTTTCCCTGTCTTTTCTTTATTTTCTTTATTTCAAAAAGGTATAATGAGATATAATTTACACACAGTGAACTACACCTATTAAAAACTACAGAGGGAAGTGAGGAAGTGGGGTAAGGGTTCAAAAACTACCTATTGGGTACTATGTTCACTACTTGCAAGATGGGATCATTAGAAGTTCAAACCTCAGCATCAAGCAATATACCCATGTAACAAACCTGCACATATACCTCCTGAGTCTAAAATAGTAATAATAATAAAAAATAAAACTACACACATTTGAAAAGCTTTGACATATCTAAACACCTATGAAGTCACTTTTGAAGATAATGCAATTATTCATCAACTCTAATAATTTCCTATTGCCCCTTGGTAATCTCCCTCCTGCTCTTCTCCATGCACCTCCCTCTGTCAGCTATCACTGATATGCTTTCTGTCACTATGCATTAGATTGTATTTTTAGAGTTTGATATAGCTATAGAATCTGCCAGAATGTGCTTTGAAAATTGGATTTGACTATTGCTTCCGGTTACCCATTCATGCTTCAGCTGATGGCTGATCGATACAGGTTAGGTCATGTGCCTTTCCCTGGCTGCAAAGAAGACTAAGAGAGCAAGTGTTTGACATTTACAGCATATGTTAGTGAAATGGCCTTACACTGGATATTCTCTAAATATAAAAAAGTGAGCTTTTATTTTTCACAGGCTAAAAGAATATCAAATGCCTTCTGCTCTGTTATTTAAAAGGTACATAGCATGTAGTGATACCATGTTTACATTGTACAAGAATGGTACAATCCATTTACTTAATCTATTTAGTAAGATTATAGTGGTGTGATTATTCTTCACGAAGTAATTGAAAATTGGAGATATAAATTCCTTGTATGTTTCTTTCTATCATCATGTTTTAGTAGCTTATTACCAATGTACCAGAAGTTGCTGAGTTAAGCAAAGTAGGCTGCTTATTTCCTTAGTTTGTTTTAAAATTTCTCATATTTGTTCCCTTAGTTATGGTATTTCTTCACCCCTCTCTCCTAAGACTGGCTTTTGCAGGTCAGATTTCACCAACTGTATCAGTCCTTTCAAGACACAGTGTTTTCTTTTGAACCCTTACAGCGCTAATCTATCTGTAGCCCATCGTTCACAAAGTCTTTCAGTGAATAGAGGAGGAGGAATACTTTCCAACTAATTATAAGGCCAGCATTATTCTCACCTTAAAATCAGGCAAACACATTACAGGGGGAAAAAAAGGCCAGTGTTCCCAGTGAAGATGATAAAAATATCCTTAACAAAATATTAGCAATTTGAATCTAGCAATATATAAAATAGATCATATGCTGTGACCAAGTGGACTTTATTCCAGGAATGCAAGGCTTGTTTAATACTCAGTGAAGAAGAGAAAATAATATAGTCAAAGATGACTTCTGAAACGATAGCATGAGATGCTCCACAAGTATTTTAAGTCTCTGGAAATGGTCCTAAGGTCATATAGCAAATAAAGGAAAACTTATTTAAGAAAATCTATTGGAGGATTATGGGAAGAGGCTGAGTAGGAAGCAATAAGAATCTGTCTCCCCACCTAGACAACAGTTGCACTGGTAGAATCTAATGTGACTATTTTGGAACTCTGGAGACTGTTTAATGCTTACAGTTTCCAAGAAAAGGCTTAGATGATAAATGTAGTTTGTTTTGGTCAGTTTCAGCTCTTAGCACAGTACCAGCTCCCTGTCTCTCACACCCAGCCCCGTGATAGGCAGCCATGTACATATTCCTGGAGCAGTTTGCACCTACGTTGCGGAAGTTAGGAGCCTGTTCTCCAAATATTGGGGATCTGTGCTCTGATTGCCGATTGCTGCTTCTGATCTCAGATTTCCAGACAAAGAAGTGGGCAGCCATTGTTGTTATACCTTCCACCATTGTTTCAAACTGCTCTTCTTTTGACAAGTGACTTCCAGGGGATTTAAAGGGCTGGTACTGTTTCCTTTTTCTTTTTTGTTTTCAAATTCTTCTCAGTTACACATGGAACATTTTCCAGGATAGATCGTGTTTTAGGACACAAATTTTTGCCTCAAATTTAAGAAGAGATACCATACAAAGTATCTTCTCTGACCACAACAGGATGAAGTTAGACTCACTAGCAGAAGTAAAATTGGAAAATTCACACATTTATGGAAATGGCACTCTCTCTTTTTTTTTTTTTTTCTGAGACAGGGTCTCACTCTTTTGCCCCAGATGGATGGAGTACAGTGGTGCAGTTTCAGCTCACTGCAACCTCCACCTCCTGGGCACAAGTGATCCTTTCACCTAAGCCTCCTGAGTAGGGTGGACTCCAGGTGTGCATCACCATGCTTGGCTAATTTTAAAAGGTTTTTTGGAGCAATGAGGTCTGACTATGTTGCCCAAGCTGGTCTCAGCTATCTCGGCTCAAGCAGTCCTTTTGCCTTGGCCTCCCAAAGTGCTGGGATTATAGGTATGAGCCACCGCACCTGGCCTTCATTATCTGTTAGTTCAGTCCATTCAGTTAACTCCTGTTTTGCTTGATATTCATGAACATATCAGCTCTCCATGAGAGTCCTAAAAGTTATTTCCCTTCATTCTACTGTTGCCATCTTCAAAGTTATCAGAAACCTGCATTTAAGAACATCTGTTAGAGTTTTACAGCTGATTATAAAATCACCATTTAAAGAGGATCAAAGCAAGACAACAATTGTCTGTGGATGACAAAAAGTCTTAGCCACAGGTAAAGACAAAATTGACAAGGAAATTTGTTACTTTTGTGGCACACAATAATTTAACATAATTATTACTGGTACCATATACTAAGTCATATCAGAATTATGACTTTCATATAATTTTGCAACATATACCAATAACACATTTACACAAATATAGCACAAAGAAAGCCAAACACCATTTCATATTTGATAGTGTTTCTTTTATGATTTTTATACCAAATAAACCAAGTGTGTCGTTTTTGGTCTTTAGAGGACATAATATCTAAAAGATTAATTAGGTCAGAAAAATGCATACTTCATAATTTGATATTGGAAAGTTTGTCAAATATCAAAGGTTTAAAACACTGGATATCACAAAATAGAATTTCAGGTCATCATAATTCATTCATTTGGCCAAAATGATAACTCAAAAATTTTTAAAAAGAAAAACGTTTACTCTGTTAGGAGACTCAGCTTTTCAAACAATATATTAGACCCAATGAAGACACCCTGAGGCCAACTGAATCTGTTTCTTCTCTCTCCCCATTTTTTGTAGTTTACTCAAAAGGCAAGCAAAAATCTTTCATTGTCTCTCAATATTACATAAAAATCTTTTTCAAAAGAGAAAAATTTTATGTTTTTATTAGTGCATCTTTAATGCTAAAGCTAGTTTTTAAATAAAATTTTATAAATCCATCCACTTTTTATTAGTTTTACCATAAGGTAAGATTTTCATAAACTTTTTAGATCTCTTTATAATTTTCTGTTAAACAGCAGATAAATTTTCTAAGAAAACCCTGTTACTCAGACACATGGGCCCAGACTGTGGCCCCATATCAGTGTGCTTTTATTTTAATGTTCAACCTGCAGAAAAAAATAATACCCTTCAAACCTTAGCCAACTTGCTTATACCCCCAGAACTTTTTTTACAGGATCAACCCTTCACACACCCTTTTCAACCTGCTTAAACTTTCAGTTTTGTCCCATTACTCTTTTAGGTTGAGACAATCTTTAAAACCCTCTGAACTACACAAAATTACATTGTCTTTCACGAAAACCATATCCCCATGCCTTCTTTTGATCTCCCAGCAAAACCATATTCTACTTTTTCCTTCTATACCTTGCAACCTTGTATGTCAAGCTGTTTCTCCAGTAGTCTCAATTACATGTTACAGTGTTTAACTCTTAGCAACTTTTATTTTTGATGAAAAAGCTGATAAATAAGTGATTTTAATTATGTACTAGGTGTGGAGCCTAAGACATCAGACAGAAGTGCAGATGAGGTCTTACTCTTTCCAGCATAGCTGGGGAGCCAGGCTAACTCCACATGTTCCCAGGCCTTATCTAGAATCTAATGCTCCAAATTAGGTAAACTGAACAATTTTCAAAAGTCAAAGAAGCAGTTTATGACTTTAAAGCATTTAGCAAATCTGATACCTGACCTTAATTTAGACCAAATGTCTAAATTTGGAGGACTTTTAATTTTACCAGTAGTCTTTAAAACTGTCTTTATTCCCAGAAAATTACTAAAATCACGTGTCTTCTGGATGGTGGAAACCAAGAGAGAGTATCACCACATGGTCACAAGGTTAAGCTCTTAAGGACATAAAACAAGACAAAGTTTCATCTAGTATTGGTTTCAGGGACCCCTAGCAAAGTTTGTAACTGACCAGCCTGCCAGGCTGGCTTGAAAGGTAGGCTTATAGGGGTCCTAAACCCATGTTCTATCCTGTGATACCTCTCTCTCCATTACAGAACGACACTGAAAGACATTCTTAGCACAAAGCGCACCAGATTTGCTGCAGCCTAAGACTAGTCTCACAAATCCTTTTTTTCTATTAATTAAACCCTTGCAGAGGAGATAAATATTGACATTTACCATGTACACACACACACACACACACACACACACACACAGAGCGAGAGAGAGAGACACACCAGAAACTTTTGACTGGTAAGAATTTCTTACCCTTTTTGCCGGCATACCAGGTTTCCGGGTTCCATTTCACTGCAGCTTCCAGAAAAATGGAGCGGTTTTTGATGACCCTGCTTACTGTGGCATAGCTGTGGGGGTCAAGCCACTTTACAAAAGGAAATCACCCTTTTCTGTTTTATGGAACTATTGGCAAAAGATTCTCAATTTTGCAAGATGCTGCCCAACAGACTGTGTGGGGAACTGAGTTAACATTTTCCATCCCAGCCAAAGCAAAATACATATAACAAAACAGACACTAGTCAACTCATTCAGCACCCAGTATTAAACTGGCAAGGCTCAGCTTTCTCCTGTTGGTCCCTGTTGCCTTTGATTCACTCCAGGCGGGGAGGGATGACCTCCGAATGGTAATTCATTGGGTAGTTGCTGGGTAAGACGAAGAGTGGATAGTCTCCCCGAGTCAGGCCTGTTGAGCTTCCTTCAGGGCTCACCGAATGTGACCAGACAAATAAGGAGGGTTCTCTGAGTTAGGCCTGCTGAACTTGTGCCAGCAATTCCTCCAGAGATTCCCTTCACATAAACAAACACACACACAAAGACACGATAGGCAGAAGGCCTTCCAAATCCAGATCCCTAACCAAGAACTCCGAGAGTATCCTTTCTAAACTATTCTATTTTCCGTCTGAGAAATCTCCCTGAAATCTTCCTGATTTAGATGTCTGCTGAACCAAGACTCCTCCTACTAATTAGGGAGAGCCAACTGAGACCCCCAAAGGGGCTGAACCAAGACAGACACCCTGCAGTGGAGCTACAGACACCTCCACACAAGGCTACAGGAAAACCAAGACCCCTGATGGAGCCAAACCAAGACAGACACCATGCAGTGGGGCTACAGACGGATACTCCACCATGGGGCTACAGAAAAACCAACACCCCTGAAGGATCCAAACTGATCAGGAGAAGGAAGGAGGTGTGGGCAGTACCTAGGATACTCACCAAACCAGATACCTCATAGTGGGGCTACAGCTATAAGCACTCCATGACCAGGCTACAGACATATACCCTGCCATGGAGCTACAGACAGACACCCTGTGGTAGGGCTACAGTTATGGGACGTCTCCCCAGGACTGTTTCTCTATTGCAGTTAAATTCATGCACATTGGATTGGCAGCACCCTGCCAGTAGAGAGATTGCCAGAATCAGCCCCCAGTCCAAGACAACTGTGGCCGCTTGGGCTGGCCTTTGGATCCATCACCAGAGAGGGGGCTACTGAACCACAGGCAGGCAGCCACAAGGGCAATCCCAGACGAGCCTCCAAATTTGTAACTGCCCAACAGGTTCACCCTGCCCGCTGCCTAGGCAGAGCCAATTTATCAAGATGGGTGAATTCCAGTAGAGAAAGAGTAATTAACACAGAGCCAGTTTTGCAGGAGATTGGAGTTTTATAATTACTCAAATCTGTCTCCTTGGTTTCCATTTTTACAAAATGCCTTTTTCCATCCCCTTTTAGCCTATGTGTGTTTATAAAGTTAAAATGAGTCTTTTGTTGGCAGCATATAGTTGGGTCTTGTTTTATTATTGATTCACCCACTTTGTCTTTTTATTGAAGAACTTAGTTTCATTTGCAATTTAAAGTAATTATTGATAGATAAGAACTTAGTATTGCCATTTTTTAAAATTTTTTTCCTGCTGCTTTGTAGGTCCTTTGATTCTTTCTTCCTCTTTTGTGTTTTTCATTGTAACTTTATTTTTTTATAGTGGCATACTTTGATTTCTTTCTATTTGTTGTTTCTCTTTGTTTCTATTAGAGGTGTGTGTGTGTGTTTGGTTTTCATAAGACATATCAAACATTTTATAGTTTTAACAGTCTTTTTTAAACTGATAACATCTTAAATTCCCTCACATACAAAAACTCTGCACTTTTATTCCCCCCACCCCAACAGTTTGTTATCGATGTCACAATGTACAACTTTTTATCTTAATATACTTAACAAATTATTATGGCTATAGTCACTTTAATAGTTGTCTTTAAGCCTTTGTACCAGAGTTAAAAATGATTTGTGTATCATCGTTATAGTGTAATATTCTGACACTGACTATCTACTTACCTTTACCAGTTAGTTTTATACCTTCATGTTTTCAGGTTATTAATTAGAATAGTTTTGTTTCAGGTTAAAGAACCCCCTTTAGCATTTCTTGTAAGGCAGGTTTACTGTTTTTGAACTCCCTTAGCTTTTGTTTGGGAAAGTTTTTAATCTCTCTTTCATTTCTGAAAAACATTTTTGCTAGTTATAGTATTCTTGGTTCACATGGTTTTTTTCAGCCCTTTGAATATATTATCCCTTTCTTCTGGTCCGTAACATTTTTAGGGAGAAGCTTGTGGATAGGCTAATTGGTGTTTCTTTGTCTCTGATGAGTCAGTTTTCTAATGCTCCTTTCAAAGTCTTACTTTGTCTTTAACTTCTGGTAATTTGATTAGCACATGTCTTAGTGTAATTTTCTTTGGATTGGTCTTGATTTTTTGAGCTTCATGAACATGGAAGTCCATATCTCTCTCAAGATTTGGATAGTTTTAAGGCATTATTTATCTAAAGAAGCCTTTTGCTTCTTTCTTTTTGTCTTCTTTTTCTGGGACTTCTATCATGCATATTTTGGTTTGGTTCATTTTGTCCCATAAATCCTTTTTGTCTTCTTTTTCTGAGACTTCTATCATGCATATTTTGGTTTGGTTCATTTTGTCTCATAAATCCTGCAGGCTTTCCTCACTCTTTTTCATTCTTTTTTTTTCTTTTTCTCCTCTGACTGGAAATCAAATGACCTGTTTTTGAGTTTGTAGATTCTTTCTTTTCTTTATCAAGTCTGATATTGAAGTTGGCCGTTACATTTTTATTTCATTTATGGTGTTCTTCAGCTCCAGAATTTCGTGTGTGTGTGTGTGTGTGTGTGTGTGTGTGTGTGTGTGTGCATTTTTTGTCTTTGTTGATTGTATTTTGTTGATATATTGTTTTTCTGGTTGCATCGAGTTGTCTGTGACCTCTTGTAGCTTGTTAAACAATTATTATGAGTTCTTTGTCAGGCAATTCATAGATCTCCATTTCTTTGGTGTTAGTTACTAGAAATTTACTTTGTTTCTTTGGTGGTATCATATTTCTTTGTTTTTTTTTTTTTAATTTTCCTTGAAGCCTTGCCTTGCCATCTTCACATTCAAAGAAGATGTTATCTTCTTTGCTCTGTAGTGACTGGCTTCAGGAGAAAAGACTTCACCAGTCAGCTGAGGTGGGGATTCTGGAGGTCCTTCAGACCTTTTCTGTGGATATAACTACTCTACTTCTTCCCTTTTTCAGGGAAGAAATCTTAGGTTTACATTCCTTCTCTCAATCCTGCAAAGGTAGGTCCATTGTTGAGAGCCTCCTTTAATTTTCTCTACGGTAGTGTCCTGAAATGTTCAGAATCAAACCAAGTCTGTGGATGCTTGTATGTATTGTCTGCAGGGGCACATATAGGGTGCCATGTACAGGAGAGAGGGGTGCATGGTATGTTAGGGGAACATATAGCCTAGTTGGCAGATGGGACCATAGGTGAGATGTTCTTGGGAATACCTCTTGGTGGAGTGTGGGAGGCATTTAGCAGAAACCATGGTGCTTTGTTGCGTTCTGTGCCCTAGTTGTTTTGAGTCCCCACCCTTTTCTCCTGTTTCTAGCTTCTCCTCCGAGTCTTCTGTGTGTTGTCGGTGGGGTGAGAAAGAAGTAGGCCTCTTAGGCAGTGACTCTCAGAGCTGTAGAAGACAGGAACTCACTATGCTTTTACTTTCCTTTGTGAGACAGATCCAAGGCTGATTGGATCTCTCTTGGCACTGGGCTGTGCGGCTTTAGGGGAGGGATGAAGAAATAGCTAAAGTGAAATTGTTCTTACCCTTTTCAATGCATCTATTTATTTAAGCTTTTTTTCTACTGGGGTGTTGGCCATATCTGCTGGACTTTTGGGCTCCCACAAAGCTACTGTCATCTGTGGGTGGTTGACAATATTGTTTCTGCAGGAAGACGATGGCTGAAATTTCCTATTTCTACATCTTGATGCCAAATTTTTGAGGATTTCCTTTCTAATAAGCTTTTTTTAAAGAATGTGTTTTGGAATATTTTAAATTTTGTTAATTTTGTTTCGTGGTCTCTGCCTGAATAGACAGGCACTTGCCTGGAAAGTAATACTGTTTCACTGCCTCGTTTTTACCTGTTTAATCTAGAACCAAATTGTGTCAATGTGTCAGCCCGTTTGTGCTTTTATAACAAAATACTACAGACAGTAATTTATAAAGAATAGATATTTATTTCTTCACAGTTCTCAAGGCCGGGAAATCCACGCTTAAAGGTTGCAGAAAGTTTGTTGTCTGGTGATGGCTTGTTCTCTGTTGTCAAGTGCTTGTTGCTACATCCTCTGGAGGAGAGAATGCTGTGTTCTCAAATGGCGAAAGTGACGGACAGGGTGAACTCATTTCCTCAAGCTCCATTTTAAGGTTGCTAATTCCATTCATCAGGGTTGTATTCTCATGACTTAATCATCTACTGAAGGCCTCACCTCTGAATACTATCACATTGTTGATAAAATTTTAACACATGAATTTTAGGGGCCTTTTAGACCATAGCAATGAGAATAGTAGGTTCTAGAGAAAGTCATAGTGACTGAATAGTGTAAATGTGTTGCATTTATTTCTTTATTCATCCTTTATATACATGTCCAATTTTCTCTTAATTTCTATTGTTGCTGCCTGTAGTGGTGTCAGAAAAAAAATGAATGATTAGCACTATAATTTGGAAAGCAAATTGTTTTGTACTTTATAAGAGAATATTTTCCCTTAAGTTTTATGAGAAAAAGTAATGACTCATTGCAAGGTGATAAAAAAGTGCATTATTATTGTCACAAATGTACTATTGAGGTGCCTTTTGACATTATCAGAAAAGTAATATTTTTAAAAGACACCGCTTGTATGAGATTTTGTGAATATTTATTCCAGACCTTGAGCAGTTCTGTTATTTTGTACTTGCATAATTACTTTATTCTAAGTCTCGTAAGGCTTTTTTAAAGTATTGTTATGATAACAATATTGTTAATGCCTTGTGTAATGGACAGCAAGGAATTTAGATTTAAATAGCTGATTCCTGATAAAGTAATAGAGATAAGTAAGACCTTTTGGCTCATTTCATTACTTTTTTTTTTTTTTTTTTACAGAACTTTGACTTATAAGGCTAATCAAATTGAGTAGTTAAAAATACATATTTCTAGGGAAAATATTTTATTTTGTTATATACTAAATCTTATATATCAATCAAAGCAAAATCTTGATTCACCTGTATTGTTTATTAATGTGTAGGTAGTTTTGATTTTAAATCTTTGTTTGTAAACTATACCTAAAACTTGATGATAAACTAGCTGACATGTAGAAAAATACAATTATCTTGTTTTAGGAAACCTCTAGCATCTATTTAGCCAAATATTTTTAAAGTATGGAGAGATTTGTTTATGAAGGTCTCCTTTGTGTTGAGTCAGTGTGGCATGGTTTATTTGTATTTATTAGATGTTAGGGCATTTTATGGCTCCTGGTTCAGTTTACTTTTGAAATAGTTCACTGGTTGTGGCTCCTGGTTCAGTTTACTTTTGAATAGTCACTTAGTTAAAGTAACTAAGCAATGGCAGGTTGAAATAAAAATAACATTTATTTATTTAGGTATGTTCTTCTGATGTTAGCATACTTCTTTTTTTCCCCCGCTCTGAGACTCTATATGGCTGTTTTATTTGGGACATTTTGCTCAACTGTGTAATACAAGGTTCATTAAGTCTAGAAACAGGTAATATGTGATTAAAATCAGTACGTGTGATTAAAAGCAGTACGTGTGATTAAAATCAGTATGTGTGATTAAAATCCGTTTGTTCTCTGAGACAAAAACTTGAATCCTCTTCTTATCCTCATGGAACTTTCTTTTAAACCTTTTTAAAAAATGGACTATTTTCTTTGGAACATGACTCATCAAATATACCATGTGCTTTGATTTTCTTACTCTATGCCATATTATTACACCTAGCAGCAGTTGATTTTTTTTAAAAAAGCTTGTGGAGTTCAGTGATATTCCTTTTTATTTGGGGAAGAAATGTATAAGACTGTCATAGTTGGCTGTTGAAAGTACTAAATTGTGGGTTTAAATCTGTTTTCATTAAAGTATTTCTATGTTATGTATCTTAAGTTTGTGTGCAAGTGATATCTTGCATTCTCTGCACATGTTTAGCCCTCTGGTCTTACATCAGGAGTTGTCATTTTAGTGCTGATACAGACTAAATCCTATTACTTCATTGTTGATAATATTTTCTTACTATTTAAATGTTTACAATAACTTGAAGGTGATATTATTGTACTCCTTAAAAACCAAATATAGGCAGGACACTGTGGCTTATGTCTCTAATCCCAGCTTTTTGGGAGGCTAAGATGTGAGGATTGCTTGAAGCCAGGAGCTTCAGACTAGCCTGGGCAACATAGCAAGACCTTGTCTGTACAAAAAAAAAAATTTAGCTCGGCATGGTGGTGCATACCTGTATAGTCCCAGCTACTCAGAAAGCCAAGGTAGGATATATTTTATATATTTTATATATTTTATGGCTTCGATGGTTCCTTTTTTCTTTTTTTTCTCAGCTGGCCATAACCTATGCTGTTTAAAAATGTGATTGTGTGGGATTCCTTTTTATTTTTTTTTATGCTTCATGAGTCTAAGAAGGCTTGTCAGTGATACCCACTCCCCGTTACCACCACCCAAAAATCATATGATATTAATACAGATATAATCTGTATGTATTTGGGCCAGGGACGGTGGCTCATGCCTATAATCCCAGCACTTTAAGGAGGCCGAGGCGGGTGGATCACCTGAGGTCGGGAGTTGAAGACCAGCCTGGCCAACATGGTGAAACCCCGTCTCTACTAAAAAAATACAAAATTAGCCAGGCGTCGTGGCGGGCACCTGTAATCCCAGCTACTCGGGAGGCTGAGGCAGGAGAATCACTTGAACCTCGGAGGCAGAGATTGCAGTGAGCCAAGACCAAGAGTGAAACTCTGTCTCAAAAAAAAAAAAAAAAAATCTGTGTGTATTTGTAGTAGGGAAAATAATTTTTTTGACTGTATGTAGTCACATACCCACAGACTCATATGCACAACCTTTATAGGCAGTCAGGTTTAATTGTTAAAAATAAATGTCTATATGTTGAAAATGATTCTAAATGGAAGTGGGAAATTACAGGCCTTATTTTGAATAAAAAGTTAATATATATATACATATATTTTTTGAGATGGAGTTTCGTTCTTGTTGCCCAGGCTGGAGTGCAATGGCACCATCTCAGCTCACTGCCACCTCTGCCTCCTGGGTTCAAGTGATTCTCCTGCTTCAGCCTGCCGAGTAGCTGGGATTACAGGCATGCGCCACCACTAATTTTGTATTTTTAGTAGAGACAGAGTTTCACCATGTTGGTCAGGCTGGTCTCAAACTCCTGACCTTAGGTGATCCACCTGCCTTGGCCTCCCAAAGTGCTGGGATTATAGGCGTGAGCCACCGCACCCGGCCAAAAGTTAATATATTTATAGGAACTTTTAGGAAACTCTGAGAAGTACTTTCCAAATTTTATGCTTTACCAAATATCCTTGTTTGTATTTTTTAATGCTTTTTAATGTTTATGCCACCTTACCATTACTGAATGGGATTGTCTAAACTTTATTGTGTCTATTTAACTACTGTATGTAGTTTGTGATTTATTTGTGACAAGAATGTTGGTATTATTTACCTATCTTCCTACAGTTTTTCAAGATTTCGCTCCACTACAGAATATCCCAAGTTGGTATTTACTGTACACAAAGGTATTTCAGGCTAACCTTTCTGTATTTAGCAAAAGAGAATGTACTTTAAAAGTTATTATTTTTGAAACAATCACAGTTTAGTGGGAGACTAGAAGTCACATATCTATTATTTATTGCTTTAAGAAATAAAACTAGATAGATATTTAGCATATGTTAATTATCATGTATAGTTTTTTAGTACATATATGTACATCGTATGTGATAACTGGGTTCTAAAGTTAACACATAAGGAAAAAATCTGGTATTACCAAGGATGTCTTAAGAAATTGATAAATTATCTGTATAATTACAGAGGTAATATAAAATTAAATCTTACATCTAAAGCAGCTTATTCTTTCAAGATTGGAAGAAATTTTTTTTTGTTTTTTTTTTTTTTCCAGCTGACCACTGGATGAAGCTGTTAGTATATTTGGAGTTTATATTGATCTAAAATTATGAATTGTAGGCTGGGCACAGTGGCTCAAACCTATAATCCCAGCACTTTGGGAGGCTGAGGCTGGTGGATCACTTGAGGCCAGGAGTTTGAGACCAGCTTGGTCAACATGGCAAAACTGTCTCTAATGAAAATACAAAAATTAGCTAGGCATGGTGGGATGCACCTGCAGTCTCAGCTGCTTGGGAGGCTAAGGCAGGAGAATCGCTTGAACCCAGGAGGAAGAAGTTGCAGTGATCAGGGTTCATGCCACTGCCCTCCAGCCTGGGTAACAGCAAGACCCTGTCTCAAACAAAAAAAAAAAGAAAGAAGGAAAAGAAAATGAGGAATTGTGACTTCAATACTTGAATCATACACAGTGTAAATGTATTCTATTTTTTTTTTCCTAAAAGGCATTCCTAAATTGAGGTAAACTGTGGATAGCATGTTTTTGTTTTGAATCTTATGCTCGTTCTAGGGTATAATCTTACTGAGAGGAATATCAAGTAAAATTGCCTACACTGCATTCATGATGTTCTTTCTCTCTCACTTTGGTGTTGGTCAAGCTCCATTAGTTAACTCTTGAATTTAAATGCGTGTGTATGTGTCATCCCTTTATTTTAGCATTAATGGATGTTCTCTTCCTCTAAATCGTACCCTCTTTCATTCCTTTCACCAATAGAAATTACGGCTTCTGTACAGATAGCAAATTGACTTAGATCTGCCAGAATTAATTTCTAGTTCTAGAATGTTAGCGAAAACAGATCTGTGATAAATGGCTTAGTGGAGTTATATGATTGCATGGTAGCACAAATGATTAATGATATACTCCTTTCTGATAATCGTATGGGAAAATCAGATTCTGTCTTAGGCAAGTCAAAGTTTTTCACTTCTCATTTCATTCATCAGCTAATCACAGCCATACATAAGCTGCAAAAATTACAACTTCGGCCTTATATTTACAGAGTCCTTCTTTTTAGGGTAAAATGTTTTAAAACTAAATATAACAATAAAAATTACCCATTTTCTAGAAAAATTAAAATCATGTATATGTTATCTCCAAGAAAAAAATTAGCATATTAGTAATCATTTTGATTGCCAAATGATGGATCTTTCTAGGGCCTGAGACCCTTACTGTTCCCTTGGGACTTGTTTTAATTTCTGTTTCTCAAAATTACTAACTTTGCTTTTTCTCTACTTTTATAAGTGATTGGAAGAGTTATTTTCTCTAAATATTGTCTTCAGATCATATTTTGCTTTATTTTTCCTTTGTAGGTGAGTTTATCTTTGGTAGTCTTGAAATGTTTAATTATTTTAAAGTTCTTAAAAATCAGATTACAGTTGTTACATTTTACAGTACAAATAAATTCAGCTAAACTATTACTTGACTAATCCAAATTGTACTGATAACTTCTGGGCCTCTTCCAAGTAAGAGAAATCAGGGAAGCAAAACTCAAAAACTCCTAGAAATCTACCAAGAACTAACATTTCATCATAACCGACAGTTGTCTTGGTTTTAGATCAGTTCGTGCTTTCTTTATCTCCTTGTGCAGGAAACCACAAAATTATGTACTGGGTCACCTAGAAAGTATAGAATTGTCTCAAAATAAAGGCAGCAAGTAATGGTTGAATACCTGCCATATCCATAATGCCAATACTTTTTGGAGTGGAATAAATGATGAGATACAGTTCCTCCTCTATGCAGCCTCCCTACCCCCAAAATTATCTGTATTACAGACATTAACTAGTAATTGTTTGCTTTATTATGTATGCAGGCAACATTCCTGAGAGCTTATAACGGAAGCATTCATTTCAGTTCATTGGGTCTTTATGGAGCACTTTCTTTATGTACAGAATTATACTTAATAATGTACTTTGTTAGCTCAGTTGTTATGGTGACAAGCTGGTGTATAAGAAAATTGAATATAGGTTATAGTGTAGAGTACAGCAAATGACATACAGAGGCTAGAATAATTAGGGAAGACTTCTGTGGAGAAGGACAGTAATCAAGTAGAGAACTGATGTTTCTTGAAATCTATAGGCAAGTTTATAGGAAAGTTTGTATCATGTCTGTTCTGGAGGTTTCTTTCTTGTCTTAGCTCCTTTAAAATCTGTTGTTTGTGCCACTCATTTTGAACCTTGTATATGTTGCTTCATATTGTATATAGTTTTTAATGCTTACCTACCTAGTCCCAAACTGCATTGTATTCCCAGAGAGTGAGGATAGTATTATACTTCATTGGACTTAATTTGTTAGCATAGTATCTTGAGTATAGTAGGTATTCTGTGATACTTAGTAGCTGTATCAATCCCTAGAAGGTGTGCTGTTGAGTTTTCAAAAATTATTTCTCAGATACCATTTTCTTGGATTTTGGTGTGTGAGAATTGCAATATTATAAGTTACGTTTTATAGTAGAAACTCCTTGTTCATAGCCCCTGGAGCTGGAAATTGAAGAAGAAAAAAGGAATTGCATTTTATTTAGCATTCTGGCCTCATGCTTGGAACTTAGGAAGAGGGGAATTACTGTTTTGATTGTTTAGTTGTACTAGGTTCTAATAGCTTTTTTTTTTTTTTTTTTTTTGAGATGGAATCTTGCTCTGACTCCCAGGCTAGAGTGCTGTGGCACAATCTCGGCTCACTGCAGCCTCCGCCTCCCAGATTCAAGTGATTCTCCTGCCTCAGCCTCCTGAGTAGCTGGGACTACAGGCGTGTGTGACCACACCCGGCTAATTTTTGTATTTTTGGTAGAGATGAGGTTTCACCATGTTGGCCAGGCTAGTCTCAAACTCCTGACCTCAAGTGATTTGCCCGCCTCAGCCTCCCAAAGTGCTGGAATTACAGGCATGAGCCACTGCGCCCAGCGTCTAATAGTTTTATGTGCTTATTTTTCACGGTAAAGTTATATCTATAAGATGGACATGGGTCATCTGTACCTGTGTCAGTGTTTGGGTGAGACCTGTCAACTCTTCCTTCACTAAGTTTATATAACTGTGTTAAAATATATATAACATAAAATATACCTTTTTAACCATTTTAAAGTGTATGGTTCAGTGGCATTAAGTATATTCTCATTGTTATGCAATCAGCACTGCTATCCATCCCCAGAACTTTTAATCAGCCCATACAGATGCTGTACCCGTTAAACAATAACCCCATTTCCCTCATCATTCATCCTCTCATAATCACCATTCTATTTTCTGTCTCTAGGAATTTGACCATTCTAAGTACCTTGTATAAGTGGAATCATCCAATATGTATTGTTTTGTGTCTGGCTTATTTCACTTAGCATAATGTCTTCCAAGCTCATTCAGGTTGTGGCATGTATCAGAATTTCCGGCCATCTTAAGACTAAATAAATTTCATTGTGTGCTTATATCACATTTTGTTTATCCATTCATCTATTGATGGACATTTTGGTTGTTTCCACCTTTTGGCTATTATGAACAATACTGCTGTGACTATTGGTATACTCACTGAGTTTTTATTGTTGAGTATTTGAATATTTCTCATTTCTCCCCACCTCCTTTCTACTTAATATAATTCTTTTGAGAATATATTTTTAAGTAAATGCCGTTAGTTTTGTGTTGGTTTGGCTTGTGGACCAGGCTTGTGGACCAGAAATTTTTGAAAAGATGACACTTTATTGAAATATATGTTAATGTTTAAAATTTTATCTTGGAGAACACCTTTATTTATTTCATTTCCAAGTTTTTTTGGTATGTAACTACCCTGTATACATACAATATTTGTTTACAAGAGGTACTAAATAAAGTACTCTGGGTATCCGTGGATGTAATAGAGTTATTTTAATTAAGGTAAGTCAGGGAATAGAGAAAAAGATTGACCCATCACTTGAACAATTTATACTATTTTGATGAATAGTTGGAAAATGAGGGAGGCATTCAAGAAGAAAGAAACATTTTGAAAGATACAGAATCAAGAAACAGTGAAACTTTTATTGGCATGTAGGTTGTTTAGGCTAAAGAAGTACAGTCATGCTCTGCATAATGATTTTCCAGTCAATGACGGGCTGCATATATGATGGTAGTTTCATAAGATTAATGTCACATTTTTACTGTACCTCAAGGTGTATATATGGACATACAGTGTGGACTCATAGACATTGGAGACTTAAAGGTGGGAGGGGTTTAAAGGATGAGAAATTACTGAATGGGTTCAGTGTACACTACTTGGGTGATGTGTGTTGCATTAAAAGTACAGACTTCGCCACTATGCAGTGTATTCATGTATCAAAACTGCACTTGTACCCACTAAGTTTATACATTTTTTTTAAGACCGTCTTTTGGAGGAGGGCAGGACCCAGGTTCTATGTGTCAGTATTTTCATAAGCAATGGAAATACTGATGATGATCTTGGGGCCGATGATAATTATTTCAGTTAATTTATTGAACAACCACTATATGCAAAGAGGCCTGTTTTAGGATCCAAAAATACAATGAGAAAGATAAAATCCTTGCCCTGCGGAAGTTTACTTTTTGGTGTTTCTCATTATTCTGATTGCCATAGTTTGGATGTTTGTCCCACCCAAGCCTCATGCTGAAATTTGATCCCAATGTTGAAGGTGAGGCCCTAATGGAAAGTGTTTGGATCGTGGGGGTACACCCCCTCAAAAATAGATTAATACCTTTCTGCAGGGGATGGGGAGGTGAGTTCTCACTCTTTAAGTTCCAGCAAGAGCTGGTTGTTATAAAGAGCCAGACACCTCCCCTTCAGTTTTTTGCTTTCTCTCTCATCATGTAGTCTCTGCACATGTTGGCTTCCCTTCCCCTACCTTGGGTAGAAGCAGCCTGAGGCCCTCACCAGATGGCTAATCTTGAACAATCCAGCCTGCAGAACCATGAGCTGAATAAGCCTCTTTTCTTTATAAATTGCCTACCCTCAGGTGTTCCTTTATAGCAATAATAAACAGATGAAGACACTGTGGATATAGTGTATAGTAACTCTCTTTTCTGTGGAATGGCCACATCTCTTAGACTACTCTTGCTGTAAAGTTTGCAGAGGGCTGGGCATGGTGGCACATGACTGTAATCCCAGCATTTTGGGAGGCTGAGGTAGGCGGATTGCTTGAGTCCAGGAGTTTGAGACCAGCCTGGGCAACATGGCAAAACCTTGTCTTTACTAAAAATACAAAAAATTAGCCGGCCGTGGTGGTGTGCACCTATAGTCTCAGCTACTCAGGAGGCTGAGGTGGGAGGATCACCTAAGCCCAGGAAGTCAAGGCTGCAGTGAGCTGAGATCACGCCACTGCACTCCAGCCTGGGCAACAGAGTGAGACCTTGTCTGGAAAAAAAAAAAAAAATTAAAGTTTGCAAAGGAAATGACACTTTGACACTTCAAATTACAACGATATGTGATACAGAACCTACCACATATTAAGTACATAAATCTCAAAAAACACCTGCAACAAAATCATTCTTTGGCAGCCAGGAATCAAATGAAAATGTTTCAAAATACCAATTCAATTCATGGCTGATATTTCAATGGCAGAAACAACCCAGGTTTTACTGAAAATGCTGACTAATTGGAATACTCCAGTCACTATTGTTCTTCAAAACACAGGATACAGTATAACTTGTGATTTGGAAATAAATCAAAATATACATCTAAAGAAAACTAATGAAATATGACTGAAGCAGCTCAAAATTTGTTAGTTTTAGCCCTCATAAGCTTCATGAGCTTCATAAAAATATGTTTGGTATGAAATACTAACACTGTTTTTGATAAAACCTGTCTAAACAAGATGAGTATTATTTACCATAACAGAAAAACAATGTTTTAGCCAGATATGGGCAGTTAGCTAACTAAATTTAACTTCTATTATCTCAGTCATTTGGAATATTTACTGCTTGTTTACTTAATGCAGCCTTTCTGAGAAAGGCACTTGCAGAATATTCACTGGCTGCTAAATATTATTGTTAAAATCAGCAACCAGAGATGGTTATCTGTTTAAGCTGTTTATCTTTGTCTCTTGAAAAAAAATTATGGCAAATAGAACACAATGTTCTACTGCAACGGCTCAGTCTAAATTGTATCTGGATAATAGCAAAATGGGTGTTTCCTTGGAACTTCAGATTGAAAAGCAGCCTGGAGGAGAAGATTTTCAAAAATACACATCAAAATTAGCCATCACAGATGAGAGAATGATTGACTGACAAGCACCAGGACCCAGAAGATGGAAGATTTAAGTGCAAGGTCCGACCTACACAACAAACAAAAAAAAAGACAAAATGGCTAAGTGGTCTCCAGTCAGATTCACTCATGAGAAAACTTTGGTATATAAAATAAAATAATAGCACATCTTACATTTACATAGCATCTTGGCATTTTCACAGGACTTTAGATCAAAGATGGGTTACTAAGTGAAGTTTTCACTCATTTCCTCAAGTGCGAATTGCTCCTTTTGGAGGGTGGTCTTAATTCACTGTTTATACCTAGTTTAGTGTTTACCACAGTCCACATTGGATTGTCACAACTCATAATAAAACAGGCGATCTGGACCACAGTATTATAAATAACCAAAGGGCTATGCTTCAATTTTTATTTCCCTAGACCTAGCAATATATCTGTCTCCAAACAGAAGCTAAGTAAAACTTTGTTGAATTTCACTCTGTTATCTCTGCAGTGTCCTCAACAACTCCATATGAAGGTGAACGTAGACATTATTATACCTGTTTTATAAAGGAGGAAATTGAAATACAAAAGTGCCCAGATTCACCCACCTAGGCTCCAGGACATTAGACTTCTGGGCTAATAATTCTCCTCTGATTGTACTATAGTGCTTAGAAAACTTGGGGACAGGAATTTTTGGAGAACTTACAGAATTCAGAATGAAGCCAAGCAATTGCAAGTTATCAATAAGCAAGCCACTTATATATTATCTACTGCAGAGGACCAGCAAGTGAATTACATTAGATTTATAATCCTAACTTTTCCTTGCCTTTCCTTGTCCACTTAGAATCAGTAAGAGTTATGTCAGGTATATTTGAAAATCTGCTAACTTAGAAACTTGTCTTCAAATCAGGATGGCATGATAGTGAACCATCAATCACTGATTGCACACCAAAAACATGGCCAGGACATATAAAACATATGAAAAGATAAAAAAGGCAGGGCCGAGTTCAAAAGCAAGATAAACACCTCAATTGCCAATAATTAAACAGAAATTGTATAAAGAAGAAAAAGGAAACTTAGCCTGTTGATGATAGAACTTAACCAGAAATGACAGAGCACACCAGCACTTGTCTCTAAGAAGGCAGGTTAGAACACACACACGTGCATGCACACATGCACGTGTGTGCCAGCCTCCACTTATATCTTTTGACAAACTGCTTGCCTGAGGATACCTGGGGTGGGGGGTGGGGGGAAGGACAGCTGACATACTATTAATCTGTTAGAAACGGAACCAAAGTATCACATATGTCTGTGAAAGAGTCTTCCATGTGTACAGTATAACTGGTGATAGAAGAAAAATTATTTTTGGCTGGGGACAGGAGGGTCAAGATGAAAGACAAAGACAGACAGGTATGAGCAGGGAGAAGGAAGTGAGAGAAAACAACCGCAGAAAAACATCTTCCACTCAAAACGAGCCATTAAAACAGTATTCAAAATCATATGGAGAAATCTGCTGCTAAAAATTACAGCCAGAAGAAAAGTCAGAACCTGAATTTGCTCAATATGAAATTAATTTTACAGAAATAAATAACAAAAACTTTAAAAATATGTTCATACCGAATGTTCAAAAAGACAAATGCAGATGAAACATCAAATAAAAATGAACAGAAAATGATAAAAACAAAAGCAGGAGAGAAATGTATGTATGAAGAGAATCCAATTAGAAACTTGAAAATAAAAATACAGTCATTGAAATAAACATAAATTAGTACATGAAATAAAATCTTCTCTAGATAGAGTTGAAGAGAAAATTCCGGATAGTCCTGATACATTTACCAGAAACTCAATACGGGGTCAGAAAAAAACAATTTAATTTACCACAGCTAAAAGACATATAAGGTAGATTGAAAGGCTGTAATATTCATGTAATACGAGTTTGAGAGAAAGGGATTAAAAGAAACAGTGAAGAAACAATAATTGCTAAAAGGTTTTGAGAACAAAAGAAAAATGAATCAAGAAACTGGACATTTGAAGTCAGCCTGAAAAAACAGTATTTTCAAATTGTTTCTTAATCTGGGAATTTCCCATAGATTTGTCTCTACCTCAGCATCCTAGTCTTTTCTGTTTTGTTTTGTACAAATTTGTGGAATGCATGTGCGATTTTATTATATACATAGATTATGAAGTCATGTCAGGGCTTTTAGGGTATCCATCACCCAACTAATATATATTGCACCCATTAACAAATTTTTTACCATGCTACCCCCGCCATAGCTCCTCACCTGTCTGAGTCTCCACTATATATATAATTCCACTCTCTCATCCATGTGAACACATTTTTAGCACCCACTTGTAAGTGAGAACATGTGGCATTTGACTCTGTTTCTGAGTTATTTCACTTAAGATAACAGCCTCCAGTTCCATCCATGTTGCTGTAAAATACATGATTACATTCTTTTTTATGCTGAATAGTATTCCATTGTATATACCTACCACATTTTCTTTATCCAGTCATCCGTTGATGGACACTTAGTTTGGTTTCATATCTTTGCCATTGTGAATAGTGCTACAATAAACATACATAAGTGCAGGCATCTTTTTTATGTCATAACTTATTTTCCTTTCAGTAGATACCCAGTAGTGGGATTGCTGGATATAATGCTAGTTCCATTTTTAGTTCTTTGAGATATCTTCATACTGTTTTCTACAGAGGTTGTGCTAATTTACATTCCCACCCAACAGTGTATAAGCATTCTCTTTTCTTTGTATCCTCACCAACATCTGTTATTTTTTGACTTTTTAATAATAGCCATTCTGACTGGTATAAGATGATGCCTCATTGTGGTTTTATCTTGTATTTCTCTGATTATTACTGAACTTGAGCATTTTTTCCTATGCTTTTTGGTCATTTGTATGTCTTCTTCTGAATAATGCCTGTTCATGTCTTTTGCACACTTTTTTTTTTCCAAAAGTTCCAGGATACATGTGCAGGATGTGCAGGTTTGTTATGTAGGCAAACATCTTTCTACACTTTTTAATAAGGTTAATTTTTTGTTTTGTTTTGTTCTTAGTTTGAATTCCTCATAGATTCTGAGTATTAGTCCCTTGTTGGATAGATACTTTGCAAACATTTTCTGCCATTTTGCAGACTGTTTGTTCACTCTGTTGATTATTTCTTTTGCTGTGCATAAGCTTTTTGGTTTAATTAATTCACATTTGTTTATTTGTGTATGTTTTATAGAGATGTGGTCTCCCTGTGTTGCCTGGGCTAGTCTTGAACTCGTGGCCTCAAGCATGACTTCCAGAGATGCTGGGATTCCAGGTGTCAGCCACCATGGCCATCCATTTTTGCTTTTGTTGCATTTGCTTTTGAGGTTTTAGTAATGAATCATTTCCTTAGGTCAATGTCCAGAAGAGTTTTTCCTACGTTTTCTTCTGGTATTTTTTTATAGTTTCAGGTCTTATATTTAAGTCTTTAATCCATCTTGAATTAATTTTTGCATATGGTGAGAGATATGGGTTCTATTTTATTCTTCTCCATATGGCACTCCAATTTCCCTAGCACCATTTATTGAATAAGGTGTCCTTTCCCCATTGTATGTTTTTGTTGACTCTATCAGAAATCAATTGTCTGTAGGCATGTGGCTTTATTTAGTTCTCTGGTATGTTCCATTGATCTGTATCTATTTTTATATTAGTACAATGCTGTTTTGGTTATTATAGCCTTGTGTAATTTGAAGCCAGGTACTATGGGGCCTCCAACTTTGTTCTTTTTGCTCAGGATTTCTTTGGCTATTTCAGCTCTCCCTTGATTCCATGTGAATTTTAGGATTATTTTTTCTAATTCTGTGAAAAAATGATGTTCGTATTTGGATAGGGATTGCATTGAATCTGTAGACTGCTTTTGTCAGCATCATTGTTTTAATGATATTGATTCTTCAAATTCATGGTGTGGGATGTTCTTACATTTGTTTGTGTCATCTACAGTTTTTTTCATCAGTATCTTATAGTTGTCCTTGTAGAGATCTTTCACCTCCTTCGTTAACTGTATTCCTAGAGCTGTGTTGTTTTGGTTTTGGTAGCTATTGTAAATAGGATTGACTTCTTGATTTGGTTCTCAGTTTGGTAGTTATTGGTGTATAGAAATGGTACTGATTTTTGTATGTTGATTTGTATGCTGAAACTTTAATGAATTCATTTATCAAATACAGGAGTCTTTTGGAGGAGTCTTTAGGGTTTTCTAGGTATAAGATCATATTGTTGGCAGAGATCATTTGAATTCTTTTCCAATTTGGACGCCTTTTATTTCTTTCTCTTGCCTGGTTGCTCTGGCTGGGATTTCCAGTACTGTGTTGAATAGGAGTGGTGATAGCGAGCATCCTTATCTTGTCCCAGCTCTTAGGGGAAATATTTTCATCTTTTTCCCCCTTCAGTATGATGTTGACTGTGGGTTTGTTTTATATGGCTTTTATTACATTGAGATATGTTCCTTCTGTACCTATTTTGTTGAAGGTTTTTATTATAAAGGGATGCTGAATTTTATCAAATGATTTTTTGCATCTGTTGAGATGATCATATGGTTTTTGTTTTTAATTGTGTTTATCTAGTGAATCACATTTATTGATTTGCATATATTGAGCCATTTTTGCATCCCGGGAATAAAACCTACTTGATCATGGTGCATTATCCTTTTGACGTGCTGTTGAATTCAGTTTTCTAGTATTCCGTCAAGGATTTTTGTGTCTGTGTTCAAGAGGGATATTGATATGTAGTTTTCTTTTTTGTCGTCATTGTTGTGTATTTACTGTGCTTTGATATCAGGGTAATACTGGCATCATAGAATGAGTTAGGGAAGTTTCC
The DNA here is from genome assembly GCF_000001405.40 of Homo sapiens. Lineage (NCBI taxonomy): Eukaryota > Metazoa > Chordata > Mammalia > Primates > Hominidae > Homo > Homo sapiens. The sequence goes on along the minus strand of NC_000011.10, from coordinate 10,082,353 downwards.
GTCCACATTAATTTTTTGAACAGTTTTAGTAGGACTGGTACCAGCTATTCTTTGTATATCTGGTAGAATTTGGCTGTGAATTCTCTGGTCCTGGACTTTTTTGTTGATGGGTGAATTTTTATTACTAGTTCAATCTCACTAATTATTAGTCAATTCATAATTTCTATTTCCTTCTGGTTCAGTCTTGGGAGGTTGTGTGTTTCCAGGAACTTATCCATTTCCTTTTGGTTTTCTAGTTTGTGAATGTAGAGCTGCTCATAGTAGTCTCTGATGCTCTTTTGCATTTCTGTGGTATCAGTTGCAATGTCTCCTTTTTCTTTTCTGATTGTGTTTATTTGAATCTTCTCTCCTTTTCGTGGTTAGTCAAGTGTTCTATCAATTTTGTTTATATTTTCTAAGTATCAACTTTTTAATTTTTTGTTGATCCTTTATGTTTTATTTTTTTGGTCTCAATTTCTTTCTATTTGCTTGAATCTTTGTTATTTCTTTTGTTCTTCTAGCTTTGAGTTTGGTTTGTTCTTGGTTTTCTAGTTCCTTGAGATACAATGTCAGGTTGCTAATGTGCAATATTTCTTTTTCTTTTTTTTTTTTTTTGAGGTGGAGTCTTGCTCTGTGGGTCAGGCTGGAGTGCAGTGGCGCAATCTCAGCTCACTGTAACCTCTGCCTTCCAGGTTCAAGCGATCCTCCTGCCTCAGCCTCCCGAGTAGCTAGGACTACAGGCGCGTGTCACCACGCCTGGCTAATTTTTTGTAATTTTAGTAGAGATGGGGTTTCACCATGTTAGCCAGGATGGTCTCGATCTCCTGACCTCAGACGATCTATCCGTCTCAGCCTCCCAAAGTGCTGGGATTACAGGTGTGAGCTACCGTGCCCAGCCATTTCTTTAAATGGAGGTATTTAATGTTATAAATTTCCCTCTTAGCACTGCTTTTGCTGTATCCCAGAGGTTTTTGATATGTTGTGTCTCCATTTTCATTCTTTTCAATTTTTGTTGTAAATTTCTGCCTTAATTTCATTGTTGACCCATAGATCATTCAGGAGCATATTCTTTAATTTCTATGTGTTTGTATGGTTTTGAAAGTTCCTCTTGGAATTGATTTCTGGTTTTATTCCACTGTGGTCCAAGAAGATACTTGGTATGATTTTGAGATTTTTTTAAAATTTATTGAGACTTTTTTTGTGACCTAATATAGTTACTGTCTTGGAGAATGTTCCATCTGTTGATATATTCCTTGTATAGAATGTTCTGTAAATGTCTATAGGTCCACTTGGTCTAAAGTCCACTTTAATTTTCTGTCATGATACTCTGCGTAGTGCTGTCAGTGGTGTGCTGACATCCCCCACTAGTATTGTATTGCTATCTATATTTTTCTCTTAGGTTTAGTAATACTTGTTTTATGAATCTGGGTGCTGCAGTGTTGGGTCCATATATATTTAGGATTGTTATATTTTCTTGGTGAATTGATTGCTTTATTATTACATAAAGACTTCCTTTTTTTTACTACTGTTGATGTAAAGTCTGTTTTGTCTGATATAAGTATAGCTATTTCTGCTTGCGTTTGATTTTTGTTTGCATGGAATATGTTTTTTTACCCCTTTACCTTCAGTCTGTACATGTCTTTATGAGTAAGGCAAATTTCTCATAAGCAGAATATAGTTGGATCTGTTTTTAAATTCATTCCACGAATCTGTATCTTTTAAGTAGAGCATTTAATCAATTTATGTTAAAGAGTAATATTGATATGTAAGGTTTTTGTTTCTATCATAATGTTTCTATCTACTTGCCTTTGGGATTCTTTTTTTTTTCTCTGTCTTTTTAGGTTTAGTAGGGTTTTGTCACATTGCCATATGATTTATGTGTCTTTCTCATAAGTGTAATTGTTTTATAAGACCTGTGAGTTTTATACTTTTGTGTTTTGTTAGGATGGAGAGTGTCAACCTTTTGTTTCCATGTTAAAAACTTCTTTGAGTTTTTTTGATAGGACCGGTCTAGTGGTGATGAATTCCATCAGCATTTCCTTGTCTAGGAAAGACTTTATTACTCCTTTACTTATTCTAGCAGGATATAAAATTTGGGGTTTACTTTTTTTTTTTTTTTTTTTTTTGAGACAGAGTTTCGCTCTTATTTTCCAGGCTGGAGTGCAGTGGTGTGACCTCGGCTCACTGCAACCTCTGCCTCCCGGGTTCAAGCAATTCTCCTGCCTCAGCCTTCCAAGTAGCTGAGACTACAGGCACACACTACCAGGCCTGGCTAATTTTTGTGTTTTTAGTAGAGACAGGGTTTCACCATGTTGGCCAGGCTGGTCTCAAACTCCTGACCTCAGGTGATCCACCCTGCTCAGCCTCCTAAAGTGCAGGGATTACAGGCATGAGCCATCGTGCCTGTCCCACATTTTTTTTTCTTTAAGCACTTTGAAAATAGAATCTCAATCTCTCTGGCTTGTAAGGTTTCTGCTGAGAAGTCTACTGTTAGTCTCTTGGGATTTCCTTGATAGGTCACTAGATGCTTTACTCTTGCTGATTTTAGAATTTTTTTTCCCCTCTTAATGTTAACCATAGGCATTCTGATGACTATGTCATGGTGAGTTCTTTCTTGCAATGTAATTTCCGGAGTTCATGGAGCCTCTTGTATTTGAATATCTGGATCTTCTGCTAGAATAAGGTAGTTTTCCATAATTATTTCCTCAAATCAGGTGTCCAAACTTTTTTATTTCTCAGGAGTACCTATGATTTGTAGGTTCAGTCTTGTTTTTATAGTTCCATACTTCTCAAATGCTTTGTTTGTTTATTAAATCCTTTTTTAAAAAACTTTTGTCTAACTGGATTAATTTGAAAGACCTGTCTTCAGTTTCTGAGATTCTTTCTTCCATTTGGTCTAGTCTGTTGTCAGAACTTTCAACTGTATTATGGAATTTCTTCAATAAATTTTTCATTTCCAAAAGTTTGGTTTGGCTTTATAGATAAATAGGGGGATGTAGATATCTTTGGTGAATTTCTCAGTCATATCCTGTAAATGTAGATACTGATGTAGTTGTATGTATCTTTGCAGATTTCTCAATTATATCCTGAATTTATTTTCTAATTTCTTTGCATTAGTTTTCTGGTTTCTCTTGTACATTGTTGTGAGATTTCTTTTTTGTTAGGCTCCATCGCTATAGAATTACGGCGTTTCTTTGAGATGTCATAGCATCTTGTGTTTTTTTAAATATTTCCAGTATTATTGCACTGATACATTTGCATATGGGGTAACAGTCGCTTCTTCTTATTTTTGAATTCACTTTTACTGAAAGGTAACTTTTTTTCTTCTTCAGGATGCATCTGTGGTGTATGTTGAGTAGGGTTCTCTGGCTTTGCTTATGGGTGCATTTGGTGGCATAGACTATGTATGATTTTCTTGGTTATAAATAGCCTCAGTTTGGTGGATTTCTTAAATGCTAGTTGCAGTCATAATGTAAGGTTGAGCAAATGGGTTCAAGTCCTCCTGAGTAGCCAGGGTGTGGTGTTGGTAGTAGAGGTCACACAGAGCTTGTCTGTTCTTCAAACCTCATGCAATTTTTTTAAATTTGTTTTTTATTATTATACTTTAAGTTCTGGGGTACATGTGCACAACCTGCAGGTTTGTTACGTAGGTATACGTGTGCCATGTTGGTTTGCTGCACCCATCAACTCGTCATTTACATTAGGTATTTCTCCTAATGCTATCCCTCCCCCAGCCCCCAAACCCCCGATAGGCCCTGATGTGTGATATTCCCCTCCCTGTGTCCATGTGTTCTCATTGTTCAACTCCCACTTATGAATGAGAACATGTGGTGTTTGGTTTTCTGTCCTTGTGTTACTTTGCTGAGAATGATGGTTTCCAGTTTCATCCATGTCCCTACAAAGGACATGAACTCATCCTTTTTTATGGCTGCATAGTATTCCATGGTGTATATGTGCCACATTTTCTTTATCCACTCTATCATTGATGGGCATTTGGGTTGGTTCCAAGTCTTTGCTATTGTGAACAGTGCTACAGTAAACATATGTGTTCATGTGTCTTTATATTAGAATGATTGATAATCCTTTGGGTATATACCCAGTAATGGGATCACTGGATCAAATGGTATTACTAGCTCTAGATCCTTGAGGAGTCACCACACTGTCTTCCACAATGGTTGAACTAGTTTACACTAGTGTAAAAGCGTTTCTATTTCTCCATATCCTCTCCAGCATCTTTTGTTTCCTGAATTTTTAATGATCGCCATTCTAAATGGCATGAGATGGTATCTCATTGTGGTTTTGATTTGCATTTCTCTAATGACCAGTGATGATGAGCATTTTTTCATAAGTTTGTTGGCTGCATAAATGTCTTCTTTTGAGAAGTGTCTGTTCATATCCTTTGCCCACTTGTTGATGAGGTTGTTTGTTTTTTTCTTGTAAATTTGTTTAAGTTCTTTGTAGATTCTGGATATTAGCCCTTTGTCAGATGGATAGTTTGCAGAAATTTTCTCCTATCCTGTAGGTTGCCTGTTCACTCTGCTGATAGTTTCTTTTGCTGTGCAGAAGCTCTTTAGTTTAATTAGATCCCATTTGTCTATTTTGGCTTTGTTGCCATTGCTTTTGGTGTTTTAGTCATGAAGTCTTTGCCCATGCCTATGTGCTACATGGTATTGCCTACGTTTTCTTCTAGGATTTTTAATGGTTTTATGTCTAACATTTAAGTCTTTAATCCATCTTGAGTTAATTTTTGTATAAGGTTTAAGGAAGGGATCCAGTTTCAGCTTTCTGCATATGGCTTGCCAGTTTTCCCAACACCGTTTATTAAATAGGGAATCCTTTCCCCATTGCTTGTTTTTGTCAGGCTTGTCAAAGATGAGATGGTTGTAGATGTGTGGTGTTTGTTATTCCATTGGTGTATAGATGTGGTTTGGTACCAGTACCATATTATTTTGGTTACTGTAGCCTTGTAGTATAGTTTGAAGTCAGGTAGCATGATGCCTCCAGCTTTGTTCTTTTTGCTTAGGATTGTATTGGCAATATGGGCCCTTTTTGGGGTCCATATGAACTTTAAAGTAGTTTTTTCCAATTCTGTGAAGAAAGTCATTGGTAGCTTGATGGGGATGGCATTGAATCTATAAATTACTTTGAGCCGTATGGCCATTTTCACGATATTGGTTCTTCCTATCCATGAGCATGGAATGTTCTTCCATTTGTTTGTGTCCTCTTTTATTTCCTTGAGCAGTGGTCAAACCCCATGCAATTTTATCAACAGATAATGTAATAAGCTCTGCAGGTTGGCCTTGCAGCCAGTAGGTGGCGCTAGCATGCGAGATCCAGCTGAGGTGGTGGCAATATGCTTGACCTTTGTTAACCAGAGGTACTCTGATGTCTTAGGTGATGGACTAGGCTGTGGAACTCCCAGGGGCCCTGTTCCCAAGCTCTTCCTCAGATGCAGGTTGATGGAGGCAAGGCCAAATGGGGCTAGGCTGGACAGTCCCATGCTCCGGCATCCCCAACACCAAGCACAAGTGCTGTCCCCAAGGAGGATCAGAAAGCAGTTCTCAGGCCCCTGGGGCAATGCTCGAGGGAGGAGCAGAGCAACTGGTGCTGTGTCAAAGAGCCAATACAGGGACAGAAGGGTAGTTTTGGTTCCACAGCCTAGCAGGCAGTAGTGGGACCTGCCTGAAGTCCATGCTTTCAGCCTGGCAGGGCTCCCTCCCATGGCCTGCTGCCAGTGGTATGCTAATACAGCCAGCCAAGTTATAAGCAGTCTTTCTTCAGATTGTAACATCGCCCCAGGTCTCAAAGCTCCCTCCCTGAGACAAAAACATGGCTCCCAGGCCACACCCCTCCTGGTCCCATGCTGCAAACGGGTAGTGCCCAACTCCTGTACCCAAAGCTGGAGCCCACATATTCTCACCTCTCAGTTCTGGCCATAGGGGCTCCTGTCCCACTAGAGACTGGATTGCAAGTCCTGATCTGAAGATTCTCCAAACCAGTGTCTGCCACCTGTGCTGGCTGGCTGGTTTTCGTGCAGCCCCCTTAGTTGGATCAAGAATGGCCTTCTGTCAGTAGTTGGAGACGGGAGTGCATATGGAGCACTTTCTACTGCCATTCCTTCTTACAGTCTCCCTGTTCTCCAACTTAAGATCTAGCTCTCAGTAGGGTCACGGAGCTCCCCAGTGGCCTGGATTGCCTCGTTCCTTAGTAGAAATATGTATTGTAAGATACTCTCTCCCCCGTCATACACTGGTGATTCACTCACAGTTTTCCACCACAGATCCACAGCGTAGCCTAATGCCCACTGTATTTTTCAAAGTATTCAATTATTCTTTTGCTTTTATATTTAGCTCTCATGTTTCTTCTTGGATGAAAGTTCACCATGTGAATCTGTACATGCTATTTTGCTATTTCTGAGTGGGTGAGCTATGGTAACAAAGCCTCTAATTTGCCAACTCGCAGAAAAAAAAAAAAACTACCAGAAATGGTTTTCTGTTTCCTCTACGATCCCATCCTTTATGTCTCAGGCTAGAGGTGTCCTCTGTTGCATTCATCAATTACTGTGTTAGTCTGTTCTCACACTGCTATAAAGAACTACCCAAGACCGGTAATTTATAAAGAAAAGAGGTTTAATTGACTCACAGTTCCACAGTCTGGCTGTACAGGAGGCATGGCAGAGAGGCCTCAGGAAACTTACAATCATGGCAGAAGGGCAAAGAGGAAGCAAGCATGTTTTCACATGGTGGCAGGAGAGACAGCAAATGAAGGGGAAAGTGCTATACACTTTTAAACTACCAGATTTCATGAGAACTCATTCACTATCATAAGAACAGCAAGGGGGAAATCTGCCCCGATGATCCAATCACCTTTCACCAGGCCCCACCTTCAACACTTGGGATCACGATTCAACATAAGATTTGGGTGGGGACACAGAACCAAACCATATCAACTACCTATTATTCTCTTACATAGCAATAGCAGTAGTAGTGAAGATGTTACTCATTACTTGAGTACTGATTGTGTGACTGGTCATAATTCTATAACAGTGTTTATTAATCACTTACAATGTCTGAGGCAGAATGCTAACCAGTTTACATGCATGATATCACTTAATCTTGACAGTAATGATGTATTTTGTGTTCAAGGAAAACTGAGGTTTAGAGAAATTAGGTAATTTACCAAAATTATAACCTAAGTTAAGAGTCAGATCAAGATTCTTGTCTGTCTGGTGGCACAGGCCATGAGATTATCAAGTTTTAGCCTTCTCTGTGAATCTCTTTTTCAGTATATCTGATAAATTGCCATCCAACTTCTGGTTTAATTTGTGAAGTAAGGGGTTCTCATTCTCTAGGACATAGTTTATTCCATTGTTTGACAGCTTTAAATGTTAACACGTTCTCCCTAATATTAAGGAAACATTAATATATTTTTCTGTAACTTTTAAACTATTATATCTTAACCATTCCAGACATACAGAGGGTAAAATGAATCTATTCTTATTAACATTGGCTATATTTAGCAAATTGTATTTAATATATGTGTAAACAAAATTGACCTGGCTATAAGCAAGAAATCTCTTTTCAGATGGATAAACTTGTATTTAAAATTGTGTGTGTCTGATGTAAAAACCAAAAACAAAATTACTCTGGGGAATCTAATGTACACATTTTCAATTTTCTCTGTTCTCCCTAGTCTATAACTACATCTAAACTTAATAAACAGAGATAGGTAATGGAGTTCAGTGCAAATATTTTTTAATCAGCCTAAGTAAAATAATATAAAACACTTAAAATAAGCAAAAGATGAATATATAGCTATCACAGACTTTGAGAGATAACTTTGAGAGATAATAAAATCTGCAGAATGAAAAGTCAGTCAGTCACATGTGAGAGTTTTATAAAATTCGAAGAACATTTTGTTTCTAATTTTTGTCTTTCCATTTGATCTTCCTTTGCTGGCTGAGTTTTTGTGAATTCATCATTTCTTATAAATGGACCTTTCTGAGAATATTGATTCAAACATGTTCAACATCTATGTTTTTGGTATTTATTATTTATCAAATATAGTGCTAATAAGCATTAGGCAAGGCACAGTTGTATAAGGTAGGGTTCTCTTGGTTTTCTTGTTAAAAACATAGAAAAATTAAAAGATAAAAATAGAGAACAATGAACTCCCATGTACTCATCATACAACTACAGCAATCGTTAACTCTGGGTCACTCTTTCTTTCCCGCTCTATTATACCTGTCTACCTACTGGCCTCAAACCCTTCTAATTGGATTATTGTGAAGCAAACTACAAATATTGTATTAATTGAATCATACGAAATTGTCTACATCCATTTATTTTCACCTATAAAATGATAATTACATTTGATTCAACTTCATATCACTTTGTTCATAAATATTAGAGTACTTCTAAAAGACCTCTTTTTTCTTAACACAACCACAGTGTCATTTATCATACCTAAAACATAAGTAATAATATCACCAACCATCTGCAGTCTTTATATTTCCCCACTTGTAGTATGTAAGTGTGTATATTGCTCATTTACTATCTTTTCACAGTTGGTTTGTTTGAATTCACATCCAAACAAGGTCTACATATGCATTTGGTTGATAGGTCTCCTAAATCTTTTTTTTTGTTTTTTTGAGTTGGAGCCGCACTCTGTCTCCCAGGCTAGAGTGCAGTAGTGCGATCTCACAATCTTGGCTCACTGCAACCTCTGCCTCCCAGTTTCAGGCAATTCTCATGCCTCAGCCTCCTGAGTAGCTGGGACTACAGGTGCATGCCACCACACCCAGCTAGTTTTTGTATTATTAGTAGAGACAGACAGTGTTTCGCCATGTAGGCCAGGCTGGTCTCAAACTCCTGACCTCAAGTGATCTGCCCGCCTGGCCCTTCCAAAGTGCTGAGATTACAGGTGCAAGCCACTGTGCTGGGCCACTTAAATCTTTCTTAATCTATAGTTTCTTCTTTGATTTTCTTCCATATAATTTGTTAAGGAAATTGCTCTTCCTTAATTTCAATTTAATAAGGAATTTGAAAATTTTAATAATTTTAAAATGAAAATAATTTTAATAATTTTTACTTCAACTTTACAAGGGATATAGGAAACACATAACTATAACTCATTGTAAGTAAAAGCTTACTTTATTTCTCTTCAGATAAGCCTTTATTGATTACTTACCTGCTAGGCAGAATTCTAAGCACTTCATATTCACAGCAACCCTGTAGATCCCATATTGCAATACATCCCATTACTCAGATCACATTATATATTGGCCTTTTGAAGGAGTCAATTGAAAGCAAGATAACCACTGGGTGCGATGACTCACACCTGGAATCCCAGCACTTTGGGATGCCAAGGCAGGCGGATTGCTTGAGCCCGGGGGTTCAAAACCAGACTGGGCAAAAAAGTGAAACCTGTCTTTACCAAAAATAATGATGATGATGATGATGATAATAATAATAATAATAATAATTAGCCATATGTGGTGTCATGCATCTGTAGTCCTAGCTACTTGACAGGATCATGATTGCTTGACCCTGGGAGGGCGAGGCAGCAGTGATCTGAGATGGTGCCACTGCACTCCAGCCTGGGCAACAGAATGAGACCCTGTCTCCAAAAAAAAAAAAAAGAAAAAAAAAAAAGATTCCACTGGATTTTTTTGTTTTTTGAGAACATAGTAATGCAGCCATTAGTGGAAAAGCCCCAAATGATAGCATTCCTTCTATTTGTTGTCCAGGAAATTAGTAAAATTCCAACGTTTATAATTTACAAGAAAGGAAAAGGAATTGAAATGGAACTCACCTTATTTCCTCTATTTAAGTACTTTTACATTTATTCTTAAAAATCAAAGAATTATTACTATTTGTCAATTTTAATTGAAAAAAAAAATAGAAGTATATCTTCAACTGTTTCCTGAGTCATTATACATAAGATTTCTGACTCTTAAAAGGTAGTGAGCTTCAAGAAGTGAGTAGGTTGTTGGGCCTGAGAGATTTTGAAATGTCAACACTTTGTGCTGACTAGAATCTTAAATTTCCCTTAAAATATACAAATCCTTGATATGAGTCATGTTTTCTTAGAAACCGTTTGTGAAGTTTTGGCTTTAGGAACTATAGTCTTAATATCTACCTTAAAGGCTATATAAGATATAAAAGATATTTTGGTTAAAAGTCAAAATTAGGTATTTTTATGTGGTGACTTATTTGGCAATTAGTGAATCTAGGTAAGGGTAAATGGGTTTCATTGTACTATTCAAATTATGCCTGAATATTTATATGCACACATACATGTGTATGTAAATGCATACAAAAAATATTTGGAAGGAAACACATAAAGCAATTAATAATGATTAATATGGCTGGAGGTGAAGGGTGGAGTGCCCCACATCATTGGGTTGGGCGGCAAAAACTTGAATGATTTCCCTACAAATTTCTGTATTGATGCGAAAATCCTCAATAAAATACTGGCAAACCAAATCCAGCAGCACATCAAAAAGCTTATCCACCATGATCAAGTCAGCTTCATCCCTGAGATGCAAGGCTGGTTCAACATATGCAAATCAATAAACGTAATCCATAACATAAACAGACCCAGTGAGAAAAACCACATGATTATCTCAATAGATGCAAAAAAGGCCTTCAGCAAAATTCAACAGCCCTTCATGCTAAAAACTCTCAATAAACTAGATATTGATGGAATGTATCTCAAAATAATAAGAGCTGTTTATGACAAACCCACAGCCAATATCATACTGAATGGGCAAAAACTGGAAGCATTCCCTTTGAAAACTGGCACAATGGCCGGGCACGGCGGCTCACACCTGTAATCCCAGCACTTTGGGAGGCCGAGGCAGGTGGATCACGAGGTTGGGAAATCAAGACCATCCTGGCTAACATGGTGAAACCCCATCTCTATGAAAAATACAAAAAATTAGCCAGGCGTGGTTGCGGGCGCTTGTAGTCCCAGGTACTCTGGAGGCTGAAGCAGGAGAATGGTGTGAACCTGGGAGGCAGAGCTTGCCGTGAGCTCAGATCACGCCACCACACTCCAGCCTGGGTGACAGAGTGAGACTCCCTCTCAAAAAAAAAAAAAAAAAAAGAGAGAGAGAGAAAAAAAGAGAAAACCGGCACAAGACAAGGATGCCCTCTCTCACCACTTCTATTCAACTTAGTGTTGGAGGTTCCAGCCAGGGCAATCAGGCAAGAGAAAGAAATAAAGGGTATTCAATTTGGAAGAGAGGAAGTCAAATTGTCTCTGTTTGTGGATTACAATATTGTATATTTAGAAAACACCATCGTCTCAGCCCAAAACCTCCTTAAGCTGATAGGCAGCTTCAGCAGTGTCTCAGGAAACAAAATCAGTGTGCAAAAATCACAAGCATTCCTATACACCAATAACAGACAAACAGAGAGCCAAACCATGAGTGAACCCCCATTCACAATTGCTACAAAGAGAATAAAATACCTGGGAATCCAGTTTACAAGGGATGTGAAGGACTTCTTCAGGGAGAACTACAAACCACTGCTCAACGAAATAAAAGAGGACACAAACAAATGGAAAAACATTCCATGCTCATGGATAGGAAGAATCAATACCGTGAAAATGGCCATATGGCCCAAAGTAATCTATAGATTCAATTCCATCCCCATCAAGCTACCAATGACTTTCTTCACAGAATTGGAAAAAAACTATTTTAAAGTTCATATGGAACCAAAAAAGAGCCCACATTGCCAAGACAATTCTAAGCAAAATGAACAAAGCTGGAGGCATCATGCTACCTGACTTCAAACTATACTACAAGGCTATAGTAACCAAAACAGCATGGTGCTGGTACCAAACCACATATATACACCAATGGAACAGAACAAAGCCTTCAGAAATAACACCACACACCTACAACCATCTGATCTGTGACAAACCTGGCAAAAACAAGAAGTGGGGAAAGGATTCCCTATTTAATAAATGGTGTTGGGAAAACTGGCTAGCCATATGTAGAAAACTGAAACTGGATCCCTTCCTTACATCTTATAACAAAAATTAATTCAAGATGGATTAAAGACTTAAATGTTAGACATAAAACCATAAAAACCCTAGAAGAAAAACCTAGGCAGTACCATTTACGACATAGGCATGGGCGAGGACTTCATGGCTAAAACACCAAAAGCAATGGCAACAAAAGCCAAAATTGACAAATGGGATCTAATTAAACTAAAGAGCTTCTGCCCAGCAAAAGAAACTACCATCAGAGTGAACAGGCAACCTACAGAATGGGAGAAAAATTTTGCAGTCTACCCATCTGACAAAGGGCTAATATCCAGAATCTACAAAGAACTTAAACAAATTTACAAGAAAAAAACAACCCCATCAACAAGTGGGCAAAGGATATGAACAGACACTTCTCAAAAGAAGACATTTATGCAGCCAACAGACACATGAAAAAATGCTCATCATCATTGGTCATCAGAGAAATGCAAATCAAAACCACAATGAGATACCATCTCACACCAGTTAGAATGGCGATCATTAAAAAGTCAGGAAACAACAGATGCTGGAGAGGATGTGGAGAAATAGGAATGCTTTTACACTGTTGGTGGGAGTATAAATTAGTTCAGCCATTGTGGAAGACAGTTTGGTGATTCCTCAAGGATCTAGAACTAGAAATACCATTTGACCCAGCAATCCCATTACTGGGTATATACCCAAAGGATTATCAATCATTCTAATATAAAGACACATGCACATGTATGTTTATTGCAGCACTGTTCACAGCAGCAAAGTCTTGGAGCCAACCCAAATGCCCATCAATGATAGACTGGATAAAGAAAATGTGGCACATATACACCATAGAATACTATGCAGCCATAAAAAAGGATGAGTTCATGTCCTTTGCAGGTACATGGATGAAGTTAGAAACCATCGTTCTTAGCAAACTGTAACAAAGACAGAAAACCAAACACCACATGTTCTCACTCATAGGTGGGAATTGAACAATGAGAACACTTGGAATAGGGTGGGGAACATCACACCCTGGGGCCTGTTGGGGGGTGGGGGGAGGGGAGGATAGCATTAGGAGAAATACCTAATATAAATGATGAGTTGATGGGTGCAGCAAACCAACATGGCACATGTATACCTATGTAACAAACCTGCACGTTGTGCACATGTACCCTAGAACTTAAAGTAGAATATAAAAAAATCAAAATTAGTTATTTTTATGTGGTGAATTATTGACAATTAGTGTATCTAAATAAGGGTAAATGGGTTTCATTGTACTATTCAAATTATGCCTGAATATTTATATGCACACATACATATGTAGGTAAATGCATACAAAAATATTTGGAAGGAAACACATAAAGCAATTAATAATGATTAATATGGCTGGAAGTGAGGGGTAGAGTGCCCCACATCATTTGGTTGGGCAGCAAGAATTTGAATGATTTCTCTACAAATTTCTGTATTGTTTGGGCTTTCGGCAATAAAAATATATTCATATTTTAATTGTTTAAAGAATTCAAAATAATCAGTATGTATTTTCATTCATCAGCTCCTTGAGGGCAACAATGCTGTGAATTGATTCAAGTTTTGAGGTAGAGAAGAATCAAGTTGACATTATTTTGAAAGGGGTGACGGGGGCTGAGTCGGTAATAATATTAGTAATAATGATAATACAATAGCTACTATTTATTAAATATTTACTCTTTGCTAGGTACTATGTTAAACATTTTAGGTGCATAAAATAGTTTTTTATAAAAGCTACGTAAGGTATATCACAGTATTTTCATTAAGATTTTATTAATTAAAGGATTGTGGAGAGCCCACACAGCTAAGTAAATAGCAAGTCTGAAATTTGAATATGTCTTTTATTCTAGAATCCCAAGTCTTAAACACAGTGCTAGAGTCTGAATAATGAGAATGGGTAAGAAATAGGAAAACAGTATTTCTAAAGTCACAGCTCTGAAAGTGGTTAAAATGGTCAGGTCAGTGGTATGTAGGACCCTTAGCCAGAGGGCTAGACCTTGGATTCAAACAGAAAAGCACCTTGTTTCTCAAACTGACCAAAATGAGGATTCAGGAAAGGGTGAGTTGTAATCAGAACTCAATTGCCTATGATTTATTTTAAAAAATCACTTAAGGAAGCACTTAATACTGTATAAATACATGTAAAGTAAAATTTAACCATGTGGGTGCTATGCTAGGTTTGCAGCTGGCAGTTTGCAAGCAGCAATAGATCAGGTAATCCAATTTGCAGGGAGAATTTCTGCTGCCTGCAGCAGAGGGACCTTCTCCATTAACACATTGCTTCATTTCATGATTTCATTATCCCCTGCTTTAAGAACACCTAACAATAGTTACACTTTTCTTGAGCAAGTGTTAAAGTTTCTTATTAATGGAAAGGGATCAGTTGTCCTTCTATGTGTGGGTTTCTGTGTTTTGTTTTATTTGTCTGTTTGCATTTCTTTTTTTTATTCGGGGGAGGGGTATCATTTTGTTGCCAGGCTGGAGTTCAGTGGCATGATAATAGCTTACTGCAGCTTCAACCTTTTGGGCTCAATTGATCCTCCCACCTCAGCCTCTCGAGCTGGATGCACAGACAGCTAAGTTTTTGTTTTTTGGTTGTCGTTATTTTTTATAGAGACAGGGTCTCCCTATGTTGCCCAGGTTGGTCTCAAACTACTGGACTCAAGCAATCCTTCTGCCTTGGCCTCCCATGGTGCTGAGATTATAGGTGTGAGTCACCACACCAGACCTTATTTCCATTTCTTTACTCTAGTACTATGCTGGGCATTTTTTTGTTTTGTTTTTGTTTTTGTTTTTGTTTTTTTGGTTAATGTTGCTTTACCACAATTCTTGGAATCAGGTAGTGTTACTTCTCCAATTTAGTCTGTTTCAGAGTTGTTTTGGCATTCTAGGTCCTTTACATTTTCACTGGAATTTCAAACTCAGTTTTACAACTTCTACTGTCCTCACTTTCCCCCTCCCCCTCAAAAAAACAAACACACAACCAAAAAACCTGGTGACACTTGGACTGGGATTGCATCAAATCTGTAGATTTATTCAAACATAGATTGACTTGTAGAAGAATTGACATCTTGACAATATCAAGTTGGCCAGCCCTTCAACAATATACATCTTCCTATTTGTTTGGGTCTTATTTAGTTTTCCTCAGCAGTGTTTTGTAATTTTCATTGTCCAGCTCTTTCACATCTTTTGACATATGTATCCCTAAGTAATTCATTTTAAAAAAAACAGAGTCAGGGTCCCACTGTGTTGCCCAGGCTGGTCTCAATCTCCTGGCCTCAAGCAGTCTTCCCATTTCACACTCCCAAAATGCTGGGATTACAGGTGTGAGCCACCATACCTAGCCTAGTTCATATTCTTGATGCTTTTATAAATGACATTTTAATTTAAATTTCTGGTTTGCTCATTGCTAATAGGAAGAAATGTAATTGATTTTTATATATTGATCATGTGTTCTACTACCTTGCTAAACTTATTTGTTCTAGACACTCTTTGTAGAGTCCACTCTTTGTAGATTTTTCTCTGTAGATTTTCAGCAATCGGGTTCCTTCCTTTTTTTTGCTTGATTGCCCAGGCTAGAACCTGGAGCACAAAGTTGAATACAAGTGGTGATAGAAGACGTGCCTATCTTGTTTCTGATCTTAGTGGAAAAGCATTCGGTTTTTCAACATTAAGTATGATGTTAGCTGTGGATTTCACATCAATGCTCTTTATTAGGTTAAGGAAATCTGGTTTTTCTCCTAGTGTACTCAGAGTTTTTAACAGAAGTGTTTGCTCACTTTTGTCAAATGCGTTTTCTGTTTGTATTGAAATGATCATATCATTTTTCTTAGTTTGTTTCTTTTTTATGTAAACATGTTAAAATGAATTCTGTTGATTGCTTTTCAAATGTAAATCAACCCTGTATTCCTGTGTTAAACCCCGCTTGGTCATGATATGTTAGCCTTTTATTACATGGTTGGATTCAATTTGCTAAAATAAAAGATATATATATATAGATATAGATATATAGATATATAGATATTTAGTATTTTTACAACTGTGTTCATGAGGGATATTGAACTGTAGTTTTCTTGTAATGTCTTTATCAAGTTTTGGTATTGGTAATGTCGGCCTTATAAAATGGGTTGGAAAGTATTCTATATTTTTCCGTTTTTTTAGAAGAGTTTGGGTAGAATTGCTGTTATTTTTTTAAGGAAAAAACCTTTAATGTTTAGTAGAATTTACCAGTGAAGCCATCTGGAACTGTAGGGTTTTTTGTTTTTGTTTTTGTGGAAAGTTTTTTAACTATAGTTTTATTTTCTTCAATGGATATAGGGTTATTCAGGTTATGTCTTCATGAGTGAGGTTTGGTAGTTTGTCTGGTTTTTTGTTTGTTTGTTTGTTTGTTGTTTGAGAAGGAGTTTTGTTCTTCTTGCCCAGGCTGGAGTGCAATGGCGCGATCTTGGCTCACTGCAACTTCCACCCCCTGGGTTCAAGGATTCTCCTGCCTCAGCCTCCTGAGTAGCTGGGATTACAGACATGCACCGTCACACCTGGCTAGTTTTTGTATTTTTAGTAGAGACGGGGTTTCACCATGTTAAGCTGGTCTCGAACTCCTGACCTCAAGTGATCCACCTGCCTTGGCCTCCCAAAGTGCTGGGATTACAGGCGTGCGTCACTGTGCCTGGCCAGTAGTTTGTGTCTTTTAGAGAATTTCTTTATTTCGTCTAAGTTGTCAAGTTTATTTATAGGATGTTTTTCATAATATTCCCTTATGATCCTTTTAATAGCTATAGAAATTCTAGTGATATCATCTTATTCCAAATATTAACATTTTTTTCTCTGTGTGTGATCAGTGTGGCTAAAGTTTTTTTTATCTCAAAGAACAAACTTTTGCTTTAGTTGATTTTTTATTACTGTGTCTACTTTTTATTTTATTGATTTCTGTTTTTATCCCTATTATCTTTTCTTGTTTATTTACTTTGATTTAACTTTCTCTTCATCTGATTTCTTAAGGTGGAAACTGAGTTCATCGATTGAAGCTTTCTATAACATTTTAAGTGTTTAGTGCTATAAATTTCCCCTTACATACTACTTTAGTAGCATCCTACAAATTTTTATAGGTTGTTTTCATTTTCATTTAGTTCTGAATAATTTCCATTTTTTCTTTTGACTTCTTCTTTGGTTTATGAGTTATTTAGGTATGCATTTAGTTTTTAAATTTATGATTTTTCAAGAGATATTTCTGTTTTTCATTTCTAATTTAATTCCCTTTGACATGAGAACATATTTTATATTGTTTAAATCATTTTAATTTTATTGTGGCTTACTTAGTGGCCCAGTATATGGTCTGGTTTGGCAACTAATTCAGATGTACTTGAGAAGAATGCATATTCTGCTGCTGCTGTGTGGAGTGTTCTATAAACATCAAATAGGTCAAGTTGATTGACAGATTGTTCAGATCGTCTATATCCTCACTATTTTTCTATTCGTTCTATCTGTTATTGAGAGGGGGTTTTGAAATCTTTGACTGAAATAGAGGATATTTGCCTCTTCCCTCTTGCTGTTCTATCAGATTTGTTTCACATAGTTCAAAGATCTTTATTATGTACAAAAATGTTTAGGATTTTATGTTCTCTTGATTAATTGGCCCATATATCATTATAAAATGTCTTCTTCCTGTTTAAAAAAAATTTCTGAAATCTACGTTGATATTAATGTAGCCACTTTAGCTTTATTTATTTAATGGTAGCATAATATATCTGTTTCCCCTCCTTTTTCTTTTAACCTTTTCGAGTCTTTGTATTTAAAATGTTTCTTGTACACAGTATGTAGTTGGGTCTTGCTTTTTTACGTGGTCTTAAAATCTATTTAATGTGATGACTAATATGGTTAGGCTGGAATCTATTATTTTACTGTTTTCTGTTCATTCCATTGGTCCTTTTTACCCTTTATTTTTCAGCCTTCTTTTAGGTTAAGTCCTTTGTTGGCTTATTAGTTACAACTCACTGTATTTTCATTTTAGTGGTTACTTTTGGGCTTAAACAATCCTTGTTTAACTTATGCAATCTTTAATTTGTATATTCTACTTTCAAGTGATACTGTATCACTTTTCCTATAGTATAAGAACTATACAGCAAGAGTACTCTTTCATTTCTCCCTTCCCAAATTTTGTGCTATTGTTGACATATATTGTAGTTTTATATATGCTATAAACCCCATGCTGCAGTGTTATTTTTATTTATATAGTCAATCATCTTTAAAAGATATTTAAATAATAAAAAAAATCTTATGCATTTACCCATGTAGTTACTCCATCTGGTATTCTTCATTGTTTTATGCAGTCATATTTGCATCTGGTATTAGTTTTGCCATTATTTCTTAAAATATTTTTGCTCCCCCCGACGCCTTAATTCCTGTTACTTATATTTTAGGCCACTTGAAGTTCTCTTACAGCTCACTGATTCTCTTTTCGTTTTCTCTCTCTCTCTCTCTCTCTCTGTGTGTGTGTGTGTGTGTGTGTGTGTGTTTTATTTTAGATAATTTTTATTGGTGTAAACTTAAGTTTACTAGTCTTTTCTTCCATAGCATCTAATCTGTTGTGAATATCATTTGATTTGTCTTTTATCTCAGACATTATGGTTTTTGTCTTCAGTAGTTTGAGTTTTTTTATATTATAATTTCTAACTTTTAAAAAATTTTTGGCCAGGCGCGGTGGCTCACGTCTGTAATCCCAGCACTTTGGGAGGCCGACTCAGGCAGATCATGAGGTCAGGAGATCGAGACCATCCTGGCTAACATGATGAAACCCGTCTCTACTAAAAAATACAAAGAAATAGCTGGGCGTGGTGCAGGGCATCTGTAGTCCCAGCTACTCGGGAGGCTGAGGCAGGAGAATGGCGTGAACCTAGGAGGCAGGGCTTGCAGTGAGCCGAGATCACGCCACTGCACTCCAGCCTGGGCGACAGAGCAAGACTCTGTCTCAAAAAAAAATAAAATAAAAAAATTAAAAAAATATATATATATATATATTTTTTTTACTTTAGGTTAGAGGGTACATGTGAAGGTTTGTTACATAGATAAACATGTGTCGGGGGTTTGTTGTACATATTATTACATTACCAAGTTATTAAGCCAAGTACCCAATAGTTATCTTTTCTGTTCTTCTCCCTTCTTCCACCCTCCCCTGTCAAGTAGACCCCAGTGTCTGTTATTTCCTTCTTTGTGTTCATATGTTCTTATAAGTGAGAACATGCGGTATTTGCCTTTCTGTTCCTGCATTAGTTTGCTAAGGATGATAGCCTGTAGCTCCATCCATGGTCCGGCAAAAGACATGATCTCTTTCTTTTTTATGGCTGCATGATATTCCATGTGTATATGTACCACATTTTCTTTATCCTGTCTGTCATTGATGAGCATTTAGGTTGATTCCATGTCTTTGCTGTTGTGAACAGTGCTGCAGTGAACATTCACGTGTCTGGGTCTTTATGGTAGAATGCTTTATATTCCTTTGGGTATATACTCAGTAACGAGATTGCTGAGTCAAATGGTAGTTCTGCTTTTAGCTCTTTGAGGAATCACCGTACTGCTTTCCAAAATGGTTGAACTAATTTACACTCCCACCAACAGTGTATAAGGGTTCTCTTTTCTCCACAACCTTGCCAGCATCTGTTATTTTTTGAATTTTTAATATAGCCGTTCTGACTGGTGTGAAATGGTATCTCATTGTGGTTTTGATTTGCATTTCTCTAATGATCAGTGATATTGAGCTTGTTTCCATATGCTTATTGGCCACATGTATGTCTTTTTTTAAAATGGTCTGTTCATGTCCTTTGCCCACTTTTTAATGAGGTTGTTTGTTCTTCTCTTATAAATTTGTTTAAGTTCCTTATAGATTCTGGATATTGGACCTTTGTCAGATGCATAGTTTGCATAAATTTTCTCCCAGTCTGTAGGCTTCTCTTTACTCTGTTGATAGTTTCTTTTGCTGTGCGGAAGTTCCTAAGTTAAATTAGACCCCATTTGTCAATTTTTGGTTCTGTTACAATTGGTTTTGGTGACTTCGTCATGAAATCTTTGCCTATTCCTAGATCCATGAGGGTATTACCTAGGTTGTCTTCCAGGGTATTTATAGTTTTGGGTTTTACATTTAAGTCTTTAATTCATCATGAGTTGATTTTTGTATATGGTGTGAGGAAGGGGTCCAGCTTCAGTATTCTGCATATGGCTAGCCAGTTATCCCAGTACCATTTAGGGAGTCTTTTCTCCATTGCTAGTTTTTGTCAGCGTTGTCAAAGATCAGATGGCCATAGATGTGTGGCCTTATTTCTGGGCTCTCTATTGGTCTCTTCCATTGGTCTGTGTGTCTGTGCTTGTACCAGTACCATGCTATTTTTGGTTACTGTAGCCTTGCACTATAGTTTGAAGTCAGGTAACATGATTCCTCCAGCTTTGCTCTTTTTGCTGAGATTTGCCTTGGCTATACAGACTCTTTTTTGGTTCCATATAAATTTTAAAATAGTTTTTTCTAGTCCTGTGAAGAATGTCATTGGTAGTTTGATAGGAATAGCATTGAGTCTGTAAATGGCTTTGGGCAAGGTAGCCATTTTAATGATATTGATTCTTCCTATACATGAGCATGGGATGTTTTTCCATTTGTTTGTGTCTACTCTGATTTCTTCGAGCAGTGTTTTGTAATTCTCATTGTAGAGATCTTTCACCTTCCTGGTTAACTGTATTCCTGTGTATTTTATTATTTTATGTGTGGGAATTGTGAATGGGTTGCCTTTCTGATTTGGCTCTCGGTTTCGTTGTTGTTGGTGTATAGGAATGCTAGTGATTTTCGTATATTGATTTTGTATCCTGCAACTTTGCTGAAGTTGTTTATCAGCTGAAGGAGCTTTTGGGCTGAGCCTGGGGTTTTCTAGATATAGAATCATGTCATCTGCAAACAGATATAGTTTGACTTCCTCTCTTCCTATTTGGATGTCCTTTATTTCTTTCTCTTGCCTGATTGCTCTGGCTGGGAATTCCAATATTAAGTGGTGAGAGAGGGCATCCTTGTCTTGTGCCAGTTTTCAAGGGGAGTGCTTCCAGATTTTGACCATTCTGTATAATGTGGGCTGTGAGTTTGTCATAGATGGCTCTTATTATTTTGAGGTATGTTCCTTCAATATGTAGTTTGTTAAGAGTTCTTAACGTGAAGGGATATTTAATTTTATCAAAGGCCCTTTCTGCATCTAGTGATATAATTATGTGGTTTTTGTCTTTAGTTCTGTTTATATTATGAATCACATTTACAGATTTATTTGTTTATTTATTTATTTTTTTTTGAGATGGAGTCTCGCTCTGTTGCTCAGGCTGGAATGTAGTGGCACGATCTCAGCCTACTGCAAGCTCCACCTTCCAGGTTCACACTATTCTCCTGCCTCAGCCTCCGGAGTAGCTGGGACTACAGGTGCCCACTACCACGCCTGGCTAATTTTTTGTATTTTTAGTAGAGACAGGGTTTAACCGTGTTAGCCAGGATGGTCTCGATCGCCTAACCTCGTGATCCTCCTGCCTCGGCCTCCCAAAGTGCTGGGATTACAGGCATGAGCCACCGCACCTGGCCACGTTTACAGATTTTTATATGTTGAACCAACTTTGCATCCCAGGGATGAAGCCTACTTGGTCATGGTGGGTTAGCTTTTTGATGTGCTGCTGGACTCAGTTTGCAAGTATTTTGTTGAGGATTTTTGCATTGATGTTCATCAAGGGTATTGGCCTGAGGTTTTCTTTCTCTGTTGTGTCTCTGCCAAGTTTAGGTATCAGGATGATGCTGGCCTCCTAGAATGAGTTAAGAAGAAGTCCTTCCTCCTCAATTTTTGGGAATAGTTTCTATAGGAATATTACTAGCTCTTCTTTGTACACCTGGTAGAATTCAGCTGTGAATCCGTCAGTTCCTGGGCTTTTCTTTGGTTGGTAGGCTATTTATTACTGATTCAGTTTCGGAGCTTGTTAGTAGTCTGTTCAGAGATTCAGTTTCTTCCTGGCTTAGTCTTGGGAGGGTATATGTGTCCAGGAATTTATTAATCTCTTCAAGGTTTTCTAGTTTTTGTGTGCGGAGGGGTGTTCATAGTAGTTTCTGATGGTTATTTTTGTTTCTGTGGGTTCAGTAGTAACATCCCCTTTGCCATTTCTAATTCTGTTTATTTGGGTTTTCTCTCTTTTCTTCGTAATTAGTCTAGCTATTGGCCTGTTTTATTAATTGTTTTCAAAAAGCCAATTCCTGGATTATTGATCCTCTGAATGACTTTTTGTGTCTCAGTGTCCTTCAGTTTAGCTCTGATTTTTGTTATTTCTCGTCTTCTGCTAGCT